>NC_000020.11:24463756-25091959 GCF_000001405.40 Homo sapiens
AACTTAGTGTTCTGTCTTACCTGATTTCTGGCTGTCCGTTGTGTGAATGGGCTGCTCACTGGTGATGGTTTAGGATCTCTCCCAACTGGACGGCATAAACAAAACCTACCTGTGCGATTATCTGCTCTAAGCAGCCTTATGACCCAGGCTCAACACAGGCTCATATTTAGAAAAAAGATAAACTGGACACCTAAAGTCTTGAATTGAAATCTAGATCTCTAATGTAGACTTGGGCAATGCAGGAATTCCACATTTTAAATGACACAGCAAGATTTCCTAGGATCCTATTTTGACATCTCTCTTGTGCTAGAGGGAACCCGCCTCACACATTCAGGTACCACTCAGCAATGCGGGTGATGTCTCTTCCGCCCCTGGAGGACAGAGGCTGATGGAGGTGCATCTCCTCTTCATCCCCTGGCTGGGTGATTCTGAGAAACACACTCTTCCTTCCAAAGGGTTGGAGAGTGGCTGCTGCCTGCAGTAGTGACCAGCTCAGGGATTCTTCTGCCATCTGGCTCCCCTCCCGCCCTGCTGGCCACCCACTGGCCCCTCACTCCTTTTTCCTGGGATTATTTTCCAAATAAACGTCCTGACTGAGCTCTCCAGCCCTGGTTTTGGGAAGGGAGACACAGGCCAAATGTCACATTCTTTCTGGGTATTTTAGCACCTCTGGTTTACTGAAGCGTGACAAATCTTATCCAATTTATCCAATTAAGGTTTGTGAAATTGTGAACTTGGCTGAGGGAAACTATTCCAACAAAGAATGGGCATAAGAACACCAGATAATAGGTAGCAAAAGCTGCCATTTTGGCTTCCATGGGGTATTGGGCAAAGATGGGTCTTAGAAAGGTCTGCTGACAAGCACAGCAGTGCACTGTGCCCACGGTGCCCACAGCTCCTCTCCTGCGTGCTCATGGTTTTCAGTGCCCTGGACTTGCCTTTCATGCTCAATGCCAGTATGCCCACTTTCTAGATGGAGAAACTGACATTTCAAGAAGATGAGGAGCTTGTTGAATGTAAGCAGGTAAAGGTCGGATGTGAAGGATTAAACTCACCCGGCCTGCCTCTGAAGCTGGCATCCTCTCCACCATACCATGCTGCATTGCCAACCCTCCTAGATAGGCCTGGGTGGTTCTTCAGGAGCCCACATTTTCATATTCTCAGAAGAGAAACTAAAGCTGTCCAAGGACTGAGCACAATACTCAATACATTGTTGGTGTGAGCCATTGAGCAGCAAAGTCCATAGGAGCTAGGGGCAGCCAGATGGAATCAGCCACTGATATCTGGGGCATCTGATCCAGACACAACAGTGTCTGCTACACTCAGCCTCTGCCCCCTTGAAACAAGAAGGTCCCCAGCTGAGGGAGAGACACAGTCATGGTCTTAGGTTCTGAGGGTCTTCACACCAGCATCGGCTTGGTGCCAAGGATCTAGACTTTGCCATTTCTCTCAACGTCTCAGAAAAAGCACCAGCAGCTCTTGTCTTGCCAACTGTCTTTAAGAACAGTGACCAGCCAGCTCCACTCAGGAAGGCACTGCCAGCACTCTGAGCCCGCCCTTGCCTCCTACAATGCCAGGCAGCACATAGAATAAGCTCATTTCAGAAGTGAGGAAATCCAGGCTCAGTTAATCAGGATAGAGTGTGAGAGACAGCAGCAGACACTTGCCTCCAACCCAGGCTTGGCTGGCTCTGAGGTGTGAGATTCTACCCTAGCAGGGAAGCATTCAGCTGATGCCTGACAGACACCCCCTATTAATGTTGGCTACTTTGGATCCCACCCCACTTCTCACAAGTAATGTGAAGACAGGAGAGCCACTCAGTTCTCAAAATTCAGCTTCTTCATCTTCCTGCGATCATTCTGGCTGGCCCCACGGACCTTAAGATTCAATGAGGTTATATTTATAAAGAACTTATCTCATTTCTAGACATGGTCAATTGAAAAAAAAGGCCACAGATTCCTCCTGTCACTCACTGCAAGCCCATTTCCAATGTGACTTTATAGCCAAAGAGTACAGGATATCTCCCCAACTCCTGAATCTGGCCTGGGCCATTTGACCTGCTTTGGTCAATGAGATGATGTGACGTCACCCTGAAGAGCCATGCACATTGAGGTTTGCCTTCCCTTATTGCTGTCGGGCACCCTGAAGCCACCACTGGGTGAAGAACTCTGAGCCAGCCTACAGGAAAAGGACAGACATGGCCCACAGCCAGTCTACTCCCAGAAATGTAAGGTCTTTGGCTGCCAGCTGACCGCAGATGCCTGAGTGAGCCCAGACAGCAGTGTGAGGCAGAGGCAATCCATCCCAGATGGCTCAGCCCAAATCATCAACCCACAGCATTGTGAGCAAATCAGTGATTATCATTTTAAGCCACTGAGTTTCAGAGTAGTTTGTTCAGCAGCAATAGATAACTGATACAACCAGCACTATAGAAGTTGCTTAAAACATATTATCTTTCTCTCTTCCTTATTTCTTTTCAAAGAGCTGTAATGAATGCACGGGCAAGACTGCTGATGTTGGAACTGAGCAGACCCGGACATGCCCTTGACCCCTCTACTCAGCCTCGCTGTAACCATTTCCTCACCTGTGGAATCAGAGGGCTGGACTAGATGACTGCCAAGGTCCCAACCGACTCTAGCCTTCTGACCTTCTCTTGCATCTTTTCTCTTGTTTAAACTTTCATGTCAACATTGTCTCAGACATTTTTCTAGGTTTTGTATCACTTTCCATTCACTTTTGATAGAAATTCATGCTTTCTTTCCAGCCCCTCCTATCATGTCTAGATTGAGCATCTGAATGGATGTCTTTCTACACTTCTAAGTCAACAAGATTCAACTTTAGCAAGACACTGCCGCTTTTCAGTTCCTATATGTCATCCACTTAAGTCCCTTTAATAACAGATTTTGGGGGGGAAAGAAAAACCAGGTTAATTGCATAGCTTTAAAATTGCGTATGTGATTTGTTACCTTTGGTATTGCAAGCAATGTTTGAGGCCGAGCATTTTACATGGGTAACCTGGAGATGCTTTCTAGAAGGGCACTGTTGACCCCCAGACAGTGCATAGCAGGGCTGTTTGTAACCCCACAGTCAAAAGCTTTTGAGTTCAAGACATAAAGAGGAATATTTCCCATTTGAAAAAGTACTGAATCTGTGTTTCCCCTCATCAAATCACCTACCTCTAGGCATGTAAAGTTGGCTGGAGCCGGGCTTGGTAGCTCACACCTGTAATCCCAGCACTTTGGGAGGCTGAGGCAAGAGGATCACTTGAGCAGTTTGAAACCAGCCTGGGTAACATGACAAAATCCATGTCTCCACAAATACAAAAATTTGCCAGGCTTGGTGGTGTGTCTGTAGTCCCAACTACTCAGGAGGCTGAGGTGAAAGGATCACTTGAGTCCAGGAAGTTGAGGCTGCAGTGAACCATGATTGTGCCAGTGCACTGCAGCCTGGGCCACAGGACAACACTCTGTCTCAAAAAACACATTTACCTATGTAACAAAACTGCACATCCTGCACACGTACCCCTGAACTTAAAACAAAAGTTGAAAGTTAAAAAAAAATGTTGGCTGGAAGGTGTGGCAGCTTGCTCGGTGCCTGAGTGACAGTTCTTCCCAGCACAGGAGGTGGCCCACAGACCTCTCTTAGCTCTGAAAGTTCTGTAACATCCTCTGAGAGATAAGCATTGTTGAGAAGGTTACCCCAGTTTCCAAGAGACTTGGCAATTTCTACTGTGCCCCATTGCCTAATATGTGACAGCTCCTCACTGACTTTCTTGAAAGTCTTTATTTCAATGCTATATCACAGCATACCAGATAATATTTCAAGCCACAACAAGGGAATCACAGGTAAGAGAAACTGCCCATCGTGTGCTGGGCAACTGAGCTTCCCACCAGGAGCCCTTAATGAGCTGCTGCATCTGCCAGGAGTGGGTGACATCTGTTTCTTTACATACACGTCCTGGCCCTGTGAGTTTCTTTTGAAATGAAGTGTAAGGCCCCTTTGAATTACAGAAAGATGTGTGTGTGTGTGTGTGTGTGTGTGTGTGTGTGTCATGGGGGAAGAGTCCACCTTCTGTTTCTTTCTTTTTTTTTTTTTTTTTTGAGACGGAGTCTCACTCTGTCGCCCAGGCTGGAATGCAGTGGCGCGATTAAATTCAAACAGCACCCAGGAGACAAAGGCGAGTCCTGGCTGCAGCCCAGGCAGGTGTTCTCTCGTCAAAACAAAATCTGCCTCAAAAGTCAATCCAGAGGCTGGGCAAGTGAAAGAGCAGTGACTTAGAGGCAGGGAACCCGAGCTTCAGGCTACTCCTGCACATTGGGTGGCTACACAATCTCAATTACCCTTTTTAAACTTCAATTTCTTCATTTGATAAATGGGATCAATGACTCTCCACCTCAAATGGGTCTAATAGTATCTGCTCAACCTAATGGCTTAGATGGGAAACTGCTTTATTCAGGAAAGGACTCCGGAAAGGTAAGCTGCTTTATTAAAGTGTGGTGGCATGTTCTTCCAAGTTGAGAAGTTCTGCTAGATGGGAGAAATGAACAGTGCCCGTTTCTGAGTGTTCCAGACCACAGCCTTGCAGCTCTGGGGACCTAAAGGAAGAAACATCAGGTGTGTCTCGCGGGGCTGCAGACATGAAGACGGGGATGGAATTCAGGTGATAGTACTGGTTCCACTCATCCGCGCCTCCTTCAAATGCCTCCTTCTGGCACTCTGCATTTCAGCATTCTCTTTGGGCTGCGGAGGCTCCCTAGAAGCCACGTCCCCTGAAAGGAATATAGGAAGGACCTCTTGTTCCTGGCACCACCTTTAACTCCTGCCCCTGCCCACCAGGACACCTGGGCAAGACGCAGCGCAATGGTGGGTTACCAGGCAGGAGGGAGGGCTCTAGGAAGGTTGGGAGCCATGGAACTCTGGAGCTTAACCTTCTCTGACCACCAGTGTACCAGCCTGCGGGTGGCAGGACTGGGGCCTCTGCCTAGTGTTGAAACGGGGGCGCACAGATGCTTTTCTAAATAACTTTTGACCCCCTTTCTGGTAAATCTTTTTTTCAGAGTTGATTCTCTATGAAATCTACACTGCAAACACCACCTCCTCCGCTCCTAGAACGCAGACTGTCTTACCACCGCCCTAGTTTCCTTCCAATTCCAACTGGGGCGGGCCCGCCATGGGCCAACAACAGGCTGGCTCAGGGCTGAGGGGGTCTCTGGAGTCTGAACTCCGCGCCCGCTTGCTCCTCCAGGGCTTAGCTGGTCAGGACTTGAACATTCGCCGGATCCATAAATTGGGTCATTTTTAACCTCAAAACCGAACCGCAGCCTGGGGAGGCCTTTAGGACCGAGGGGAGCCATCCCTTCCTCTAGTCGGGCAGCAAATTCCTGTCCTCCTAGTCCCCCGCAGCTATCCCCCGCCCCCAGCCTCTGTGGCCCTCACATTGTCAGACACTGGCCGCGGGCCACCATCTGGACGCGATCCCCCGCTAGGGCCTCCCTGGTCTGGGCCAAAGTTGGTGGCCACCTTCGCGCGGGCTGCGCCCTCCTTCTCTTCCCTGCCCTCCTCCCCCGGGGCCCGCGCCCGCTGCCTCCAGCACGCGCGTCGGCAGGCTCGGCAAGCGAAGAGGAGCGGCTCGCCCCAGGGCGCCCCTCGCCCAGCCTGCCGGCCAGGCGAGCGCGACGAGAGTCTCCCCGCACCCCTTCCTCTCCCGGGGGCCGAGAGGGTTGGGCTCCGCCCCGGCGCCGCAGCTCCCGACTCCCCGCCGCTCGGGCTGCCGCCGCTGCCCCGCGCCCGGCGCTCGGGGCAGCCGGGGGCGCAGGCGGAGAGCGCAGGGCGGGGAGAGGCGTGGGGAGCAGAGCGGCGCTGAGGGGAGGGCAGAGGAGGAGAGAGCCTGGCAGCGGAGGAGCAGAGGCGGGCGCCGCACCGCCCCGCACGCTCGCTCGCTCGGGAGAGTCGCGGGCGGCCGCTTGGGCGCACTTGCCGGGTCACCTTGTCCCGGAGGTAAGTCCAGACCTCCCGGCCGCGGGGGCGGGCGGAGGGGCCCGCAGTGGGCGGGGTCGCGGCAGGGGCCGCGAGCTGGCGGCGGGAGCTGGAGGCTGCCCTGCGCTGGCGGGTGTCCTAGTCCTGGCTCCGCCTCGGAGCGCGCAGACCCGGCGGCGGCGTGGCGCCCGCGGTAAGTCCGGGTGGTCGCCGCGACGAGACTTGGGAGACACGGGGTCGCAGGGCGGGAGGGGGAGCTGAGCCGGCAGAGAAAATGCCCAGGAAGGGGTCGATGCTGGCCTGGGCTGCACCTTGGTGCCTTGCCACCCCGGGAGACGCGAAGGGGCTGCTGTGCGAATTCGATGGGAGCTGGTGAGACCGAGAACTGAGAGCGTAGCGGAGCCAGGCTGCCCAGCAGGGCCATGAGGGCGCGCGGCGGGCCAAGGCTCTGCGGGTTCGGGCTGCCCCTCGGAGTGACCCGAAGGAGACCAGCCAGGGCTGGTGAGCCGGGCGGCCACGGAGCTGGGGACCTAGGTCTGTTTGGGAGTAGGAAGGGAAACAGACTAATTCTCCGAGCGGAGCGGCAGGCAAGGTGCAAGCGCGCTTGGGATGGGGAATCCCGACGGGCGACCGTGGCGGAAGCAGAGACTCCTGGAGCCTCTTTCCTCTAGCCAGGACAAGACCTGCCTTCAAAAGCTGTCTGGCCCCTGGCAGCCGCGACAGCCTGCAGCCCTGGGAGCCACAGCCCTGGCGCCGAGATGGGAGCGAGCACATACGCTTTTTTGGTTCCAATTTGAATCTCGCTTTTTCCTAGTCGTGATTTCTGCCTCTTCATGTGCACTCTCTGGGCAGTGAGGAGGAAGGAATGGCTCACTGGATGAGTTGGGCACTTTTCTTAGGGAAGGGGCTTTGTCCCTATGCGCTTTTTGCAAGACCCTACTAGAGTGGCTCTGGCAGCCGAGCTTTGAGGAGGCGGCCAGAGGGGCCGCTTGGCGTTTCTGAAAGACGAGAGGAAGGGGTCTTCTGGTAGTCCTGTTTTCCTTTGGGGGTTTCGTTGCACGCAGAGGCTTGGGCGCTTGGCACCCAGACTTCAGGTGCGCACAGTCCTCCTGCGACGTCAGATGCGCTGGCGCCGCGGCGCTCCTGGCTCGGACCGATGCCTGCGCCTTCCCTGGCCACGTCCTGGTGTTTAGTGCAGCAGACACCGGCCGAAGGCTTGGCTGATTGGGGGTGTCGAGGGGAGGGGGGCTGGGCGTTACACAGTGGCTCCGTTTTCTGGTTGGAATCAGTTGGTGAGGCGTGCGCGCGCGAGTCCGTGTATCTGTCCGTCTCCCTCCTACAGCCCAGCGTGTTTGGTCTGAGTCCAAAGAAGGAGGTGGTGTGTGTGCTGCGTAGACCTGCGCCTGTGGGGTGAGCAGCCTCATAGCCCCCAGAGCCGGCCAACTTCTCCGTGCTAGGCTGCGACCTCAAGGGCTGCCGCGTCGGGGATCGGAAGTGGTCTTCAAAGAGGGGTCTAGGTCGCGAAATCCTGGCAGCAGCCGAAGTGAAAAGGAGCTGCTAGGAGGCGGGCGGGGGGCAGTCTGATGTCCGTTCTGGCGCGGACAGGAAGAAACTGAAGTCGAATTTTTAGTTGAATTGCGTGCTCTGTGTTTGGCGGTGGTGTGGCCCGTTCTTTTGGAGGTCCACACCACAGGTATGAGGCCTGTGGGCCCTGAGGAAGCGCGATCCCCTTAATTCCTCCCTCCCCTCTCTCTCCACCGCCCGCCCCTTTGCAAGGAGCAAGCCTGACAGTAGCTGATCGGCGCCCTCTCTCACCCTGTCCCCATTTCCTGCCTGAAAACGGAATCCTCATAATCAAGAGGGCCTTGTTAAAAAAAAAAAAAAAAAGGAAAGAAAAGATGGAGAAACCTATTTTTAAACTTTTTTATTATGGAAAATTTCAGTTGTACACAGTGACAGACAGAGAATAGCACTGAAGCTTTGTGTACCCCCCACCCAGTCACCACCTGCAGTTACCTTTGGTAGAGTTTTGGAGGCCACAGAGTTTTGGAAGCCTTGTTTGATGAAGTATTTCAAAACTCATTCCAAAATGCTAAGTATTGGATAGTAGGTTAATTAGCTCCATTCAGTCATGACACATTGTATACGCATATCACAGCATCATTTTGTACCCCATAAACATACACAATTATAATTTGTTAATATCTGATAAAATAAACCAATTCAGTAAAAATACAAAATCACTTTGATGTAAACTTCAAAAAAATAAAAAAACCATTCCAAACTCACTTCACCTCTAAACACATCCCTCTGTATCTCCAGCTGATGACATTTCATTTTATGTTCACCTATCAGAAATGTCAGTTTTTAATAACCCCATTAGAGTATAGGTGATATTAAAATAAAAATGAAGGCCCCCTCCATTCCCATTTTAGGGTAGAAAAGGAAAACCTGCCAACTTTACTTGAGGCGTACAGGGGTGAGATATTGAAGAAGGAAAGACAAGTCCGGATCCTGGGAAGACAGATATGTTAGCAATAGGAACAGACTCATTCTAATTCATGAAGGGCGTGAACACGATTCTGGTTGAGCCATGATAGGCAAGAGAATTTTTTTTGATAAAAACTTTAAAACTCAGTTCAAAAATTATAAGCAATTAATTTCTTCCACATTTAGCATTGAGATAAATTAAAAGTGCTCTACCAGACTTGAGTTATTTTTCTCATTAATTTTAAATCGTATTTTCTAGGGAGTTATTACTATTATCAGAGAATAGAAAGTTGTTTTCTTATGTAAGATTTCTATCTGAGGCACTAGTCGGTGCTATTCTGAGGTTCATGGAGAGTACTGAACATTTCATTGTCTAATTAGAAAATGTTTGGTCATCCTCCAGGTCACACCTGCTCTGCCCTCTGAAAAGGCTCTGTGCTTGCTGAGATGTGATATTCACTGTGACTTCTACTGTCTGGAGAGGCATGGCACGCAGGGAGGCACTGGAGGCAGTGGGAGGGGAGGCCCTCCCTCCACCAGCCCCCTCCCATTCTGCACACCTCTGTGCTTTCCTGTATATAAAAGCAGTTCCTAAAAATTGTCAGTGATGTTCTTAGAGGAGTCAGTCAGACTTTTGAATACCTTTATAAAGTGCACTATTTAAAGGTGTCCTTAGTTAACCTTTTGTAAGATGAATAACCATCTTGTAGGTGAGCAGTTTTATGTCCTGTCACCCATCCCCAAATAAAACCTTGTCTTTTCATGACTCCAGCTTGACCCTGTGCCCCTCACATTGGCCTTTCAGACCCTCATGCACATTGGAAAATGCAGGCTCCATCTCAGAGTAAATGTACCGCTGTGGCCCATAGTTTGAACAGATGTCACATTATCAGCAAAATTCTTTGAATGAGTGGGTAAAGGTGACAAGGACTGAAGTATGTGGGGTGTTAATTTGACAACACCAGCAGAACACTAGGGGTAAATGACTAGCAAAACAGCCTCTTGTATCAGTGGAAAGTTGCATAAGGTCATTTTGGGGCAGTGCACTGATAGAAGTTTTTGGAGCCTTAGCTCTTGACCCGGCATCACTACACTAGGGGCATGGTGTCAAAATCTCTACAAAGCAGTATTCAAAACATTAGAGATAGGCTGACCAGGTCTCTAACCACGTCACCAGAATTAGAATAATGAAGTTGTCGGCAGGAGGTTTGAACAAATGTGGTTTCTCAGCATTCTCTGTGCAAGATGCCCATTTTGAATGATTCCTGAGAGATCCTAAACTTGTGTTCAAAGAGCAGATGAAGTAACCCGGGCACCAGCTATGATTCAGTGCCCTCATGGTTGCTTTGCTTATGTCCAGGCAGCATATTGGATTGCACGGGGAGTGGGGGAGGGACGCACTGGGGAGACAGGCGTGCAGAGTGTCTCCTGTCTCCAGGCTACTCCCTCTTTCCCCCTGGGCCTTTCCCGAGTGCCATGAGCAGACATAGGCTCCAGAATCTGGAAGGTCCCATTTGTTTTCTCAGAATGCCATGTGAATACAAATTTACCCAGAGAAACATTGAGACAATGAAGTGTCCTCAATCCAGTGTCTTTTTCATTTAACAAGCTGTGACAACATTAACGCTTGGTTTTCAAAATCCTGGAAAGAATATGGTTGAAAAGAAATGGTCTCAGAAAAGTGACGTGGTTTGTCTAAGATCATTCAACTAGCAAGCAGCAGAACCCAGAGTCTGGAGCCTACAACCTGCCATCAGCAAGAGTGAGGACTGGGACAGTGTGTTTGCACTCACTTGGGGTGGATGGATACATGCACAGGAATGTACCCAGGGTGTGTACATAGCCATGTGGGCTAAAGATTTACAGGAATGGATAGGAAAGGCATGTGAGCAATAGCTTATGAAATTTATCCTTAGCATAACTAAATTAGATTCATATTATGTTATAAAACTTACATGATGCATTCTCTAAGATGGAAACATTTTTAAAACAGATTACCAACAGACCACCACCCTCCATTTATAATATGTGATGATTCAAGATGCAAGCATGGTTGGATGACAAACTGTAAATCATCTTAAACTATTGTTTGATAAATGACCTGTTAAACTACCAAAAACAAAGGAAAATAGAAACTCTAAAGAACAACAACAGATAAGCTTCAGGATCAAAAATAACTGCTAGAACCAAAAATAACAGAACCAGGAAACATTAAACACAGGTAGAAAATAATAAAAATAAAAGCTGTTTCCAAAGGCACAACCCAGGGGATAACCTTGCCTGTTTAGTCGCATAAAAAGAATTTAGGAGTTCAGTTAGCATTATTTCAGAGAGATGGGCCTTGCAATCCGTGTTCAGTGTGAAAAACTTTTTGCTTGGTTTTTAGTTGTTAACTGAATTTTTGTCAATAACATTCATTTTTAAATACTGGGGTGGCATTTAGAGAATGAGTCTGAAGGAGAGAGTACTTGCGTGGATTTCAAACTGCGTCTTTCAAGAACGGCTCACTTAGGTTAAATTTCTATTTTGAACAATTCTTAGGTCTCCAACAAGTTCAGTTGTAATCTATCACTTGGCCTCACTGGGCAGGCGCCCGCTTTCACACGTTACCTCCATCTGTTTCTTCCTTACCTTTCCTCTATTTCAGAAAACTTCAGTGCCCAAAACAAAACCAGAAAGCAAACACATTTCAGATAATTAGAACCACAAAAGTTTTATTCCATTGCCTCAACTTTAAACTACAGATCTTTCTGAAAGGGAGATACAGTAATCTTACCTCAAATACACTTGGAACCACCCCCCATGCCCCCACTTAGAAAAGCAAATAAATGAAATGTTACAGAAACTCACTCTTCTGTCATGAGTACAATAGGCAGTTTTTAACTTCCTCCTATGATCTTGGTCCTCACATGTTGGTGGTACAGACCCTCAGCTAGCATGGGTCTGAGATGCAGGAGTTTATTCCTGAAGATGCTAATGGGATTAAGTCCTGGGACAGTTTCCCAGTGGAAACCCAGTAGCCATGCTGGGGAGTGGCCTGAGGCATTAGCTTTAGGGTAGCCCCCAGGGAAGCCCAACTCATCCTACAAAAGATTGGTACCAATTCCATTGTTAATTATTTGCAGTTTCTAAAAGTGCATTTAAGAAAGCCTATGTGTTTCTGTAGCCAACCTTCATGTCTGACATCTCAGCCTCAGCCCATCACCCATGTGTCTCCCTTATAAGAAACCTTGTCCTTATGGGTCGAGTGCCCCATGGGATAATGGCACAGGACCAGTAGGGCAGTTGAAAGAGTTGAAATGTGATAGGTAGTGTGCGTGGTTTCTGACATGCTGTCTAAGCACAGGGGCTGGCCTGGGCTTGTAGTCATAGATGATTGACTGTCATGGATTGACTGTAAGAGGCACTCGTTTGCCTCAGATCTCCCATGGAAACCCTGTATTTGTGAGGACCTTGGAGAGGACCCTGCACAGGGCAGTCCCACCAATCCTAACCTAGTCTTGGAATGCTTTCAGACATCTCTTGCCTGTGTACGATTCTGGCTTTACTTTTCTCTCCCAATTCCTCACCGTTTCCATAGTGCCTTTGTGACAAGTGGCTCCACAACAGAGAACTGTGAGCTAATTAATGTGCATAGTATCTTTTTTTTTTTTTTTGAAATGACGTCTCACTCTATCACCCAGGCTGGAGTGCAGTGGCACAATCTCAGCTTACTGCAACCTCCGCCTCCCGGGTTCAAGCGATTCTTCCACCTCAACCTCCCAAGTAGCTGGGACTACAGGCGCACTCCACCATGCCCGGCTAATTTTTCTATTTTTAGTAGAGTCGTGGTTTCACCCTGTTGGCCAGGCTGGTCTTGAACTCCTGACCTTAAGTGATCTGCCCGTCTTAGCCTCCCAAAGAGCTGGAATTACATGCATGAGCCACTGTGCCCAGCCTAATGTGCATAGTATCTTAACAGTTTTTTTTCTTATATACTAAACCCAGAGATACAGCTCATTCATTTCAGTACTCTAATAATAGTTTAATACACTAAATTTCCTCACAAAGACAGGTTTTTGTTGAAAGCTAACTTTGAGTCAAGGGGAATAATCTGTTTTGTTATTTCTAAGTTTATTCTCTGCCCTTCATTATTATCCTGATCTTTAAAAGCTGTGGATATTGGCCGGGCGCGGTGGCTTACGCCTGTAATCCCAGCACTTTGGGAGGCTAAGGCGGGCAGATCCCTTGAGGTCAGGAGTTCAGGACCATCCTGGTTAACACGGTGAAACCCCATCTCTACCAAAAATAACAAAAAATTAGCCGGACGTGGTGGCGGGCACCTGTAGTCCCACCTACTCAGGAGGCTGAGGCAGGAGAATGGCGTGAACCTGGGAAGTGGAGCTTGCAGTGAGCCGAGATCCCGCCACTACACTCCAGCCTGGGTGACAGAGCAAGACTCCAACTAAAAAAAAAACAAACAAACAAACAAAAAAAACAAAAAAAAACTGTGGATATTAAGTATCACACACTTTGTTCACAATGGGATCATCAAGGCTCTGCTGGAAGCCTCTCCTAACTGCTCTGGACTTGGTAAGGACCCTGCAGCCTGCAGCACAGCTGTCCCACTAAAGTAGCCTGGAGCAAGGAGAGTCATTTGTCCAGCTGCATCTCTGTCCTTCTGCCATCTGCCATGGCCCTGCTCCTGTGGGTCCTCTTGTGTAACATTCATTGGTACACTTGCTAATCTGAATGTTCTGGGTGTAGGTGTATTAGCTGTAAATCGGAGCCCTAGATATATTTGAGGACATCACAGTCTATTTTAGAACCATAGACATGAAATGTATCTGTTGACTCAATATGTGCAGAATTCTGTAGCTTCCTTCCTTGCCTATTGCTAGACCTCGAGTTTCTGATTTGCCACATACCTTTCCAGGAAAAACATGCGTCACACTCTTGGGACACAAAAATGAGTTTGCATCCCTAATCTCAGCAACGGTTCTCTCTGTTGCTCTTCACATGCCTACAGGGCAAAGTGGCACAGGGCTGCTTAGTGAGTGCTGGGGTGACCAGGTGGCCCTACCGTCTCACCATTGATGTTGGGCCATAGCCCGTCCTCAAACACACTGTTTTGTTTTTTTTTTCTTTTTTTACCAGAGCAGGGCCACATGGACACCTCCCTCCTCCCTAAGCTTTCCTGCATCCCATTGATTGTCTTCAGTCACCTATCTGTCCCACCCAGAGTCTGGCACTGCAGTTACCAGCTAGTCTGTTCTGCTACTTCAGCCTTGCCCCCGGTGCACCTGGGACTGTAGCACCCAGACTCATAGACAGTGGGAACAAAGGGCTTCCTGATGGTCTCTGGATCAGAGAGCCAAGCTGTAACCCATCTGTGATTGCCCTGCCTCTCCATCATCTTGTCCTCCAGTGATTGCAATGCCCTGGATACCTGCAGAGGTTACTGAGGGGATGGGGTATACAGCACCCCACTGCCCCTGGCTCCAGTGTGTCCTGTACATTATGCAGAAGGCCAGGCCAGTGCATGGAAGTGGAGTAGGGAGAGCCATGGCTCTGGGAGATATTTGCCCTTCAGGGGAGACTGAGGCTGGGGTGCGATGGAGGGGCTGATGGAAAGCCCAGCATTGGCCAAAGAATAGACCTCAGTCACTAGCACTTCTACACGGTTATAGATACTCCAAACTCCAGGTGTTTCTGTGCTGTCTGGACCTAAGACACAGACGTGGGCTTCCAGCATTACCGACCTCAGGATTTGGCTCTGGGCTGGACAAGAACTCCACCCTGCCAGTGGCTGAGCATCCTCTCTTGGTAGAACCAGGTAAGCCTGGTGCCTCACCACAGGGCCGCCTGGCTGCCCTAAAAGGGTGGCTCTGCTCTTCAGGTCTGGATGAAATAGAGGTGAGCTAAACAATTGTGAGGAAATAAAGGGAGCTCAAACCCGAAGGGTCAGATTAAAGCTGGCAGGGCCTGTTTGGATGTTGTCATGAAGGAGATTCAGGAAGACCACCAGCTTCAACCATTGGTGCCTTATTGCTTCGGTGTCTGTCTCAGGGACCAGAGTGGCAGCGCCAGGCAGGGCAAGGGAGGAGCCCTAGGAGGGAGGGGTGGAGACTGAGCTTTGGCTGTTATTCTGTGTGACTCCCTCGGCGAGCTCCCCAGATGCCTGTTTGACACTTGGTGGAATGAAGAGACCCAGAGGGCTTCCCCAACGTGCCGTCCAGCCTCACTGTCTGCCAGAGGCAGAGCCAGGGCACAGGGACCCAAATTTTCAGGGCTTGCTTGCTTTTGTATTTGTCTCTAAAGTGCATTTTTTCTCACCCACTGTACTTAGTTTTCTTGGCATTGCTGGAACCTAGAATACTGTTTGGGACAATGACAGACCCCATGCACCGTAGACAAACAGATGCAGACAGCTCCAGCTTCCAGCAAGCCCCAGGTAGAACACAATGTGATGAGGACATTTCTCCATCTGTGCTTTTCAGTGGTTTCCTGGGAGGAGAGCGCCACAGCCAGTCAGGGGCACCATGGGCAAGGGGAGGCCCAGTTCCTAGGCCAGGCCAGGAGTCATGCACTTAGAAAAGTCAGGGAGAACAGAAGCCTCCCACAGAACTCACAGGCAGGCAGAGGGGAAGCTGCATTCCTGTAATGCCAGAGGCCAAGACATTTAGAGAGAATATCGGATTGAACTCCGCAGGACAGCAGGTCGACTGTCAGACCTCGTGGGCACTGTGTTCTTGTCTCGCTCTCAGCATAAGGCTTTTCCCGGAAGATGGAAATGTTCTTTCTCCTTAGACACTGCCCAGAAATGCTGATCTTCCTCGAATTTCTATTCAGAGCTTTAAATATTACAGAAATATATATTTGGTGAGTTGGGCTCTGCCAACTGTTTCAGTCTCTCCATAAGACTAAGTTGGTGCCTAATTAGAGTAAAAACAAGGATGCAAATTGCTTCTTGGGGACCCAAATCAGAGGGTCTCTGTCTCCACCAGAGCCTGGCCCAGCCCTGGAGAGTGACTTGGGAGCCCCGTCCTGATGGGTTCTTCCCGCTCCTCTGAGACCTTCTCCCCGAGCCCTCACCCTCCTTGGATTCCGCCTGCCAGGCCTTCTTTGTCAGAATGGAGTGGCCCCAGGGGCAGGACTCACCTCTACCAACTGAGCTTTCCTATGTGCACAACTGGCTGCCCTAGATATTTTCCTGTCCCTACCCCTTACCCAAGGCCATCTCTGGGATGTTCTCTGGGGCAGCAGCCTCAGTGAACCCATTCTCTATCTGCTCCCTCCAGCCCCTCAGGCTTCCCTTCCCATGCCCCTTCCTCTGATAATGATACTCAGTAACCCAGGAATCCACACCAGAAACTCCCTAGCCCCTGTGCTTCTTCCTCTTCCTCATCACTAGATCTAAGTATTTCCTGCCTCTCTCTTGCATCTTTTCCACCCTTGGCCCCATATGCACACTCATCTCTTGCCAGATCATCTCAGTACCGTCCTGCAAGCTCTCCCTGCCTGCTGCATTGTGCCTCTTGCCTCCAGGACTGCCAGGAGAGTGAGCTGTCTCAAGTGCAGATCCGCCTCTGGGGCGCTCCTCTCGAAGCCCCCTACTGGCACTGGACAGGCTGCTTGGGAAAGATACAAGGCAAGGCTGTCCTGTCAGTCCCTGTTCACCCTCCAGCCTCATCACCATTTCTCTAGGTGCCCAGAACACTGAGTTACTCCTGCCCTGCCATGCACAGGTACATGTGCACACACAAATGCCTGCACACACACACACTCCATGGTCCCACACGTGCACGCGCGCACGCACACACATTACATAGTCCCACACCTCCCCCACCTGCAGTTGGCTACCTCTTGCCTCTTGCTAATCTCCTTTGAGGTTCAGAGGCTTAGCTTGATCATCACCTCTTCCCAGCATCCTTCCTCCAAGTTTGGCATCCCCGCTTCTAGGTGTCCTTGGCACCTGGGCCCATCCCAGCACTGGTGTGGCATTAGCAGAACAACCGAAGATGAAATATCTACAAGTAACTGTCAAGAAATGTGTAAGACCTATATAATGCTATTTCAATCAGAATGCCAATATTATATTGCCTTTTGAGCTTGACAGAATTATTCAGAAGTTCATGAAATTTAGGCTACAGTACTAAATTTTTTTCAGTGAAGAAATGTCCTACCAGATAATAAAACGAAGTGTTCAAATTACGTTAATTGACCTCAAATCCATTAGGATGGCTACTGTCAAAAAAATCACAGAAAATAACAAGTGTTGGTAAGGACGTTTGGAAATTGGAACCCATGTGCACTACTTGGGGAACTGTGAGAGGACGTAGTTGCTATGGAAAATAGTGTGGAGGTTCCTCAGAAACACTAAACATAGATTTGCCATATGATCCAGCAGTCCCACTTCTGGGTATATATCCAAAATAATGGAAAGCAGAGTCTTGAAGAGATATGCACATGCCCATTTTGATAGTAACATTATTCACAATAGCTAAAACGTGGAAGCAAGCCAAGAGTCTATCAGCAGATGAGCGGATAAGCAAAATGTGCTAAACACATACAGTGAAATATAGTTCAGCCTTGAAAAGAAAAGAAATTCTGTCATAGGCTACAACATGATGAACCCTGAGGACACTATGCTTAGTGAAATAAGCCAGAGACAAAAAGGCACATACGATATGGTTTCACTTATCTGACATACTGAGAGTTCTCAAACTCAGAGGCACAAAGTACAATGGTGGTTGTGAGGGTTTGGGGAAGAGGAGATGGGAGTTATTGTTTAAAGGGTATAGAGTTGCATACGTGCGAGATGAAAAAGTTCTGGAGAACCCTTGTGCAGCAATGTCAATATACTTAGCACACTAAGAAATGGTTACGATTATGTAAATTTTATGTTGTGTGTGTGTGTGTTTTTTGCCACAATAAAAAAAAACTACATTAATTGGAAATGTAAGATTCTAGTTACTGGTATGTAGTTAACAGGCTATTCTGATCTACTGTTGCATAACAGACTGCCCCCAAAACTCAGTGTTCATGGATCTGTGGGTCAGGAATTTGAAAGGGCACAGTGGGGACGGCTTATCTTTGCACCATGGCTCCTGGGGCCTCAGCTGGGAAGACTCACATGGCTGGGGCTGGAGTCCTTGCCCAGGTTGGGCTCACTCGAAGCCTGGACCAGGAGCACCTACACGTGACCTCTCCCTGGGTTTCCTCCCAGCATGGTGTCAAGGGGGCCAGACTTCATATGCCGAGGCTTCTGCTCCAAAAGTGAGTGTGAACATGGTCAAGACTGCACGATCTCCTGAACCGTCTCCACAGCCACTCTGGGTCAGCGCCACAAGATTCTGCTGATTATAGGCAAGTTTCTAAGCCAGCCCAGAATCAAGGAGGCAAATTAGACCCCACTTTTGAAGGGAGGTGTGTGAAAGAATTTATGAACCATGTATTCAATCTGCCATGCAGACAGGTAGGTCAGACAGAGAGCTCTGAAACAGATGCCAGCCCCAAGAGCCTAATGAATGTGTGGGAGCTGGCGGGGAGAGCTGAATTAGTCAACATGGAGCACTTTGGAAGTAGGTAGTTGGACTGTAAAGTCAATTTATATCTCCCTATTTCATAAAAAGTTCTGAATGTATATAAAAAGCATTGATAAATAAATATTCTAGAAGCATGAATAAATTCAGCCTGAACATCTTACCGTAATCCCAAGTGAAAAAAAATTGATAAAGATTAAATATATATATATGTACACATTCTATACAACAGGCACTGTAAACAAAATTGGAACGCATATAATAATCTGGAAACAAACATTTGCAACAAATTAACAAATGCTTAATAATCCTCACAGAGCAAATAAGAAAACACAAACAACCTAATTAAAAACTGAGCTCATGCCATGGAGAAAAAGGTGAGAAGAAGTGGAAATGACTAAGAAAGAAATACATGGAAAAACATATGTGCATTTTTACTTGTTTTTTGGTTTTTGTTGTTGTTGTTGTTTTTTCTGAGATGGAGTCTCACTCTGTCACCCAGGCTGGAGTGCAGTGGTGTGATCTCTGCTCACTGCAACCTCTGTCTCCCCTGACCTTGTGATGCACCTGCCTCAGCCTCCCAAAGTGCTGGGATTACAGGCGTGAGTCACCACGCCCGGCCGTGCATCTTTACTTGTAATGATGAAAATGCACATGAAAGTTAGGGAAGACACATCTTTCCAAAATGATTGCCCAGCTTCAGAGATTCCAGTTGCTCAGTAAAGGCACCTGAGGCAGCCTTTGGGATCACTGGGGAGGTTGAATCTCTTGTCTTGAAAGTTTCACTGAAATGTTCACTGAGGTCCTTCCCCTATATCTGTGGCCACACAACAGAACCACTAAAACATTTCTAAGATACACGCAGAGTATGTGTATCTTGCTTCCAGTAATGAACTGTCAGAAAAAAACTAAATGCCTGTCAAAAGGGGATGGTTAAATATGATGCAACTATTATGATGTTCTTAAAATAATGATTAAATTATTCTAAATCCCTTGTCCATTGGCCAGGGCTGTGCTGGGTATGTATTTACATGGATCAATGTCCATGGTAAACTACTAAGGATGGAAAGCTAAAGGAAAATATGTTGAACATTTGTGTGAATATGTTATTCTCTGAGAGTTTAAATATTTATTCAGATAATTCTTGAAAGCTGTTCTCCACATTGTTAATGGTATGTAGCCATGAAGAGTAGAATGGAAATAGGAACTTCCATGGTTTTAATTTTCTATGCATTGGTATGATTTGAATTCATAAATATGTGTTGTTTTTGCAATTTAAAAAACCTATTTAAACACATATCTATCCTTTGGAAGTAATCAGAGGTCTGGATGTAATGTTTCGGCTACACGTTCACATTCATACCTGATTTGGGGGAAGTGGAAAGCCTGGAGCCTCCTAGAAGTTGAGTGAAGGGTGTCTTTGTCAAGCATGCAGTGCACGTTGTGGTTGCAGTGTGACGCAGCAGGAGTCCAAGCCGTGGGCACTCACACGCATGCAGAGAAAGGTGTGCATGTGTGGAAGGGACTGCAGGAGATGCCAGTACTGCCACGAGTAGCTCCAGGCATGGGGTTACATGTGGATTTCATTTCCTATGTTATGTACTTTTCTGATTTTCAACTTGATCCTTGATTACTGTTTTGATTAGGAAAAAAAACCCAAAAGTTTAGAAATTGTTTTGCTCTCTCTCTCATTTGACTGAAAATCTGTTTCTTAATCATATTTTATGTTCCCACGTCCTATGCCCAGAGCTAGCACACATTATGTGCTCAGCCAGTGTTTGCTCTTCCTGTACTTCCCCTGGGCACCTCCCTGCCCCTTGAAAGAGCGTGCTCTGCATTCCCACCCAGGAGTCCCAGCCTGAGGAAGCCCCTCTCCTCTGAGCACGCGTGTGCACGCACCTGCCTGCGGCTGACCGTCTTGGCTCTAAGCCCCACAGCAGTGGATATGTTTTCAAGAGTAGTTCGTTCACCACATATTGAGTACTTGCCATTTGCTTGACCTTGTGGCAGACCCCAGAGACAGAGATGAAAGGCTTTGGTCCCTCATGGAAGAAGGGCATTCAGAGGCCCTGCCTAGTGTGCAGGGCCTCACTTTGCTTGACACGGTGCAAGTGCAAGTGGCGATACAGGCAGGCCAGCGGGGATGCTGCGTCCAGATGCAGCCAAGACTCGGAATGCGAAAGAGTGACTAGCCTGGAGGAGTAGAAATAAGGGGTCTTCTCGGCAGAGGGTGCAGGATAGGGCAGAGGTCACAGAGGCCTCCGCGCACCTAGGAGGTGGAAGTTGGATGTGACTTCAGAATTCCGTCTGCATCAGTGGTGTTTACTGAGATCCAGGTGCCCACACGAGAAACAACAGATGGGGTCAGACGAATTCAAGTGCAGTCCTGGCTACCTACTGCTGCCCAGATTGCCCCAAAATGTATAGCATGAAAGCTGCTGAGGGTTGGGAATTTTGGAGGGGTCGGCTGGGCGTGTTCAGCCCCATTCTCTCAGGCAGGTGCTGTCAGAGTGTATCTGGAGCCAGAAGAGTGGGGGGCCTGGGGCTACTGGGGGTCAGCCAGGTAACTGTAACCTCAGGGGTGCTGCACGTGGTCTCCCCACATGAACGATATTGGCCTTTCTCACAGCATGGCAGCCTTGAGGTATTAAACTTCGTAAAAGGAAGGTCAAGGCTCCGGTTTGAGTTTTCTAGTAAAAGACAGGTTGCGTGAACTTTTCTGACCTAGCCTCAGAGGTCAGGTCACGTCACTGTCGCCACACTCCTTCTGTTCAGGGTGAGTCTCAAGCCCACCTGGGTTCAAGGGGAGGGAGCAGAGACCCCACGTTTCACTGAGAGGAGTATCAGGGCCATATCCAGGAATAGATGTGGGATGGGAAGTAGTGTTGTGTCCACCTTTAGAAACGATGATCTGACACAGATACTAAAAAACAAAATACTCCAATTACTTGCCCTACACACAATAGGTCTTTAGGTCACAAAATAATGAAAAGTAGAGCCTTTTCTTACCAGAAATTTATCTAGATCTATTTGTTTAACATATGGATTTTCTAGAGTGCTATGGCTTGAGTATGAATTATTTGTTCCCAC
Source organism: Homo sapiens (assembly GCF_000001405.40). Taxonomy (NCBI): domain Eukaryota; kingdom Metazoa; phylum Chordata; class Mammalia; order Primates; family Hominidae; genus Homo; species Homo sapiens. Next base: position 24,484,837 of record NC_000020.11, read on the forward strand.
CAAAACTCATGTTGAAATTTGATCCCCAATGTGGCAGTGTTTGGAGGTGGGGCCTAGTGGGAGGGGTTTGGGTGATGGGGGCAGATCCCCATGAATGGCTTGGTGCTATTCTTGAAGTAGTGAGTTCTTTCTTCCTTGAGACTGGATTAGCGCTCCAGCCAGAGCAGGTTGTTATAAAGCAAGGTTCCTCCTTCTGTTTGGTCTCTTTCCCTGCGTTTACACTTCCCTTTTGACCGTCTCTGCCATGTTATGATGCAGCACAAAAGCCCTTACCAGAAGCCGGGGCCATGGCCTTGAACTTCCCAGCTACAGAACTGAGCTAAATAAACCTCTTTCCTTTATAAATTACCCAGTCTCAGGTATTCTGTTATAGCAACACAAAACAGACTAAGACACATAGTCTTAATTATTTTCCAATGTCTGTATATATTCTTAGTGTGTCATATTGTTCTTTAAAAGTATCTTCTAGAGTGTGGTGCTATACTTGAGTCCATGATGCAGAATCTGGGACATAGATTGATAGCACCAATTTTGTTCATTAGATGGATGCATTTGTCATTACGTAAGGAAATTATAGGTCTTTGGAATTTTCTTCAATTCCATCTCTCTCCAATGTTTTCACTGAAGAGATAGAAAGGAAAAGTGGGAAAAATTTGGAAGTTTCAGGTCCTTGTAGATCTAGTGACTTCTCCAGACTTATGCAGAAATCAGTGGCAAAGCTAATTTTGATATAATTTGGATACAGCTTTTTATTGCCTTACTTCTTTTTTTCTTTATTTCGTACAGTAATATCTCCTTTAAAGAAAGAGCCCTTTTAGCAAGTGTGTGTATACAACGTAGAAATGGTACTGCAACAAATGACAGAAGACTGAATGTGGCTGAGTGTTACTCAGGAGCTAAACAATGGAGTTTTCCATACCTGGAGGAATCTGGAAGCAGGAGCTACTGACTCAGCAGCTCAGTGCGGTTGGAGCTGGATCTCTATAGTCCTTGTGGCCTTTCCCTCCTGGCTCCCAGATGGCTGCTACTGCCCCCGATATCACATCTGAGGTCAAGGCAAGAAGTGAGAAAGGTGGACAGAGACCCCCCCAGGAGATGTCTTTGGCCCAAGCTTTGTCTCGTGGCCACCCTTGGTAATAAGAAAGTATGGGGTACAATTGAGGATTTAATGAGAACTTAACTCTTCCACCCTCCAGGTGAAGGTGGGCAGGGTGAAGCACTGACATCCAGCAGTGGGTCCCCTATTCAGCCAGGGAGGGTCACCCCAGCTCTCAGTGACAGGCGTGCCAAGGCCACATCACAGGGTAGGTGTGGGAAGGGAAGACTGGGTGTATTTATGAAATCAAAAGAAAAGTCAGTGGTTTGCTGGTGGGTGTGAGGTTGGGTGTGGTGTGGGCAGGATGGCACAAGAGAGGGCAGGGTGGGTGCTGGAGAGGTGGCAACCCCCTTGCCTGGGCTGGGGAGCCAGGTGGAGGCCCTGGGCTGATGCCATTGCTGCTTATCCATAGACTTTGAATAGCACAGGTCCAGAGTGGTTCTCAAGTTTTGCTGCATGTTAGATTCACCTGGGGATATTTAACAATTGGTTTATACACAAATAATGTGAAGACCAAAAATTGAGTTTAGTCTATAATATTAAAGCAGCAGCTGAATCAGTTTTGCTTACTGAAATGTCTGTTCAAGCACCATTCCTCAAACTCTAATGCACTCACATAACACCTGGGGATTTGCAGGCATGCGAGCTCTGGTCCAGTGGGTCGCTGGAACCTGAGAGTCTCCATTTCTTTTTTTTCTTTCTTTCATTTATTTATTTATTTATTTAATTTTTTTTTTGTTTTTTTGTGATGGAGTCTCGCTCTGTCACCAGGCTGGAGTGCCGTGGTGCCATCTCGGTTCCCCGAAACCTCCACCTCCCGGGTTCAAGCGATTCTCCTGCCTCACCCTCCTGAGTATCTGGGACTACAGGTGTGCGCCAACATGCCCAGCTCATTTTTGTATTTTTAGTAGAGACCGGGTTTCACCATGTTGTCCAGGATGGTCTCGATCTCCTGACCTCGTGATCCACCTGCCTCGGCCTCCCAAAGTTCTGGGATTACAGGTGTGAGCCGCCGTGCGCAGCCGAGAGTGTGCATTTCTAACAAGTGCCAGTGATGACAGTGCTGCTAGCCCGCAGGACACACTTTGAGCAGCCGGGGAATCACGGGCCAAGGTTGGGGGGAGAGGGTCGGTGGATGTGGGGTGGGGGGTATTTGGGAGTAGTTGTCCCTGGCTGGGCCACAGGAGGGAAGAAATGGCTTCAGCTGGAGAGGCCAGCAGCACAGAGCTTGCAGACTTTCACTTATGGTTTAATTTGCCTTAAGTAAACTTATACAACCTGGATTTTGGGTCAAGAAATATAATATGCTTAAAATTTGTCTTATGTAACAATATAATAAAAAACAAATTTTTACCATCCTTTTATTTAAACATTTGGAGGTAGAAAATCAGTGCTGTAGTTGGCAACTGCTATGCTTCTGGGTTTACTGAGGTGATGAGTGTTACAAAAGACACAGCAAGAGCCCAGGTTCACAAGGGATGGTGGTCCAGATGCCAGCTCTGTCCCTTACAGCCCCGTGGCCATGCTGAGTTATCTGCTCTGGTTCCTCCATCTCTAAGTGAGAGATGAGTGCTGTTATCTCAGGAATGTGAGGTAATGCCTGCAAAGGGTCCAGCGCACTTTTTTCATGCAGTGGGACTAAAGAAATGAATCCGTGTCCACATGGAAATGCACCCCCACGTGCACACAGATGTGTATGTGTACATGTATATGTGTGTGTATAAGTATGCATCTATGCATGCTAATATTCCTTCCTTCTGGAATATTTGGCCCCATGTGATGTGTTTGTAACAGGGGCTGCAACACTTCCTCTCATCCTGTTTCACACAGCCCAGCCCTTGGCACTGTGACATTGCCACAGCTCCCGTCAAGAAGAGGAGGTCCTGGGATCTGGATTTGGACTGACCCCATAACTGGCTTGGAGCACTACAAGGAAGCGAAAGTGGCGATGGACCCATTCTGAGGTGGTACAGCCAGCAGCTGTCCAAACATGTCGGTGAGGCTGTAGTGTGCCGATCTACTCCAGCTGACTGCGGCTTCATCAGTGACCCCAGGAGAGACCAGCCAAGAATCAAGCATCCCAGCGCAGCTTCACCTGTCAACCCAGAAAATGAGATGACTCCATTTTAACCCACCAACTCTTAGGGTGATTGGTTACACAACAAGTAATAACACATGGCTAGAAAAAAATGGACTAGAAATATCTCTGCATAATACTCTATATTTACACTCAACAATATAGCCCTTGAGTAAACGTTGGAAGGGAATTCAGCTGGTCATTTATTGCTCCTGCAGAGAGGAAGTGTGGGAAATAATTCAGCCGGGATCCTGGCCCTGGTAAAAGGCAAGGCACCATGCGAGGCACTGCATTCACAGTGAACCAGACGTGAGAGCCAAACAGACGTTTCCCATTTGTGCACACATACAAAGTGCTTCGCCCAGTGCCTTGTGGGGTGCCCCCACTTCTCTTCAGTGCTCCACGTCTGTTTGTAACTCACTGTAGCTCTCACTACCTGGTGGTGTGCCGACAACAATGGTAGACCAGCTGGACAAGCCCCAGAGTGGGGAGCAGAGGGAACACTTCATCTGCTTCAAGCCCTTCTGCAGGCTCCAGGCACAAACTGATGAAGGACAGAATTCTTTTGTCCTGCTGGAGCCAGAGGGTGTGGACACCAGAGGAGCCGTCCCTGGGCATCACATTGGCTCTTGCCCAAGAAAGGTGAGTCCTCGTTTGTTCAGCCTTTGCCAAGAACTCTATACCCCAGGCAGGCCCACGGTGTCTCATTGATGAGCTCAGTGGGACCAAGGTGTGAGTGTTTCACAGGACAGAAGTTAAATATGGAATACATTTCCTGCCTGGACTCTCAGCTGAAACACCTCTCCAGTATCTGCTGATGTCTTTAATGCCAGGCCTGGTGCCAGAGCATCCCCGGGCGCTCGGAGGAAAGGGACACGCCTCGCTCCACAGCTCTGGAATGGGGCATTGGTCCTGGGGTCAGGATTTTCCTCCTGTTCTATGTGAAAAGCCTCTTCCCCTGTTAGTCATCATTTCCCCACTGTGGCTGAGCCCTGTCCCTTGGTCTTGGCAAGTCTAAGCTCCTGTGGAGGCTGAGATTCCTGCAGGTGTCCTGACCCAGAAATGAACATCCAGCTTCTTTTAGAAGGCAGTGTTCTAGAAATGTGGAGGCCACCTTCCCATCTGTACGCATGCACACACCCACACTCATGGGGGCACACACACATACACATGCACACATACACTCACATGGACACAGATAGATGCATGCACACCGACATGTAGATACATGCACACACACAGACACACATGCATGCACACACGTGCTCACAGGGACAGGCACAGTCACATGCAGGCACACGCAGACACATGGACACACATATAGATTCATGCACACACACACAAGATACATGCATGCACACACAGACATGTGGACACAGATACAGACACATGTGCACACAGACACATGGACACAGACACATAGATACATGCACACACAGACACATGCACACAGACACATACGTGCATGGACACACAGACACATGGACACATAGACACAGATACATGCACACACACGTACACATGCATGCACACACATGCTCACAGGGACAGGCACAGACACAGGCACACACCACAGTCACATGACCACACACAGACACATACATGAATGCACACACACATGCTTAAACAGACATACATTCACCACACACACTTATATGGACACAGAAATGCACACACAGGCACACTTATAACCTGAACAGTAACCTCCCACCTCTGTGAATGTCACTGCGGCATGGAGGGAGGAGGGAGTTGCCACTGGGGAGCCAGGGGCCTCCAGCCAAAGGACAGTGTGCGGTTCAGGGACAGACTCGAGCAGCAAGTCAAGAACCAGAAGTTCTGATCACAGCCACTGGAGTGCGTTAAGAAGCCCTGTGGGCTGTTTTGTGTCATCACCAAGCAGGCCTGGCCGCTGGTGCTGCAGTGCATAGGAGCCCCAGATTCATCTGGTGAGGGTGAGGGTGCCATCTGTGTGTGGCCCCCGAGCTGAATCCACCACATCTGCTCCCACAAATAACAGAAGAGAGAGGCAGGGGAGTATGCAGCCAGGGACAGGGGCCAGAGAGGCACCCTCCAGGATACCTTTGGGGCCCTGCACCCTTTCCTGTTCCATCCACATGCTGTGGGCAGTGACAGGGGCAGGGCAGAAGGCCCAGCGGAGTGCCTCTGCGGGTCTGGTTTGTCATGGAGGGATCAGTGTGTTTCCATGCCTGAATGAGGAACACGCAGATCACAGTTCCCAGAGTACTTTATGTAAAGCTCGTCTTTGCGGCTTCTTGATTTTTATTTATAGAGAGCTATTTCACCTAAAATAGCAGTTATGCCTTGCCTATGAGCCCATGAGGATGGGATTTGCTCTTGGCAGTTTGGAAATGAGGAGAGGCCTAGAGGAGGGGAAACCAAGTCACAGTCCTCATGGGAAAGGTGGTTTGGGGCTGGAGTGGGCAGTGGAAGGGGCTAGGCATAAAGAAGGTTGTATCTGGGGCTCTGCTGCCAATGTGCCCGGGCTTGGACCCTGGCTCGCCCCTAGCCCTTGGGAGATCATTCAACCTCTCTGTGCCTCGGTTTCCTTATGAATGAAGCGAGCACGCCAGTTACCCCTCCATGGTGTCGTCGGGGCAATTACCTGGATGAGAGATGTGCAGTGCTCAGCAGGATTGTCACGAAGCAGGGGCCGGCATGACAGCTGTGGCTAGGACTCCTTATGTGGGGCCTCAGCCAAGGCTAGCACCAGGGAATGGGCTGATCGGGGCCCTTCATATGGCAGGTGAAGCTCTGCTAGGAACCTGGAAGCGCCAGGCTCCAGGGCAGCACAGAGGAGGGCAGGCAGATGTCAATCAGCAAGCCAAGCCCCACAGTCTGGAAATTTGCACCAGTGTGAGTGGAGGTGGAGCCAGGGAGGAAGTAAATCCCAGAGGAGAAGGCCTGGGCCAACATTTTAGAGCCCAGCGGCAGTACTGAGCCCACTTAGGGAGGTGCCATGGAGTCGTGGCCCCTGGAGCTCCTCGTGCGTCTGGTTGCTGTGGCAGGTAAGGGTCGGCCTTTGAGGTCCAGGGTCAGGAAAGGACAGGCGCCATGGCGTGCAATAACCCTTATGGGATTGATAGTAAAACATACAGAAAATATGTTTCAATAGCAAGCACCACTGCCTCAGTCCTTAAGATGCTAACCAGTTGGCTCCAATGAGTGTGAGGTCAGCCGCGATCCATTTTGGGAATTCTTTGAAGGCACAAGTGGTGACTCGTGGAATACTTAATAAAACAAAGTAAGGGTTGCCCCTGGAGAACAGAGGTCTGTACAGGCTGGGAGAGCAGCCAGGAGAGGACAGGATGCTCAAGTCTTTTTGCAGGGCCAGTCATGTCCGAACAACGCCAATTCACTTGCCGTAGGTTGACAGGTGCAGAAGATGAAAGAGTGGCGAGCCTCAGATGCTATTGCCTTGATGTTATTAGCTCCTGATTCTGACAGCGCAGGGCCTGGCCCAGGGCACAGCTGCGCACAGGGTGAGCAGCATGCCCTGCTGCAGGAGGGATTTGCCTTGTCACCATCCCCATAGCAGACCCAGGACAAGGTCCGTCACGTTCCTGATGCCAGGGGATGTGACATGTACCTCCCTCAGTGGCTTCCAGGTGCAGACCCAACACTGACACTGACCTTACAGTCAAATGGCAAAGTAGAAAATCCAACTGTAACACCAGCAAAGGACACTAGCTTGACAGCACTTTGGAGTATCTGGAGGAAATTAAAAGTATGGTTATGCTTGAAGACATTTCACTAAGTCATAAGTCTCTGGGCTCCTGGGCACATCAAGATTTGTGTCATGCACTTTCTGGGAAGAAAACAAAATGGAAAATGAGGACCTTCCATCAGGAAGCTGATCGTTTCCTTCAATGCAAGTACTCTTTGGAAACAAAAGCAAAACAAAACAAAAACCATAAAAAATACAAGAACAAGAAATGCTGAAGACAGGTGGAAAGAATGAAAATAGGACTGAAGCAGGCCTGTGCCCTAGGCAGAGCCAGGCACACGCCTGCTGAGAGGACCCCACTAACAGGTGACCCAGGCAAGAGGCCCCCGGCCGGCTCCGTGTGAACAGATCCTCCCATCTTGTCGCGTCCGTGTCCACAGTGAAACTCCAGGCACCGCAGGGACGCTGGGGAGAGCCTTCTCTCCACACCCCCTTGGAATGTGCCCCCCACTTTTCGCTGTTCTGGTGGGCTTTTGGTTTCTTGTCAGGGTTGGGGCTCTGCCAAGTAGCCACAGTGAACACAGAAAGCAGCCCTTGAGCCTGGCCTTCAGCGAGAGTTGCTAAGGGGTGGCTAGGAGATGAGGAGGGTAGGCTCGGCCCCGCCGCCTCTGCTGTCTGGTTCGAGATCAGCTGCTGGCCACCACAGGGGACATGTGCATTGTCATCTATCTTGGGAAAGACTTTGGTAAACATCCAAGTTTCAAAGGAAAAACAAAACCTCACGGTGGCTCCCCTGCAGGATAAAGGACAGCACTGCCTTCTCTTTTCTTCAGAGGCTGGCTTGAGCCAGGTTTGCATAATCCCCCACCTAGCCCTGAGGTGGGGAGAGAGTGTAAGAAGAGCAGCTTCAGGTGGGGTCCTTAGATCCTTAGTGCAGTCCCCACAACCGCCCCCTCCACCCCTCCTTCCCCCGCTACATTGCTGGAGTGTGAGGGGCCTATAAGGCCAAAGGGCTGCCCAGGGGAGGGGCCCAGCACCCAGCTTACCACCTGCACGCCCATCCCCCTTTCTCCATCTTCCTTCCCCTTTGCCTTGCCTCTCCCTGCATCCAGCCAAAGTCCAACTCTGCCCTTCAACCTGAAAGCCAAATCCTCTAAGCAAAAGAACTGACACATTTTGGAAAGTGGCAGGAATTCAAGGTGCTGATGCACGTGATGCTGGGCATGGCTTTGTGTGAGATTGAAGCATTGGTGGTGATGATCCTGTTGTGCTAATTTCACTAATGACTGGAGAAGAGAAAATCTACAAGGCTTCAGGCAGGTAAGGGATATTGAAATTCAAGGCCATCAAAATATTGAGATGCCCTCAGAAAATTTAGGGAAACCTTTGAATATTTCTGCATAAGTCATTCTCTTTCCTGTTTCTGTCAAAGTCAATTTCGTTGGAAAAATTACACAAGCAAACCTAAATGACACTTGATCATTTTTCACTCCAATTAGCACATACTTATAATCCAAGTAATGTGAAAAGCTAAATGAACTCACTTTCCTAGTTGTGGGTTTCCTTTATTGGCATGAAGCTGAACTGGCCCTCATGTGCACACATCCACATGCATGGGCACACAAGCATGCACGTGCACACACATCCATGCACAGGCATGGAAACACGCATGCACACACACATGTGGACACACACAGACATGCACGGGCACACACATGCTTGGCACACACAGGTACGCACACATACATGGGCATACACAGGTACACACACATACATGGGCACACACACATCCACATGCACACATGCAGGTACACACACTGTGGTGAAGTTTGCTTACTGGTTTAAGTAGATTTGTTTTAACTACATCTTCCCCAATATTAAATATCCTTGAAGGTTTTGAGTTGCAGGCTCCATGAGAGGGTTTTTGTCTGGTTTTGTCACTGCTCTGTCAACTGGGCCTGAAATCTAGCACCTAGAAGATGCTCAAATGCTCAGTGGAGTTGGTGAGCAGTGGAGGGTGGTGGAGGAGGAGCAGAGCTCTGTTTTGACACTGTAGTGTGAGGAGCTTTACCCCCACCCTCAGGGGACCATTGGGCAGCCGCAAGCTCAGAGGGGAGGCATGGCCGGGTGCTGGAGTCACCACCAGCATTGGAAGAGCACTGAGCCCCCCGGCTGGCCAAGCTCAGTAGGTAGTGAGAGAAGGAAGAAAAGATAAAGGAAGGGTCTTGGAGTCATCCCAACGTGTGGAGGCCCAGAGGAGGAGACCCAGCCCTGGAAGCTGGGGACAGAGCCGCGGATACTGGCCTTTTGAGATCCCTGGCTCTGGCAGCTCGGCTGGTTGCATCCCGGCCACACCCCTGCTCGCTGGGTATGGGGAGGGAGGATCTGGGAGAGAACTGGGTTTGAACACAGCAGAGGCTTCACCAGCAAAGTACAGGGGCAGGGAAGAGGGCCGGGGGCGGGGCGGCGCGCATGGCCGAGGACTGGATCACTGAGTGCAGATTGAGAAGCACAGCAGGGCAGTATGTGTGGGACTTGTGGTGTAAGGGAAGATAGTGAAGGATGGAGGATTGAGCGCACAGTGTCAGGGAAGCTGCTGGGGGCATGAGCAGGGAGGAATGCTGAGAAGAGTGGCCTTAGAACCACACAGCTAGAGGAGCTGGCGGGTCCGAGGGTGACTGTGGGAGTGGATGGCTCAGGAGGAGCAGCAGGAGAGATCATCGAAGTGGGGCGTGACGAGCTCGAGAAGCTAGCACGTTGGGTGGGCACTGAAGTCACAGAGAGTGGCGTAGGCAGTGGTGGGTGAATGGACAGGGCGCCTGGTGCTGACATCACTCATTCCTGGGGGACTGGTGCCACCAAACATCTGTGAAATTGAGCCCCGAGGGATGAGGAGGAACAGGATGCAGGGAACAGACCCCCCCGGGAGAGGTGCATGTGGCCGGGAGGGTGGGCAGGACTGGAGGCAGCAGGGACCGGGGCCCTGAGGGGCCACCCTACTCACCCTGTCCCTTTGCCCTGCAGAAGGCTGGCCTGACTACCCAGAGGAACCCCTGCTGTGCTGGCTTCAGGGACCTCAGACGTGACAGGCACCTCCAGCCTTCCCCATGTACTGAGAGAGGACCTGGTGGCCTTCTTCCCCTCTGAGGGAGGCCCAGAAATGCACTTGGTGCCCTGGCAGGGTGCAGGGCCTCCTCAGCCCTCTGAGTTTTTGCATTAATGTAGGACCCTCTGTCAGGAGTGACTCCTACTACCTCAGTCCAGGTCCAGGGTTCTCATTCAATCTATAACCATGCCCTGGTCAGTTAAAAAGGTAGAACTCAGTTACAAGAACAGTCACTAATGCATCTGCGGTAGTCATGGTCATTGACAGCTGTATTTATTATGCTTAACACTGTAAATTTAAACTAAGACAAGGATACGATGCAGTACAATGGCCATGTTCCTCTACTAGGGTGGGATTTGCCACTTAAACTTTGTGACCCACTTTTATGACATTCTCAGGGACATCAGAAGGGAGGGTGGATTTCTTGTCAGCTGTTTCAGAAGACAGGACTACCCTCCAGGCCCTCAGCTCACTTCTGACCTGCCCTCTAGTCTGCCCCTGGCTTGCTGGAGGCCAGCCACTTGGCGGCTTTTAGAGGGTCACCTCCCCATTCACTGCACATGACACTTATCCAAGGCCACCCGCACCCCAGTTTATCCCTCAGGCATCACCCCAGTTACCAGTCCCAGCCCGCTTCATCCAGTTCCCCGAGCTGACGGATTCTCTGTCATGCAATGGCAGCGAGTCTGGGAATGTAGCCTGTGGTCTGGGGCCAGGAGGGCGGCTGTGCTGATCCACCTTTCCCTGAGATGCTGACTCGCAACCCAGCCTCCAGCAGCAATGTGCATAGCTGGAACAAACATGCCAGAGAACATCCCCTTAGAAAAGTGCCTTGGGGATTTATTTGGACAGAACAAGGATCAAGTCCTAGGGCTAGGACTTCACTCTCTTCATGCACAAAACGAGAGTAATTGAGTTCTAAAGTTGACGGTACTCACATGGGATCACATTGGTGAGGTGGGCCAACGCCCTGGCCAAATGCTGGGCAAAGAGAACTGCCTGAGAAATGGAGGTAGTTATTATTTCTGTTTTTATTTTTATTTTATTTATTTATTTATTTTTGATATGGAGTCTCACTCTGTTGCCCAAGCTGGAGTGCAGCGTCACGATCTCGGCTCACTGCAAGCTCCGCCTCCTGGGTTCACGCCATTCTCCTGCCTCAGCCTCCCGAGTAGCTGGGACTACAGGTGCCTGCCACCACGCCTGGCTAATTTTTTGTTATTTTTAGTGGAGACAGGGTTTCACCATGTTAGACAGGATGGTCTCGATCTCCTGACCTCGTGATCAGCCCGCCTCGGCCTCCCAAAGTGCTGGGATTGCAAGCGTGAGCCACCAAGCCTGGCCATATTTCTGTTTTTAAAAACTGGGGTTGACTGCATGTTTCAGGAGCAGCAAGAGAGGGAACCCATCCTTCGCTTTTCCCCGTAAATGTTAATTTGACGATACACTTGTCCGTTCCGCCAGCTGTGGTGCTGATGGGACCGCACTGAATCTATGGCTGCGTTTGAGAAGTGTTGCCGTCTAATGATACTCAGTTTTCCAGTTAATGAACATGGATATCTCTCCATATATTTAGGTCTTCTGTGATTTCTTCCAATGAGATGTCTTGTAGCTCTCAGCAGACAAATGTTTCATTTCTTTTGTTAAATTTAATTCCTTAAGATTTTATCCTTTTTGATTCTAAAAGCATGGGTTTCTATAGTGGAATAAATGTGGGTTTTGGCATTGGGCACACCTGGGTGTAACTCTTACTGACCAGGTTTGTAATGCAGGGCAAGATACTGTTTTGTTTTTTTCTGAACATCTGTTTTCTCATCTTTAAAATGGGCATCATAATTCATTTCTACTTGGCTTAGTGAGATGATCACTTGGGATAACGTATGTGAAAATACACAGCACAGTGTGGTAAATACTAGTTTCCTTTCCCAGATCTACAGTAAAGCTTATCCTGACACTAAAGCACTATATCCCCTGACACAATATACCCAGAGCTGGGGGAGAAAAAAAGATCTGTTGGCTTTCACTTTTGTACTTTAAATATTTAAGATTTTTCTTATCCTTATTTTTTCTTTAGTGATGTAATTTTTATCTATTTCTAATTCTCAATTTCTATGCCTTCCCCCTCAAAATCCTCCTGGTACCTTTGAGTTTCTAGATCCAGCCTTAGTAGGCTTATTAGAGTTTTATATCTTCACAGTAGTACTAATACCATTTGCTTAATTTACTATTTCATTGCTAGCTCATATCTATCTTAGGAGATAGAATTTTATCAGAATTTTATTCTTCTGTTCTTACATATTTGAAATGAGATGATTGATGTCCAGGCCCTGTGAATCAAGTAAGTTTTTTCTGCTTCTCTCTTTTTCTTTTCTTTTGTTTGTTTGTTTATGTGTTTTTTGTTTGTTTGTTTGTTTGTTTTTGAGACAGGGTCTCTCTGTGCTGCCCAGGCTGAGTGCAGGGATGCGATCTCGGCTCACTGCAATCTTCGCCTCCCAGTTCGAGCAATTCTTGTGCCTTGGCCACACGAGTAGCTGGGACTACAGGTGTGTACCACCAAGCCCGGCTAATTTTCGTATTTTGAGTAGAGATGGGGTTTCACCATGTTGGTCAGGCTGGTCTTGAACTCCTGGCCTCAAGAGATCTGCCCACCTTGGCCTCCCAAAGGGCTGGGATTACAGGTGTGAGCCACTGTGCCTGGCCTCGGTTTCTCTTAATTTAGTATTTTCTTTTAAATCACAAATGGGCTTCTTAGATTTCAGCGCAGTTGGGGTCTTGGAAGGGATTGAACTAGTCTTCTATGTGCACTGTACTGCCCATGCCATACAGAGGGGAGGTAAGAACAGATGGAAAAGGAGCATTTCTTCACGAACCTGGGGTCTCTGCCCAAAGTTAAATGGATACAAGGGCTTCTAGGCAACCCTGGGGCCCATTGCTGTTAAAAAGAAAAACCAGGAGCTAGTGAAGAATGTCAGCTACAGGGGCTGAAGAGCAGAGCTTAGCTTATGGCCCCAGAGTGTATTTGAAGATCATGCACTATTCTGGTTTTATATGTGATCTGTGGATCCACTTCTGCCTGAAGGAGATGGAAAACAATGGCTAAGTGCTGACAGTAAAGAGCTCTTTCAACCTGGATTGTCCAGACCCATGATCTTACACTGGAATCTCAACACAGGCTGTCATATAGAGCAGACTTGGCCATCAGCCAAAGGCCTGGGCAGGTTATTTAAATAAACACTAGAATCTCACAGCCCTCATTCCAGGGTGGTTTCCCACATGCTGATCTCACAGCCCAGCCTTTAAACAAAAACAAGTCAGCTGACTTTACTGAAGTTTGACTGACACACAAAAAGCTGTGCGTGTTTAACGTATGCAACTTGAGGAGTTTGGACCTCAGTGTACACCCCTGGAGTCATCAACATACTTTGTGCCATCACTTCATCACTATTCATCACTTCCAAAAGCTTCCTCCCACCCCATTTATTTATTATTATTAGTAGTAGTATTTGTGATAAGAACACTTAACATAAGGTCTACCCTCTTAGCAAAATTATAAGTGTATATTATATAGTGTATATTATAAGTGTATATTAAAATTTTGTCCTTTAAATTTCTACGTTAGCCATAGGCGCTGAGCTGCACAGTAGCTTGCTAGGACTTTGTCATTTTGTATAACCAAAATTTTGTGCCTCTTGACCAACACCTCCCCATTCCCATCTCCCGTTCCCTGCCTCTGGCAGCCACCATTCCACTCTCTGCTGCTGTGAGTTTAACTATGTTAGATTCCTCATGTCATATATGTAGATGTGTCCTTGTGTGTAACCGTGTTCCACTTAGCATAATGTCCTTCAGGATTCCTCATGTCATGTATGTAGATGTGTTCTTGTGTGTAGCTGTGTTCACTTAGCATAATGTCCTTCAGGCTTGTCCATGTCACAGAGGTCAGGATTTCCCTCTTTCGTAAGGTTGACCAGTGTTCCGTGGCATGTACACCACCTTTTTTCCCTTCATTTGCCTATCAGTGGGCCCTTAGGCTGCTTCCATGCCTTGGCTGTTATGAAGAATGCTGCAGGGAACACGGGTGTGCGGCATCCAGATGCACAACCAGAAGCAGGATTGCCAGGTCATAGGGTGGTTCGAGTTTCCATTTTTTGAGAAACTGTTTTCCCCAGTGGCTACACCAGTCAGTAGACTCTCAGTAGGCACTAGTTTCTCCTGTTTTGTTTGTTTGTTTGTTTGTTTTGAGACGGAGTCTAGCTGTCGCAAGTGCAGGCTGGAGTGCAGTGGCACGATCTCGGCTCACTGCAAACTCTGCCTCCCAGGTTCAAGTGATTCTCCTGCCTCAGCCTCCCGAGTAGCTAGGATTACAGGTGTGCAGCATCATGCCCAGCTAATTCTTGTATTTTTAGTAGACATGGGGTTTCACCATGTTGGCCAGGCTGGTCTCGAACTCCTAACCTCAAGTGATCCAACCGCCTCAGCCTCCCAAAGTGGTGGGGTTACAGGCGTGAGCCACTGCGCTCAGCCTAGTGAAAGATGGGAATCTTTCCTGATCCAGTTCAGCCACAAGTGGTCAGAGGAGGAATAGGACATGAGGTTTTATGTTCTCATTCTCAGGCCCAGTGGCACAGTTATTTCTGGCAGTGTGGAAGGATAATTAACTCATATTCACCACCACCCTACTCTGCTACCCAGGCAAGGCTGCACTGCATACATCCATAAATGACAATTAGGATGTTTACCTATGAACATGAGAGAACTACCAACATGCGCCAACCTTTGATGGCATAAACACTTACAGCAACTAATGTGGACTAGAAGTGACATGTACGGACTGAGTCGGTCGGTACCTGTCCAGATTCACTGGCTTTGCCAAGAACCTAACTGTCCAAACAGCCATTCTCCATGCCCTGCCCGGGTAGAGGCTGCTCACTGGTGGGAGAGAAAGCAGGAAAGCAAAAGCATCCTTGGTAAGGCAAGGAGTGAACACGCTCCCATCATGTAAAAATTCTATACAACACAATGAAAATCTTTATACATAGTTCATATCAATATATGTAAGGCTGATTCCTGATTATCAGCCAAGGGAGTGGGGTAATAGATGCCTTATAAATCATGCCAGTAATTTTCACGATTCTAATGCAAATAGCTACACTGAGAAGTGCCATCACTGCTCACTCCGTACCCACTCATCTCCCCGGATTTAGTGAGAAGTGAAATGGCCCAAAGGTGGGCATCAGGAAAGGGAACCCAAAAAAGGCCACAGCCAGCCAGCCGTGTCCAGACTGTGGGTTTGCTGCCAAAGACTCCAGACTCAGTTTCTGTGCGTCTGTGTCGACAAAAGCACCAGAACTTGCTAGCATCCCTAGTCCTCTCGGTGATGGTGATGTTTGATTTATGCATGTATATCTCTCAAATGGCATTTTAAATGATGCCAAATGTGATTCCTATGTTTCTTTAAAAGTGAATAAATATAATTCACAGAAATCGTTGATAGAAAATGGCAGAAAAAATAGAAATACCTTCTATGTTGCCAAAGAAAGGATGGAGTCCTTTTCTATCGAGTGTTGTTTTCATCCTTTTTCCATGAGTTTCCACAAAACATTGGGCTGTTCAGGCATTTCAGTATCAACTTAGAGAGTTGGCTGTTTCTAGTTGGAAAACAAAAGCAGATTCTTTTCTTTCTTTCTTTCTTTCTTTCTTTCTTTCTTTCTTTCTTTCTTTCTTTCTTTCTTCTTTCTTTCTTTCTTTCTTTTTTCTTTCTCTCTCTCTCTTTCTTCTTTTTTTCCTTCTGTCTTAATTCAAGTGATGTGTGCCATGCTTGTTACAGATCGTAAAACCCAAGCGCACTGCTGTGTGCAGACACCACAGCATCTTTCTTTAGACTTGACCTCACGTCTGGCTCCACAACATGCTTAGTTAAAGCTCAGCTTTTAAAATGATGGTCCTGTCAGCCATGTCCATTGGAATATCAGTGACCTGCCTGACCAAGGAGGACACTGCAGAGTGTGGGATTTATATTTGGAAGCATGTACTGTGGAAGATTCATTCCTCATAAAGCAAAATAAATTGCATTTATGATCTTAGGCTGACAAGGTGTATGCAGAACTCTGGGGAAGCCCTGAGGGAAAGTTTTCTAACTAGTGAAGAAATATTGAAAACAGAAGTGGGGTAGCTGTCCAACTCTACCGTATAAACACTAAAAAACACAAGAAATGAAACTTGAAAAAAAGATATTTCCTCAAACTGGCAAGCATACTAAAATAATTTGAAGCTTTTAGGAAAAGAAATCTACCTATCTATCTACTTATCTACCTATGTAGATAACATCTATCTACCTATGTAGACAGCATATTTACATATTCCATCTATTTTTTTATATTATAAAGGTTATTTTGTACTTTACATATGTAGGGTGTGCTTTGCTTTGCAGATTGTACTTCTACTTATAATCTACTAAAACTCTTGAAGATGGCGATTCCTCTGGGACCTAAATGTCGTACCTGTAGCTTCCATATCCTCTGCAGCATGCACAGGGCAGTAGCCCCGGATGACAGCGAAGATAGCACGTGTGAGGTGCTCTGAGCAGCAGGAGTGGATTCCATGGATCGAATCTGTGAATCCAGTTCACGGATATCGTTGATCACCCTTCAAGCTTATTTCAGGCCCTAAGCTGTGCTGTGCCCAGCCGTTTATGTGGCTGCATTTCTGATGGGAAGCTATATAGAGTAGGGACTGGGGACAGAGGTCCCAAGGCCACACCGGCTGGGTTCAGATTCCAGCCTTGCCACTTATTAGCTGTGTGACCATCAGTGACATACTTTGCCTCTCTGTACCTCTGTTCCCTCTTCTGGAAATGGGGGTAGTTATAGAATGTCCATGTCACAGGGGGTTATTACGTATTTCATGGTAAGCTTAGTCCCTGTGCTTCCGATATTATTCATCTGTCATGCACTAGACTCTGTCTTACAGAGTTAAAGAAGCACCCACTTGTGGTGTCTCATCCAGGAGAGTTTTATGCATCAGAGCAAGTAAGGCCGGTGCCCCAGGTGTACCCACTGGGCACTCACCTCTGCAGGCCCCGAGCTGCTTCTGGCTGACACCTGTGGCCTTTTTCCTGGGGATTCTTTTCCAGCAAGGGGAGACTGCTCTGCCCATGCCAGGGCAAGCTAAGGGCCGAGAACGAATGGCCCACGAGCAGCCCTTGGCCAGTGGCGGGCAGGACGTTGCTGGGAAGATGCCCCTGTCCTGATAGCTGTGAGTGAATGTCCTATACAGTCCCCTAGACGTTCCCACAGGGCTGAGCCCCAGCCACTGGCAGCAGCAACTGGCTTAACCACACATACCCCTCACCTTCTTTCTGTTCCCTACCTTTCTTGCCCCTACCCAGTGCTTTCTGGAACCACCTCCCAAGTGCACTCAGATCCTCGTCGCAGGGCCAGCTTCTGGGAGGTCTTGGGCATCATCCTGGATGCAGGAGTCATAGCCTTGTGGAAGCAGCAGGCCTGTTCTGCGTCATCTGCTTTCTCCCCATCACTAAGTGAATCCTGTCCAGGACAAGTGGCGAGCAGGGCTTGGAGTGTCACGTGGGAGGCAGTGTCTCTTGGGAAGCATCTCTGCCTGTGCATCAGTGCTGCTCTGATTCACAGAGCATCGTCCTGGCCTCTCCAGGATGAATCATACCCCGGGCACAGACAGGAATGAATGTCAGGGAGACAGAATCTCTCAGAATCCTCACCCTTGAATCTTCCCTGCAGAGTTCTGGGAAAGAATGACTTTGAAACAATCATTTATTTGACCCTGGCAGCTATTTCAGTGACTTTTAAGCAAGCTATTTTAGTGATTTTTAAGAGTTAGTGTCATTCCATGGATGTCCCATTCAAATCTTTGTTAAGAACATGCTAATTTGCTTTTCTGGATCAAATGCACATCCTCCAAGTGCATTGCCATTTGGCTTCTGGTTAGGATGGTGTGAAGGCCTTGGGGCTGTCCTCTCTGTTAAAGGAAATAAAATACAAAGGTCACTGAAGAAGAGAAGAGTGACAGTACTGATTCATACAGTGCCTGCTGACGTGTCTGGAAAGCAGAGCGCTGACGTGGGAGTTTTGTCTTTGCATTTATGTTAATTCTGCTTTAAACTCTGGGAAATTAAGTAGATACGAACTTTGGCACAATTATGTTCAGTGATCATTCAAGATGTCATAGCATGAAGCCCATCACACTTCCAAGTTTCAAGGGCCCTTTATCTGGGATGCGTGAATGGACAGATTCATGGTCAGGGTCTCAGAAGCTTTGTGGTCTTCAGCTGAGCTTGGGAAGCAGACTGTGCCCTCATTCTTCTCATTCCTTCTTCTCTGTTGCTCCTTCCTGAGGACTGTGGGGGAAGGCAGGCGTCCCCTGCCAGAAGGCGGCTTGTAATGCCTGGAAATATAGCTGGGGATGCGTTCCTTCTGCACGGTACTTATCACGCAAGGCAGGGCGGACAGGTGGCAATATAACCAGCTAACTAAATGCACAGATGATCCTAACAAGGTGGAGGAAAAAGATCAGGAAAAATGAGATCACACCAAGAGGGAGGTGAGCACCTCAAATATATTTTGGTGTCTAGAGCTGGCTGTGTGCTCAGCAGCAGTGCTGAGAGGGAGACACAATCAGCAGCATGACTCACAGTGTCCACGCGGTAAAAATAGACCAGGGGCTCAGGAGAAGCTCGTCTACTTTTGCTCTGATACGGGATGCAGAGTTCTCATAGAAGCAATGAGCGTCACCCCCAAAATCCCCCAATGGGAATGCCTCCCCAGCCCCCCAGCGCTCCAGTCCCTCTGACCCTTTGCTAGCTTTCCACTGCTCTTATCTGCAGAACTCATTTATTGAGCTCATGATCTCAGCCCCCTGGCACTCCAATCCCCCTGACCCTGTGCTAACTTTCCTACAGCTCTTATCTGCAGAACTCACTCATTGAGCTCATGATCTGCCTCTCATCTTTAGGTCAAGTGTGAGCTTCACAAGAACACAGGCTTCTTCTGGCTGCTTCCCTGCCACCCCCAGCGCCTACTGCAGGGTGCGTACTCGGGCATGACTTGTTGAATGACTGGATTGAAGACATTTCATGAGGATTGCTGCTTACAAAGCAGATCCGTGGGATCCAGGGAGAGCAGGTTTTTTTTTTTTTTTTTTTTTGAGACGGAGTCTCACACTTTCGCCCAGGCTGTAGTACAGTGGCATGATCTTGGCTCACTGCAAGCTCCACCTCCCAGGCTCACGCCATTCTCCTGTCTCAGCCTCCTGAGTAGCTGGGACTACAGGCACCTGCCACCACGCCGACTAATTTTTTGTATTTTTAGTAGAGACAGGGCTTCACCGTGTTAGCCAGGATAGTCTTGGTCTCCTGACCTCGTGATCCGCCCGCCTCGGCCTCCCAAAGTGCTGGGATTACAGGTGTGAGCCACCGCGCCCAGCCAGGAGAGCAGTTTTATGCTTTGCGGACTTTCATTGGTGTGGCTATCTGATGGCTTGTTTCACTGCAGTGTAGATTGTGGCATAGGTAGCCCGGGGAGCAATGAAGTCGCACATAATAAAGAGACCCTATGCGTAGCAAAAAGGCTTAAAGGAACCCCTGGAAAGAAAACAGGGAAAGACAGGACAGAGATGCAGCGAAGGAAACCCAAGCCCAAACAAGCCCGACTGAGCTCCCTTGGCCCTCTCTGGATGCCACCCTCACCCTGGCTCTAGGTCTCCATCTGTGGCTCGGAGGCTGCCTGGGGGCTGGGACCTGAGGCTGTATTGTCCCTGTGGTGGAGCATGGATGTTCTTAGTTTTCAGTTTTCTTCAGAATGAATCCGGATCCAAACTTTAAAATCTGTAGCTCATGAAGAACAGCTTCTACTTCAAAGAAGGCCAGTCACGAGGGAACATAGAGAGTTGGGAGATGTCAGAGTTGAGACGGAGACTAAACGGGGGTTGGCATATGCTGGCTCTCATGAGCTACGCAAAAGCCTTTGGTCTGTGCCCCGGGAGCTGGGTCACTGAAGAATTCCTGCAGAGCTGTCACAGAATCAGTTCCCCATCTGAAAGACCCTGTGACTGCTGCAATAGCCCAGTAAGGATGTGGGGAAGCAACTAGGAAATCGTTGAAGTGGCCTGGGTGAGAGGATGGTAGCTTGGTCCAGGGTGACAAGGGGGAAGAATCAGTAGGACTTGTTGATGCTTTGATTTTCATGGAGGAGGTGGTGAACAGATCCCAGGTGTGGGGCAAGGCCAGGTGAGCCGCGGCAGGGCTGTTCACAGACGTGGTGGGTGAGGAGCCAGCAGAGGGTCTGTGCGTGTCCAGCTTGCTAGCTGAGTGGTCATCGGCACAGGGTAGGTAGGTGGCACCGCGGGCTACAGGGAGATGAGCTGGAAAAGGCTGAAGAGAGGACCTGGCAAAGAGTCATTGAGAAGTCATTGGGAAGCAGGAAAACCAGCCAAGGGTGCGCAGCCAGGGGAGCCCTGGGGAAATTCTCTCAAGGAGAAGGAAGATGCCCAGGGTGTCATATTTGTCTGAGGTCAGGCCTGGTGGGCAGAGGCGGTCATCCTCTGGACTCACTGGCGTTTAGGACCCCCTCAGCGGGGAAGAGGGGGGCTCAGAGTGGCTCCTACATATCCAAACCCCAGATCTGCCCCCCTTACTCAACCTAGCAGCTAAATTGGGGTGGATTTTAGGAATCCACATGGATTGTTCCCTTCTGGGGTTTTTGTAAATGGCACTGCAACATTTTTAATAAAATTTAAATTGCAGAGCAGACTGGGTCCTCATTCTTAGGCAATCTTAGGTGGCTTCCGCCCATATTTGCTGTCTTCATGTTTACTCCACTCGCCCAGGTCAGCTGTTTATGCTGTCTGGATGCCTCTCAGTGTTCTCCTTAGGAGACCAAGTCCTGGACATCAGGGCACAGTGGAGCTGGGACTTATTTTAGAAGATCAGAAATCCGAATATAGAAAGTGGGATGCTAGACTTTCCCCTTGCAGCACTTGAAGCAAAGTTGCAAAAAATCCTGACAATAGAGACATGCCATTAAAAGAGTTGAAGCATTTTCAGTTGTCTCATTCTCCCTATTCTGCCAAATTCTGTGGTTTGGTAGTAGCTAGATGCAGTCATGAAAACAACACTGCTAAGGGGAAATGGTTTCTTTGTAACTGGTCCAGAACATAGGTGCCAGGATGGCAGGAATCAGAGAGGAGTCACAGCAAATGCTGAACCTCCAGTGCCGACCCCAAGAGTATGACTTAGCTCCCACCAACTCTCAAGTCCTGGCCCCAGTTTATCCTAAGTGCCTTAATTTGGCACCGCCAGGTCTGGTTCATAAATAATCTCCGGGAGGAATTTCCATGAATGTGAACTCAGCTGCAGCTGAGAACATACCCATTGCCCAGGTAAGAGTCTGTCTGTCCAGCCATCCATATCCTTAGCAAGTTATAAGACAAGGGGCATGTGGAATAAGATGAGGTGAAACCTCTATCTAACTATGCCACATGCCAGGTGGCAGCACACCCACATACCCAAAAAGGGAAAGTGTGACTGTGATGCCACGTCTGAGTTGTCAGGAAACCACTCCAGGTTTAGGAGACAGAAATTCCCCCAAGCGCCAAAGAGAGGGAGAGCATGGCCACAGTCCCCCTGGTGCCACCACAGCTGAGGGTGGACAGTGCTTTGGGGATTGGCACTGTTATTTTTTTCTTTCAAAACTGAAGCAATAAGATCTCAGACTCTGAAGTTTCTCTTGAAGTCCTATTAAGGTCCACCAGAAAAGGTCCTTCTCTGGAAGCCCAGCCTGGCCCTGCTACTGGGATGGAACTGTGGCCCTGTGGGCCTAATCTGGGATGGGCCACATCTAAAATAAAAGCTCCCATGGGTTCCCTCTGGTTTATTTCAAATCCGCTGATGCAGTGGTGTCCGGGGCAGTGGCTCCTCCAGGACCTGGCAAGCCGTGTTATTGTGGTCCCAGGCAGTCCCACATCGGTTCCCAAAGCCAGGCATACCTGAGCCCTGTGGGCCCCAGTCACATGTGAGGGGCAGGTTTGAGTCACTCACACAGGCAGAGAAGCTGGGCAGTGGGCAAGAAAGCCTCGGAGCTCATTTAGTCATGAGGGGATTCTAGAATAAAGGAAGGATTTGGCAAGAGTGCCCAGGTATCTTAGATGGGCTCCCCAGAAGCCCCCTGAGATAAGGATTTGGGTGATTTGGGTGCATGTAGCTTGCATGGGAAGTGATGCCAGAAAGCACTGGAAGTGGAGTGGGAAGTGAGCTTTTAGGGAGGCTGGCCAACACACACTTCGTCATCAGCCGTTCCCAGCTGGGCAATGGGCCCCAGTCCACCTCTGAGTTACTGGTGGTCCATCCTCCACCTCTGTCCATTAAGGCTGCGACTGCTCCTGGGCTCTGACCTCCCCCCACAGCCTGCCAAGCCTGTTGCCCACAGGAGCGTGCTGCCTGCTGGCCAGAGGATGCTGCCAGGGCTTGCCCAGGGATGAGAGCTGAGACACACAGCCGGGCACCAGGAATGCCTGAACCTTTCTGATTCATCATCTATATTCTCACGTGGTTCCTGAAGGAGGAATAAATAAGACTCAATACCAATTTGTCCCTGGCTGGTGAGAACCAGGGCTTTTCCGGAAGGAGCTGTGATGAGCTCAGCACAAGGCCCCTCCTTTGTTGGAAGCTCTGTTCCTAGCCCATCCCTCTCCAGCTCCAGGAACCCAGCCCTTGCCACACTCTGCTGCGCGCCTGGAGCCGTGAATGTGGCCTGCAGAAGAGTCCCCTTGCCTGCACCTGCTTAGTAGGAAGGTGGCAGCTTCCTCCTTTGGCTGCTGAAGGTCTGTGGGTGTGGGGGAGCCTTCCCTGCTAGAGATAAGAAACTGAGCAGTATCGGGTGTGAGCAAGGCATCTGAGCTAGGCCGAGGCTCCTCCTCCATTTAACCAGAAGAGAAGCAGGCAGCAGGGGCCTCCTGCGGCCATCTGTTTCCTCCTGTCCAGGACATGCTAATGGGTACCATTTGCCCAGAATCCATGGTCCCACTCAAGGAGCTCATCTCCGAGAAGTGCTGGTGGGACAGCCAGGAGGTGCGCTGTTCCACAACCCAGGAACCTGCGCAGGGAAGCTGCCTTCCTGCAGGGAAGCACCCTCAGTGGATACAACAGTGACCTCTCAGAAGAGCCTGGGGCCCAAGAGGACCACTGCAGGCCAAACTACGAAGAAGTGTTCTGGATCTCCCCAGGTACCTAATGTGGTCTTAAAAGCATAAACCAATAAAAAAAGAAATGAAAAGTAAATTCCTGAGGAAAAGAGAAGATAAAACATAGATAAGAAAGGTGAGAAGGTTAAGAGATTAACACAAAAACATTAACCATGAGGTAAGTGGAAAATTAAAATTAAGGAGGATAATTTTTTTTTTTTTTTTTTTTTTTTTTTTGTGACAGAGTCTCACTCTGTAGCCCAGGCTGGAGTGCAGTGGCACAATCTCGGCTCACTGCAACCTCCACCTCCCGGGTTCAAGTAATTGTCCTGCCTCAGCCTCCCAAGTAGCTGAGATTACAGGCGTGCACCACTACGCCCAGCTAATTTTTGTATTTTTAGTAGAGACGGAGTTTCACCATGTTGGCCAAACTCCTGACCTCAAGTGATCTGCCCGCCTCAGCCTCCCAAAGTGCTGGGATTACAGGCGTGAGCCACCATGCCCTGCCCAGGAGGATAATATTTAAATGTCAGATAATTTCAAAGCCCCAGTGAAGAAAAACATAGGTGAAATAAAAGAGATTTTTAAACAAACGTTTAAATGAACAAACAAAAAAACTAGAGCCAAAAAATTCAGAGGAAAGCCTAGAAGTTGAAGATCAAATTTTAAAGTAAAAATAAAAACCAAATGAGCAGGCAAAAGTTAAAACAAGGCTAGGAGTTGGAAGAGCAATAAATATAGTTCTTCAGACTGATAAAAACCATGAGTGTGCACCAGCTCCCACTCCACTACCCTGCAGGCGCAGGCTGGAGTCACATGAGAACTGAAGAAAAGGGGAATAAATAGAGGTGGAAGCGGGAGGCTGAAGATGAAATCGAGGATGTTACTACCAGGTCAACAAGAAATAAAAACCCAATTGCCCAGATGCCAGGTCCCACAACCCAACACATTCATGGCGATTTAAGAAAGTAACATGGAGTCAAAAGACCATCAGTAAAAAATGTAAAGAATCCCACAGGCCTTAAACATAAACCTCCCTGCAATGAGCATTGGTTTACTGTTTGATGTCCCTTGGTCCCTGTAATTTTAGCAGAAACCCCTGATGCAGACACCTTAGTGTGAGTTTACAACCTGATGGGTTATGGGCATGTTTTATTTAGCCCCTTGAGGGATTTAGTGTACACACATGTGTGTATGTATGTATATGTGTGTGTGTATTTCAATTATTTGTGATTATAAAATAATTCTGGAGCTCCAGTTTCTCTGAACTGTTTTTCTTTTCTCTGTCTACTGGCTTATATTTTATTTCTATCATTAGATGTTACCCTTAAATTTTTAATATGCATTTCTTAATGTGCAAATTCTGGAGTTAATATTGTCCATCCTTCTTCCTAACAATACAAGGAGTTTAGAATCCCCTTGCTTTCTTATGCTATTGTTCTGTATTTCAGTTCCTTCTAACTTTTGTTCCAGTAGAATTAACCATTGTGAGTGTGGTTAGTTTTGCTGTTGTTTTCTATAGTCAATGCTCATTAAATATCACTCGTGTTCTTTACTTACTTTCCACCTTGCATCTCATTTTTACTTTGTCTGATCAGTTTTCTTTTTTTCTGGAGAATATGCTTTAGTAGCCTTAATGAATGGCTGTTAGTGGTTCATTCAGTTTTTGTACAAAGGCCTTAAGTTTTCATTTGTGAATGATAGTTTAAATAGGTGTAGAATTCTAGGATAAAATGTTCTCTCTCACAAATGCTGAAATTATTTTTGATTTCCTTAACGGTTTCTAACATAGTTTGGATGTATGTCCCCAGTCCAAATCTCATGCTGAAATGTAATCCCCAATGTTGGAGGTAGGGCCTTGTGGGAGGTGATTGGATTATGGGGGTGGTTTCTTCATGAACGGTTTAGCGCTGACCCCTTAGTGCTGCTCTCACCATAATGAGTGAGTTCTCCTGAGATCTGGTGGTTTAAAGGTGTGTGCCACCTCCCCGCTCACTCTTGTTCCTGCTTTGGCCAGGTGACCTGCCTGCTCCTCTTTTCCTTCCACCATGATTGGAAGCTTCCTGAGTCCTCCCCAGAAGCTGAGCAAATGCCAGCACCATGCTTCCTGTACAGGCTGCAAAACCATGAGCCAAATACACCTCATTTCTTTATAAATTACCTAGTATTTCTTTATAGCAATGCTAGAACAGCCTAATGCACTTTCTGTTGCTGTTGTTGAGAAACCTACTCTTGGTTTGCTTTTTTTCCTATAGGAATTTGAAATTATTTTCTCTGGGCTGGGCGCAGTGACTCACGCCTGTAATCCCAGCAGTTTGGGAGGCCAAGGCGGGCAGATCACCTGAGGTCAGGAGTTCAAGACCAGCCTGGCCAATATGGGGAAACCCCATCTGTACTTAAAAAAAAAAAAAAAGTTAGGCATGGTGGTGGGCGCCTGTAATCCCAACTACTAGGGAGGCTGAGGCAGGAGAATCTCTTGAACCCGGGAGGCAGAGGTTGCAGTGAGCCGAGATTGCGCCATTGCACTCTGGTCTGGGTGACAAGAGTGAAACTTGATCTCAAAAAAAAAAAAAAAAGAAAAGAAATATTTTTCTCTGTTTGAGATCATATTTTTGTCTTTTGTATTGTATAGTTACTACATTTAGTGTGGGATAGCTTTAATTTACCTTGTATTATGTATGTCTGAATCTGTAAATTCACATCTTTTATTAGTTCTGAGAAATTCTCAGATATCTTCAGATATTGCCTCTTCCCCATTCTCAATGTTCTCTCAGTCTAGAATTCCCAATCTATTCATCTGGATTTTCTATTAGTAGATTGGGAGACCTTCTCATTTTTATCTTCCTACCTTTTAATATGTCTTTCATAATTTCCATATTATGCTGAATTCTAGGTAGTATCATCAGTTCCATATTCCAGTTCAAGTCCCTCATCAGATATTTCAAGTTTGCTTATTAACTCATCCATCGTGTCTTAAATTCAGTAGTTATTTTTATTTCAGGAAATTCCAATTTGCCTTGTCTCTTTTAATAATGTATTTTTCCCTGTGTGGATTTGGTTTCTCCTTGTGTGCTAGAATATCTTAAAAGAGACTTACTTTATCTATCACTTGAAATTCTTGGAAAGATGCTTTCCCTGCTGACTGAGGCTCAGGGCAGGCCATTTCTTGGTAAATTTTAAAATTTTGAATGTCAACCTTTCTCCATGACACTTTAACTGAAAACTGTCATTATGCATTTCCTGAAGTGAGGATGCAGTACCAGGTACCCCTCGGAATCACTGACATGTCACCACTTTTTATGTTAGTTCCTCAGTGTAGGAGTTTCCTAGCTGCACAAATACTAAAATCCCAAACCCCGGCTCCACATGGTGCTGTGTTTTCAGCATAGAACTTTCCCAGCACCAGGCCAATGGGACCACCCCATGTTTTCCCTCACTGAACTGATGGGCAGGGTGATTCTGGATTCTGAGTTTTCACTGGATACGTTATTCTCTGAGCTTCCCGTCTTTGTTTGGGGGTCTGATTTCCACTCCCTTCTTGAGGGGACCCAGGCCCTGTCTCCTCTGCCCCCGCCACTAAACACATGCCCTGTTGCCAGGACTGGCTTCTCTCCCCACACTGCGGCAGTATCAGCTTGGGCTTAAGGCTTCATATCTAACTTTCCTCCTTAATTCTAGCCCCTGAAGATTTCCCTTGCTTTCCTATGACCTTAGCTGTGGCTTAAAAAAATTGCTATGTTATGCAGCATACTTACATGCTTTATTGCAGGAAGTGTTTGAAGTGAGTCTGGCACCAGGTTTAAAACCAGTTTCTGCTGAGAAATTTGAAGATCTGGCAATATGACGTCTGTCTTTCAGCAGGACTAAAATTGGCTAGTGTCAGGGGGCATGTACTCTCTGTTCAGTCTCTAACTCATCACCTGTAATATTATTTTGACTCCTGTGTAGGCATTTATGATTCAGCATAATATATTCCACCTTTTACCCTTTTCCACAAAATGGACCCTAACAGCATCCAGTTCATATCCCAGTTCTGTACCACAAGCCTTTGCTACTGATATAGGAGAATGGCAGCCATGAGGCACCATTGGTCTTTAAAATATATATATATATATATATATATATATATATATATATATATATATGCAGTGGTTCCAAGATGGCCGAATAGGAACAGCTCCAGTCAACAGCTCCCAGCGTGAGCGATGAAGAAGATGGGTGATTTCTGCATTTCCAACTGAGGTACTGGGTTCAACTCACTGGGGATCATCGGACAGTGGGGGCAGGACAGTGGGTACAGCCCACTGAGTGTGAGCCAAAGCAGGGCGAGGCATTGCCTCGCCCGGGAAGCACAGGGGGTCAGGGAATTCCCTTTCCTAGCCAAAGGAAGAGGTGATAGACAGCACCTGGAAAATCAGGTCCCTCCCACCCTAATACTGCACTTTTCCAAGGGTCTTAGCAAACGGCACACCAAGAGATTATATCTCGTGCCTGGCTCCGAGGGTCCCACGCCCACGGAGCCTCGCTCATTGCTAGCACAGTAGTCTGAGATCAAACTGCAAGGCAGCAGCGAGGCTGGGGGAGGGGCGCCTGCCATTGCTGAGGCTTGAGTAGGTAAACAAAGCTGGGAAGCTCAAATTGGGTGGAGCTCAAAGAGGCCTACCTGCCTCTGTAGACTCCACCTCCGGGGGCAGGGCATAGTCGAACAAAAGGCAGCAGAAATCTCTGCAGACTTAAATGTGTCTGTCTGACAGCTTTGAAGAAAGTAGTGGTTCTCCCAGCACGGAGTTTGAGATCTGAGAACAGACAGACTGCCTCCTCAAGTGGGCCCCTGACCCCCGAGTAGCCTAACTGGGAGGCAAACCATAGTAGGGGCAGACTGACAACTCACATGGCCGGGTACCCCTCTGAGATGAAGCTTCCAGAGGAACAATCAGGAAGCAACATTTGCTGTTCTGCAATATTTGCTGTTCTGCAGCCTCCGCTGGTGATAACCAGGCAAACAGGGTCTGGAGTGGACCTCCAGCAAACTCCAACAGACCTGCAGCTAAGGGTCCTGACTGTTAGAAGGAAAACTAATAAACAGAAAGGACTTCCACACCAAAACCCCATCTGTATATCACCATCATCAAAGAACAAAGGTAGATAAAACCACAAAGATGGGTAAAAAACAGAGCAGAAAAACTGAACATTTTAAAAATCGAGCACCTCTCCCCCTTCAAAGGAACGCAGCTCCTCGCCAGCAATGGAAAAAAGCTGGATGGAGAATGACTTTGACAAGCTGAGAGAAGAAGGCTTCAGACGATCAAACTTCTCCAAGCTAAATGAGGAAGGTCGAACCCAATGCGAAGAAGCTAAAAACCTTGAAAAAAGCTTAGCTGAATGGCTAACTAGAATAACCAGTGTAGAGAAGCCCTTAAATGACCTGATGGAGCTGAAAACCATGGCACGAGAACTATGTGACAAATGCACAAGCTTCAGTAGCCGATTCGATCAACTGGAAGGAAGGGTATCAGTGATTGAAGATCAAATGAATGAAATGAAGCGAGAAGAGAAGTTTAGAGGAAAAAAAGTAAAAAGAAACAAACAAAGCCTCCAAGAAATATGGGACTATGTGAAAAGACCAAATCTACGTCTTATTGGTGTACCTGAAAGTGACGGGGAGAATGGAACCAAGTTGGAAAACACTCTGCAGGATATTATCCAGGATAACTTCCCCAACCTAGCAAGGCAGGCCAACATTGAAATTCAGGAAATACAGAGAGTGCCACAAAGATACTCCTCAAAAAGAGCAACTCCAAGACATGTAATTGTCAGATTCACCAAAGTTGAAATGAAGGAAAAAATGTTAAGGGCAGCCAGAGAGAAAGGTCGGGTTACCCACAAAGGGAAACCCATCAGACTAACACGGATCTCTCGGCAGAAACTCCACAAGCCAGAACAGAGTGGGGGCCAATATTCAACATTCTTTAAGAAAAGAATTTTCAACCCAGAATTTCATATCCAGCCAAACTAAGCTTCATAAGTGAAGGAGAAATAAAATCCTTTACAGAGAAGCAAATGCTGAGAGATTTTGTCACCACCAGGCCTGCCTTACAAGAGTTCCTGAAGGAAGCACTAAATATGGAAAGGAACACCCGGTACTAGCCACTGCAAAAACATGCCAAATTGTAAAGACCATTGATGCTAGGAAGAAACTGCATCAACTAACGAGCAAAATAACCAGCTAACATCATAAAGACAGGATCAAATTCACACATAACAATATTAACCTTAAATGTAAATGGACTAATTGCTCCAATTAAAAGACATAAACTGGCAAATTGGATAAAGGGTCAAGCCTCGTCAGTGTGCTGTATTCAGGAGACCCATCTCATGTGCAGAGATAAACATAGGCTCAAAGTAAAGGGATGAAGGAAGATCCACCAAGCAAATGGAAAACAAAAAAAGGCAGGGGTTGCAATCCTAGTCTCTGATAAAACAGACTTTAAACCAATGAAAATCAAAAGAGACAAAGAAGGCCATTACATAATGGTAAAGGGATCAATTCAACAAGAAGAGCTAACTATCTTAAATATATATGCACCCAATACAGGAGCACCCAGATTCATAAAGCAAGTCCTCAGAGACCTACAAAGAGACTTAGACTCCCATGCATTAATAATGGGAGACTTTAACACTCCACTGTCAACATTAGACAGATCAGTGAGACAGAAAGTTAACAAGGATATCCAGGAATTGAACTCAGCTCTGCACCAAGTGGACCTAATAGACATCTACAGAACTCTCCACCCCAAATCAACAGAATACACATTCTTCTCAACACCGCACCGCACTTATTCCAAAATTGACCACATAGTTGGAAGTAAAACACTCCTCAGCAAATGTAAAAGAACAGAAATTATAACAAACTGTCTCTCAGACCACAGTGCAACCAAACTAGAACTCAGGATTAAGAAACTCACTCAAAACAGCTCAACTACATGGAAACTGAATAACCTGCTCCTGAATGACTACTGGGTACATAACGAAATGAAGGCAGAAATAAAGATGTTCTTTGAAACCAATGAGAACAAAGACACAACATACCAGAATCTCTGGGACACATTTAAAACAGTGTGTAGAGGGAAATTTATAGCACTAAATGCCCACAAGAGAAAGCAGGAAAGATCTAAAATTGACACCCTAACATCACAAATAAAAGAACTAGAGAAGCAAGAGCAAACACATTCAAAAGCTAGCAGAAGGCAAGAAATAACTAAGATCAGAGAAGAACTGAAGGAGATAGAGACACAAAAAACCCTTCAGAAAATCAATGAATCCAGGAGCTGGTTTTTTGAAAAGATCAAAAGAAAGCATATTCAATTAGGAAAAGAGGAAGTCAAATTGTCCCTGTTTGCAGATGACATGATGGTATATTTAGAAAACCACATCATCTCAGCCCAAAATCTCCTTAAGCTGATGAGCAACTTCAGCAAAGTCTCAGGATACAAAATCAATGTGCAAAAATCACAAGCATTCTTATACACCAATAACAGACAAACAGAGAGCCAAATCATGAGTGAACTCCCATTCACAATTGCTTCAAAGAGAATAAAATACCTAGGAATCCAACTTACAAGGGATGTGAAGGACCTCTTCAAGGAGAACTACAAACCACTGCTCAATGAAATAAAAGAGGATACAAACAAATGGAAGAACATTCCATGCTCATGGATAGGAAGAATCAATATTGTGAAAATGGCCATAGTGCCCAAGGTAATTTATAGATTCAATGCCATCCCCATCAAGCTAACAATGACTTTTTTCACAGAATTGGAAAAAACTACTTTAAACTTCATATGGAACCAAAACAGAGCCCGCATTGCCAAGACAATCCTAAGCCAAAAGAACAAAGCTGGAGGCATCACGCTACCTGACTTCAAACTATACTACAAGGCTACAGTAACCAAAACAGCATGGTACTGGTACCAAAACAGAGATACAGACCAATGGAACAGAACAGAGCCCTCAGAAATAATACCACACATCTACAACCATCTGATCTTTGACAAACCTGACAAAAACAAGAAATGGGGAAAGGATTCCCTATTTAATAACTGGTGCTGGGAAAACTGGCTAGCCATATGTAGACAGCTGAAACTGGATCCCTTCCTTACACCTTATACAAAAATTAATTCAAGAGGGATTAAAATGCTAGACCGAAAACCATAAAAAGCCTAGAAGAAAACCTAGGCAATACCATTCAGGACATAGGCATGGGTAAGGACTTCATGTCTAAAACACCAAAAGCAATGGCAACAAAAGCCAAAATTGACAAATGGAATCTAATTAAATTAAAGTGCTTCTGCACAGCAAAAGAAACTACCATCAGAGTGAACAGGCAACCTACAGAATGGGAGAAAATTTTTGCAATCTACTCATCTGACAAAGGGCTAATATCCAGAACTCAAACAAATTTACGAGAAAAAAACAACCCTATCAACAAGTGGGTGAAGGATATGAACAGACACTTGTCAAAAGAAGACATTTATGCAGCCAACAGACACATGAAAAACTGCTCATCATCACTGGCCATCAGAGAAATACAAATCAAAACCACAATGAGATACCATATCACACTAGTTAGAATGGTGATCATTAAAAAGTCAGGAAACAACAGGTGCTGGAGAGGATGTGGAGAAATAGGAACACTTTTACACTGTTGGTTGGACTGTAAACTAGTTCAACCATTGTAGAAGACAGTATGGCGATTCCTCAAGGATCTAGAACTAGAAATACCATTTGACCCAGCCATCTCATTACTGGGTATGTACCCAAAGGATTATAAACACATGCACATGTATGTTTATTGCAGCACTAGTCACAATAGCAAAGATTTGGAACCATCCCAAATGTCCATCAATGATAGACTGGATTAAGAAAATGTGGCCCATATACACTAGGGAATGATATGCAGCCATAGAAAAGGATTAGTTCATGTCCTTTGTAGGGACATGGATGAAGCTGGAAACCATCATTCTCAGCAAACTATCGCAAGAACAAAAAACCAAACACCGCATGTTCTCAATCATAGGTGGGAATTGAACAATGAGAACACTTGGACACAGGAAGGGGAACATCACACACTGGGGCCTGGTTTTGGGTGGGGGAAGCAGGGAGGGAAAGCATTAGGAGATACACCTAATGTAAATGACGAGTTAATGGGTTCAGCACACCAACATGGCACATGTGTACATATGTAACAAACCTGCACATTGTGCACATGTACCCTAGAACTTAAAGTATAATAAAAAAAAAAATAAATAAATAAATATATATATATGCCGGGTGTGGTGGCTCACGCCTGTAATCCCAGCACTTTGGGAGGCCGAGGCGGGCAGATCACAAGGTCAGGAGATCGAGACCATCCTGGCTAACACGGTGAAACCCCATCTCTACTAAAAATACAACAAAAAAATTAGCTGGGCATGTTTGCAGGCTCCTGTAGTCCCAGCTACTCTGAAGGCTGAGGCAGGAGAATGGTGTGAACCTGGGAGGCGGAGCTTGCAGTGAGCCGAGATCGCGCCACTGCACTCCAGCCTGGGTGACAGAGTGAGACTCTGTGTCAAAAAAAAAAAGTATATATATATATATACACATATATATATACACACATATATATGTGTATATGTATATATATATACACATATATATGTGTATATATATGTGTATGTATATATATTATATATGTGTATGTGTGTGTGTGTGTATATATATATATACATACACACATTTTTTTTGAAAAAATATTTTTTATATATATATATATTTTGAGAGGGAGTCTGGCTCTGTCACCCAGGCTGGAGTGCAGTGGCACGATCTCGGCTCACTGCAAGCTCCACCTCCTAGGTTCACACCTTTCTCCTGCCTCAGTCTCCCAAGTAGCTGGGACAACAGGCGCCCGCCAACACACCCGGCTAATTTTTTGTATTTTTAGTAGAGATGGGGCTTCTCCGTGTTAGCCAGTATGGGTCTTGATCTCTTGATCTCGTGATCCACCTGCCTCAGCTTCCCAAAGTGCTGTTTTTTAGGACTTTGAGGCTCACTTTCATTGAAGCCCACTAGCCAAAGACCAATAGAAACACACTTATAGTCAAATGAAATTGGTTGAATTTAGCTGCTGCAGCAAGAAAATGGACTACATGGAATATTGGGAACATCTTCAGTAGGAGGAGAAGGTTCTTCAAGGATGGGGGCCTGTGCTAAATAATATTCTCGGGAGCAAGCAGGGGAGTGGCCGGCTCTGGACTGGTACTAGGGAGAAGCATCGACACCTAGCAATGGGGACTCTTTGCAGTCTCTACAGGCAGTGGAGGAGCTGTCAGGGCTGGGACTGCCACTGTGAGAAAGGGCATGGCTCAGAAGCAGGGATCGAGGGCAGCTTTGTAGCTGCAGGAGGGTTCTGCTGTGGAAACACGGTATATGGGCATTATCCTTGTCCCGTTGGCAACACTGTCACCAGCAGGGCTAAATTGCACTTTTTGTCTGGGGGTTCAGCTAATCTTTCAGAAAAGTATTTTTGTACAAGAGAAATTCCTTGTTTCAAAACAAAGCTCACTTCTTGTGACGCTCTGGGCAGAAGGTGCTGGGAGCAGCTTCCTGGGTGGCCCTGCTCGTGTCCCAGCCTCTGGCTTCCTGCTAGTATTGATTCACAAGGGCCCTAAGGCCATCACAGAGGACGTATCTCCATATTCACCACTTGAGCATACCTCCCAGCTCCATGTTTCACTCGTGAAACCATGGTCTTCAAAACATAAAATAATTTACCAAGAGAAACCAGTTTCTGTCTGTTGGCATCCTGGTGACAACAACGAGGACCATCACCACCTGTCTTCTGGCAACCACAGACACACCCCGAGGAAGCAGGGTGCTCCAGCAGGGTCTCTGGAGTGAGTACCCTCTTCCAATTTGGGTTTCTTGACCTTGCTAGGGCGGCGCAGCCCATTACTAGCTGGCAGAGAATAACTCAAGAGCAAATGGCCCCAGGAATAAACTTGAGATATTAACATGGAAATGCTGGATTGAAATGTGACTCATTTTCTCATCAGTCAGCACGCTGATTAACTAATTTCAGCTACTGATATTTTTTATGTTTCCCAGACTGAGCTGTTGCTCTGTTTCTCATCCACAGGTCCAGGAGGCAGTGTGAGAGTTTATGATGTTAATTAATTACAAGATGGACCACGATACTGTCCGTGAAATTGTGTAGTCATTTCTGAACCTTTTGTAATAAAGAAACTGTGCTTCCATATTGAAGAAGCACTTAGTTATAGGAAAAATGTGAGAAATAGTCACTTTTTGTTTTTATGCTTTTGGTTTATTTCAGCAAATCTGAGGTTTAGTAAAAACCAATGGCACAGGAAAAAGCAAGTCACTCCACCATTTTGTTTTTGTGGGTACTTAAGATCTCATGTTGCACCCTAAGGATTTTTAAATAGATCATTTATGATGTGAATGATGAGCTGGCCATGTTGTCACTTCTGGGTTCACTTCTGTGAACTTGGGAAGGTTAGAAGCATAGTATTCTTCAAGTTTCTTTTTTACCCTCTTCCACAAAATGGATCCTGGCAACAGCCAATCCACATCCCAGTTCTCTACCACGTGCCTTTATTATTGATACAGAGAATGGCAGCCATGTGGCTCCTTTGATCTTTTGGTAAAGTTGTATTACTCATGCAACCCTCAGTGCATAGTGGATTTTTCTCTTTCTCTTTCTCCCTCCTTCTCCTTCTCCCTCTCTCTCTCTCCCTTAGACAGACAGACAGACACACGCACGCACGCGCACATGCACACACACACACACACACCCCACCACCACCGCCATCACGAAAAACACAGAATGTCATCACTGTAGATTAAACTCATTTAGTAACTAACCCATGCTAAGGAATTTTCTGAGTAGTGTTGCAGTCTGTGGCTCTTTCTCTCTTAGTTTATTTTCTATTTAATAGTGCATTTCTCCAATTCTAGGATGTACATTCCTTTCTTTTCATTTGTTCCTATTTCTGAAATTCTGAAACAGTGATGCACCTCGCAGTCAGTGGCTTCTGACCCTTGATGGAGTCCGACGGGGCTTTTCCCTGAGCATGCTTTTATGTATATAGGTAAATCTAAATGAATACTGACTGAATAAAGAAAAAACACTAACAAAATATTGTGGTGCTTATATATGTTTAATATATAATTTTATATGTTTTTATATCTTACATAATAGTATATGTATATTATATATAATTTAAAATAAAGCCAACAATAGTACTACAGTACTAAATTTGTAGATTGTAATCAGAATTAATATGTTTGAGGTTCTTATATTTTCCAGAAAGTGTAGAACTAACTTACATCAAATTCCAGTAAGTTCAGGCCAGGTGCGGTGGCTCACGCCTATAATCCCAGGACTTTGGGAGGCTGAGGCAGGCGGATCACAACCTCAAGAGTTTGGGTCAGCCTGGGAAACATGGAGAAACCCTGTCTCTACTAAAAATACAAAAATTAGCTTGGTGTTGTGGTGTGCGCCTGTAATCCCAGCTGCTCAGGAGGCTGAGGCAGGAGAATCACTTGAACCAGGGAGCCAGAGGTTGCAGTGAGCTGAGATCATGCCAGTGTACTCCAGCCTGCGTAACAAGAGAGAAACTCTGTCTCAAAAAAAAAAAAAAATTACAGTAAGTTCAAAGGTACTATACTTGTGTATACTTGCACCTAACAATGTTGGCTTGTACACCAACATTGTTACTTCTTATTTTTTTGAGAAAAG
Source organism: Homo sapiens (assembly GCF_000001405.40). Taxonomy (NCBI): domain Eukaryota; kingdom Metazoa; phylum Chordata; class Mammalia; order Primates; family Hominidae; genus Homo; species Homo sapiens. The sequence goes on from NC_000020.11 coordinate 24,520,806, forward strand.
TCCTTTTTTATTGTAGTAAATACATATAAAATATACCATTTTATTCCTTTTTAAATGTACAATTCAATGGCATTAAATCCATGCACATTGCTGTGCAGCCATCACCACCGTCCATCTGCAGAACTTACCACCATCCTAAACCAAGACCTTGTCCCCATTAAGCAGTAACTCTCCGTTCCCTCCCTTCTGCAGCCTCTGCAGCTGTGTTCTGTCTGTGAGTGTGACTATTCTAGGTACCTCATATAAGTGGAATCATACAGTATTTGACCTTTTGTGACTGGCGTATTTCACTTAGCATGTTGTCTTCAAGGGTCATCCATGCTGTAACACTGAGGAAAATTTGCTTCATTTTGAAGGCTGACTAATAATTCAGGGTAGCATATGCCATATTTTGCGTATTCATTCCTCTGTCAATGGGCGTTTTCATTGTTCCCACCTTCTGACTACTTCTGCATCATGATGCTATGCACTTCAGTGTCCCCAAATCTGTGTTGGAGTCACTGCTTTCAATTTTTTTTAAGAGACAGGGCCTTACTCTGTTGCCCAGGCTGGAGTACAGTGACACAATCACACCTGCTTTCCATTTTGGGGAGTGTATACTCAGCAGTGAAATGGCTGCTGTATGGTAACTCAGTGTTGAATCTTTGAGGACCCACCGTCTTGTCTTCCACCGTGGCCACTCCATTTGACATTTTCACTGGCAACGCACAGGGTTCCAGTTTCTCTACAATAATATGAATTTTAAAGGCTATTTTCATATGGTTATTCTGCTAGTATAATAAAGGCATATTTAAAATTTAAGTAGTACCTCGCCACACACAGTGGCTCACACGTGTAATCCTAGCACTTTGGGAGACCGAGGAGGGTGGATCCCCTGAGGTCAGGAGTTCGAGACCAGCCTGGCCAACAGGACAAAACCCCGTCTCTACTAAAAATACAAAAAAATTAGCTGGGTGTGGTGGTGCATGGTTGTAATCCCAGCTACTCGGGAGGCTGACGCAGGAGAATCGCTTGAACCCAGGAGGCAGAGGTTGTAGTGAGCCAAGATTGCGCCACTGCACTCCAGCATGGGTGAAAAAGAAAGACTCCCTCTCAAAAAAAAAAAAAAAATTAAGTAATACCCCGAAATAGTAATGAAAGTTACAAACCTTTCCCCTTGGCCCCTAACATATCACTTCATTTGCCCAGACACTTCTCAGAGGCAGCTCCTGCCCACCTTCCTCTTTTGACTGTTATTGCCATACCCTGACAGCTGTGTTCATCCTGTTCTATCTTTTTTTCTTTTTAGAGATGGAGTCTTGCTCTGTTTTCTAGGCTAGAGTGCAGTGGCATGATCATAGCTCACTGCAGCCTCAAACCCCTGGGCTCAAGTGATCCTCCAGCATCAGCCTCAGCTTCCTGCCTTAGTCTCCCACCTGTAGCTAGGACTATAGGTGCATATGCCTGGCCAGCTTTAAAAATTTTTTGTAGAGATGGGGTCTCATTGTGTTGCACAGGCTGGTCTCCAACTCCTAGCTCCAAGCGATCCTCCCACCTTTGCCTCCCAGTGTGCTGGGATTATAGGCATGAGCCCATGTACCTGGCCGCATCAAGTTATTTCTTGATCCGTTAGCTTTAAATTCTACCAGTGGACTCCCTGCTTTGAAAGGGTAGAGATTAGTTCACTTAAGGTTAGAATTTAGTTCACTTACACTACTGCCTATCTCCTCCCCACTTCTCCCAACTTCTTAGGGATGTATTATTTTGAGTCCTTCCCTTGGTTACTGTTGTATTCATTTCACTCTGTGGGATGAGGCTGTGGTTGGCATGCTTACCCACACTGTTTCTCTCTTCCCCATTGGCCTTCTGTATTAGTCCGTTTTGTGTTGCTGTAAGGGAATACCAGAGACTGGGGCATTTGTAAAGAAAAGAGGCTTATTTGGCTCGTGGTTCTGTAGGCTGTACAAGCATGGTGCCAGCATCTACTTGGCTTCTGGGGAAGCTTCAGGAAGCTTTTAATCATGGCAGAAGGGGAAGTGGCAGCCAACATGTCACCTGGTGAGAGGGAGCAAGAGAGAGATGTCAGGGTCTTTTAAACAAGCAGCTCGCATGTAAACTAACACAGCAAGAACTTACTCCTTGCCACAAGGATGGCACCAAGCCCTTCATGAGGAATTCACCCCCATGACCCACACACCTCCTGTTAGGCCTGCCTTCAACACTGGTGATCACATTTCAATATGAGATTTGGAGGGGACACACAAGCAAACTGTGTCACTTTCCTATTGAGGTTGGCTGTGTCTTCAATTGTACATGAGAATGAGTGAGTCCAGCTTACTGGCTATGAGTCAGACCCTGAAGTCAGGCTTCCTGGCTGTGAAATCCAGCTCTGCAGCTTATAGGCGAAAGACCTTAAACAGGTTGCTTCAGTTTTTGATGCCTCAGTTTCCACATCTGCAAAAGGGATGATAATAACTATACCTACTTAATGGGGTTGTTATAAAAATTAAACAGGATAGTCCTTATTAAAAGTTTAGCACGATGCTTGGGATTTAGGAGAAGCTGAACTCTTGGTCAAACTGATGATGATGACCACAACAACAATGATGTCAACTTGGTCAGGGTGAGGCACCTTTAAATTTTGGTTTTCAGTTACGTTGGGTTTATATGTAGATTCTAAATGTTAAATTACTAAACATTTATTGTCAAGATTCTGTAAATGTTATGGCTATAAACCCAAGTTTTGGTAATAAGTTAATATTGCCTCTGTATTCAGCTCCTGAATCATAACCCCTGTGCCAGATAAAGGAAAATATAGTGTCCAGGTCAAACGGATTCTGTCTTTTTAAATTCCACAGCTGTGTAAAATGACGGGAAATTTTGTTTTGCTTTATATTTGGACCGATGGAGTTCCTATACACCTATTCTGGCTGTGTGTGTTTTTCTGGAGTTTCTAAATGACATTCTTTTCACATTGAGGAAAGAAACCTGTGCCTTCCTCACAGCATCCATCTTAACTTCCAGCTGTGCATGCGCGCTGCCGTTCTTGCTCACAAAGATGGTCTTTGTGAAGCCCACGGGTGTTTGTTATAAATGGGACAGATTGCTGCTGGCCAGCTGCCATGCAGAGATTGCTTTTTATTCATTTAAGCTATTCACTGCTTTCCCCTTATCCTCTATTATCCACATCCATGGTTTTCACTGCCATTTGTTTCTGGAGTAAATCTCTAAGTTACTTATTCAGACAGGCTGCTGTGAGCTACATCTTCTGACTCTTGAAAATATTTATTGTCATCCTTGTTTTGTTTCCTTTTTTGTTTTTACTCATCCTTGGAGGAGTGCTTGGTAGAGTACATACTTTAAAGGTTTTTCTCGCAACTTCGAAGGCGCTGACCCATTGCCTGTCCATGTGCATGGTTTTGATGAAAGGTCCTCTGCCAGCCCATGTTCCTGTGTCCTCTTGGCCATCTGCGGGCTCCAAACATAAATTCCTGGCTGCAGCTTCTGTCCACACTCCTTCTTCTCGCCTTTGGTTAGATTCCTCATCTACTGTTACGCTTTAAAATTATTTATCTTGTTGGCCGGCCAGGGTGGCTCACGCCAGTAATCCCAGCACTTTGGGAGGCCGAGGCGGGTGGATCACGAGGTCAGGAGATTGAGACCATCCTGGCTAACAAGGCGAAACCCCGTCTCTACTAAAAATACAAAACATTAGCTGGGCGTGGTGGCGGGCGCCTGTAGTCCCAGCTACCCCGGGAGGCTGAGGCAGGAGAACGGCGTGAACCCGGGAGGCGGAGCTTACAGTGAGCTGAGATCGCGCCACTGCACTCCAGCCTGGGCGACAGAGCGAGACTCTGTCTCAAAAAAAAAAAAAAAATTTATCTTGTTAAGGATGATTTTTTCCATTTTCTCTTCCATTAAGATTCTTTTTGCTCTTTCACTAACATTTTAACGGGGTCTTGGAGAGAGGGGAAGAGTGATGTGAGTCCACTTCTTCATCTAGCCTAGAAGCAGGCTCCCTGGCTCTCTCTTTACACAGCCTCATCAGAGAGTTGTCTTTGCAGGGAAGAGACTTGGCCTTGTGGATCCTCTGTGTGGTATCTTTGCTTTCTGTTTCACTAGCTTCTGCTCTTACCTTATTAACACCTGTCATGTATTATTTGCCTTTATTATTATTATTTTGGTGAATTTATTAATTTAGATGGGGCTCATTAATTTTTAACCTTTTAAAAATAATATATGCATTTAAGGCTACATATTTCCCTCTTCTCCTGCATCTCTAGGTTTCAATAATTTAGTTTCTCAATGATCCTGACCTAAGTATTTTTATATTTTGTTATGATTCCTTTTTGATCAAATGGTTATTAAGAAAGCATTTCTTTTCCTTCGTTTCTAAATGAACGTGGTTTTTATTAATTGTATCAACTTTTATATGATTTGCATTGTGGCTAAAGAAAATGATCTGTAAGATACTAATGTTTTATACATACTTCTTCTTCTTCTTTTTTTTTTTTTTTTTTTTTTTGAGACAGAGTCTTACTCTGTGGCCCAAGCTGGAGTACAGTGGCACGATCTTGGCTCACTGCAACCTCCACCTCCTGGGTTCAAGCAATTCTCCACCTCCCGAGTAGCTGGAATTACAGGCACACACCACCATGCCTGGCTGATTTTTTATTTTTAGTAGAGACGGGGTTTCACGATGTGGGCCAGGCTGGTCTCGAACTCCTGACCTCAGGTGATCCACCTGCCTCGGCCTCCCAAAGTGCTGGGATTACAGGCGTGAGCCACCATGCCCAGCATACTTCATGGCCTAATACTTGATCAATTTTTGAAAGGAAGAAAGAGAGAGAAGAATGGAGAGAGAGTGAGAGAGACAGAGAATGAGAGAGAAAGAGAACACGTATGCCTAGAAGAATTTGTATTCTCTGTTGGATGCCAAGTTTTATATGTGCATTTTTGATCAAAATTATTATTCAAATATTCTATGTTTTTCTTAATTTTGGCCTGTTTATTTCTCAGCATAATTGAGAGCATACTTTGCAGTCTCCTGTTGTGATGGTGAAAATATTACATTATCCCCATAATTCTATAAATTTTGCTTTATATAATGTGATATAAATGGATTATGTACATGGAATTTGAGAATTGTTGTATACGGTTAATTGGATCTCTCTCTGTGTAACTATGTTACTATATAATAATACTTTCTACTCCTTAATATCTGTTTTGTATTCATTACACTGTGCCAGATTTCTTATTTGTTGCCTAGGATTTTCCTTGTATATATGTTTTCCATCCTTTTACTTTTAGCGATTCCATGTCCGTATGCTTTAGGTCTATCTCTTATAAATAACATATGTCTGGATATTATTTTAAATCCAAACTAACAATTTATTTTAATTGACAATTTAAATTAATTTGTACCTATTGTGAATACTGATATGTTTGGATCTGCTATTATCCTAGTTTTCTATTTAGAATTTGGCCAACTTTTTTTTTATGTTTCATTTTTTTCTTACCTCTTTTTATTTGATTGAGGTTTTACTACTATTTTCATTCTTACTCATGTACTTCTCTCCCCTGGTTTAGAATGATTAGAAATGTTTCCATTCATTTGGTAGTTATCCTTGACATTTGCCTATGTATATTTAAGTATAAAGCTGAACATGTTCACACACTTCTGGAACATTAAAAGAATCTTAGCTCACCTCCTGATTTACATGCTATTGTTTTCCTGTGTTTAGAGTTTTAAGAATAAATCTAATGATTTACATTTATATATATAGAGAGAGAGATATAGATATAGATATATAGATAGATATATAATCAATGTTTGTTTGGATTTATAAGTATGTCGTGAGTTTGTGTGCTCATAAGTCCTTGTATCTCAGGTCATCACCCAGCATTATTTTTCTTCTTCCTAAAGTGCATCCTTTAGAATTCCTTTTAGTTTAAGTCTCTAAGTAGATTTTTTATTTATTTGCAAATGGATTTTTCACTTGGCTCTTGAAAGATAATTTCATTATGTCCAGTTCAAGGTTGAGAGTTAATATCTCTCAATATATTGAAGATATTATCCTCTGTCCTTTTGCTTCCATTATTGCTTGATATGTGTCTTGCCATTCTAGTTTTTGTTGCTATGTAGATTATCCACTATTTTCCTTTGACTGCTTTTAAGACCTTTCCACTTAATCTTCAGCAGTTTCATGTAATGTGTCAATGTGGTATTTCCTGGATCAGTGAATTTGTGTTTCTCATCAGTGCTGAACATTTCACAGGTAGCGTCCTTTGAGGTGCGGCTTCTCTCCCAGGAGTTCTGTCTCCATTTCTGAGACTCCCATTAGAAGAGACTGATCTTTCTCATTCTACCTGCCAGGCTCTTTGCTGCTTATTGCTGTCTCCTATCTTTTTTTCTATTCGTGAGGCATTTGGGGTATTTTTCTCAGATCTGTCTTCTGGATTACATTTTTTTTCTTAGCTGTGTCTATTCTGCTGTTTAGATTCCATATCTTCCGTTGTGTTTTTTACTCCAACAAAAATATTTTTTGCTTTTTGAAATTCACACGTTTCATTTTTCTATTTATTCTGGTAGTCACTTGTCACTTGCTCCTTCTTGTGTTTTATTTATGTAAGTATTTCATGAACAATTGTTCTATACTTTCTTCTCACTATAAAAATATGTAAAGTCCTTGATGGTCCAGAGTTGTTCTTTTCTTCTCTTCTCTTTTCTTTTTTTTTCCTTTCTTTTCTTTTCTTTCCTTCCTTCTTTCTCTATAGACTCTCACTTATGGTGGCATACAGTCTTTTGTGCATGATGATCTTTCTCAGCTCATTATTTGACCTTACTCTGTGGCTAAATTGGGGAGGGGGTCTTTCTCTTAGAGATGTTTGTTTCTATTCTGCCTGTAATGAGGAGTCGTCACTGAATTGGCTCTATTGCAATCGACAGAACAGTGGTTCTCAGAGTGTGGTCCCTGGATCAGCTGCAGCAGCGTCACCTATGAGCTTCTTAGAAATGGAAACTTGGGTATCCCTTTCCACCCTGAGTAAGGAACTCTGTAGCCTGGCAACCTGGGGCTTAACATGCCCTTCAGGTGATTCAAATGCATGCTTAAATCTGAGACCACATCCGTAAAGAATCTTAGCTTAGAATAAGGTTCAGCCTCAACTTCTCTATCTTGTCTTTCTACAAGGCTATATAACTTACTATTACTGTTACTGTTGATGCCTAAATCAGTGCAGCTCTGCCCCTTCAAGTAATCTTCCATGGAAGAGTGGTGATATTTGGAGATTTTCCTTCGCAATCAGTAATGTCTCAAAGTGTGTTCTAATCCTGAATCTAATTTTGTAACAAGAGAATCTCTCAGAGCATCTAGTCAATTCTAATGCTAGAAATAACAGTTTGTCCATTGACTTTTAATTTCACTGATGTATTTTTATTTCTAAAAGTCCTAAATCTTTCATTTGTAAAGTATCCTAAGTATGGTTGTTTTATAATCTTCATCTGAAAGTGTTAATACCTACATTCACTGTGGGCCAGATTTGTGATATTTCTGCTCACCCTTGCTTATTTCTTCCTGTGTTTAGTGCTTGTCTTAGTTTGCTTCTGCTGTTACAACAAAATACCACACAGTGTAATTTATCAATAATAGAAATTTATTTCACACAGTTCTGAAGGCCGGGAAGTCCAACATTGAAGTGCTGGCAGATTCAGTGTCTGATAAGGACTCACTCTCTTCTTCTAAGATAGCACCTTATTACGTGTCCTCTGGAGGGGATGAACACTGTGTGCTCACATGGCAGAAGCTCAAGAAGGGGCTAACTCTCCCCCTCAAGCCCTTTTGTACAGGCACTAATCCTATGGGCGAGGGCTTAATCACCTCCAAGGGCTCCACCTCTTAATGCCATCACCTCAGGAATTTAGTTCCCACATATTAATTGCAAAGGAATATATGCATCCAAACCATTAGCAGTGCTCATTTCCCTCCCTTGAATCCCAAACTCAGGTTGTTTTCTGAGACTATCCATGGGCATTTTCTAGTCCTGTCTTTAACATACATTATCCTAGAGGACATTTGCATTTGCTTCTGCCAAGAATCACAGTGGTGGATTCCCAGCCCCAAACACTACAAACTAAGTGTTCAACTGTGTTTTTCAAGGCACATTAAGAGTGTGAAATCTCAGAGAGAGTGTGAGTGCAGGCTTGTGGTTAGAAATTCTCAGAGATGAAGCCCCTCTGGCCCTCCTCCAAAGGAAAAAAAAACAGTTTTACCCAAAATAATTTTAGAGGTGAGAATGCGTTCAAGGCTTTCTCTTTCTGTCCTTCAGTGGGTGGGGAGGAAGACGTCTTGGCTGAGTCTGTGTCCACATTCACAATCTTATCAGTTAAATCTTTGGTCACATGGGAGCCTCTGCATCTCTAAACCATGGACTGTGTGTGTGGGAGGACATCACTGTTGATGGTAATGATGACAATGGTACTGGTGACATTACTTGTACCAACAGTGATGTTATTGTTAGTAGTAGTAGTGGTGGTGATGTAATGGTGGTTGTGGATTTCTGGTAGTGATGGTGGTGGTGGTGGTGGTGGTATGGAAGGGATGATGGCTAGGAATCAGTAAAATTTTTCTGTAAAGAGTCAGATAATATTTTAGGCTTCATGGACAATATGGTCTCTGTCACAACTGCTCAACTCTTCCCTTGTCATGAAGAAGAAGCCATAGACATATGTGCATGAATGGTTGTGGGTGTAGTCCAATAAAACTTTATTTATGGACACTGACATTTGAATTTCACATAATTTTTGTGTGTCATAGAATATTCCTATTTTCTTCAACTACTTAAAAATGTGAAAACCATTCTTAGCTTGTGGGCTGTACAAACGCAGGTGTTAGATGTATTTGTTCTGTGGCCTTGATTTTCCAAATCCTGGCAGTAGTGTCAGCAGTGGGGATGATGGTGGTAATGGTGATGGTACTCCTATTGACAGTTTCAGTGGTGGGGACGGTGATAGTGGTACTCCTGCTGATGGTGTCAGTGGTGGGGATGGTGACGGTGGTACTCCTTCTGACAGTGTCAGTGGTGGGGATGATGGTGGTGATGGTGGTGAGGGTGATGGTAGTACTCCTGGTGATGGTATCAATGGTGGGGATAATGATGGTGATGGTGTCAGTGTTGGGAATAATGATGGTGATGGTGGTGGTGATGGTGTCAGTGGTGGGGATAATGATGGTGATGGTCGTGGTGATGGTGGTAATGGTGAGGGTGGTGGAGTTGGTAATGGTGGACATGGCAGTGTCACAGGGGAAGAAGCTTCCTCCCTCCACATTATCCTTAAAAATGAAGTGGAGACTTACAAAGCTAAAGGGAGTTGGCACAACTTTTAAAAGCAGCAATGGTCTGAATCTGCAGGTTTTCTTGTTTCCAAAATCACATCATATCTGCTATATATGTCTGACTGCTTATAAATCAGATTTGGAGTTCCTGTGGATTGTGACCCAGTGGTGCTGTGCTATGACAAAGCATCACTCACCAGCAGAAGTTTGGGTTGGCTTTGTGAACAGGAAGTCCCAGGCCACCAAAAATGATACATAGGATGATGTAGCATTTTGCAATTGTAATGTGCCATTTAAATGCTAAATAGTAATAACTGATCTGGTCCCAAATGTTTCATTAACTCTCTCCACTGCCAAATCACAGGCTTTTCTGTGTGTGCTAAAGGCAAATTTTAATTGTTTTAATGAGGGTTTGCAAGCAGCTCTTTTCTCTATACACTTGGGCCTTGGTGAATTACACGTATCATTCGCTTAGCAGTAGGGAAGTTTTACTATTTACACAAAAGGCTTCTAACAGTGTTAGGGTTTGGGAAAGACCCAGCACCTGGTGCCCTCCTAATGCCTTGACAAATTGAGCTGTATAAGAAGGGTCAGGAGCAGCCATACCTGTCAAACATGCCAAACACTCTGGCTAAATGAAACTGCAATTAGTTTTGTGGGGGGTTTTGTTTGTTTGTTTTTTGGGTTTTTTGTTTTTTTTTTTTTCGGAGACGGAGTCTTGTTCTGTCGCCCAGGCTGGAGAGCAGTGGTGCAATCTCTGCTCACTGCAACTTCTGCCTCCTGAGTTCAAGCGATTCTCCTGCCTCAGGCTCCTGAGTAGCTGGGACTACAGGCGCATGCCACCAAGCCCAGCTAATTTTTTTGTATTTTAGTAGAGACAGGGTTTCACCATGTTGACCAGGCTGGTCTTGAACTCCTGAGCTCAGGCAGTCTGCCTGCCTCAGCCTCCCAAAGTGCTAGGATTACAGGTGTGAGCCACCGTGCCTGGCCTGCAATTAGTTTTATTTTCTCCTTCAGTTGCATAGGTAGCTGACTTCATTCTGTTTCTACTTGGAGAGGCTGCTACAGAGATGGTCTTATATGTTAAATATGACTGATACTGCACAATATAATCGGCATTCGAGTTTTCTAATTAGCCACACAGGGATGGACATGGAATACTATGTTGTGAAGTTCCTTCCACTCTATACAGTAACAAATCATAAACCAACAGTGCAGATCTTTAAGTCATTCTGTGAAAGGAGTAGGTATGTTTAAGAAAGGGAGATGAGTGGGTGGTAGGGTGGGCGAGACATAGACTTTTAAAAAAAATCTAGACTTATTCGTAGGTTCAGAAAAAAAGGAAAACTAGTAAGAGAAAGTTCTGATTCTCCAGTTTTTCTGTATTTCTTTATTCATGCATTTGTTTGAAAATAATTGCACTTGCAATCCTGGTTCCCAAAACATTCACTGGATTTTTTCTAGCCAATTCCTCAGAGCAAAACCATCTATTAAACATTAGAGACAATTTTGAAAAAAAAAATGCTACCTGTAATGAGTAATCAAAATTTCTTCATGGATAGGACCATGTATAACTCTGTCACTTTTACAATGCATAATTCCCCCTGGAGCAGGCTGGCCTTCTTCACAGAAGGTGTGTGCTATGTGTGCTACGTGCAGGTGGAGCATGAAATTGCTCAGATCCCATTTCTGGTGGGGAAGATGGCTTCTGCGTGTGCTGGTTTATTCTGCTGGGACACTCGGCATGCAAAAGCATCTGCTGTATTTAGGGGACTGAGTTTTTCTATCTCACAGTGAGTAAGCAGGCCCAGCCTGCAGCATTTTCTTCCATTGGTGGGTAACAGAGGCTGCCTCCAGCAGGATTTGTCTGGTCCATCTAATGCCTCTGCTTCCTGAACATCTACTATGTTGTCACTTTGTGTTCCAGGCCATACACAAAATGCCATTCCCTCACCCCAGAGGTACTCTACCACTGAGGGCTTTGTTTTTAAGGTAGTTTTATTCTCACTATATACCTGCCAGAAAAAGAACACACTGTCTTATCAACCATTCAGCCAAAGAGCTGTAATCATAATTAGCCCCGTATTACACAAGAGCTAAAGGATAGCAACCACCATTTCCCCCCACAATGAAAGCACAGTGAAGGTAAACACAGTGCAGTGCTTCCGTACCATGGAATATGAGCCCGCCATGAGAAGAAATGACCTCAAACACATCATGCCAAGTGAAAGAAGGCAGTCATGAGAGGCCACATAGTGTATGATTCCAGTTATATGAAATGTCCAGAATAGGCAAATCCATAGAGACAGAAAGTAGATCAGTGTTTGCCAGGGGCTGGGGAAAGGAACCACATCATGGGCATGGGGTGACAGGAATGTTCTGGAATCAGATAGTGATGAGGGTTGCACTGCACAACTTGGTGAATATACTAAATCTCACTCAATTATACATCCTTAAATTTGGATGAATTTCATGGCATGCAAATGATATTTCAGTAAAGCAATTATTTTAAAAAATGAATGAAAATACTAATTAAAGTTAAAGAAAGCAACAGAGTTGGGATCTTCCTGCACTCCCAGCCTTTCAGCCGTGAGCATCCATGCATGGCCCCACAGCCTGAGCTGTTTCGCCAGCTTTCCAACAGAGACCTGGGGTCTTCTGCTCCATGAGGACTGTAAGACTTGGAGTCAGAAACTCCTGGGCTCAATCTCCACCTATTTCTCTTCGTATCTTTTCTATCTGCATTTAGATCAACAACTGTTAGGATTTAGGACCTTGTGGAATCCAAAAGACATCACCAGGGCACATCCTGGAGGTTGCTGGAGCAGTCATTTTCTTGGAAAGGGGTTGGGGGGTCTGAGTCTTCCTTCTCCTGGGTCTCAGAAGCCAGGAAAGCTAACTGTTCCCCAGCACGTGGGAGAGAATCCGTCTTTTAGGGGCAGGATTAGATTACTCCGCCTTCTGAGACTGCTCTGGAGGACCAGAATGCCATTGAGCACTGAGGAGTCATTCTCCTAGGAACTGAGGACACCGAGACATGCTCTCCCTGCAATCAGGCAGCTTATACGCTTGCAGAAAGAATTAACTGTCCTGGCCTTTTTCTAATTTTTGTTGTAAGACGTGTTTGTCCACGTAGGCACATTACCTTCCTCCTTGCAGGCTGGGAGGCCTTCCAGCTCTTTCTGGTGGTTTCTGCTTGGACCTGTGAAGGCAGATATTTACCCCCTTCTCCAGTTCTGACCACAGAAACAAACTGCAGTCGTCTAATAATATTTACAGAGCTGTGGGTTTACAGACATACAAGTTGGCCTGCTTAGTTTTCTTGTCCATACAGAAGTTGTGATAACACCTCGCAGGCTTGTTGACAATAGTCTGATGCCTTGGGTTTGTCCCCAAGAAACAAGCCTGGGGATGAGAATTTGGGAGAGGAGGGGATCCCGGGAAGCACCACCGAGGACCAAGGAGGGAAGGCCATAGACAAATGCTGTGTTGTACAGCAAGTTGATCTCTGGGGGGCGCTGGGGAAGTGTCAAACACCAGCCTCCGAGCTGTCCCACCCCAGGACAAAGGTGCTGGGTGCTGATCCATCAGCTTCTCACTGTCACTGGCTGAGGCTGCACCAGGTGCCATAGCCCCTTTGGCCTGGCCTGACCTGTATGTGAGCCGTGATAGCACCATCAATCCCTGGGATGATGGGAGCCAGGGCACGGAGTAGGGCACCCACGGATTCAGCCCCTGTGTTAGTCCATTTTGCATGGCTATAAAGGTATTCACCTAAGCCTGGATGGTTTATTTTTAAAGGAAGTTTGTTTGGGCTTACGGTTCTGCAGGCTGTACAGGCACGGCACTGGCATCTGCTCAGCTTCTGGTGAGGCCTCAGGAGGTTTTTATTCATGGAAGAAGGTGAAGGGAAGCAGGCACATCACATGACAAAGGGGGAGCAAGAGAAAGAGGAGGGGGTCCCAGTCTCTTTTCAACAACCAGCTCTTACGAGAGCTTATTACCCTAGGGAGGGCACCTCGTTCCCGGCCCCACCTCCAACACTAGGGATCACATTTCAACCTGAGATTTGGAACCCACAAACATCTAAACTGTAACAGCCCCTGGTTGATGTGACTTTGTCATCATCCCTTTCCCTAATCCGAGGGCCTAAGCTAGAAGCAGGGGGCCCCCTCCTCACAGCCTCCACCCCTCCCCTCCATCTGGGGCACTCAGGGAAGCCCCAGGAGCCTGTAGATCCCACCTGGACTCCTGAGGTTGTCAGCACAAGCTCCGGGGCTCCTGCCTGGCCAGGCCTGTGCCCTCCCTCTCTTCTTTTCTGAACCTCTGCACAGGTCCCTCTGCTGGCCTTTGCCTCAGGGCCCAGTGTGCTGGGCAGGGATTTCCCCCAGCCGGAACAGTGCCCCTCGGTCTGGCCCTGGCTAACTCCTCACCCCGTTCAGGGCTTGCCGTCAGCGGGTCTTCACAGGAGATTGTGCCCTGTGTTTCTTCCTTCAAGGCAGCTTTGTCTCGCCCACTGGTTACACGTTGGCGCTCATTCAAAAAATTGTCTTTCTCCTGTGCTGCGTGCAGGGTCCCTGCTGGTGGTCACCTAGGTCCCCAGCTACACCCCCGCACTCAACACACTACACACTGCCTGCACACGGTAGGTACCCATTAAGTGCCTGTCAGGTGGATGCATGGAAGTACCTGCCACATGCTCGTGGTGTGGTAGGGGCTGGACACGGTGCGGCTTCCTTTATTCCCTGGGTTTGAGGGAGGGAGTTCTGTTTTGAAACTTTTATTGGTGACATTGCATTAGGACTTGCGGCCACCTCTGCTCTGAAGAGCTGGCTTTTGCCCAGCTGGAGTATTATTTTGTCACCAACCACTGGATGGTTTTCACTTGCATTGAGAGATGATTGTCACTTGGTGTGGGGTGTGGTGTTTGCTGGTTTAGGTTTAGGAAGCTTCCAACATGCAGAGCCATAAGAAAACAGTGACTCTTTACCTGTTATGATCTTGGTTTCAGTAGGCCATTACCTTGAGTTAAGACAGGGATGAGATGGGAACCATTGCCAGTTCTGAAGCAGCACCATAGTTGTTTGCCGATGTTTTCTGCTGGCTTGTGTGTAGACACCTCCTGGTGAGAGCATAGGAGTAGCTCTTCATGTCAAAGGGAAGATGTGGGAAATTGCTTGATGAAGATCCAAACCTCATCACTAAATGTACAGCAGTGTGCTTTCTTCCTAAGTACTACTGAATTTCTGGCTAGAATAGTTCCTTCCCAAATGGAAGGTTTATTTACAAATCAAGAAAAGCTACTAGCGTTCAATAACTTAATCCAAGATAGACGGGCTTTTAAATTACACATGTCTCTAGGTGTCAACCTTAATCATAAACAGAGAGAAGCTCTCTAAAAGAAAAGATGTTTATCTGGGCATAAAGCTTTGCAATGGGAACACACATGCCATAGTAAACTGTGTGCACATTCAGGGAGGTAAAAGAAGACAAAGGTTTTTCATGAAAAAAAAAGGGTGAAGATTGCACAATTGTTTTGAAATAATTATCCTTGGCTATAAAGATTAATAACAAGGGTGACACCACTCTGAGTCTGGACGGGCAGTTGCTGGGCAGATGATCTCGCAGAAGTGTTTTTTGTGTAAAATGCTGTGGGTTTTGTAGTCTTGTTATTAAGCATACAAGCATGAGACCCCTCTCTTCATGGCCTCCCCTGGCTCTATTTGTCAGGGTTTTCTTAACGTTACTGACTCCATTTTGATTCTGACAACTTTCACTGGGGTACTGACTTAAACAAGTAATTTTTCCTCATTGATGGAGAGTTCATCTGTTTTCATCAGTGAAGTTCTTGACACACATGTTTGAGGATTCATTTGCGGCTGCTATTGGCAAAACATCACTCAGTTATTCATCAAGTGCTAATGGAACAGATGAATTGTACAGGATGCATCATCAGAACTGCAAGGATGGTTGAGATCATGGCTGTGATGGGAGAGCCTGCAGTGCAGCCGCGATGACTTGTCCCCAGCAGAACCAGAGGGGCGTGGCCATGCTGTCATCCAGGCCTGAGCTGGGCAGCCTGGGAGCCCAGATGACCAACTCTGCTCCAGAAAGAGGTGATATCTGAGTGTGGCCACGGGTGAAATTACCGGGGAGCCACATTCCCGTGGGTGTCAGCGCACTCAAAGGCCAATTCAGAATGGACATTTGTCTCCAGAGGCAGGGAGGAGTTGGGCATCCTGAGTCTTGCTGTGTTCCTCAAACACTCTCCAAGCAAGAAAGGCCCCACTGAATATGTCATTGCCACCCCATTCAGGAGACCCGGCTGCCTGGATCAGCTCCTTCAAGGCACTAAGAAGCGCTGTCTGTCTGTCTGGGAGCTCTCCCTGGGCATATTGGAGATAGCCTCAGGCCCCATAGCCACCTCTGTGTTAGAAACCGGGTGTGCCCTTCCTAAATATCCTCCGGGTTACGCCTGCTTACTCAGGTGAGCCAAGCTGAACAGCCTTCCACACACAGCCTGGAGAAGTGTCTGTACCTGAGAGGGACAAGTGAGAGCCCCAGCGCACTTTCATTCATCACTCCTACTGCCAGCATGGTCTCAGGCCCCCCATGTCTCGCAGGGAGGACCCTGTGATCTGAGCTGCTGAATGTGGAATCCTCCAGCTGTGGGATGAGGCTACACATTTTGCCTCTTCATGACCCATTTTTCAAATAAAATACATAAAGCAGGGAACCATCACTGGGGCTCTGTTGGGTCCTGGACCCCAAAGTTTCCTGGAGGGCATCACACCCTTCTTACTGCCCAAAAGCACTTTGAGCAGTAGAGGACCACCGCATCTGTCAGTTGTCCACACCACCAGGGCTTATTGTGCTTCTCCTTGTACCCATTCCTCATGCTGTTCACACATCCATCTGCCTGAACTGCCTCTATGATGATCACATCCCACTTAAGCCTTTCTTCCACATGCCTATTGCTTACTATGAGCCTCTAAATGAGACCCGCCCCTCCTAACTTTATCTCTCCAGCCTCCTCCTCTGCTTCCTAAACACTACCTATGCTGTTCCCTCTGCCTGGAACATCTCCCCTGCACAGCTTAACCTGTTGATTTTTTCAAACCTCTCTATTACAGAAAATTTCAAACACACATGAAAGGAGAGAGGATTCTATAATGAATCACATGCACCCATCAACCAACTTTGGTGGTCAGCCCACAGCCAGTCTTCTTTTCTCAGTATGGTATACACTCCTCCTTCAGTGGTCAGTCCACAGCCAGTCTTGTTTTCTCAGTATGGTATACAGCACACCTTCATTCATCACTCCTGCTGCCAGTCTTGTTTTCTCTGTATGGTATACACTCCTCCCTCAGTGGTCAGTCCACAGCCAGTCTTGTTTTCCCTGTATGGTATACAGCACACCTTCATTCATAACTCCTGCTGCCAGTCTTGTTTTCTCGGTATGGTATACACTCCTCCTTCAGTGATCAGAGATGGTCAGAGATGACCACAGGTAATGGCTGTCAGATGGGGCTCCAGATGGCACTGCTGGTGGGTTCATCGGGGATCCCTGCTGTCCCACATCCCATGAGACAGAGAGGTCATTGGCAAGATGAAAGAGGGATGCCTGATCCTAGAGCCTCATGAGGCTGGAAGTGTACTTGAGGGGGTACACTTTGGGAGGTGTTTCTGCCGTCACCTGTGGTTCCTTGACTTTCTGCTGTCATCTGTGGTTCCTTGACATCCTAGGATGTGAAGGAGGAGGAGGAATTCCAGATGAGAATTCCAATTGAGATGATCAGTGGTCAGCGCACAGTCTTCTTTTCTCGGTATGGTGTGCACTTCTCCTTCCTATCCAGATGATTTTAAACAAGTCCCAGACAGTGTATCTTTTATTTCATCTGTAAATACTTTAGCATGAATCTCCACATAGATAGCTCTTCTTTTTATGTTTTATTTTAGTTCAGTTTAATTGAGTTTGTCTAATTTTTTATTATGTTAGCATAAAATCTACAATCTTAACAATTTTTAAGTGTACAGTTCGGTGGTATTAAGTACACTTATAATGTGTAACCATCACCACCATCTATCTACCATCTATCTCTATATCCCTTTTCATTCCATACCTATTAAATAATAACTCCTCACACCACTCCCATCCCCTGGAAACCACACTTTTGATTACTTTTGAGTACTTTTGATGACTCTAAGTACCTCATATTGATGGAATCATACAGCATATGTCTTTATGTGACTAGCTTATTTCACTTAGAGTAATGTCCTCAAGGTCCATCCATGCTGTGGCCTATGTGAGAATTCCCTTCCTTTTTTAAGACTGAGCAATACTCCATTGAATGTAGATAGCACATTTTGCTTATCCATTCATCCACAGACACTTGAGATGCTTTCAGATTTCAACTATTATGAATAGTGCTGCTATGAACATGGCATGCAAGTATCTCCTCAAGACCCTGTTTTCAACTCCTTTTGGTATATATCCAGAAGTGGAATTTCTGGACCATACGGTAATTCTATTTTTAATTATTTGAGGAACTGCCATACTGTTTTCCAAAGCGACTGCACTGTTTTTCATTCCCACCAGCAGTGCACAAGGATTCCAATTTTTTCACATCCTCACCAACACTTGTTATTTTCCGTTTTTTTTTTTAACAGTAGCCATCCCAGTGAGTATGAGGTCATATCTCATATGTAGTTTTGATTTTCATTTCCCATTATTAGTGATGTTGAGCATCTTTTCCTGGGCTTATTGGCCATCTGTATATCTTCTTTGGAGAAATTTCTATTCAAGACCTTTGCCAGTTTTTGAATCAGATTATTTTTTGTTGTTGAGTTTTAACCATTCTCTATATATCTTGGGTATTAATTCCTTATTAGATATATGATTTGCAAATGTTTTCTCCCATTCTGTGGCTTACTTTCTTACTCTGTTGATATTGTCTATTGATGCACAAAAATATCTAAATTGTTATGAAGTCCAACTTGTTTTTTCTTTTGTTGCCTCTGCCTTTGGTGTCACATCCAAGAAATCATTGACAAATCCAATGTCATGAAGCTTTTGCCCTGTTTTCTTCTAAGAGTTTTATGGTTTTAGATTTTACATTTAGGTGATTGATTTATTTGGGATTGGTTTTTGAATATGGTGTTAGGTAAGGGTTCAACTTCATTCTTTTGCATGTGGATATCCAATTTTTTAGCACCATTTGTTGAAAAAAAATGTCCTTTCCCTATTGAATGGTGTTGGCACCCTTGTTAAAAATCATTTGATTGTATAAGCAAGGGTTTATTTCTGGGCTCTCTATTTTATTCACTTGGTCTATATGTGTGTATTTATGCCATATCACACTGTTTTGATTCTAGTGCCATTGTAGTAAGTCTTAAAATCAGGAGGTGTGAGTACTCCTACTTTGTTCTAAGTCCAGCCTGAGCTCCTTGAGATTCCATATGAATGTTAGAATGGGTTTTTCTGTTTCTGCAGACAACATTACTGGGATTTTGCTACTGATCGCACTGAATCTATAGATAACTTTGGGTAGTACTGACATCCTAGCAATGTTAAGGTTCCCAGTGCATGAATATGGAATGTCTTCCCATTTATTTGTGTCTTCTTTAATTTTTTTCAGCAGTGTTTTGTTTGTTTGTTTGTTTGTTTGTTTGTTTTTGAGATGGAGTCTTGCTCTGTCACCCAGGCTGGAGTCCAGTGGCACGATCTCAGCTCACTGCAACCTCTGCCTCCTGTGTTCAAGAAATTCTTCTGCCTCGGCCTCATGAGTAGCTGGGATTACAGGCGCCCACCACCACGCCCAGCTAATTTTTGTATTTTTGGTAGAAATAGGGTTTCACCATGATGTTGGCCAGGCTGGTTTCGAACTCCTGACCTCAAGTCATCCACCCACTTCAGCCTCCCAAAGTACTGAGATTACAGGCATGACCCACCATGCCCTGCCTCAGCAATGTTTTGATGACTTCTTTGTATGAGTCCTTCACCTCATTGGTTCAATTAATTCTGAAGTATTGTGTTCTTTTTGTTGCTATTGTAAATGAATTTTTAAAAAATTTCTTTTCAGATTCTTCATTGTTGGTATATAGAAATGCAGCTGATTTTTTGTGTATTAACTTTGTATCCTGCTACTTTGCTAACTTCATTTATTAGTTCTAATAGATTTTTTTGTGGAATCTTTAGGGTTTTCTATATGTGAGATCATACTTCTTCCTTTCCAATTAAGTGCCTTTTATTTCTTTTTCTTGCCTAATTTCTCTGGCTACAGTTTTTAGTACAGTGTTCAATAAAAGTGGGAAAAGTGGGCATCTTTGCCTTGTTCTTGATGTTACAGGTGCTTTCACCATTGAGTATGATGTTCACTGTGGATTTTTCAAATATAGCTTTTATTTTGTTGAGGTAATTTCTTTCTATTCCTAGTTTGTTTCATGTTTTTATCATGAAAAGGAAAAGCATCAATGCTTTTCCAGAAATGCTTAGTAGAAAGGCATTAAATTCTTTTTCTATGTCAATAGAGATAATTACGTATTTTTTGTCTTTCATTCTGTTAATGTGGTGTATTACAATGATTGATTTTCATGATTTTAACCCTCCTTGCATTCCAGAAATAAATCTCACTTGATCATGGTATATGATTCCTTTAATATGCCGCTTAATTCAGTTTAGTAGTATTTTGTTGGGAGTTTTACATCAGTGTTCATAAGGCATATGGGTCTGTAATGTTCCTATGGTGTCTTTTCTGGCTTTGGTGTCAGGGTAATGCTGACCTCATGGAATGACTTAGGAAGTGCTCACTTCTCTTCAGTTTTTTTGGAAAAGTTTGAGAAGGACTGGTATTAGTTCTTTAAATGTTTGCTACAATTCACCACTGAAGCCATTTTGTAGAAAATCTCTATCTATTGCCATAAAACCCTAAAACTCTTTGACTAAGACAGAAAAAATCAGAGCTGAAAGGGACCTGAAAACTTTCCTTGCTCAATCACCCCATTAATAGTTCCACTTTCATAAGCCACTTGCCAACAGTCAGATATTTAGTAGCAAAACTAGGGCTGAATCTCTGGCCTCGTGACTTTTAGTAAAAAGTGTTCTTTATACCGTGACAGTCTCCAAGTAAAAAAATGTATATGTGTTTATGTAGAATATAAAACTTGTATAGAATATGTTGTATACCTACTTTCTGACTTATATTTTTCTTTCACAACCCCTCAATTTTCCCACTCACCTGATATTCACCACGACTCATGGTTAGCTGTGCATGTTAGTAACTCCCCAGGAGAGTTCTTACAATAGTGTTATAGAAAGAGATTAAGAACTAGGGACTCAAATGCAAGGCCACAGAGGCCCCTCTTCATCCTGTCTCCTCCTCCAGCTGCCTTCCTCTATAAGGAAGCAGGTGGAGCATGATTGGCCAGTGATGCATTTAAGGCGGCTTCCTCTGCCAAGCTCAAAACCAGACTCCCAGTCTTATAAGATGATGACACGGGGAACTCAGTGGTTGATGCAGCCCAGAAAGTGTTTGGTCAAGAGAAGGGAGCATCCTAGACATAGCAGAGACTGCTTATGCAGAAATAAAGAGTCAGGCAGGAGGCTTTCATCTCTGTAGCTACTGGTTCTGAGTATCATCGACTGAGAAAAAAATAAATAAAAAATCCCACAAAAGTTATAAAGGGAATTGGAAGAACAGTAGCACTGTCCTGGGGCAAGACTCCGGAGTGCATTGGTACAGAGAGCCATGTGGATAACCCTAGATGGCAGCCTCATTAGAGGCATTCTCTCTCCTCCCATCAACCCAGTTTCATCTCTGAGCGGATGAACCCAGGCCCAGGGAAAGGCTCTGAGCAGGTAGGAGTGGGTACCAGCAAACGTGGAAGGAAATGAGCTAATGGGAATTATGAAGCAAAGGCAATATATATGACAAACCAGTCTGTGTTGAAAGAGATATCGAAGGATGCGGAAATGACAAAATAAAATTCCACTAATTTTGATCCCTTTCATTCATACTTAGTCATAATTTATGATACTCAAAATTGAAAAAATTCACTTCAATAAGAAAAAAAAGTTGTTCTTTTAAAAAAATAAATTGTTTGACATAATTTGAGTACATTTTAAAATTTAGTAAATAATCAGTTGTAAAATCAACTTGTTCAGCAGGCCAAAATGTGCACTGTACACTGTAGCCCAGCACCTCCTCAGCTTTAATGTGCAGACTCATCAGCTGGGATCGTGTTAAAATGCAGATTCTGATTTAGTAGGTGCAGGTGCTACTCAAGATTCTGCATTTCCAACAAGCTCCCAGCTGGTGCTGATGCTTCTGGTTCTCAGCAAATTCTGAGTGGCCAACTATAGAGAGCACCCTAGGAGACCAAGCTGTGCCTCTCTCAAGATGCCTCAGTAGCAGATTCGTGTTTGGGACTTGACACCTCAAGATCATCACTAAGTAGAGATTATTGCAATCACATAATTTCCTGCTTGAATGAACAGCCATGTACCTGGGAAGAGCTAATCGCCTTTACAGATTTGCAGTTCTGTTTTCCTATGGACTTGTCAGATGCTAATGCGATTGGGTTTACCTGTGGGTTTCAGGATGTCTGCTAGCAATCAAAGGTTCCTCTAGGCTGCAAGGGAGCCAATTCCTGCAGTCTCCTTCATTTGGAAGCAGAGACTTTATAGAGATTCAGGTAATCAATTTCTGCTAACTCTGGCTAGCCGCCCCCACAGACCCTTTTTAACATTCACTGAATAGGTAGGACTGCATTTTATCTAACTCTCACAGTTACTATGCGTTTATCAGCTGGCTGGTACAGTCTGAAACAATGTGGGTCTGGGTGATTAGCTTGTTTTCAAGTGTGATTCTCTTGTCTCATCTCTGTTTTCTCCTCCTCCAGGAGAAATGGCTTCCCTGAGGCAAGTGTAACCTACATTCCCAGCCCACCAGCCTGACGCCCAGCCAGGGAGAGAGTACCATGGATGGCATCATTGAACAGAAGAGCATGCTGGTGCACAGTAAAATCAGTGATGCTGGCAAGAGGAATGGTTTAATTAACACCAGAAACTTGATGGCCGAGAGCAGAGATGGTCTGGTGTCTGTTTACCCAGCGCCCCAGTACCAGAGCCACCGGGTGGGGGCCAGCACAGTGCCGGCCAGCCTGGACAGCAGCAGGAGTGAGCCGATGCAGCAGCTGCTGGACCCCAACACCCTGCAGCAGTCAGTGGAGTCCCGCTACCGGCCCAACATCATCCTCTATTCAGAGGGCGTGCTGCGCTCCTGGGGGGACGGTGTGGCCGCCGACTGCTGCGAGACCACCTTCATCGAGGACCGGTCGCCCACCAAAGACAGCCTCGAGTACCCGGATGGGAAGTTCATTGACCTCTCAGCTGATGACATAAAAATCCACACCCTGTCCTACGATGTGGAGGAGGAGGAGGAGTTCCAGGAGCTGGAGGTCACAGGATGTGTTTGTCAGAGGCCCTCTAAGAATGTGTGATGGGGATTCTAGGGAGGGCAGGAGCCATGAATGCCTGGCAAAAGTTAGGGAATGAAACTAGTGTGCAAAAATGCAGAAACCAAAGGCAGTCTTGGTGCCCTTCACTCTTGAGTGCTTATGGAAGATAGAAGGAGAGGAAAGACTTAGATTAACAGAAACCCAGGGGCGCTTCACCGGTGATTCTGGTATGAGATGACCCCAGGTAATGGCTGCAGATGGCAGTGCTGGTGGGTTCATCGGTTTTCCCTGCTCTCCCGCATCCCATGAGACAGAGAGGTCATTGACAAGATGAGAGAGGGACACCTGATCCTAGAGCCACATGAGGCTGGAAATATACTTGACAGGGGACACTTTGGGAGGTGCTTCTACTGTCACCTGTGGTTCCTTGACTTTGCATTCCACAGTTACTACTGAGAGATTGTTGATAGAGCTGAACCGTGCTGGAAGAAAGTGTAGGTACTGATAGCCTGAAGGGAAGATAAGTTGACTTCTTAGATGACTCGCTTCTTTAATGGACTGGAGGGCAGGTGACAGCATTTGAATTACATGCACAGAGATGTACACACTGCACGTTGGATATAGTGTGGTAGGCACAGTGGTTGCTGAGTGTGTGGCACATTGTCCCCCCAGGACAGCACCGGTGAGAGGGTGAGAGCAGCTGCTGCAGGCCATGGACTAGCGGTTTGCTGCCCATGCCTCCCAAGTCATTCCACTGCAGTGAGGCCAGGGGTGTTTTCCCAGGACGCGATGTCAGGGAAACACGTGCCAGGCTTTCCGTCAGTTTGGTGGGGAAGGAAACCGCCGAGCAGGTCCAACCTTCAGAGGCAGTGTGTGGCCAAAAGGGGAAGGGATGTCTGTTTTTCACTAAGGTAGGCGAGAACATTTTTGTAGGTGGAGAGGAAATGTTCAGAATGGAAAATTCAGGATCGTGGCCAGCAGCTGGGGAGTGGTCTTGGGGAGGCAGGAGCTGAACTCCAAGCATGTATGTGTGAGAGCTGGCCTCTCAGAAGAAGTCCACATGCTGGCCTGGGAGAGAAGAGAAGGGTGGGGTAAGGGAAAGTTTGAAGGGCTCTGGGTTGAAGAGGAAGAAAAGGAGGGGTTCGTGTTGGCTGAGCATCAGCACAGCCAGAGAAGCTCCTGGGGTGTGAGGAGATTGCAGACAGTCTAGAGCAATGAACTGGGGGAAGTGCCCATTCTAGAAAAGACTCCTGGAGAAACTGCCCAGCTGCAGTATGAGTTTGTGTGAAGATCTGGTCAGACCCAGGGCTCTGTGACTTTCTGCAGCCATGTGGGACCATCTTTAGCAGGTGAGGCTCCCTTGGCAAGGTGCACTCTGCCTGGAAGGTGGAGGAGGCAGGAGAAAGCAATAGGGAGGAAGTTTGGAGCAGAATCAGACCCACAACCATGGGACCCCACACTTGATAGAAAGGCCGGAGAAATTGCAAGGGAATGACAGGCCAAGGAGACCAGAGGATCAGGATTGGAGAGACCCCATTGAGAACCAGGAGCTGAGAGATCCAGCGTTAGTCAGGAGGGAGGATTAGAAATGGAGAGGGAAACTTTGGTGCAACTCCAGCCGGTGGAGCCCGGGAAGCCCACTGGCAGGGAGTGGAGAGTCGTGGCATGGAAGAGGACCAAGACGTGATGCCTGGGCATCTGCGCAGGCCCCAATGCCCTCTGGTGACACCTGTGAAGGGAGGGCACTCACGCTGCAGCTGTGGAAAGTTGGGAGCATGCTTGGCTTCTGTTCAGAAGCCTCTGCCCTGTCTACTAAGTTTTCCAAGATCTGAGGGCTTTGCTGACAGCAAAGCGTAAATGCTGCCCGACTCGCATGGAGTGGAATTAGAGAGGCAGATGCACGAAAATGCAGCCCCAGGAGTTATGGGAATGGAATACCCCATCAGCTCTGAAGAGGGTCTGGGGCCCTGAGCTCAATGCGGGGTTCAGAAGTCATCACACAGGCAGGAGCCCTCCCCCGGCTGAGTCTTGAGGATGAGTAAGAGGAGGCTTGAGGGGAGCTTAAATAAAAGCTAGGAATGGGTGGGGGCAGACACAGACTTGTCTGTCTTAGTAGGTCCAAGGCTCTGACAAGTAGTATAGACTTCTGGGGAGGTAACCTTTCCCACCCAGTCCTGCTTCTCTGATCTAGCAGCAGAAGTGGAAGCCCACCAGAAACAATTCTTTTAATAATACAGCAATAAGAATCTTTAGTCATAATAACGGTGCCTACTCTGTATTAATATTTCTAGTGACTTTTGAATATAACGTAAGATGGAGCATGTTGGCATTTATACTAAAGTAACATCGATGAAACAGCAAGTTGTTTACTTAGGCACTTTAGTGAGACTTTCTGGTCGGCTTCCAAGGAGCTCACCTGGACCAAGAAATGGCCCCTTCCACAGGCTCTGAGCAGAAGGAATGGAGACACATTATGGCTGCTGCTGCTTCTACATGCGGCTCAGGATGCCAAGGAGGATTTCAGAGCCTCACCACGGTGGTTAACTTCGTCCTTTTTCTCTGAAAACAAAGATTTTCTCAGAAACATTCTTACAGTATAGCTATGGTGCTTTTCATTCCCTTCTTCGGTAATTAACAAAATACTAATGACTGGTTAGAAGTGTCATTGAACATGCAGTAGCTGTTCTTTGGTTTACTGTTTTCTCCATTCCATTAAATAATAAAGGGTCATGTATTGGTTAGCATTTGCTGCATAACAAATCACCCCCAAAACACAGTGCCTTAACAACTCTTTCTTCAGCTTATGATTTCTGAGGGTCGGCAATTGAGCTGGGCTCAGCTGGGTGATTGTTCTGCTGGTCTCACCTGGGCTCACTCACTTGTCCATAGCTAGCTGTGATAGGCTGGGAAGCCAGCCTCTGGTGGGCTGTTGGCTGCAGTGACAGAGGTAACTGCATCACCCAGCTGTCACCCATCCTGTCCCAGGCTTCATTTTGCGGCAGCCAGAGAGGTGGGGCCCACTTTGTGAGGGCTTGTCAAGTCTTTGCCTGTGTCCTGCATGTTACTATCTCATTGACCAGAGCAGGTCCCACAGCCAAGCTCAGTCAGTGTGGGAGAGACTGCTTAGGGTCACAATATAGGGAAGTGATAACAAATTGGGTGCCAGTACTGCAACCACAGAGCCAAAAACCATAGACTTTTGGCATCATTTTTTTTTTCAGATGGTCTAACTGAACAGAATGACAACTACTGAAACAAAAGAACAGTGAATACTGATCTGAGCTCTTTCCAGAAGGCAGTTCTACTCAGCCAAAAAAGAAAAAAAAATGTGATTTTTAACTTCTTTGAGTATTGTATAGCTTCACTTGGTTTATAGCAAATGGATACTGTTTCCCAAATAATGCCGTTTTCAAAAAGCCATTGCCCTGGTTCAGAATGGGGCCCCCTCATTGCCCTTGTTCAGAGGGGGCCACCTCATTGCCCTTGTTCAGGGCCCCTCCCATTGCCCTGGTTCAGAGTGGGGCCTTCTCATTGTCCTGGGTCAGAGCAGGGCCCCCTCATTGCCCTGGTTCAGAGCAGGGCCCCTCGTTTCCCTGGTTCTGAGCGGGGCTCCCTTGCTGGAGCTCCTGGGCACTGGGTGGCTGGCTGTGTTTTCCCCAATCACTTTCCCAAGACAGGTGCATCCCTGGCATTTATGAAGGAGCCTCTCCAGGTCCGAAGAGGTCGGCCTGTCTGACATATGTTTGCAAGGGCATGTGGAGCGTTCAGTTTGCCTTCGAGGTTGTGGTAGTAACAAGAACAGGTTCTATGGCTAACTTTGAGAATATTTATGGGAGGTTCTCAACTATTCGGCAAGTGTTTATGATCTGTCCTGCTCCACCTTAAGTCGCCAAGTAGAGCATGGCTTGACATTAGACAGGTAGATGTAGGGGACCTCTGGGGCTTTGCGGGAGTGCAGAGGTGCCATGCCGCTCATTATCTAGTGCCACTGCGCTCAGGGTGACAAGACAGGCATCCTGTGGGGGTGCCCTCAGGGCATCCTGGGTAGTGATAATTGGGCCTGATGTCCGACAGCCCAGGCCTCTTCCCAGGTATGTGAACACTGCTTCATCCACTTCCCAGCCAGTAGCTAAAA
Organism: Homo sapiens; assembly: GCF_000001405.40. Lineage (NCBI taxonomy): Eukaryota > Metazoa > Chordata > Mammalia > Primates > Hominidae > Homo > Homo sapiens. The sequence goes on from NC_000020.11 coordinate 24,547,713, forward strand.
ACTGCTGTCTCTGGGAATACCAGCAGTGGGAAGCCACTTCTCCTTTCACACAAATAAACTCAGAGAGACTTCAGGGACAAGTAATGAAGTAGGTCTACAAAATATACAATTTGAGTTTACAGCCATGAAATGAAGTGGATGGAGTCCAGGTGCAGAGGCCTGACCACCCTCCTGCCCTTAGAGATGGTGACCAGATGTTGAATGGCACTTACCTGTGGCAATGCAAAACCTCTCAGACCTGAAGTACATGACGGTCACCACCTAGAAGCGGTGCCCATGGGGGCTGAGCCTTTTCTTCACTGAAGGAAGAAGGGGGAAGGGAACGCTCATCGATGGAGCACCTTTTCTGCCACGCCCTCCAAGTGCACTTGGCCATCGAATCCTCGAAGCGCTTGGGGATGGGTCATGGTGCTGTCCTCATCCTACACGTGGAGAGACAGAAACTTGGGGTGTTTCCAAGATCACACACGTGGCTCTGCTGTCAGCCCTTGGATCTGAGACAGATCTCCTGACTTTAGACTCTGTCTCCTCATGATGATGCTGTTCTTTCTACATTAGGGGGAAAAATGTGTTCCAGTAAACTTCTGTTTCAGCATTATGCCAGAGTCCAAGGACAAAGCAGGAAGAGACGGCACCAGGACTTCACTTCTGTGAACTCTCCGCCAAGCTTTCCAAGGCCTTCCAGTCTGTCTTCCCATGTAAAAACTTGAAAGCTGTTGGAGGACACAGAATTCTATAACTGCAATAGAGCACTTTACATATACCTCAGTCATAAGTATGGAAAGAGGGGCGAGGACTCAACACACATGTGAAGAAAACCCAAAAGCATGAATGAGACAGAACAACAACAAATAGAACAGTTGACCCAGAGGAAAGAGAAAGAGTTCAGAAAATAATAAACAGCATTTTGAAAATTATTTTTAGTATCTCCAGAGAGATTTGAGGTGCTGCTGATTTGGGTGGAAGGAAATTTGGGGGTTTTGTTTTGCTCATTTGTTTGTTTACCTCATAGCACTGGCCAGAACCTCAAATACATTGTTTAGTGTGAGTGAACGAACATCCTTGCCTTGCTCCTGATCTTAGGGGGAGCTTTTAGCTTTCATGATGAAAGGTGATGTTTTTGTAGTTCTTTGTAGACACTCATAATCAGGTATAGGAAGTTCCCTTTGTCACTACTTTGTTGAAGAGGTTTTTTATTTTATTTTTTATTTAATTTTATTTTTTAATAGACAAATAAATGGGATATTCATATTCATGGGGTATATAGTGATGTTTTGATACATGTAACATATGGTGATCAGATCAGGGTAATTAGCATATTCATTATCTCAAACTTTGATCATTGCTTTGTGTTGGGAGCATTCAATAACCTCCTCTTAGCTATTTGAAACTGCATAATATATTATTTTTCAACTGTTTTCATGCTACAGTGCTGTAGAACACTGGAAGTTATTCATATCTAGCTGTAATTTTGTATGTTTTAATACATCTCTTCCTATCTCTCCCTTCCTCCTACTCTGCCCACTCTCTACTATTCTTCCTTCTACTTTTACTTCTATAAAATTAACTCCTTTTAGCTTCCACGAGTGGAACATGCAATGCTTAACTTTCCCTCCTGACTTATTTCATTTAACATAATGTCCTCCAGTTTCATCCATATTTGCTGCAAATGACATAATTTCATTATTTTTTTATGGCTGAATAGTATCCTGTGGTGTTGAAATGGGAGAGTTCCCTGATTCCCCTTGCAGGACGTGGGGTGGGTGTGGTTCACCTGTTCTGTTGCTGCTCAAACCCCTTGCAGGACTGGAGCATGCAGAAGGGCAGGTGCAGAGGCTGGGGCGAGTGCTTTATGCTCTGGCCTTGCAGTAGTGTCTAGGGGTGGGTGACTGCAACCCCACTGTTACAAAGCTCTTTCAGCTTTGCTGTCCACAGACGGCTTGAATACTAACAGGCTCAATGGGCCCTTTGCCTTTTCGCAAGGACAGAGGGCTGGATCCAGAGCTGTTGCCCAGCATCCTGGAAAAATCAGGTCACATACGGGCTTGAAGGATGAATGTGAAGTTTTTTTGAGTGGTAGAGGTGGTTTTCAGTGGGATGGATGTGGAGCCGGGAAGGATACTGGAGTGGGAAGGTGATCCTCCCCTGGACTTGGGCCACCCAGTGGCTGGACTCCTCTCTGACCATCCCCAACCAAACTCCTCTCGGCATTCAGATGTTCCTCCTCTTCTCCCTTTCTCTGCCATGTTGTTCTGCCATCTGTCTATTTGCTGGTCTTCTGGCTTGCTAGTCTGCTTCTGGGTCCTGGGTTTCAGGGTTTATATGGGTGTAGGCATGCGGGCCAAAATACAACTTTTTGGGTACAAAAACAGGAATGCCTTTTCTCACTTAGGGCCACAGATATCCAGGCTTGAGGATGGGGCTTTGCCAGGAAACTGCCCTCTTCTACCCAGTATTTCCCTGATTCCTGTCCTATCAGTGTACAACTACCCCATTTTCTTTATCCATTTATCTGTTTGTTGTTGGAGACCTAGGTTAATCCCATATCTTGGATATTGCGAATAGCACTGCAACAAACGCATGGTGTAGATGTCTCTCTAATATACTGATTTCGTTTCCTTTGGATAAATGCCAAGTAGTGGGGTTGCTGGATTGTATGGTAGTTCTATTTGTGGTTTTTCTAGGGAGTTGCATATGGGTGTTCAATTCGTCAGGTACTACTTAGGTAATCATGTGTGGTGTTTCTTTGTTGTCCTTTATTTTTTCATCCTTTAATCATGTGGTATATTACGTTAACTGCTTTTTTTTTTTTTTGAGACGGAGTCTCTCTCTGTCGCCCAGGCTGGAGTGCAGTGGCGCGATCTTGGCTCACTGCAAGCTCTGCCTCCCGGGTTCACACCATTCTCCTGCCTCAGCCTCCCGAGTAGCTGGGACTACAGGCGCCCGCCACCATGCCCGGCTAATTTTTTTTGTATTTTTAGTAGATACGGGGTTTCACTGTGTTAGCCAGGATGGTCTCGATCTCCTGACCTCGTGATCTGCCCGCCTCGGCCTCCCAAAGTGCTGGGATTACAGGTGTGAGCCACTGCGCCCAGCCTACATTAACTGCTTTGCAGATAACAGACCATCCTTGCATTTGGGGGTAAATCCCACTTTGTCGTGGTTTATAATCCTCTTTAAGTGTCACTGGATCTTTTCTAATCCTTGGATAAGGATTTCTGTGCCTATATTCATGAGGGATGTTGATCTGCAGTTTTCTCTTCTTGTGCCATCTTTTCTGGGCTCTAGTATGAAGGTAATATTGGCTGCATAGAATAAGTTGGGAATTATTTCTCTCTTTATTTTCTGAAAGACTCTGTTTAGTATTGGTATGATTTCTTTTTGTTTGTTAGAACTCACCAGTGAAGGCATTTGGGCCTGGCCTTTTCTTTGTGGGAAGATTTTCAATTACTGAACTGATTCTATTACTTTACTAGTTTAAGTCTCTTGTTTTAAAGAAAATCTGAAGATCGTCCTTTATTCTTGTCCCAGTTTTAGTATTGTGACACCTAATTTGTTGGCATGAAGTTGTTCATCATATTCCATTTAAATCCTTTTACTTTCTGTATGGTTGGTAATATTTACTCTTTCATGCCTCATTTTAGTAATTTAAGTTTCTCTATTTCTTTCTTGGTCAGTCTAGATAGAAATTGATCATTTTTTGGATCTTTTCAAATAGCTGACTTCTGGTTCCATTGATTTTTCTCTCGTTATTTAGTTTTCCATTTTATTAATTTTTTACTCAGATATTTATGACATCCTGCCCTCTGTTTCCTTTGGCTTAAATTTGTTCTTTTTTACCTATTTTTTTTTTTAGGCGTGAGCTGGGATTACTTATTTGACATTTGTTTCTTCTTATAATGTATATTCAAGGCTATCACTTTCTTTCAAACACTGTTTTAACTGTGTCCTGTAAATTTTGATTTGTTGTGTTTTAATTTTTATATAGTTGAAAATACTTCTGTAGCCATTGTGATTTTTTATTTTTCTAATGAGTTATTTATTAATGTGTTGTTTAATTTCCAAATATTCAGGGATTTTGTTGTTTCCTATTATTTATTCTTAATTAAATCTCATTAAGGTTGAAGGACATAGTTTGTATAATTTCTCTTTTAAATTGATTGAGACTTGATATGTGGCTTAGTGTCTGATATGTTCTGGGGAATATGCCATGTGAACAAGGAAAGAATGAGTGTTCTGTCCTGCAAAGTGTTTTATACAGATTCGCAAGGTCGTGTGAGTTAATTCCTGTTCGTGTCTCCTGTTCTTTCTGTTTGTCTGCCTAGTTGTCACAATTAGGAGTGGAGTATCAGAAATATTTACTTTTAGGGAATTGTCTATTTCTTTCTTTTATTTTGTCAGTGTTTACTTCATGTGTTTTGGGGCTCCGTTGTTAAGAGTGTGTACATTTATAATTGTTATATCTTGCTGAACTGTTGGCCATTTTATTATAAAGCTTCTGTCACTGAAACACCAGGGGTTCCATCTAGAACCTGCTGCTCCACACACAGAAAGCCAATCACTGAGACGATTATTGCCAAGGAAGAGGGCTTTTTTAAAAAATTATTATTATACTTTAAGTTTTAGGGTACATGTGCACAATGTGCAGGTTAGTTACATATGTATACATGTGCCATGCTGGTGTGCTGCACCCATTAACTCGTCATTTAGCATTAGGTATATCACCTAATGCTATCCCTCCCCCATCCCCTCACCCCACAACAGTCCCCAGAGTGTGATGTTCCCCTTCCTGTGTCCATGTGTTCTCATTGTTCAATTCCCACCTATGAGTGAGAACATGAGATGTTTGTTTTTTTTTGTCCTTGCAATAGTTTACTGAGAATGATGATTTCCAATTTCATCCATGTCCCTACAAAGGACATGAACTCATCATTTTTTATGGCTGCATAGTATTGCATGGTGTATATGTGCCACATTTTCTTAATCCAGTCTATCATTGTTGGACATTTGGGTTGGTTCCAAGTCTTTGCTATTGTGAATAGTGCTGCAATAAACATACATATGCATGTGTCTTTATAGCAGCATGACTTATAATCCTTTGGGTATATACCCGGTAATGGGATGGCTGGGTCAAATGGTATTTCTAGTTCTAGATCCCTGAGGAATCGCCACACTGAAATCCACAATGGTTGAACTAGTTTACAGTCCCACCAACAGTGTAAAAGTGTTCCTATTTCTCCACATCCTCTCCAGCACCTATTGTTTCCTGACTTTTTAATGATTGCCATTCTAACTGGTGTGAGATGGTATCTCATTGTGGTTTTGATTTGCATTTCTCTGATGGCCAGTGATGGTGAGCATTTTTTCATGTGTTTTTTGGCTGCATAAATGTCTTCTTTTGAGAAGTGTCTGTTCATGTCCTTCGCCCACTTTTTGATGGGGTTGTTTGTTTTTTTCTTGTAAATTTGTTTGAGTTCATTGTAGATTCTGGATATTAGCCCTTTGTCAGATGAGCAGGTTGCGAAAATTTTCTCCCATTTTGTAGGTTGCCTGTTCACTCTGATGGTAGTTTCTTTTGCTGTGCAGAAGCTCTTTAGTTTAATGAGATCCCATTTGTCAATTTTGGATTTTGTTGCCATTGCTTTTGGTGTTTTAGACATGAAGTCCTTGCCCATGCCTGTGTCCTGAATGGTAATGCCTAGGTTTTCTTCTAGGGTTTTTATGGTTTTAGGTCTAACATGTAAGTCCTTAATCCATCTTGAATTAATTTTTGTATAAGGTGTAAGGAAGGGATCCAGTTTCAGCTTTCTACATATGGCTAGCCAGTTTTCCCAGCACCAGTTATTAAATAGGAAATCCTTCCCCATTGCTTGTTTTTCTCAGGTTTGTCAAAGATCAGATAGTTGTAGATATGTGGCATTATTTCTGAGGGCTCTGTTCTGTTCCATTCATCTATATCTCTGATTTGGTACCAGGACCATGCTGTTTTGGTTACTGTAGCCTTGTAGTATAGTTTGAAGTCAGGTAGTGTGATGCCTCCAGCTTTGTTCTTTGGCTTAGGATTGACTTGGCAATGCGGGCTCTTTTTTGGTTCATATGAACTTTAAAGTAGTTTTTTTCCAATTCTGTGAAGAAAGTCATTGGTAGCTTGATGGAGATGCCATTGAATCTATAAATTACCTTGGGCAGTATGGCCATTTTCACGATATTGTTTCTTCCTACCCATGAGCATGGAATGTTCTTCCATTTGTTTGTATCCTCTTTTATTTCATTGAACAGTGGTTTGTAGTTCTCCTTGAAGAGGTCCTTCACATGCCTTGTAAGTTGGATTCCTAAGTATTTTATTCTCTTTGAAGCAATTGTGAATGGGAGTTCACTCATGATTTTGCTGTTTGTCTTTTATTGGTGTATAAGAATGCTTGTGATTTTTGTACATTGATTTTGTATCCTGAGACTTTGCTGAAGTTGCTTATCAGCTTAAGGAGATTTTGGGCTGAGACAATGGGGTTTTCTAGATATACAATCATGTCATCTGCAAACAGGGACAATTTGACTTCCTCTTTTCCTAATTGAATACCCCTTATTTCCTTCTCCTGCCTAATTGCCCTGGCCAGTACTTCCAACACTATGTTGAATAGGAGTGATGAGAGAGGCATCACTGTCTTGTGCCAGTTTTCAAAGGGAATGCTTCCAGTTTTTGCCCATTCAGTATGATATTGGCTGTGGGTTGGACATAGATTGCTCTTATTATTTTGAGATATGTCCCATCAATACCTAATTTATTGAGTGTTTTTAGCATGAAGGTTGTTGAATTTTGTCAAAGGCCTTTTCTGCATCTATTGAGATAATCATGTGGTTTTTGTCTTTGGTTCTGTTTATATGCTGGGTTACATTTATTCATTTGCGTGTATTGAACCAGCCTTGCATCCCAGGGATGAAGCCCACTTGATCATGGTGGATAAGCTTTTTGATGTGCTGCTGGATTCGGTTTGCCAGTATTTTATTGAGGATTTTTGCATCAATGTTCATCAAGGATATTGGTCTAAAATTCTCTTTTTTGGTTGTGTCTCTGCCCGGCTTTGGTATCAGGATGATGCTGGCCTCTTAAAATGAGTTAGGGAGGATTCCCTCTTTTTCTATTGATTGGAATAGTTTCAGAAGGAATAGTACCAGTTCCTCCTTGTACCTCTGGTAGAATTCGGCTGTGAATCCATCTGGTCCTGGACTCTTTTTGGTTGGTAAGCTATTGATTATTGCCACAATTTCAGATCCTGTTATTGGTCTATTCAGAGATTCAGCTTCTTCCTGGTTTAGTCTTGGGAGGGTGTATGTGTCAAGGAATTTATCCATTTCTTCTAGATTTTCTAGTTTATTTGTGTAGAGGTGTTTGTAGTATTCTCTGATGGTAGTTTGTATTTCTGTGGGATTGGTGGTGATATCCCCTTTATCATTTTTTATTGCATCTATTTGATTCTTCTCTCTTTTCTTCCTTATTAGTCTTGCTAGCAGTCTATCAATTTTGTTGATCCTTTCAAAAAAACCAGCTCTGGATTCATTAATTTTTTGAAGGGTTTTTTGTGTCTCTATTTCCTTCAGTTCTGCTCTGATTTTAGTTATTTCTTGCCTTCTGCTAGCTTTTGAATGTGTTTGCTCTTGCTTTTCTAGTTCTTTTAATTGTGACGTTAGGGTGTCAATTTTGGATCTTTCCTGCTTTCTCTTGTGGGCATTTAATGCTATAAATTTCCCTCTACACAGTGCTTTGAATGTGTCCCAGAGACTCTGGTATGTTGTGTCTTTGTTCTCGTTGGTTTCAAAGAACATCTTTATTTCTGCCTTCATTTCATTATGTACGCAGTAGTCATTCAGGAGCAGGTTGTTCAGTTTCCATGTAGTTGAGCTGTTTTGAGTGAGTTTCTTAATCCTGAGTTCTAGTTTGATTGCACTGTGGTCTGAGAGATAGTTTATTATAATTTCTGTTCTTTTACATTTGCTGAGGAGAGCTTTACTTCCAAGTATGTGGTCAATTTTGGAATAGGTGTGGTGTGGTGCTGAAAAAAATGTATATTCTGTTGATTTGGGGTGGAGAGTTCTGTAGATGCCTATTAGGTCCACTTGGTGCAGAGCTGAGTTCAATTCCTGGGTATCCTTGTTAAATTTCTGTCTCGTTGATCTGTCTAATGTTGACAGTGGGGTGTTAAAGTCTCCCATTATTATTGTGTGGGAGTCTAAGTCTCTTTGTAGGTCACTCAGGACTTGCTTTATGAATCTGGGTGCTCCTCTATTGGGTGCATATATATTTAGGATAGTTAGCTCTTCTTGTTGAATTGATCCCTTTACCGTTACGTAATGGCCTTCTTTGTCTCTTTTGATCTTTGTTGGTTTAAAGTCTGTTTTATCAGAGAGTAGGATTGCAACCCCTGCCTTTTTTTGTTTTCCATTTGCTTGGTAGATCTTCCTCCATCCTTTTATTTTGAGCCTACTTGTGTCTCTGCACGTGAGATGGGTTTCCTGAATACAGCACACTGATGGGTCTTGACTCTTTATCCAATTTGCCAGTCTGTGTCTTTTAATTGGAGCATTTAGTCCATTTACATTTAAAGTTGATATTGTTTTGTGTGAAATTGATCCTGTCATTATGATGTTAGCTGGTTATTTTGCTCGTTAGTTGATGCAGTTTCTTCCTAGCCTCGATGGTCTTTACAATTTGGCATGATTTTGCAGGGGCTGGTACCGATTGTTCCTTTCCATGTTTAGTGCTTCCTTCAGGAGCTCTTTTAGGGCAGGCCTTGTGGTGACAAAATCTCTCAGCATTTGCTTGTCTGTAAAGTATTTTATTTCTCCTTCACTTATGAAGCTTAGTTTGGCGGGATATGAATTTCTGGGTTGAAAATTCTTTTCTTTAAGAATGTTGACAATTGGCCCCCGCTGTCTTCTGGCTTGTAGAGTTTCTGCCAAGAGATCCACTGTTAGTCTGATGGGCTTCCCTTTGTGGGTAACCCGACGTTTCTCTCTAGCTGCCCTTAACATTTTTTCCTTCATTTCAACTTTGGTGAATCTGACAATTATGTGTCTTGGAGTTGCTCTTCTCAAGGAGTATCTTCATGGCATTCTCTGTATTTCCTGAATCTGAATGTTGGCCTGCCTTGCTAGATTGGGGAAGTTCTCCTGGATAATATCCTGCAGAGTGTTTTCCAACTTGGTTCCATTCTCCCCGTCACTTTCAGGTACACCAATCCGATGTAGATTTGGTCTTTTCACATAGTCCCATATTTCTTGGAGGTGTTGTTCATTTCTTTTTATTCTTTTTTCTCTAAACTTCCCTTCTCACTTCATTTCATTCATTTCATCTTCCATCACTGATACCCTTTCTTCCACTTGATCGCATCAGCTCCTGAGGCTTCTGCATTCTTCATGTAGTTCTCGAGCCTTGGCTTTCAGCTCCATCAGCTCCTTTAAGGACTTCTCTGCATTGGTTATTCTAGGTATCCATTCGTCTAAATTTTTTTCAAAGTTTTAACTTCTTTGCCTTTGATTTGAATTTCCTCCTGTAGCTCGGAGTGGTTTGATCATCTGAAGCCTTCTTCTCTCGACTCGTCAAAGTCATTCTCCGTCCAGCTTTGTTCCGTTGCTGGTGAGGAACTGCGTTCCTTTGGAGGAGGAGAGGCGCTCTGCTTTTTAGAGTTTCCAGTCTTTCTGCTCTGTTTTTTTCCCATCTTTGTGGTTTTATCTACTTTTGGTCTTTGATGATGGTGATGTACAGATGGGTTTTTGGTGTGGATGTCCTTTCTGTTTGTTAGTTTTCCTTCTAACAGACAGGACCCTCAGCTGCAGGTCTGTTGGAGTTTGCTAGAGGTCCACTCCAGACCCTGTTTGCCTGGGTATCAGCAGCGGTGGCTGCAGAACAGTGGATTTTCGTGAACCTCGAATGCTGCTGTCTGATCGTTCCTCTGGAAGTTTTGTCTCAGAGGAGTACCCGGCCATGTGAGGTGTCAGTCTGCCCGTACTGGGGGGTGCCTCCCAGTTAGGCTGCTCGGGGGTCAGGGGTCAGGGACCCACTTGAGGAGTCAGTCTGCCCGTTCTCAGATCTCCAGCCGCATGCTGGGAGAACCACTGCTCTCTTCAAAGCTCAGATGGAAATGCAGAAATCACCCGTCTTCTGCGTCGCTCATGCTAGGAGCTGTAGACCGGAGCTGTTCCTATTCGGCCATCTTGGCTGCCTCGCCGGAAGAGGGCTTTAATCAGGTGCTGCAGCCGAGGAGATGGGAGCTCAGTCTCAAATCCGTCTCCCTGCAGACTAAAGTTAGGGGTTTATATAGCAGGGAAGAAGTGTAACAATGTATAGGAAAACAGGAACTCTGGAGGGACAAGGAAGCAATCGTGATGAATGAGGGGCTTGGTGTCTCATAGTCTGGATGCAGTGATTTGGTGAGTTTCGGTTCTTCACTACTTTTTGAAAGGCCTGGGGGTACTTTTCTGAGGAAGGAACTCAGATAAAACAATTTTAAGTTTCAATCTTTAAGACCAGAAGTGTCAATTTCTCTATTTATCCAAAAAAAATTGTCTACTGGACTATTGGTTCAGTTTCATGTCCCTCTTTGTGTCTAATAATATTTTCTGTCTTAAAGTCTGTCTTGTCTGATATTAACATAGCCACTCTTTCTTAATTATTATTGTTTGTGTGATGTATCTTTTCCTATCCTTTTACTTACAATTGATTTTTGTAAATAGAAGGGACATACCTGAATCACATTTTCGAAATTTAGCCTTACAATCTCTGTCTTTTGATTGGAGTATTTAGTCCATTGGCATTAACCATAATTTCGATGATTGGAATAATGTCTGCCATTTTGATTTTTGTTTTCTGCATGTATCCTGGTTTAGTAGTTATTATTGTTTCTCTACTTCTTCTTACTTCTGTTTTTGTATGTTAAGTAAATATGTTTAGCGTACCATTTTAGTTTCTCTGTTGATATTTTAACTGTATTGTTATTTTCTTAGTATTGTCTCTGCAAATTACAATAAGCATCTTAATTTATCCAAGTTACTTCAAGTTAGTGCTAACTTCATTCCAGTAAAATATAGAAACCGCACTCCAGTACAGCCCAATTGTCCCCATTTTTTGCTCATACTGTCATGTATGTATTTCACAGGCATGTTATAAATCCAACAGTAGTGTTACAACAGTTGATTTATACAATTATGTCTTTTAAAAATTATAACAAGGAAAAACAGTTTGGAGGTTTCTCAAAGAACTAGAAATAGAACTACCATTTGATCGAGCAATATCAGAAATCAATATATCAAAAAGATACCTGCTCTCATATGTTTATTGCAGCACTATTCACAATAGCAAAGATAGGGAATCAACCTAAGTGTCTATTAATGGATAATTGGATTTTTTAAAAATGTGGTATATATATATATACACAATGGAATACTCTTCATCCCTAAAAAAGAATGAAATTATGTCAGTTGCAGCAACATGGATGGAACTGGAGGCTGTTATCTTGAATGAAACAAGCCAGGCACAGGAAGACAAACATCACATGTTCACCTCCTAAGTGGGTGGAAACTCAGAAGGGTGAGAGAGTGGGAGCAGGGAGGATGATGATAAATTGGTTAATGGGGTACAAGGTATGTAATTTGGGTGATGGATATTCTAAAAAGCCATGACCTGACCACTATGCAATTTATGCATGTCATAAAAGTGCACATGTACTCCATAAATGTGTACAAATAAAAAGGAAAAAAGATCTATAAGCCTTAAACAAACAAACGACACAGGATCACAGGAGAATAAAAATGTATTTATACAGTATTATATAGTTACCCTCACTCATATTTACTGTTCCCAGGGCTCTCCGTCTTTTCCTGTGAATTCAAATTGCCATCTGCATCATCTACTTCCAGCCTGAAGGCTTCTTTCACTGTTTCTTGTAAGACAGGTCTGCTAGGAACAAATTCATTCAGCCTTTATTTACCTGGGAATGTCATTCTTTTGCTCTCATTTTTGGAGAGGTTGTTTTGTTGGATATCGAATTCTCGTTTGGAAGTTTTTTTCACTTGTAACATGTCACTCTGTTGCCTTCCAGCCTCCATTGTTTCATATAAATAAGACATCAGTTGTCCTGATATTTCCTGTTCGGGACAAGTCTTTTGTGGTTTTTTTCTCTTGCTTTCAAAGTTTTCTCTGTTTTTCAATAATGTAATTGCCATGTCTTGGTGTTGGTCTTTTCCTATTTGAGGTTCACTAAGCTTGAATCTATAACTTTTTTCTTCTTCATATTTGGGAAGGTTTTGGCCATTATTTCTTTGACTTTTTTTTTTTTTTTTAACATTTCTCTCCTCTCCTTTTTTTTTTTTTTTTTTTTTTTTTTTTGCAGTCTCACTCTGTCACCCAGGCTGGAGTGCAGTGGCGCGATCTCAGCTCACTGCAACTTCTGCCTCCCGGGTTCCAGTAATTCTACTGCCTCAGCCTCCTGAGTAGCTGGGATTACAGGCACATGCCACCATGCACGGCTAATTTTTGTATTTTTTTAGTAGAGACAGGGTTCCACTATGTTGGCCAGGCTGGACTCTCCTCTCCTTTTCAAAATCCCATAGCAAATACATTGTTATGCTCAATATTCCTCCACAGATATTTGAGGTTCTGTTCCTTTTCCTTTAACATTTTTCTTTCTGTTCTTCAGCTTGGATAATTGATCTTTCAAATGTGTAGTTCCCTCTGTCATAACAAATCTGCTGTTGAGCCCCTCTTGTGAATTTTCATTTCATATTGTATGTTCATTTCCATCCAGTTACTTCTTATGGGTTCTATGCCTTTTCTTACATTGAGTCATTGTCATCATGTTTTCCTTTTATTATTAAATACGGTTTTCTTTAGTCTGTGAACATATTTGTCACTGTTGCATTGAAGTCTTTTTTTTACTGAATCCAACAACTGTGCCCCTGCCCTGCCCCCGAGACAGTTTCTGTTGACTACTTTTTTTTTTTTTTTTTTTTTAAACTAGGTATGGGTCATGCTTTCCTGTTTCTATACCTGGCTAGTATTTTTTGTTGTGGTTGAAAACTAAACTAGACAACTTGAATGATATAGCATAGCAATACAGGATTCTGATTTTTACCCCTAAGGTTATGATTGTTACTTGGTGTTTCTAAAAAACAAAAAAAAAAAAGTGTTGTTTTGGGTGTCTTGTTTTAGTTTCTTTAGTGACTTATCTGGACTAAATGTGCAGAATCTTTCTCCTCTGTAGTATTCAGCCACTGATGTCTCCTCAGCTTTGTCTTTTTTTTTTTAACTCTTTTTTTATTGCTAAGCCTGACCTCCTGGGATTCACTTCTGGGTCTGCATAGCTTAGAGGTCAGTCAGTTAATTATTGGGTAGAGGTTGGGCTCAAATACCTCAAGCAGATAAGGTTTCTCTGTCTGCCAGTAGCTCCGTGTGTGCTTTGGACAATGCATTTCAAGGTTCAGGCAGTTTTCAAGTCTGCTCCAGCCCCTGCTGCCTGTCTGGCTCTCTTCTGCCTCCTCTGTGCATTTACATTGCCACCAGGTCCACTCAGGATGTGAGGAGAGCTTACCAAGCCCTGCTATGCTTCCCTCATTTCCAGGAGCTCCCCGTTAAATTCCTGGTTGTCCTCCAATTTGCCATTTGACCCAACCAGAGTTATAGCCTTAGACTAGGAGAGCTGGAAGCACCTCCACCAGTAGCTGGGCGTGGTTTTCCAACCTCTGCTCTCAAGCAATTCAACCCCTTCCAGCAGTGAAGTTCCTGGTTTCCATGGCTAACCCCATTCTAGTAGAAGCACTTCATGGACCAAGCTGATGGATGGCTTGGAGCAGCCCAGGGCAAGAACACCACAGACTCCCACTGTTACTACTCAGAATTTAGCAATTTTTCATAAATAACACATTTTGATATATTGCTGGCTGCTGGTCAGTTTGAGAGCCTGGCTATGGCTGTGTTTGTCAGTTTTGTCCAGTTGTTTCCTGGGCATGAGATCGGCCTGCCTCCTGACTGCCCTAGCAGAAGCCGTGCCAGGATACTATCTAAGCGCTGGGCGTGCATTTCCCAACATGCAGTAAATATGGACAAAGAATGTGTTGATGCCCACACATGGCTTGTGGTTAGGTTGAGAATGTTAATCAAATTAATTATCTTTCAATAATATGATATCTATTTGCTTATGGCATTAGAAAATTAAATTACTCATTTCTCTCTGTTGGAGCAGTCCCTAAATAGAGAAATGCATTTAGATATTCCAGATTCTTCCAGATCTGCATGTGGATCACTCACACAAAGGAACCAGTTTCACCTTCTTATAGTTGCATCTCATTTATTCCAGATTCTTCCAGATCTGTGTGTGGATCACTCACACAAAGGAATCAGTTTCACCTCCTTATAGTTGCATCTCATTTATTCCAGATTCTTCCAGATCTGTGTGTGGATCACTCACACAAAGGAATCAGTTTCACCTCCTTATAGTTGCATCTCATTTTGTGCTGCCCAAATTGCAGCAACCACCTTATTCTGTGAAGAGCCACCAGCATGAATAACTGGCTCATCCTAGAAATTGAATTTCCTTCATGAAGCAAATATGTGCCACCATTGAGGGCATGCCAAATACTTACAATTTTCAAAAATGAAATCAAAAATATTTTGTGAAATATGAACATGATTGGAATAGTAGTATGGCATCTAATGTTTTAATTTTCTATATCAAAAATATAATAACTCATTTAAATGTGTCACTCAAGGCATGTTTCTCAAAAAATAAAAATCAATATCTTTACACTATTATCTTAGACATTCTCATCTTATGTGCATCAATAAAAGGCATTGGGGTGTGAAATGTAGCCATTTGGTGAGAGGGAAAGAATCTCCCAGATAATAATACAAGGGGACCATTCTTCATTTTCCTCTGAAACAATGTGATAAGAAAAGGGGTGCTGGCATCTATCCAAATGTGTGTGCTGAGAAAAGAAAATCTTTTTAATTTTTCAGACTTGTGCTTTTCAGATCTCTTGATGTGGCTTCCATGCCACTATGTAAAATTGTGGGTGAGTAGAGACCTGTTCCATCTGTGGCTGCCTTAATAAAGGGAACAATGGTCAAAGAATTGTAATCTTTTGTTACTGTAAGGCTATAACTATTATAATGAAATCCAACTTTTCTGTATTTACATGGAGCTATGAGTGAAATACCTTCTGACACAAGTAATTGTGACAAATGTAGTTTGAGTAGTTAAGAGGCCCATAATTCATGAACCTCTTCCACACTCAGTTTTGAACAAATAGTAGTAAAATGTTGATTCTAAATGAAATTGTAGTTTAATAAAGTTGTCCCAAACTTGACTGAAGGCCCTCTTGTCTCAAGTAGTACTCACTGAAACAAAATCCAGTACCAATAAAAAGGATCCTTCAGAATGCCCTATAATGTAGATGTGTTCGATGGCTTATTAAAACATCTCTCTTTATGGACCTGCCTCTGTCTTCAGCACTTTGGTAACTCTCTAATATGTGTCTAAAGTATATTTCTGCAGTGATTAGCCTTGAGGCTGAAACTGGCCCAATTATCCCATAGAACTGATATTTATGGTTTCTTTGAATAAACAGAAATCGATCCTCCCAATCTTAAAACTTGAAAAAGTTAGATTTGTCTTATCTGAGTTCCTTTCTCAGGAAACCAACCATCAGCCCTCCCAGAGAGCACCAGGAACTGAAACTCACCAAATCACTAGATCTGGAGGATGAGACACCGGACCCCTCACCCATCACAATTGCCTAAATGACCACATGCTGCGTGTTGACCAGCTCCTCATCCTTATCACTCCCTAAATCTTGTTTTCCCACACAGGGTTAAATTTCTTTCCTGTTATATAAACTCCTAATTAAATTTATTTATTTAGAGATAGGGTCTTGCTCTGTCACCCAGGCTGGAGTGCAGTGGCACAATCTTGGCTCAGTTAAGCCTTGACCTCCCAGACTCAAGCAATCTTCCCACCACAACCTCCTGAGTAGCTCAGACTACAGGTGCTCACCACCATGTCCAGCTAATTTTTGTATTTGTTTTTTTGTAGAGACAGGGTCTGTGTTACCCAGGCTGATCTCACACTTTTGGACTCAAGTGATCTGTCTGTCTTGGCCTCCCCCAAGTGCTAGGATTACAGGCATGAACTATTGCACCTGGCAAAATCCCGAATTTTAGTTGGTTGGGGGGACAGATTTGAGGCTGACTTCCCATCTCTGTGGCTGCAACACCCAATTAAAGCCTTCTCCCTGGCAGTCCTCATTGTCTCAGTGATGGACTTTCTGTTCAGCGAGCAGCAGGACCGTGGCCAAACCCCTAGCATTTCAGTAACAAGGCCTTGAGAATTCCTTTCAACCTGACCAATGTAGATAAAAACAGCATCTCCTACTTATCATATCATAATATTATAAGGAAAAAAGTGATGATAAACATTAAAATTAAACAGAAGAAACACATTATTTGAATTCAATATATTGGTGATGACAGTGTGTTGATTTAAAAGAGTAAAGAGAAACAGTCTTTGTATTACAATACAGTTCAGATATGTATTAATCATGCTACACAACAGGGGCAGAGTGCACATTAAAATCCAAAGGTGAGCCCAGCTTTTATTTCAACCAATATCTTTCTTCCTTTTTCTCTAGCAAATGATTTCACAGTATTTCCTAAAAACAGAAGAACCCACATCTGAAACATTGGTAGTTTGGGGTGCATCACAAGCTCTCATATGTAGAAAGAAACTGTAATATGTTACAGGCCATGAGGCTGTAGTGATTCTCAGTGTGCTGTACTGTTAAAAGGTAGATCTCCAAAATAATAAAAAGAGGTGCGTTATTTGTTGGAGATGTTGTGGCTGTTAAAATCATTAGAAGGGTGAGGATAGTCTGTCCTTACAGATGAAGAACAAGCTCATCGATCTTTAATGGACTTGGTACAAATGGTACACGTGGCTGGCACTCTGATTCATCTGGAAGAAGCAGCAGCAGAAAGAGGTGAGAAGGAGGCCCCCACTGTGCAAAGTGTGCTGAATGATTCTTGCCTGGGCTCATCTGTATTGAAGAATGTGTTCTCATTCACAAGTTGAGGAAAGAGGAAAGCTGCTGCTGTGCTGTCCTGGAACTTGGAGCTGGCTGAAGATTCCAGAAGAAAAGATGTTTTCCTCCTGGATAATGAAGCCCGCATTGTGCCCCATGTACCAGACCCCGGAAGAACACGAGACTGTGTTAATGAAAACAGCCTCTGTCCAGCTTAAAGAATAAATCTTCAGAAAATGAGGTACCTGCTATTGTTCACTGGTGTTCATTAAAAAACACCCCCTTGATACGGTTCATCTGAATCTTCAGTAAGTTTTCACTGGACCTCAAATTCCCATGTAGGCAAAAAGTAAGCCAGCTTCAGTGATACCATATGTTAGGGGACAAGTAATTAGAAATCCCATTTTTGGAAAGGTGAGAACCACCGGGGATATAGTGGAAGTCTGTGCCACCCTGAAACAAGAATATGTGAAGGAAGGAACATTCCTCAGTTACAATGCAAGAAGTATCTTTAGAAACGGAATGTATAGCTCAGAATCCTATAACCTTACATAAGACATGGCACACAGAGGCCGAGACTGTAAAATACAGCTTCAAGAATCATTCAGCCGAGATAACAGTGGTGCTTCAAGGAGGCCTGGTGGTGGAGGGTGCTGGGACAGGATGGGGGACGGGGCATCTGTAACTTGAGGTCCCAGCAGACAGCTATTCTCCCAGCAAAGCATGTAGTGTTCTTCTGGCCCAGGCTGGGTGATGTTTGGGTGTTTCTCAATGTGGTAGATGCTATGGAATTTGTTTCTTCTAGAAAATAGAGGGGAAAGCAAGCCACTAGGACAGATTAGTCCATTGTTGTGTCTCTTCCTCTAATGCTTTGCTTTAGCCGTTTAAAAATGCCCCTGGGCAGCAGATCACCCGACAGCTCAATAAATCCAGACTCCCTGTGGGGGATCTCCCAGCAGCCCCAACTCCCACCTTCTCCTTCCCCCGCTTCACAGCCCTGAGTCTCAGCCCCTTTTTCAACTTCTCAACCACTCCATGGGCTTTCCTGTCTTGGGAGTCCTTGCAGCCCTTCCTTCTGCCTGGAATGTTCTTTCTCTTGCCCTTCACTTGGCTGGCTTCTTATCACCCTCCAGATCTCCATTTAAATGCCATTATTTGTGTGTGTGTGTGTGTGTACTTGTTATTTTCTGTCTTGCCGGACACAGTTGTCTTAGGTCACATTTCCCAGAAGCAGACACTGATGTGGGAGCCATGAGCAAGTGATTTGCTAAGAGATTCCTCCCAGGGAGGAGCAGTGAGTGAGTGGGGAATTCATGCAGGGGAGCTGTCTCAGCCAGAGTCCCACAGAGGGAATCTCAGCCTGACCTGGAGGGGACTCTGCCATGCAGGTGATGGCTGTGATGGTTGAAGGCCTGCTGGCTGCCACCACCAGGGAGCTGTGCAGGGAGCAGCCACAGGCTCCCTGAGGAGCAGAGAAGTCAACTCCTAGACAGGTCTCCAGATCTTAGCCCAGAGCTCGCACACAGTAGGCACATAATTATAATTAATATTTGGCTGATTCATCTAAGATATAAATGAAACTATCAGAGAAGTTTGAAATATCTGAAGAAAATAAATGAAATATCTGAAGAAATAAATGAAACTATCAGAGAAATAAATGAAACTATCAGAGAATAAATGAAACTATCAAAGCCCTGCGGGTATCCTGATTTCAGAAGCATGGGTCTAAGGCGCTGGTGTACACCGTGGTCTTAATCACTGAAGCAGTCAGCTTGTTGTGTGAAGGGCTGGACTTGTTCTGATTACATTTGGCTGCAATCACTAATCACTAATCACTGCACACATCCCTTAAAGTGTACTCCATGGAATCCTCATCTCATGGAAAGAAAAATGGTTTGGGAGCACTGAGTTCCCGTCCCCATCTCTGAAAACTCAGAGTGAAGGAGCCACCCTGAGTGATGCCCCGTCCAAAGCCCTCTCCCAAGTCCGTCAGGCTTCAGCCTGTGTGTGAATTACCTGGGTCTGGTTAAAGTGCAGCTCCCAGGGCAGGTTGGGGCGGGACTGAGAGTCTGCATTCCTACGGCTGCTAGGGGCCCCACCCTGAGCGGGAAGGACATGGACTTTCCTAGTTGAAGGTCCAAATGCATGTTCTCTAACCACTTCAGGGACAGAGGAGGCACGAGACTGACCTTTCTTGGGAGCATAACCCTTCTCTAGCCACATGGCCTGACCCCTTGTAGCTCCTTATGGAAGCCCCAAGATCACACCTGCCCTCTTCTTGTTGCTGGACTTTTCCTTAGTTCAGCTAAAGACAGGGTCCTTGTCTGTCTCACAGCCATGAAAATTCAGGCTTGCGGATGGTTTGAAGGGTGAGTAAAGCAGGGTTTTATTGAGTAAAAAGGAAGAAAAGGAGGAAACAGGGACTCTCCAGAAGCCCAGAGTCCCTGCTGGAGTGCTTCCCCCTGGCAGTTCAAATCCCAGGTTCCACACAGGCAGAGTAAACAGCACAGACTTCTGTGGCTCCACATCGGTGCACACTCTCTCCAGTGTGCAGGCTGCTTGGAGTTTTTCCAGGGCCCCCTCCCACCTGGCTGTCTCATTTTAAGGATGGCCCATCCAGTGAAGACAACTCTCACACCTGCACTTCCTGCCCAGGGGAGCCCTCTGAAGGACATCCCCAGCATCTCCACTCTCCCCAGGATGGTAAGCCACTCTCCTGGGTCCCCCGTCACTCTGGGGCCCTCTTGAAAAGAGCCTTGAAAAGGAGAGCCCAAAGGGGCTCTGACCTGTGTGATGTGGAACAGAGCCTCCAGCCTCCTCCTTTCTGGAGACATCCCTGCAAGTCTTAGCTTCCAAGCACCGCTCCTCTAACTCCTGCCCCATATGGAGTCCATCCAGCAGGGCCTGTGCCCACCTGGTGGCATCTGCCTACTGCCTCCCTGAAAACTCAGGAGGCTCCTTCCAGGATGGGAGGGAGGCACGGAGAGCACACTGGGCTTCCCACTTGGCCCATGTGATGTGCGTATGATGGGGGCACCATCCTCTCCACTGTGTCTGCAGTTGCTAGAAATGCTGGGCCAGGCGTGGTGGCTCACGCCTGTAATCACAGCACTTTGGGAGGCCAAGACAGGAGGATCATCTGAGGTTAGGGGTTTGAGACCAACCTGGCCAACATGGTGAAACCCTGTCTCTACTAAAAATATAAAAATTAGCCGGACATGATGGGTGATGGCAGGTGCCTGTAATCCCAGCTACTTGGGAGGCTGAGGCAGGAGAATCGCTTGAATCCGGGAGGCAGAGGTTGCAGTGAGTTGAGATCGCGCTATTGCACTCCAGCCTGGGCGACAGAAGGAGAGTCTGTCTCAAAAAAAACACAAAAAAGAAAGAAAAAGAAATGCAGCAGCTGGTCCAGTTTTGTGGGAGAAGTAGGGGACATCGTTGCACTGCAGCTGCTGGAGGCATGTGCTTTCTTTTTGTTTCAGGTAATGAGCTGAAAGAAATAAATGTGCTCATAAAAGGGACTATTCCTTTCCCTTTCCCTTTCCTTTCCCTGGTAGCAGAATGGACCATTTTGTTTCAGCTGGAGTTGTCCCCTTGTAGCAGCCCCATCTGTCTGTCGTGAGCATGGGCTGTGGAGAGGTGTGAGAATATCAGACTCCTAGGGCTGGTGACCTCGGGAGGCGTCTGTCATCCTCTCATTTTTATTCCCTTCTCATAACACCTGGAGTCAAGTCTGAACACACAGGACTTCAATGTCTGGGGGACCAGAAACTGAGATAAAAATGATACTAACCTTGAGGAGAGTTTTGAAAAGCCAGCGGCCAAACCAATGAGAGGTATGGCGCACATTGTCCTGATCACCTCCGTGGATCTGTAAGCAGCAGACAGGATTTCCAAAACGTGAGGAATGAGGACTTTATGTATTCATATAAGCACTCAAAATGTGCTATCTGAGCTCAAGGCAAGAGGTAGTCACAGCATTTGATGTAACAATTAGGGCCGAAGAAAGGCAGGAGGCAACATTTTCTTGCAGTCCTCTTTTGGAAGATTCACTTCTGCATAAATGTGTTCACCTGAACCGAAGGTGGTCCTGTGCCCCCTGTTCATACATGTCACCACCTCCACTCATCAGCTGGGCTTCTCAGAGATGGTGCACGTCCGTAACCAGTTCTGAAGGCCTGAGGGACTCTGGGAGCAAGGTGGAATTCACATCTGCTAGCTCATCACGCCAACCTGGGGAAATTGTCCCACCCTCTGTGAGGAGACAGTGCAGGTGTCCCTCGAGAGCCCGCCCATTTCAAGTGACATGACACCTTTTGGTGTCGGAAATACGAACTCAATAAATCAGTCAGGGACTGCTGGAATTTCTGCAAA
This sequence comes from Homo sapiens, assembly GCF_000001405.40. Lineage (NCBI taxonomy): Eukaryota > Metazoa > Chordata > Mammalia > Primates > Hominidae > Homo > Homo sapiens. Next base: position 24,569,151 of record NC_000020.11, read on the forward strand.
CTGAAAACTGTTCCCCCTCTTTAGCCTTTACTGTGATTTGACCACAGGAGGAGAATTTCTGTATGTGACCAAAAAGGCAAGAAGAAAATATTCAAATCCAGGCAGCGTGTGACAGGAGAGTGACTCGTGTGTCCATGTCTAGTGCTTTTCCTCGCTCAAAGGGGTGGCATCCCTGTTTTACATGTGATGAATCTGAGGTTCCAGCTGCTGGTTTTCCATCTGGTCTTATGTTAGAATCACATATGATTAATTCACTTATAAAGTTCCACATGCCCAGAGAGAGCATCAGAGACCTGGGCGTCAGGAGTGTTGAAGCCCCTGAGTGAGCCCCGGGGTAGCCCACCCCAAGGACATTGGTGACTTGCCCAAGGGTCTCAGCTAGGAAGGGGTAGGTCAAAATTTAACTCCAAATCTCATGCTTTTTCTATTCTATTATACTGACTAACCTGTATCTTAAGGTCAAGTGGATCCAAATTATCTAAATCAAAACCAAAAACCCCAGCTTTCTATTAAAAAATCAATTTTTGTAAAGTTTACCCCAGAAAAAAGTGCAAACAAATACTGAACCCCAGTTAATGGTGTGATGCTGAAGTGTTTAGGGGGAGTGTCCTGCTGTGTGCAACTCACTCTGACATGGATCAGAAAAGATAAGATGAAGCGATGGGTGGATAAGAGGATGAACAGGTGCACGAATAATGATAAAGTTGGTGCGGTAAAGATGCTAGTTGTAGAACCTAAGTGATGAATATGTGAACATTCACTATATAATTCTTTTAAGTGTTCTGTCTGTTGTATCTATTTGAAGTGCAGGTTGATGCCAGGAGTAAAAAAGATGTCTTCTCTGCACCATTTGTTGACTTATCCACTTTTAATCTGCTGTTTGAAAATGGTCATATACCAATTTCAGTATTGTATTTTATAATGTTATAGAGTTTATATGGACAGGCAAAATCTTCTGGCAGAGTTGATTTACTGAACAAATGTGTAGCAACACTGCTCTGAAAATATATGGGCCATCACATTTAAACGTAAAGTGCTTAGCTATAAAGCTTTTAGAAGAAAACAGAAAATCTCTGTAACCTAGGGTAAGGTGAAGAGTTCTTAGCTATGACATCAGAAAAACAATCTATAAAAGAAAGAATAGACAAATTTTACTTAATCAAAATTAAAAACTTTTGCTCTGCAAAAAAACACTGTCAAATGATGAAAAGACAAGCTACACAATGGGAGAAAAATATTTGTAAATTGCATATCTGACAATTTGTATCCAGAATACAGAAAAATTATCTCTTAAATTTAAATGTAAGAAATTGCAACCATCTAGTTTAAAAATAGGCAAAATATTTGAACAGACACTTCATGAAAGGGAATATATAAATGGCAAATAAGCACACAAGAAAGATATTTGACATCATTAGCCATCAGGGAAATGCAGACTAAAACCATGATTATATACCACTGCACACCTCAGAATAGCTAAAATCCAAAATGTTGAAAATACTAGGTACTGGCAGGGATGCAAAGTAACTGGAACTCTCATACATTGCCGGTGGGAATGCAAACTGGAACAGCAACTCTGGAAAACACTGTCAGTTTCAAACACCATATGACCCAGCAATCCTACTCCAAGGTATTTGTGCTAAGGAAATAAAACCTTACATTCACACAAAAACCCATACATATATGTCTATAACATGTATTTCTAATAACTCATAATTGGAAAAGCAAATGCTCTTCATTTTTGGATGAATGGATTAAACACATCGTGTTACTTATTATGGACTATTACTCAGGAAAAAAAATGAATGAACTATGGATACACCCAGCAACCTGGATCTCGAGGGTATTGTGCCAGTGGAAATGGTCAGCCTCAAAAGGTTGATATACTGTATGTTTCCATTCCTATGCCTGCTCGAAAAGACGAAACTGTAACAACCAACAGCAGTGCAGTGATTGCAAGGGGTTAAGGATGGGGAAAGGTGGGATATGAAAAGGAAAAATGAGGGAGTTCTTTGGAGGTGATGAAGCATTTCTGTATCTTGGCATACATCTATACATGCAACAAAATCCATAGAACTACACACTGCAAACACACACACGCACAAGAATGAGGCACAGATACACTGGTGAAATCCGATTAAGGTCTGTGGTTTAGTCAGAAGTGTTATACCAATGTCATTTTCTGGATTTTGATCATTGCATTATGGTTATGTAAGAGGCAAGCAAGGGTATATGGGAACTCTCTGTTCTATCTTTGCAGTTCCTACAGGAACTCTGTTCTATTTTTGAAAATTTTATGTAAGTCCAAAATTATTTCAAAGTGCATATATATATATACACACACACAATATTTCAAAGTGTATATATATAACTTATACATATATACACAGATATACATTTATATTATATGAAGTCATGTTTAATGAATTTGAATATTCTTTCTGTAGTCTTCAAACTGTAACTAAAAATATCACTTAAATACATGCTTTTCTTTCAACAAAGCAGAACATTTTAGAACAGTGAAGAAAAAAAGGAAGTTAGTGATTATTAAAAATAGCTAATGTCCAATTACCTAGAACACCCCAGCCCATCCCTTGATAAATAACCAGAGGTTTACTATAATTTGGTTTTACACAGAGGCAACCTTTTGAAATTGACCCATTGACAGTTTTTTTGAAGAAACAGACATTGACCCTTCTGATCTTAAAGCCTGAAACTTACATTTGTTTTATCTGAGCTCCTTCTTCAAGAGAGGACCTTCAGGCCTTTCAACCCAAAAAAATTATCAAAGAACTGAAACTTACCAGATCACTGTATCCAGAGAAGGAGATGCCAGACCCCTCATTCATCACTTGATTGCTTCCTTAGGCCTCCCTGGTTCCTATTTTCTTACACACTGTTACATTACTTCTCTGCTATATAAACCCCTAATTTTAGTGGGTCAGGGAGATGGATTTGAGACTGAGCTCCCATCTCCTCAGCTGTAGCACTGAATTAAAGCCTTCTTCCTTGGCAATACTCCTTGTGTCAGTCATTGGCTTTCTGTGTGGCGAGCAGCAGGACCTAGACCTAACCCCTGGTGTTTCAGTAAGACTTTAGTTTGGAAAATACTCAAATCCTTGCAACCTAGGCAGCCCAGCTGAACCACAGTCGCATTCTGGCGTGAGGGGATGTGGCCAGGGGGCCAGCCAGGAGAGCTCAGAGAGACTGGGCGGGAGGCTCCTGGAATCACCTGAACTCAGGGTTCTCCTGTGCCACATCTTCGGCAGCTGGCTCTTCTTGTTGCAGAGATGAGAGATGCAGATTTAAGGCTCTCAAACTGCAGAGGGCTGGTGACTTTGGCCACTGCCTGGAACTCTTGAGAGCGTGGAGCGACTGGTCAGGTGGGAGACCCACATTCTTCCCACTCTGGAGTAAGGTGGTTCTCATTCAAGCCGAAGAAGCTTCTGGTGCCCTTGGGTGGAGGACAGGGTTGGGCAGGATATGGGGAGTAGAGATGGCCACTGGCCTCTTAAAGGAAGAGATACAGTTGTGTTCATATGCACCCCTCCCAGAGCAAGCTGGATGGATCTCAAGAGTGGAAAAGGCCAGACTCAAAAGGTTGTATACTGTATCTTTCCATTCCCATGGCATTTTTGAAAAGATGAAACTGTAACAACTGATAGTGCAGTGGTTGCCAGGGGTTAAGGATGGAGGAAGGGTGAGATATACAGAGGAAAAATGGGGAAATCATTCTTGGTGCTCATAAGAAGCTCAGAGACGATTCAGATGGGTAGTGTGGATGGATGGATGTCAGGTTCCTCCAAGCTTGCCCTCTGTTCCAGGGAGGATTGGCACTCTACCAGCCTCCTCCACCTCCCAGCCCCCGTCCTGACCCACATTAGTCTGAAGTTTTACCCACTGCTCTGCTGTAAGTTCCTTCTGGCTCCTGGCGGTGGTTCTGTTCTGCTTTTGAGAGTGGGCATCCTGTGAAGAGCATTCCTGTGGCGCAAGTGAGAATTACCATGCAAGCAACGTACATTGTAAGCAGAGGTACTCATTTAGTAACTGGATCAACAGGCAATGATAACTTGACATTCAGCTATGAAACCAGCCCTTCTGGATGGGTCATAGAAGGCTGCATCCCTATTTATGTCCCAGTCACGTAGATTGATGTGGGATGAGCTCGGTTTTGTTCAGGCAGGGAGAAGTGGTCTGGCTCTCCACAGTCCTGTGTGTGTGATGCCCACTCCCTACCCCCAGCTTTGCCTGTGCTGCTTTCCCTGCACCCAAGTCCTTTAATGAGTCACGGGCTGCCAGACCCTTCTTCACAAGGCCTGAAGTCCAGTGTACAACACAAATTATATCCACACTGTGAAAATAAAAACATACGAGAATGAAAAAGAAGGAGAAAACAGTATCATCGCCAGCTTACACTGATGGCCTGCTGCGCCCTGGTCACTTTGACCTGAATCACGTAGTGATCTTTCACACCAAGTCCTGGAAAGCTTTGGCCCACCCTGTCATTGAAGACCAAGGTATGCATCTGTTCATTGCACCCATCTGTTTGGCAGCGGTGATGAGGTTTCTCATCCTGCATGACGTATTCGTCATGTGTCTGTCACCTCCTCTCAAGTGTCCCAGAGTCTCATGGTCGTGTTCCACATAGGGCTGCCCCAGGGCAGTAATGGGGGTATCCAGCAACCCCCAGTTCCTCCACAGGCTCTGCAGCAGGTGCTCTCAGCTCCCCTTACCCCACACCTTCTCAGGTGTTACCCTTGCCTGAGACACCCCTGGGCCTGAACTTTCTCTGGAGACCTGAAGTCTGCCCTGCAAAGGGTGGGAGAATCTCTGCCCCCAGGAGACCAGGGTCAGTTTATTCCAGAGAGATAACTCAGAATACATCTTACACTGATTTCCTCGAGGTCCCAACAGGAGCAGCCTCCAGGCTCCCACTTCTCTTCCCCATCATCTTTGCTGAGATCACCTCCCAAAAAAGCAATTGCACCTGAATCCTTTATTCAAGCTCTGCTGCAAGGAGCCAGGCCTCAAGAATGCGTTTGTTAGGCGGGGCACGGTGGCTCACACCTGTAATCCTAGCACCTTGGGAGGCCAAGGTGGGCAGATTGCCTGAGCTCAGGAGTTTGAGACCAGCCTGGGCAACACAGTGAAACCCCGTCTCTATTAAAAACCTAAAAAAAAAAAAAAAATTAGCCAGGCATGGCGGCATGCACCTTTAGTCTCAGCTACTCAGGAGGCTGAAGCAGGAGAATTGCTTCAACCTGGGAGGTGGAGGTTGCAGTGAGCCGAGATTGTGCCACTGCATTCCAGCATGAGTGACAGAGCTAGGCTCTGTCTCTAAAATAAATAAATAAATAAGTAAATAAATAAATAAATAAAAATAATGCATTTGCTAAAGCTGCCCTCCCAGGCCACTGAGCACTTCCAGGCCACAGGAAGAACTTAGCCTGATGGGTGAACTCAATGAAGGAACTTCTTATCCTACTCTAACCATTGGATTAAATGCCTATAGCTAGTTAAAAGACAAGTATTTCAATTAATGCAGGAATATGGAAAACAAGTCCTCTAATATAATGATATGTCTTATCACATCATAAAACCTGAAGTCCAGTGTACAACACCATTACCTTCACAAAGACAAACCAGGAGCTACACACAGAGGTGAATCTTAATGAATTTCATTTCATTCGGCTCCTGCTTCCAGAACATTACAGATCCCTAGGGCCGTCGTTAGGTGCTAATCAGAAACTTCTCAGAGGAGAAATACATTTGTGCTTTACCCAGGACAAGCAGACATTAACAGAGACAGTTCTCTTTTGACAACTTCCCTTTGTGAATGAATGCTTGTCTCCCTGGAGCACGGTAGATATTGCCAGGGAAACCCTGGATGTGCTTCCCCAGCCTCATCCCATTACTTCTGGTGAGGTTTTTGTCTGACACAAGTGAATGCAGAATGCAGCCTTACAAGGGCTTTCTTCCCAAAGTTTGCCTTCCAGGACCCCATCCCTGCCTCAAAGAGCTGAACGTTTTTGAAAGGGAGTTCAAGTCTCCCACTAATCATGTCTATTGATGATGGGAATTGAGTCTTCATGGGGATGTGCTAGGAGCTAAGACCTAAAGCACCCATCCCAAAGGAAGAAAACAAAATTTAAAGAAATAGGACGGAGGTGATCCATTAAGGCAGGTCTGGTCAGCTTCAACCGTTCTGCCCATACACACTGAACGTTCATTTATTCCCAGAGAGTCTGTTTGCAAATAATCTTCTTCAGATATTTGCAAGCATCTACTCTGGCCCCAGAATCAAACTGGGAGCTTCCAAAAGAGAAAAGCTCAGTCCTGACCTCCAAGGGCTGGAGCGTGGTGTGCACCTCATTTACAGCAGTCAAGCCCCAAACGCTCACAATGGGAACTTCATCTCATTTGTTCTAGGACGTGCAAGGCATTTGTGTTTTATTTAATTTATCTTGCGAGGTTAATATATTTTTCTGTACAGAAAAGTTTCATATTTTATGCACCTAACTGGATTATTTTCTTCTAAAAATACCTCCCTCCTCAAAGAATATAAAATGATTTAGGAATATTGGACTAGATACTACTAGGAGGAAAAATCTGTTTACTTCTGAATGATGCATTGACTCGCTCATTTTTGAGCATTATACATTAATTTATTTATTTTAGCTGAGATCCATTTGTTTTAGAAAAGATTGCCTGGGAAGCCAATACACAAAACAGGAAAAGCCTGAGCTGTTTGGGCCTGGGCAGGTTCAGGGACTCTGAGACATCCACCCCACACCCCCCACCACCACTTGCCCCTTCATGGAGGCCCCAGGCCCTGAAGAGCACAGTGAGAAACCACTGCATCGGTGACAGCACGAAAGTCCCTCTCCTTCAGTGACACATGGCATCGCCACCCACATTGTCTTGTGCTCTGTGACGTCCCTCAAAAACCAAATGGAGACCAAATGGTTAGACCAGGCCCACCACTGATGGCAGAGGGCATGTTTTCCCCATTTTCAGGGGCACAAAGGTACATATATCCTTGTGACTACAGCAAAATCTAATATGTTGCAATTAGAAATACTTATTTACTAGAAAATCTGGTGTTTTTGTTGGTTGAATTATCTGGGTAATGGAGAGCTGATTAACAAAGAATAACTGAATTCTCAGATTTTAGGAATTAGAATAAAGAGTGAAATACAGTTGACATTTTAACGACATTGCCCACGATTTCATTTTCTTATGATGGTTCCGAGCTCTAGTTTGTGGCTGATGATTGTTGAGCGTTTCTGCTGTACCTGCTTTGGGCTGTTGCGATGTGTGATGGAAGACAGTTGATCGGGGGGCACGTGCCCCTGGCATCACATACCTGGAAGGGGCTGGGTCAAGGCGGGGCTCTGAGATCTGCTTTGCCCCTTGTCATGGTTGACTCCTGAGTTGTGAACTCACAGATCGCATCTGAGCACTTGGCGCTGACGGGAAGGGAGTCACAGACATGAACTCTACCCATGTGCTAAATAGTAATGACCACCCCCGTCCCTGGACTCCCCAGCCCTGCCCCCAGGCTGGGCACTTGCTCCCCACCCTCAGCAGTGCCTCAGGCCCTGACGCCTCCATGGCCCCCTGTCTCCTCCTCCCCATCCCATCTCTCAGCAATCCAGCATGGACGTCCGTAAGGATTCCTAAATCCTCACTTCTGTTGAGAAAGCCATGGATCTCTTCCCATCCCCTTCCTCAGTTCTCTACCTGACCCATCCAAATGTAACAACCTGCTCAGCAGACAAGCTTTTTAAAAGGCAGTTTTAAAGTGGAGGGGTTTTGTCAGTTTGTTGTTGCTTGTTTCACACCAGTATGTGAAATATCCTCTTTCTACAAAAAAAAAACTGCTACCTAGGAGGAAAAACTAAAAGTATGACAGCATATACCCAAGATGATTGGTCAGTAATTTAGGGCAATGTGTGTTCAAATATGAAAACAGGGTTTCCTAGGACTCTGCACTCTGGAACCCCCAGATCTCCATACAGCTGTGTATGTGTGAGCCCTGTGTGCATCACACATTGGGGGTTCTCAGGAGATGTCTGTGGTTTTTACGTGACCTGACTTCAAGTAAAGGAGAGAACAAGGGGCCTCGAGATGTTGAAGAAGCCTGGTGCAGAGAGGATGGTTTGACATGGGCAGAAGGGGTCGGGTCTTCTACAGCCAGGCAGCCCACGGAAAACCCCTGAGGGACCCAAGTGGACCCCTGGGGCTTGCCCCGATGGTGCAGGTGCTGGAGGATGGCCCCAGCACTGGCCCTGCAAGGTCTCCATGGCTCACATCTCAGACACGGGCCTCACCCACGTGGCTCATGAAGACTCATTCCCTTCTGTGGGAGTGGAAGCTCTTGCCTGGAGACCTCAAAGGCAGCTGGGTCCACTTCCACACACCTGTGATGTGGACAGAGGGTATCTCGCTCCAGGCTGTCTGCCAAGACCAGAGAACATGAGTGCACCTCCCGTAGATGCAGAGGGGCTTGAGCTGTGTCTTCTGCCTACAGCTTTCCCAGGTGCTGTCCTTGGTCCTGTCCTCAGTTGCCCTGGAGCCACCATAAATAAGACAGTCTTGAGCGTGGCCAAGTCATCATTCTCACCCAACGTTGAAACCCTTCTCTGGAGGCACATGTAAATGATGGTGAAGATGTATGCCCTGGAGAGCATAGGAAGGCATTTCAGAGGGTGAAGAGAGGATCAGAGGTCAGGCAGCAGGGCTGAATGCAGAGTATTCATGGGTAATGATAGGCCCAAAGGAAGGTGGAGCTGCTGGTTACTCCACTGTCCTCTGTGCAAATTGTAGGGGCTTCACCACTTTAGTTAGTGTTGTTCATATTGGCTTAGGCCACAGGCGAATCCCTCATTCATTCAGCAAATGTGCGTGGGTCCTACTATGTGCCAGGCACTGTTCTGGGCACTTAGGATACAGCTTTGGATAAAATGTGCAGATTTCTGCCCTCCTGGTGCTTAGAGGAAGGGAGTCGGGATGGGCATGATGGCTCACGCCTGTAATGCCAGCACTTTGGGAGACCTAGGCAGGTGGATCACTTGAGGTCAGGAGTTCGAGACCAGCCTGGCTAACATGGTGAAACCCCATCTCTACTAAAAATACAAAAATTAGCCGGGCATGATGGCACGTACCTGTAATCCCAGCTACTCCAGAGGCTGAGGCAGGAGAATTGCTTGAACCCGGGAGGCGGAGGTTGCAGCGAGCCCCAATCGCGCCACTGCACTCCAGCTGGGAGACAGTGCGAGACTCTGTATCAAAAAAAAAAAAAAGAAAGAAAGAAAAAGAAAAGAAAAAAAAAGGAAGAGAGTCAGAAAGTAGACAAATCGGTATCACGTGAATGCAGAGAAGCCCCTAGCAGGCTGGGGTTAGAGGGGCTGGGAAGGTGGTGGCAGCTTTGCAGCTATGTAGGGAAGGCTCTGATGAGAAGTGGCATTTGCGCAAAAGCCTCAAATGAAGTGGGCAAGCTAGGCACATGTGCATCCTGGCTTAGGGGACGGCAGGTGCACAGGCTCTGATGCAGGCAGGGCACACACGCATGTGGGAGGAGCAGCAGGGAGCTCCCTGCAGGTGGAAAACGCCAAGCCCAGAGTAAAGAGGGTCAGATCCCACGAGACTGCTGTGAGCGCAAGGTCAGAGATCACCAGATCCTCACTTTTGTGCCTTTCCACAGTGTCAGGCTTTTTATTGATGCTGCATTCTCCATCATAAAGGCCACGAGCTCCCTGGAGTTCCCAGGAGGTATTCTCCTTAGTGCTTCCCCTTGCCTCGAGAGTGAGAGTGGCCGGCACGCAGGCTTGAGCCGAGCCACCCGTCAGTCAGTATTGCAAACCGTACATCACAGTATATTTAATCAACATATAAATGTTATAGATTAAACATTCCACAACAAACTAAGTAACATTTAACATCAAGAGAAAAGGGATAGGAAAAGGGGTTCGTGTTCCAGTCCAGGGAGAGTGGCGAGAATGGAAAGAATACACTGGCCTGGCCCGGGTGCTCCGTCAGTGGTCAGTGTCTTGCAAGGAATAGTCTTTGCTGTGGGCGGAGCCTTCAATGGCAGATGCTGGGCCCTTATCACAAGTGATGGCAAGATGGTGTCTGTTAAAATGACTGTTTTCGAGCTGCTGAAGTCTTGCTCTTTTTATGGCTGCAGAGTCCTCTGGTGAGGACTAATAGTGGCAGAATGTGCTTGGTTAAATCCTTGTCTGGTTGGATGCAGCCTTTATTGATCAGGCAAAAAAACTCTGGTCTCTGTTTGAAAACTCTGTTGCCCTATGAAATATAAGATGGAGTCTTTCTAAGATGGAGTCACTTATGTCAAAGGTGCTCTATACAACGAACGGCACAGTCCAATAGGACCTTCTGAGGTGGTGGAAACGTTCTGCATCTGTGCTGTCCCACGTGACAGGCATGGGACACGTGTGGCTCCTGAGCATGTGGTGTCACTGAGGGACCAGTGTTGGTTGTGTGTACTTGTGAGCACTTTAAGCGGACACAGCTCCACGTTGGCCAGTGGCTGCCAGGCTCCTCAGTGCAGATGTGGCCATTGGGACCGCCACCCTTGGATGGTGCGTGAGATGCTCACCAGAGTCGGTGAGCACAGAGAAGTGAGCCATGGGTGGTGTTCAGCTTCCCACTCCTGAAACAGGTGCCTCACACTCTTGCTCACAAAGCTGCCATGAATGCTGAACATTGTGATGTGCAAACATTTGGTGTCATGCCCTGCGCTATGATTATTTTGTTAAAATATTCCCAGGAAGAAAACCCCGAGGGAACTGAGAGCCCTCTCTCTCTGTGGAGGTAAGGAAAACTGGGCTAGAACAGGCAGGCGATGCAGTAGAATGGGCGGCCCTGGAGGGCACCTGCCTTTCTCTGCCTTGGCTTTAGCTCAAAACTATGGGACCTCTGCATGAATTGCAGACTCCTTCGCAATGTTTTCAGTCCGCAGATGTACAGATTAAATGACTCATGAAGAGGATTCTTTAAGACAGCTGCAGTGCGTGATGAGTCTTTCTTGGTGTTGGGGATTGTGTGTATTTCTCTGCTTGGCTTGTTGGTATTTGTGTGGCCTCTCCTAGGCCAGCCTCGTCTCCTCTCCTTCCTCGCGAGTGGCATGATGCCCACAACCATTTATACTCCAGAACATTCCTGGCAGAAGAGGAACAAAGAAAAGAGCTGGGGTGTTTTTGTCTGCCCTGTAATTTGTCTGAGCTTTGTTTGTTTGTTTGTTTGTTTGATTTTTGAGACGGAGCCTCACTCTGTTGCCCCGGCTGGAGTGCAATGATGCAATCTTGGCTCACTGCAACCTCCACTCCCTGGGTTCAAGCAATCTTCTGCCTCAGCCTCCCAAGTAGCTGAGACTACAGGCATGCACCACGAAGCTCAGCTATTTATATTTTTTTAGTAGAGACAGGGTTTCACCATGTTGCCCAGGCGGGTCTCGAACTCCTGACCTCAAGTGATCCTTCCACCTCAGCCTCCCAAAGTGCTGAGGTAACAGGTGTGAACAACCATGCCCACCCCTCAGTTTTTAAAATCTATTTCAATCAAAGTTGACAAATTATTTTGATGTCATCTAGCCTCAGCTTGGTAATTTACAGAGTGTGATTCCTTTATGCTTCTAAATTAAAATCTGCGAAGACTGGAGGAGTGCCCTGAAAGCTAAATCTTTGCTTCTTGGGGACTGTGTAATGCTAAAGCAATTTCTAAAGATGGAAGGCAATGCCTCCAAGTGCCTACGTGGTCCGGGTCAACGGTTCCCCAAGCGTTGACTAAGATCGGGAAAACCTCACTGTTGCCATGGGCCTCTCCGTCACCACCATGAGACAGACTTAGCAAGAAGCAGAGTCATCAGAGTCCTGGCAGGGAGAGGGGAGGAAGACACCTCATCTTCTCATGAGAAGCAATGGAGGCAAAGTGGGGTTTGTGTGCAGCCAAAGCAGCCATGTGCAAACCCAGCACGCAGCTCAGAGCCCTGGGTGCGCAGCTGGCATCGGGGATTCCAGACTCCAGCAGCCACTCACAGGATGGTTTGTGAGTGGACGTGTTTTAACCTCTTGGAGCCTCAGCTTTGTCCTTTGTAAAACATAAACGACAATGACAATGAAGATAGTAATAACACCATCTGTAAACTAAAAATAAAGAAACTAAAAGATAAATAAACAGACAGGCGGATTTTTTGTTTTTTTGCAAGGATACGTCGGGATCCATGGCTGCCGTGCTCCCTGAGGTCAAGGGCTGAGCTGCGCACTGGAGAAATGGCCATTCCCCAGCCTGGCTCTGCTGCTTTCAGGAGTCTTGGACATGGGTTGGTTTGTCAGAGATTGGACCTCCCGAGCATCTCCTGCAGAGATAGCCCCTTCTGAAGCTCAGCAGTTCCAAAACCAGCTCTCTGACACCCCCGAAGCCACATGTTTTCAGTGAGGGATGGAGAGTGGAGTCGACAGGGCCGTGTGTGATGAGGTGCAGCGGGGCAGATACCCAGATTCCATGGGGCAAGCCTTCCACACTGCACAGCCTCCATGTTACATGCCATTCATACTGCACATCCTCCCCACTGCATTTCCTCCATGTTGCATGTGCTCCATGTTGCACATCCTCCCCGCTGCATGTCCTCCCAACTGGACTTCCTCCCCACTGCACGTCCTCACCCCTGCACATCCTCCCTACTGCAGGTCCTCACCCCTGCAAGTCCTTCCAACTGCACAGCCTCCTCCCTTCACATCCTCTGCACTGTACGTCCTCCCACCTGCACATCCTCCCTGCTGCACGTCCTCCCCACTGCACATCCTCCCCTCTGCACAGTCTCCATATTGCATGTCCCACCCCCTGCATGTCCTCCCCCCGCACATCCTCTCCGCTGCATGGCCTCCCTCCTTCATGTCCTCCCCCCTGCATGGCCTTCCCACAGCATGTCCTCCCCCATGTACGTCCTCCCCCTTCACGTCCTCCCTGCTGCACTCCCTCCCCACTGCACTCCCTCCCGATTGCAAGTCCTCCCCGCTGCACATCCTGCCCCCTGCACTTCCTCCCCACTTTATATCCTCCCCACTGCACATCCTTCCCCCCTTCACATACTTCCCACTGCACGGTCTCCCCCCTTGACGTCCTCCCCATTGCACGCCCTCCCCTCTCATGCTGTCCCCACGGCACGGCCTCCCCCCTGCATGGCCTTCCCCTTGCATGGCCTCCCCCCATATGTCCTCCCTTCTGCATGTCCTCCCCGCTGCACATCCTTTACCCTGCACATCCTCACCCCTTCACATCCTTCCCCCTGCACGTGCTTCCCCCTGCATGTCCTCACCCCTGCACATCCTCCCCCCTGCATATCCTCCAAGTGGCACACCCTCCCCACTGCTTGTCCTTCCCACCGCACGTCCTTTTTGCAGATTCCAGACTCCAGCACCTGAGGCTGGGAAGTGAGCATCTCCACCTGGACAGGCTGGGGCCTCACAACTCCCCCGTGAATTATGCATCCCTGTGGGCTGTTCCACTTTTTTTCCCCCTTAGCCATAATGATGGCAATTTTCATATCTCCTTACTGTTTGGAGACCATATGGGGGCCAATGTGCAGAATAAAGAGAAGAGAAATCTCACAAGCCTGGCTCCGTGGACAGAGGCTTCGCAGCCCCAGACACATGAAGCAGCCACCACAGCAGAGGCAGCGACTCCTTGACCTGTGCCCAGCAGGAGGGGCGAGGCCAGGAGCTGGCACTGTAGCCTGAGCAAGTTGCTTGCCCTGTTGGTGGAGTGGCACTTCAGGTCCCTGCCCTGCAGGCTTGTTGGGGGGCGAGTAAACAGTGAGCCCAAGTTCCACGAGAGGCCACCTGGGACGTCCTTATTGTTGGACTGATCCCATGAAAATATGCCGTACCAGGGAGCCTCAGGTCTCACTGCAGCCCTGCGGCTGGCTGCACAGTGATTAGAGGCTCTGATTGGCAGTTTTACTTGTGTTTAATTAACAAAAATGGGAAAGGGAGCCGTGGTCACCTGTGGGCCTTCCCAGCTTCTGCTAGTAAGGAGGAATGTCTGGGGGCACTCAGGCATCGGTGGCAAGCAGCGGGCTCGCAGCCACGCAAGTGCTGCACTCACGGGGTGGGCCCACCTGCACTTTTGTCTGGCTTCACAGGGTCTGTCTGGAAGCCTCCTGAAGAAATGGCCCTGACACTGCCATGCACTGCCAGTCATTCTCGAAGCGCTCCAGCTTGCGGCAGGAGGCCTCTGCTTAACAACCTTGGGCAGCTGGCAGAGAGCTAGGAAGCCAGGGCCTCCTCCAAGAGGAAGTGAGCGACTACTCTCCTAGAAAACAATATCTGGAATAAGATGGGCGCCATCTTTGTATAGGACAAATGCCTAGGCAGGGTGGCCCTGGCGTTTGGAAGAGTTGGTGTGAGGGCTCCGTATTTTGATGAGGAAAGAGCCCAGCCAGTGGAATGACAGACAGGAGGCACCCTCTGCACAAACACCAAGGCAGGGCCCAGCCATTCAGCCTCCTGGAGGAGTCACCTGCCCTTTGTGGGGAGGGTGGGGCAGTGGTTCTCTTTGCTAGGTCAGCATTGGAATCATCTGAGCTGCTTTTCAAAAATTACTATGGAATCGCAAACCACATACCCCATGTTCTCACTTGTAAGTGGGAGCTGAATGATGAGGACCCATGGACGCAAAGAGAAGAACAGACACTGGGGCCTGCCAGAGGTTGGAGGGTGGAAGGAGGGAAAGGAGCAGAAAGCATAACTGCTGCACACTAGGCTTATACCTGGGTTATGAAATAATCTGTGCACCAAACCCCCATGGCATGAGTTTACCCATAAAACAAACCTGTACGTGCACCCCTGAACCTAAAAAAAACTTTTTAAAATATAAAATTAAAAAGTAAATTCCTGTGCCCAGCTTCACCCTGATTCCCTGCTCCCAGCACACCCCTTCTCCATCAGAACCCCCAGGAGAGTCTCACTCAGCCCCTGCCACCAGGCCACAGAGCAGAAGGGCACAGCTGAGGCTCACAGGGCCATCCTCTGCTCCTCAGGAAGCCACCCTCGTGCTCCAGGTGGAAATCAGGCCCCACCTGTGTCTTGACTCAGTTCAGAGTCAAGAGAAACTTAAAAGAGAGATTCAGGGGACAATGTCCTCCGTCGATCCACATCAGCCTTGCCTTGTCCTTGTCCGCTAGTGAGAAGTCTCGTAATACAAAGAAAAACGCGCCTGGACTATGCCTTCTGAGAGTCTCCAGTCCATCCTCAGAACACACCGACAGTGCATGGTGGCAACGGGGCCAGTTCTGCAGGTGGCTTCCAGGCAGGCAGTCCCTACAGGCAGTCCCTGCAAAGTCCCCAGTCCCATCCTTTGTCCCCACCATCCAGGCACTCACATCCCAGCGATCTTAGAAATACTGCTTTCTGTAGGATTTCTTCTGCAAACGAGTGACCCAAGAGCCCCGTACTTGGCATTATTATTTTCCTGCTCTTGGCAAGCATTTCCTTGGCCTGGCTGCCCTTCCTGGGAGGCTGTGTACTTGCAGCAATAACGATGACTCGAACAACGTCAGCAACTGCAGCTGCCTCCCGGGGAGGGCCTGCGCCAGCCAGGGGTCATCCCACATCCCTGGACACCCCAGGATGACTCCTTTATTAATCTTCTCTCCTGTCCTGTCCTGCTGGTTCTCTCTTGCAGAGCGACTACTCAAGCGACACAGAGAGTGAGGACAATTTCCTCATGATGCCCCCGCGGGACCACCTGGGCCTCAGTGTCTTCTCCATGCTCTGCTGCTTCTGGCCTCTGGGCATCGCAGCCTTCTACTTGTCCCATGAGGTAAGGCCTCCTTGGTCTGTCGCACGTGGTGTGCAGGTGTTCACAGGGTGGGGGTGGGGGCGGCAATCCCAGCCGAGGAGGAGAAGCAAGGAAGCCCAAACAGCTCCTGCTACAGCTGGGTCGGCACTTGCCCAGTTGGAGGATAGGCTGGGAGAAGTCGGGGCACCCTGGGGCCGGGAGGAGGCATTCCGGCTGCCTCACCCCAGATGCAGCTGTGTCCTCGCAGAGGTGGGACTGCGTTCCGAAGAGGCTTTGGAACTGAAGCCGGTGTCTGCTGGGTAGAAGGCACATGGCCTTTGGGAGGCTGTCTTTCATTTAGGTGCTGGTGTTGTGTGTGTGGGGTGACCCCAGTGCCGGGAAACACCATGCCCAGGTGGGCTACATTGAACTTAATGAGAGAGGAGAAAAGTAGGGTTCTGATTTCCTTGCTAAAGGCTCATTCCTGTAAAATAGATTCCAGTTCCACAGCAGCCCCCATGTACCTGCCCCAGGTAAACGCCCTGCTTGTGGAAATAGCACATCTCAGCATGACATCTGCCATTCCTCCCCAGCATAAGGCTTCTAAAGGTTTCGATTCCCAGCCTTTTTCACTACAGAGCATCCTGTTTGTTGCCCCTTATGCAACCTACATTTTGAAATATTTGGAAGGAATTTTCTCTAGCAAGTTCAGAGTACTCATTCAGAAATCAGCTATATTCACATTTTCATTAATCAGAGAAAGACATTTCTACTTGCCAATTACAGAGTGAGCTGATGGCATTACCATGGCCCACTGCTATCTGCCCAACCAAAACAGGGAGAAAGAGCACTCCTCTGCTGGCCCAGGGTCGGGGTGGTGCTGCGCACCCATGGGGTGTTCTCAGGGAGGGCTGAAGATGCCTCAAAGGTACAGAGGGTCCCTCTCCAGCTTCTAGGGTTCAGGACCAGGGCTGCACACAACTGAGCCTGGCAGGTCCTTCGTCTGAAACAGATTTCCTGGCTGAGCCCAGCAGTTGCTTCTTGATGGCTTCTGTATTGGTTGGGTTTGTTGGACGAGTGAGAGGAGAATCCGCCCTGCCTTTATGGGATTTCTGTTTTCCCCTGCACATCTTGAGTGGTGACTGGCCCCTCTTTCTGACATCCAAGGAGGAGCAGGGGAGAGTGGTGGGTGGTCTGTGGTCCTCCTGAGGGCAAGCGCTTCCTGACAGGGCACAAGAAGTTGGGAAGCTTTTGCAGGCAGGGGTGTAGCTGGAGGGGCACAGTGGGGAAATCTTGATCTGCCGGGGCTAGGCTGAGCAGTTTTTCCAGACCCAGCTTTGATCTTGAGCGTCTGTCGGAGCTTCTCTTGTGACTTCGTCCCACAAATGCCACAGAACCCCTTCTCCATCAGCACAAGCATGGGGTGGGAAGCCTGACTCCTGGGTCTGGCAGGGCCTGGTGGCTGTGGAGTGGATGCAGGCATGAGTGAACCCTGCTTCAGGATGAGGTCCCAGACTGGGACACACAGGAGCTGGAGAAATGGGTGTGGGCACAGGCCCATGGTGGGCAGAGCCTGCTGTGCCACATAAACTGCACCCTGATGCTGCCAATAGACAAGAGCAGTCTTGCAAGGGAAGGAGAGATTGGGCCCGGGAGCTGGACAGGTGACATCAAACGCACCCCCGAAGCCTCCCTTGTACACTCCAGCCCTGCGTCATCTCCATGTGGGGAAGGATAGGGACACACCCACCATCATGGGGCCCAGCCGCTGAGGCATCCCTGTAAAAGTGCCACAGAGTGCTGGGTGGATGGAAGCCCTGGATAGATGGCAAGGGGCCACAGGGAGAGGCTGCCTACGTGGCCAAAGGAGAGACCAGTCCTTTGTGGTGTCCGTGGTCTCTGCTGCTCCGTGTGTTCAGATTGAAGCCCCAGTCTCTGGTGCAGGGCAAGGTATGGACAGCGTCTCTATCCAAAAGATCACCATTATAATAATAAAGAGCAAGGCTACAACTGCAGAGACTGTGTCTAGAGTCTTTCTCAGAAAGTAATTTTATTCTGAACACAGTAAGAGCCTCTTAGGCTTGGGTCTGAGGACTCATGGTGTTTGATACATTAGATAGTGAAGAGGATTTCTATTACTTGTTTAGCTGCAAATGGGAAATGCACTTTCTATAGAGGCTTCTGACCACATTTTTTGGAGGTGAAGTGGAAACATTTTCGGGGGTGGGTGTAGGTGTTGCCTTCACTATGGGCGTAGAGAGGAGCTCTCAGGGCCGCTGGCTGCAGCCTCCCTTTTCAGTGTGCTTTGAGAATGTATTTCCCTGTGGTAAAACTACAACAGAGAAGAGGTGCTAACACTTTTATAAAGATACCTGTGGAGCTGAGTCCCCTTGGCAGGGCCTGTGTCTGCATCCGTCTCCAATCAGAACTCCCATCCCAGGCAGCTCCCCTCAGTCTGCAGTGGTGGTTCCGGGAGCTGCTGCAGATCCTGGAAACAAGCAGCCCTGCACAGGACGCCTCAGCCGGCTACCAGGCTGCTGAGCATTCTGTTTACAGCCCGCACCGCAGATGCGTGGTCTCCAGCAGGCCATCGTGGGGAAGCCGGCAGCTGCCAAGGAGAGAGTGTGGCACAGAATAGAACAGATGCAATCTGAGAATCCTTGCACTAAATTAAATCAGTGCTTTCCTAAGCGAGGCCAGCTGGGAGTGCGAAGCCCAGGACTGGAGAGGGGGAAGCCCGGAGCCCTCTCTGCCGCAGTGGCCAGCACATCCTGCTGCCTTGTTGGGTCAAGGGGATGATGCACCTGGGCAAAGAGCATGTTGGTGGAGCTGAGGCTCTCCAGGCCCTCAGTGCCATTCACAAGGAAATCTTTGACATCTAAGTGTGACTTTGGGTTTTTTTTCCCTTTTATCTCAGATCATATCACAGTGTACTCACTGACAGTCAGGCTGTGTCTGCTCATTGTCAAAATAACTGTTCAGTGAAGTCAAAGGAACATGCCAAGCCATTACAGAAAAACAAAACAACATCTTATGGTGGTCTGATTAAATTGGGCAGTGGAGAAAATGAGGGATGCCATCTCTAGAATTATGCACCTCCAGTATGTTGTTTTGTCCTGTTGTAGCCTGGTCCCATTTAGCAGGCAGCTCTCCCATGCCTCTGTTTCCTGACCCATACAGTGATGTTAAAATGATTTCCAGGGTGTGCGGTTAGCTGAGGGTTAGAGATGAAGGCCAGTGAAAGTTCCCAGGAGGCACCTGCAGAGCAGCTGCTGCTGGTCGTGCCCTGCTGGAAACCTGAGTTCTCCAGGTGCTGGGGGTCCAGAGGCCAAGGAACACCTGGAAAGACACAGACACACCTTTCCCAGCAGATTTTGCTAATTCTAAAAATATGTTCATGAAGTAGCATAACAGTAGTAATCAAAGTGTTAGTGAGGTGGGTAACATTGGCTGACCACCTACTGTGCGCCAGGTTCAGCGCTGGAGCCATGCACCCTTGCTTCCAGGATGTGGTCCTGGACCCCCTAGGCACTTGCTAGAAATGCACACTGTCTGGTCCACCACACACCTGCTCAGTCAGAGTCTCTGGGGCAAAGCCCAGGAATCTGCATTTTGAGGAGGCCTCCAGCTCCTCATGGATGCTGCTGCCATCACCCGGGAGGGGCCGTGGTGACCTGTGCTGCAGTCTCGGCTGGGAATCTAATAAGAAGTGGGAAGCTGCGGGATGTCTTTTGGAAGAAATGACCCCTGGGCTTTGGTTGTGGTGTGAAAGGAAGAGGGAAGGGAGGGATGCCCTGGGTTCTGATGTTGCTCGGTTGTGAATATTGCTGTCTTACATGCATTATCTCATAGGAACTCCATGACATGGGTGCTGAAATCAGGGTTCAGTGAGATTGAGAGATGTGCCTAAAGCCAACATTGGTGAGCAGTAGGCTGGAGCTAGCAGGATGTGCAGGTTCGGAAGCACCTGCCTTCTCTGGGGGAGGCATCTGGCTTGTCCCTGAGCTGTGGGGTGGGGGTGGGTGGGCAGATGAGGGCAGCATGTTGTCTACAACTTCATTTTGCCCAACAATGTTCCATCCAGCCCCCATTGCAAGCACGCTTTGTAAACCAGTTCATACAGAGGAGGATGTGGGTGTGTGCGATTAGGGTGGTGTGGCTTCATCTAGGAACTGACATTTGTGAATGATACTGAGGATAGACATGAATCCCATAATTGGCTGAGTGGCTGCTGTCAGCTAGTTAATGCACACACTTTATCTTATTTAATCTTTGCAGTGAGTCCAGAAGGTGGAAAATTATTATCTCCATTTTACAGATTAACAAAACTGAAGTTTCAAGGGATTTAATAAGTAACAGAAATCACAGAGGTAGCAAGTATGGGCACATGAGGGAAATATTAATATTTCTAACCCTTAAAGCCATATTTTCTGCAATGTAGCTTTGACTTTTATCTGTTTGCAAATGAAAATAGAACCACAGTCCTTGCTTCTAAATTCACCATCCCCCCACCCTGCTTGGAAAGGCTTGCAGGGGAGGAAAGCCTGTCTGAGCATGGTGTGGCATTGGTCTTCATGGCACTTCACTCCATCCCATGTGATGGGGGCAGCCGGGGACCAAAGCCAGATCCCTGCCCCCAAGGTGGGCATTGGGCCTGGACCTGCGCCGGGCAGGCCCGAGGGTTCCTGTGTTGACTGTGCTGGCAGATGTCTTTGCATCCAAGCATTTATTATGTCTTGATCTAATTTCATTTCATAAAATGTTTCTTTCCTTTACTAACTGCAACATTATAACAATAATTAAATGAGAAAAGGGTATTAGGAAGCAGATTATGAATTTTATGAATAGTACCAGCAAAGGGAATTGGGCAAACTAGGGGAAAAAAGAGAATCTTTTTATGGTACTGAAAATCTAGAAGAGTGCAACCTAGCTAATAGCAAAGCCCCTTGGAATCCATTCATTTACCCACTGATTAGTGAACACCTCCCACGTGTTCAGTAAGTGCCAGGCATGCAGCAGTGAACAGAGCAAACCAAATCCCGCTTGTCAGAGCTAACGTGCTCGTCGCCTGCCTCTCTTCCTTGCAATGTCAGCTTTACTTTTCTCCGTTTTACTCACTGGCTATTAGCTGCGGATGGACATGGGGAGCGTGGAACTGGGAGAAACGTTTTTAACAGGGTGGCCGTGGCGGGGCTCGCGGAGAGGATGGTGTCTTCTGATAAAGCCGCCAGTTGAGCCAGGGGGAGCCCTTGGGGAGGAGCTTCCAGACAGAGAGGCCTGCAGTGCCGAGGCCCTGGGGGGAGCACGTGGGGCAGGTGGGGCCGGCGCGGCGGGGCTGGGGGCCGCGGGTGTGGAGTGGGGAATGGGGGTAGGGGTAACTAACAAGGCGGGGCCAACAGGGGCAGACCCCGAGACTCTTTAGGCTGTGACCGAGCGGGGCTTCCACTTTGGGATAAGAAGCCTCGGGGGTTTGAGCGGAGGAGAAGCCCCTGTGGCCACATGCTCCCGGGAGCCTTCAGAGAACAGGGCGGAGGGGGAGGCGCAGGGCGACGACGGCAGTGGTCAAACGCAGAACCGTGGAGTCCTGTGCTGCAGGAGTGGCTGGGAATTTCATAAGCAGTGGGGAGCTGCGGGGTGTCTTCTGGGTGAATGACCCCTGGGCTTAGGTTGCAGTGTGAAAGGAAGAGGGAAGGGAGGGATGCCCTGGACCAGGGGTTTCCTGCAGCCGGATAGGCAGCACCTGCAGCGGGGCCTCTCAACTCCAGGAGCTGTCGGCCTCTGCGTGGAGGCACTGAACCATGGGGGCTCCAGGGAGACGTCTGGGCCGAGGGTAGGAGTGTAAGGCCTGAGCTGGGGATCAAGCACCGGCGCGGTGATGAGGGGCCCGTGGGAGCATTGACCGCTGATGAGCAGCTTCAGGCATGCAGGGAGGGACAGCACCGAGGAGCGGACTCCAGAGCAAGAGGAAGGGAACCATCCAGCGATGCAGAGCTGCACTGCTGGGACTTGGATCAGCAGGCACAGCAGAGGGGCGCGGAGGGACTTGTGGGTGCTGGGGACATTCTCTTTCCTGACCTGGGTACTGGCTGTATGCTTGTGGAAACTCATTGAGCTTTATTTACACCTTCGTGTGTGTGTGTGTGTGTGTGTGTGTGTGCACTTTTCTGTAAGAATACTATACTTCAATTAAAACATTTAGAAAATGCACGTATTTGGGAGGCCTAGGGAGAAGAACTGCTTGAAGCCAGCCTGTGCAACAGACCCCATGTATACAAAAATTTTAAAAAAAAAAATTAGCTGAGCGTGGTGGCTCATGCCTGTGGTCACAGCTAGTCATGAGGCTGAGGCAGGAAGATCACTTGAGCCCAGGAGTTCAAGGCTGCTGTGATCTATGATCCCACCACTGCACCCAGGCCTGAGTGACAGAATGGGACCTTGTCTTTAAATATACATATGGAAGTGCAAAGAGAGTAGCTGAACATAGTACATCTAGTTATCTTTTTTTTTTTGAAGAGTTTTGCTGTAAATGGAGAGTGAGAAATGGGATGCTATTTAATGAGGTCATGTCAAGAGTGTTCTTTTGTTTTTTGTTTTTGCTTTTAAGTGGGAGAAATGATAGCATACTTGTTCATAATGAAAATGACCCAAAAGAGAGAAAAATAGATGTTGTGAAATACAGTGGGAAGGAGAATGGGGGGACAGTTAGGGGAGCAATAAAAAGCCCCCAAGCACCTCGCACATAGTTGACATCACACACTTCTTGGGGCAGATGCAGATGAGGTATTAGGCTGCGAGAGTCATGTAGCTGTTCCCAGGTCATGCTTCCAAGGGTAGAGCCAGGATTCGGTGCCCCCACCATCAATGCCCACTTCTGGGTCAGTGGTCAGTGATTATGTCACTTAGTGACAGATTCCACCAAATACTGCCCAAGTGTTAGAGGAAATCATAGTCTTGCTTTTCACATTACAAATACCCACATAGGGAAGAACTATAGAAGTCTGATATCCTTGCCTCTTGTTTTCAGTTAAATAGCAGCCCTGCTTGCAGCTCCCAGGGATAAGTCTGTCCTTCTCTCTCTGACTCCATTAAAACTGGATCATATTTAATTATGGGAGAGAACCAAGCTATCTTGGGTAATGATATATACTAAAGGTATTTATTATTTCTCCTGAATTTAATGTTCTGTAGCAGAGTAGAAGTATAAGTCAAGTACAGGCTGTTCTTTCTCCTCTGAATAAGATGCTCTGCAAATTCTGCAAAGGTGGAGGGAACAATTTTGGGATTTGGGTGTGAAAACTTGTCACTCAAGTAAGCCTTGTAGGACATTAAGGGACACGACACCATCATTGTTCCAGCAGGAATTAAGTGCTTCCCTTCTCAATCTTACTCTGGATATTAATTCTAATTCTTTATGGCTGGTGTGTGGGATGCAATGTTTTCTATCCATTTCCCAGAAAGAGCCTAAACCTTCCTGTAACCACCGTCAAGACATTGCTCAGAGAGTGTGGGGACATGGGTTCCTCCCAGAGATCCAAACAATGCCAGCAGTTGGAATTTGCTTTCTTAGTTGTGTTCTTGAGCTGCCAGGCTGTTGATGAACTAATCAACAGGGCCATCATAATCAGACTTGGATGATTTGCCCCCACTTTCCAGGTTTTTAAAATTAATTATTTAATTTTTGAGACAGGGTATCACTCCATTGCCCAGGCTTGAGTGCAGCGGCACGATCATGGCTCACTGCATCCTCAGCCTCCTAAACTCAACCTATCCTCACACCTCAGCCTCCCAGGTAGCTGGGAATACAGGTGCCTGCCACCACACCCAGCTAATTTCAATATTTTGTAGAGATGGGGATCTCTCTTTGTTTTCCAGGCTGGTCTCAAACTCCTGGGCTCAAATGATTCTCCTGCTTCAGCCTTCCAAAGTGCTGGGATTACAGGTGTGAGCCACCCCTGTATGGCCCCCAGTTTTTTAATATGGAAAGAACAAGTTGATTTGCCCATGGAAAAAGTTGAGGTCAGTAAATCATCTGAAAGTAGGGAGAAATCAGGAAATCCTGAGGACTTCAGCTCAACGTCCACACTCTGGCCCACTGCTGCTGGAAAAACTCAGTTTGTCTTTCTTTAAAGTTAAAGGGTAGATGTACAGGTTTGTTATATAGGTCAATTGCATGTCATGGGAGTTTGATGTACAGCTTATTTCATCACCCAGGTAATAAGCATAGTACCTGATAGACATCCTCCCCTCCTCCTTCCTCAAGTCGGCCCCATTGTCTGTTGTTCCTTTTCTTTGTGTTCATGTGTTTTCAATGTTTAGGTTCCACTTGTAAGTCAGAACATGCAGTATTTGGTTTTCTGTTCCTATGTCAGTTCATTTAGGATTATGGCTTTCAGCTCCATCCATGTTGTTGCAAAGGACATGATCTCCTTTTGTTTGTAGCTATGTAGTATTCCATGGTGTACATGTACCACATTTTCTTTATCCAGTCTACCATTGATAGGCATTTAGTTGGTTCCATGCTATTGGGAATAGTGCTATGATGAACATATGCACGCATATGTCTTTATAGTAGAATGATTTATATTCCTTTGGGTGTATACCCAGTGATGGAATTGCTGAGTCAAATGGTAATTCTCTTTTAAGTTAGTTGAGAAATTGCCACACTGCTTTCTAAAATGGCTGAACTAATTTACACTTCCACCAGCAGTGTAAAAGCATTCCCTTTTCTCCACAACCTTGCTAGCATCTGTTATTTTTTGACATTTTAATAATAGCCATTTTGACTGTGTGAGAGTTTCTCATTGTGGTTTTGATTTGCATTTCTCTAATGATTAGTGATGTTGAGCATTTTTTCATATGGTTGTTGGCTGCATGTATGTCTTCTTTTGAAAAAAAATCCATCGTGTCCTTTGCCCACTTTTTAATGCAAGTGTTTCTTGCTTGTTAATTTGTTTAAGTTCTTTATAGATTCTGGATATTAGACCTTTGTTGGATGAATAGTTTGCAAATATTTTCTCCCATTCTGTAGGTTGTTTGTTTATTCTGTGGAACATTTCTTTTGCTGTGCAGAAGCTCTTTAGTTTAATTGGTATGGTTTATCAATTTTTGGTTTTGTTTCTATTGTTTTTGATGTCTTCACTGTGAAATATTTGCCAAGTCTTATGTCCAGGATGGTATTTCCTAGGTTATCTTCCAGGGTTTTTATAATTGTACATTTCACATTTAAGTCTTTAATCCATCTTGAATTCATTCGTGTATACAGTGTGAGGAAGGGATACAGCTTCAACTTTCTGCATATGGCTAGCCAGACAGTTATCCTATCACCATTTATTGAATAGGGAGTTCTTCCTCCATTGCTTGTTTTGTCGACTTTGTCGAAGATCAGGTGTATGGTTTTATTTCTGGGTTCTCTATTCTGTTTCATTGGTCTATATGTCTGTTTTTGTACTAATACCATGCTGTTTTGGTTATTGTGGCCTTCTAACATGGTTTGAAGTCAGGTAACATGATGCCTCCAGCTTTATTCTTTCCACTTAGGATTGCCTTGGCTATTTGAGCTCTTTTGTGGTTCCATGTGAGTTATAAAATAATTTGTTTTCCGATTCTGTGAAAAATGTCATTGGTAATTTGATAGGAATGGCACTAGATCTGTAAGTGCTTTAGGCAGTATGGCCATTTTAACAATATCGATTCTTCCTATCCATGAGCAGGAAATATTTTTTCGGTTGATTGTGTCATCTCTGATTTCTTCGAGCAGCATTTTATAATTCTCATTGTAGAGATCTTTCACCTCCCTGTTAGCTGTATTACTAAGTATTTTATTCTATTCGTGGCTATTGTGAACGGAATTGCTTTCTTGAATCTTGGGTGTTGTTGGTGTATAGCAATGCTACTGATTTTTGCATGTTGATTTTGTATGTTAAAACTTTGCTGAAGTTATTTATCAGATCTAGGAGCTTTCGGGTAGAGACTATGGGTTTTTCTAAGTATAGAATCTTATTATCTGCCAACAGAGATAGTTTGACTTCTCTTTCTATTTGGATGCCTTTTATTTCTTTCTCTTGACTGATTGTTCTGGCTAGGACTTCCAGTACTTTGTTGAACAGGAGTGGTGAGAGTGGACATCCTTGTCTTATTCCATTTCTCAAGGGGGATGCTTCCAACTTTTGCCATTCAGTATGATATTGGCTTTGGGTTTGTGATAAATGGCTCTTATTATTTTGAGTGTGCTCCTTCAATGCCTAGTTTATTAATGGTTTTTAATATGAAAGGATGCTGAATTTTATCAAAAGCCTTTTCTGCATCTATTGAGATGATCTTATGGTTTTTGTTTTTATTTCTGTTTATGCACTGAATTGCATTTATTGGTTTGCATACGTTGAACCAACCTTGCATCCCAGGGATAAAACCTTCTTGATTGTGGTGGATTAGCTTTTTGATGTGCTTGTGGTTTTTGCTGAGAATTTTTACATCTATGTTTATTAAGTATATTGGCCTGAAGTTTTCTTTTTCTGTTAAGTCTTTGCCAGGTTTTGGTACCAGGATGATACTGACCTCATAGGATGTGTTAAGGAGGAGTCCCTCCTCCTCCACTTTTTTGTAATAGTTTCAGTAGGAATCGTACCAGCTCTTCTTTATGCATCTGGTGGAATTCGGCTGTGAAGCCATATAGTCCTTTCCAGTTGCTAAGCTTTCTATTTCTGATTCAGTTTTGGAACTCATTATTGGCCTTTTCAGGGGTTCAATTTCTTCCTGGTTCAACCTTGGGAGATTTTGTGTTTCCAGCAATGTATCCATTTCTTCTAGGTGTTATAGATGGTGTGCATAGAAGAGTTCGTGGTACTCTCTGAGAGTTTTTTTAATTTATGATTGTGTTTATTTGGACCTTCTCTCTTTTCTTCTTCATTAGTCTACCTAGTTGTCTATCAAGCTTATTTATTCTTTCAAAGAACAAACTTCTGGATTTGTTTATCTCTTGTATGGTTTTTCACTCCTCAGTTTTCTTCAGTTCACCTCTGATTCTGGTTACTTCTTGTCTTCTGCTAGCTTTGGGGTTGGTTTGCTCTTGTTTCTCTAGTTCTTCTACGTGTAATGTTAAGTTGTTAACTTGGGATCTTTCTAACTTTTTGATGTGGGCATTTAGCACCATAAGCTTCCCTCTTTGCACTGTTTTAGCTGTGTCCCAGAGATTCTGATATGTTGTATCTTTGTTCTCATTAGTTTCAAAGAATTCCTTGATTTCTGCCCTAATTTTATTGTTTACCCAAAAGTCATTCAGGAGCAGGTTGTTTAATTTCCATATAAGTGTATGGTTTTAAGTGATTTTCCTTGCATTGATTTTTTAAAAACAACTCATTTTTAATGTGTATTTATGTGTTTATTTTGCCAATTACTCATTCAAGAGATAATTAAATGTGAAATCTCTAAACCTTTTTTTTTTCTTTTGAGATGGAGTCTCACTCTGTCACCCAGGCTGTAGTGCAGTGGCATGGTCTCAGCTCACTGCAACCTCCATCTCCCGGGTTCAAGCAATTCTACTGCCTGAGCCTCCCAAGTAGCTGGGACTACAGGCTCCCACCATCATGCCTTGCTAATGTTTGTATTTTTAGTAGAGATAGAGTTTTGCCATGTTGCCTAGGCTAGCCTCGAACTCCTGACCTCAAGTGATCAGACCGCCTCGGCCTCCCAAACTGCTGGAATTACAGGCATGAGCCACCGGGCCTGGCCTCCAAACCTTTTCTTACACTCCTGACTCGTGGTGTTTTACCTACAAGTTGTTTCTCATCCTCACCCCACTTGGAGCCCTTCCCCTGCATTCAGAATTCTTCAGCAGTCAGTGCCGGGACATATAAGCTCTGCATCCTCAATCTCCCCCAGTCCCTTTCAGATCGATTCATTGGCCGTCGACTGGACACCTGCCACGTTCGCGTGTTTAGTCCCATTGGATTCAACGGATATCACTGGTCACACAGCATCCTCCTTACTCAGGCATTTGCAGCCTGTGTAGATGGTAAAGGGGGGCACACCCCTTGCTGGTGGGACGCAAAGAGGCTCTGAGTGCTGAGGAGGGGGGAGTGCAGTACCCTGGGTGTGCGGAAGGCCGTCTGACCCTGTCTTCCACTGGGAGTCCATGAACAGATTTCTCTCTGAATTCCCTCCTCCTTCCTTCCCCTCGTGTCCTTTTCCATGGTCCTCTTCCAGAACACATTTGGAAGAATTGTCCCAGTAGCTCTCCCCAGGAGACAGATAATGGATGTCCATTGTACATTTGTCTGCACATAAAAGTGCAGTTTGGGAGGGAAGAAATAGAGTGCAGAAAAGATTCTGGCTTTGTGTCATGGAAATGGCTGCGTGTACTTTCCCTTGTTCCTGCTATACTATTTCAGGACACAGTTTGTTTCCCCCTTGGCTGCCTTATCCCGTCTTGTGTCTTTTTTCCAAAGAGCTCAAGACATTAAAGACCACAGCATTTCTTCCACTTTTTTCGTTGTTCTGGAAGGGATGCTAAGGCTGGGAGGGGGCTGCATTTACACAGACTCACTGGGTGAGTCTGTGGTGGATCGGGGCTGGAATTCTGGTCACTGTGTTTCCTGGAGGCTCTGAGATCCCTAACATGACAGCTGTGTGATGCACTCAGTGTGGTAAGCGTTGGACAGAAATATCTGAGTCCATCAACTCAACTGGGCTCCCTAGAACACAGAACCTGCAGCAAGGTTAGAATTCCGAGGCCTTATTTAGA
The DNA here is from genome assembly GCF_000001405.40 of Homo sapiens. Classification (NCBI taxonomy): domain Eukaryota; kingdom Metazoa; phylum Chordata; class Mammalia; order Primates; family Hominidae; genus Homo; species Homo sapiens. Next base: position 24,597,691 of record NC_000020.11, read on the forward strand.
AGTGTGATTCCAGGCCAGCGAACACGGGGGAAATGGAAAGGAGGTGTGGAAGGAGGCAGGGCAACATCTGATATTTCTCCCTTTGGAAGCAAAAGCACCAACTGAGAGTCACCTCGGTGTGCAAGAATCAGAGCAGCACCTTAGCCCCTCCATAGCTTTGGTGCCTTCATCAGAAAGCATAGAAGACTGCCTTTCCTCCTAAGACTCAAGGAGGTCAAAACTGCAGCATAGAGGTGCATTCTGGTCCATACCACCTCACATCAAATGACAATTTGGGTTATATAATAAGCTGACATCAATCGTTTTTTCAGAGTGCAACCTGTGTTAGCCAAATTGGAACCCAGGTTAAAGAGGGTAATAACATTCTCACCAGGACAGCCTTGTTTTGAGTGCAGTAGGGGCCTGTTTGGGTGTCAGCAGCAAGCCTTCGCTGGCCACAGCTCCAGTTCTCTGTTGAGCCAAGAAATGCGCTGCTGCAGACGGGCACTGTGCAGGGTATGGAGTGGAGGGCTTGCCGCCATGCACTCACGAAACAAGAATGGCAGCAAGGGCAAAGTGCTTTAGACGCACAATTCCACCTAATTCCCACAGCAGCTCCATGAAATTAGTACTAGTATTATCACCATTTTACAGATGATAAATTTTATGAATTGGAATCCAGGTCTGTACAAATCAGGGTCTGTGCTGTTTTAAAAGCCTTCAGATATACCCAGAGCCACTGTTTCACAGAAAGTTTACAGTGAGTTTTATTTCATCTTCAAGAGAATCCTGAAATAGGAAAATTCTATTGTACCCAGCAAGTGAGGAAGTCAGCACCCAGCAAGGTTGTTTAAGCTATTCAGGATCACACAGCAGGTTGGCTACACGCCAGGACTGGGTGGGGCCCACAGTGGGTGAAACTGTGAGGAAATCCACAAGCACCTCTAGGTGCTCAGGATCGGCTCCTACAGATTCTAGTCCAATCTCATTCATGACCTCATTTGCTTTTCAGTTTAACAGTGCTTGGTTTTGGTTTACTATTTTTCCCATGGAAACATTTTTTAATTATGTCTTATCAGTTATTCTCCATTTATCCCAAAGGGTCAGTTTTGTGATTTTAAAATTGACACTATGTAGACCTTTATCTTTCATCATACGCAAAAATCAACTCACAATGAGTTTAAGACTTAAACATAAGACCAAAAACTATAAAACTACTAAAGAAAACCTAGGGAAATCGCTCCTAGATATTGGTCTAGGCGAAAGATTAATGGCTAGGACCTCAAAAGCACAGGCAACCAAAACAAAAATAGACAAGCAGGACTTAATTAAACAGAAAAGCTTCTGCACAGCAAAAGAAATATTCAACAGAGTAAAGAGACAACTTGCAGAGAGGAAGAAAATATTTGCAAACTAGACATCTCACAAGGGATTAATATCCAGAATATGCAGGAAATTCAAACAACAGGAAAAAAACCTACACATAATCCCATTAAAAAGTGGGCAAAGGATTTGTATAGATTTCTCAAAATAAGACAAACTGCTAACAGATGTATGAAAAAATGCTGAACACCACTAATCATCAGAAAAATGCAAATCAAAATCACAATGAGATATCATCATCTTATCCCAGTCAGAATGACTATTATTAAAAAGACAAAATAACAGATGTTGCTAAGTATGCAGAGAAATGGGAACTCTTATATACTGTTGGTGAGAATGCAAACTAGTACAACCATTATAGAAAACAGTATGGAGATTTCTCAAAAAATTAAAAATAGAATACCTTTGACCCAGCAATCCCACTACTGGGTATCTACCCAAAGAAAAAGGAATAATTATATCAAATAAATACCTACACCCTCATAGTTACTGAAGCATTGTTCACAATGGCAAAAATATGGAATCAACCGAAGTGCCAATCAGTGGACAAATGGATAAAGAAAATGTGGTATAGATACACAATGGAATACGATTTGGCCATAACAAAGAATGGAATAATGCCATTTTCAGCATCGTGGATGGAACTGGAGATTATTAAGTGAAATAAGCCAGGTACAAAAAGGCAAATACTACCTGCTCTCACTTATACACATGAGAGCTAAAAAGTCTGATCACATGGAGATAGAGAGTGGAAAGATAGATAACAGAGACTGGGAAGAGTGAGTAGTTGGGGGACGATGAAGAGTAGTGAGTTACAGGGTACAAATGTACAGTTAGATAGAGGGAATACATTCAACGGTTGATAACAGTGTAGGGTGACTATAGTTAAACAAAACTCTATTATATCCAGAAGATGGACACCTTAAATACCCTGACTTGATCACTACACATTATATACATCTAACACAATTTCAGAGGTATCTCATAAATTTGTACAAATTTTTAAAAAGTTATGCTACAGTATACAGTCATTTGTTGGAAGAATCAAGTAATTTCTTTCATATGTCTTCACAAAAAATATCGAGCTTTCCACATATGTGATATATTATTATACATTTTTGAAAGTTAGAAAAAAGGAAAAGAGACTGGAAGAAAATCACGCCATCTGTAGGCAATGGGTGGTTTTTCTCTTCCTTCCTGAATGAGTCTTTGTGTTTATTTATTTGTTTGTTTTAGCACCGTTAATGTGAAGGGGATTGTCAAACCTTTCCTAGTTTGAAAATAACAGTCAGAATAGAAACCTAAATGCATAGCTTAACAAATTATTTTAAAGCAAGTGGCCAAGTCACCATCACCCAGGTCAGGAATGTCCCTGGGACCCCCAGGGTAGAAGGACTAGCACCTTCCAGCCATCCTTCCTCCTTATCGCTGCCCTTCCTCCCCACCCAGTGACCACTGGAATGACCTCCACAGAACACACTTTTCTTGCACATTTTTATTATTTTACCACCTAAATTTGAGTTCCTTAACCTTCATGTCTTCATCTTTCTTTCTTTTTTTTTTTTTTTTTTGAGATGGAGTTTCACTCTTGTCACCTAGACCAGAGTGCAATGGTGCAATGGCGTGATCTCAGCTCACTGCAACCTCCACCTCCCAGGTTCAAGCAATTCTCGTGTCTCAGCCTCCTGAGTAGCTGGGATTACAGGTGCCCGCCACCACGCCTGGCTAATTTTTGTATTCTTAGTAAAGACGGAGTTTCACCATGTTGGCCAGGCTGGTCTTGAACTCCTGACCTCAGGCTATCTGCCTGCCTTGGCCTCCCAAAGTGCTGGGATTACAGGTATGAGCCACCATGCCCAGCCCATGTCTTCATCTTTCCTTACTGCACTTGCAAAGCCACATTGCATCTGAATGGCACTCTTATCTTGTATCAACGGAAAAATTTCCAACATTTCACTGTTAAGTAGGCTCTTTAGGTAACTCATTTTTAAATCATTAATGGCTGTTGGATTTACCGAAAGCTTTTTGTGCAAATGGAAAACAATTATATGAATATTTTCCTTTAATCTACTAATATAAATTACATTGACTGGTTTGAAATGTTAAACCAACCTTGCATTCCTAGAATAAACCCTAATTGATCATAATTTGTATATGTTGCTGAATTTGTGTGCTCTTTTGCTTAACATTTTTGTGTTTCTGTTTACGAGAGAGATTGATGTATATTATCCTTTGTGGTAATTTCTTCATTAAGTTTTGATATCAATGTTACTCTGGTTGTGAAGAGTTCCCTTTTTCTGTTCTCTGAACATTTATTTAAAACTGACCTATTTTTCAAATCTTTGATAGCAGTCATTGGTGGAGCTCTTTGAGCCTGGACTTCTCATCATAGGAAGATTTTAAATTAGTGATTTCCTTTCTTTAATATCGATATCTCTGATTAGGCTTTCTGTTGTTTCTCATATCGGTTATGGCAAGTTATATTTTTCTAGGATTTTGTCAGTTTCATCAAAATAATCAATTTTAATAATATTTTTAAAATATGAATTTGGGCCTTTAAGAACTAAAGAGAAGATTATCTTTTCTGGGGATGGATGGATAGACAGACAGAAAGAAATACTTCAAAATGACAATGTTATTGTTTTACATTGTTGATATTTATCTGTAGAAATCCCTAGATTCCACTACTTTGCTCCTCATTTCTTCCTAAATTTTTTAATCTTCCAGCTTGAATGATACCCTTCTGCCTAAAGAACATCCTTTAGAATTTCCTTTAGAGTGGCTTTTCTTGTGGTAAACACTCTCTGTTTTATGTTATTGGAAATGCCTTTTTATTACATTTATTCTTGCAGGTATGATCATTAGGTATAGAATTCTGGTCCACAGTTTCCTCTGTAGTTGTGTCTCAAATTCTGCCAAACCCATTATAATATTGTTTTTTTTTTTTATTTTCCAGTTCTAGAATTCCCATGTGTCTTCTTTTTCAGATCACCTACAACCCTTCTTGTATGTTTCAATCACCTGCCAACACTTCCAAGCTTTGTTTTATTTCCTGGAACATAGTAAGCAGAGGTATTTTATAGTCTATGCCTGATCATTATGATACCTGGGATCCCTGTGAGTCTGGGTGTTTGTTGTTTTTCCTTGTTCTCACTCATGGTATATTTTCTCAGATGTTACTGATTTTATGCTGGTCATTGTTTCTGACAAAGTATTCATAGTAATATTTTGAAGATGAAGATGATGCCACCTTTCTTCAGATAAGTTATTTCTTTGCTGTTTTTCCAGCACATACGGCACAAAAAATTCAAGACCATCTTAGTCCACACTCAAGCTCCGAGGTGAAGCAGAACTGGGCTGTAGCTCATGAGGGGCTGGTGTACTTTCATGTCACCTTTTCTCTCATGGCTTAGCTCTTTGGTGCTTCATCCTATGGCTGGTTTACAGGATCTCCCTCTTCACTGGGCTCTGAAATCCAACTTGGATTCCTATGATCTCACAAAGTAACCCAAAATTCACCCTCTCAGACACCTCTTATGGTCAGCAAACATCCCTAGGGAATATGTGTCCTCATATGCCTGGTCCACCCTTCTGAATTATTGTCCTCTCCCTGGCCTTGGCCTGATAATCCCTCATCTTCTTACCTCTTTAATGCTTTATAAAATATTTTCTTTAATGTTTCTTTAAGGATTTTTAGCTGTCTTCTGTAGAAGGGTTACCAGTCTGGCATTATTAGAAGCAGAAATCTATATTTCTGTTTCCTTAATTGTTTATACAGAGAATGTATTATTTTTATAACAGAAATATTTTTAACTACAAAATTGGAAGCTTGGTTGAAGGACCTAGATTATCTGTCACTTGAATTCTCATTTCTTCTGGTGCTAACTGAAATTCTAACTGGCTCTTTGCACTGCATGAGTAACCAACACAATGCTATCGAGGCTAATGAGGAGTGTCAGGACATGGGACGAAGGCCATACAGCTCACTCCAATGCAAATAAAGAAACAATCTTTATTTAAATGCTACAAAGAGCCACTGGGCATGGAATCTGCCACATTGTAGGTGCTCATTTAAATGCTGGTTGTGTTTGTATCTGATGCAAAGATGTGCACACCCGTGTTCTGCTTGGTCATTTCATAAAGATGAACCATGTGGTTTATAAATGCAGCATTACCAAAAAGTGTCCGGAGTTGGGAGAGATTGTTCGTGGCTAGGATCAAACCATGCTGCCAAATCCTCTGAGCACATGCCTTTGGCAGGGCTGTAGACAAGTGTCCCCAACCCATGGGGACTTCTGGGGAGAGCTTCATTCCTAGTGCTCCAAGCTCTGCCATTGAGCAGGGAGGTGAGGGCTGGAGGTGCCCATAGGTGAGAGCTGTTCACAAGAGGTGTTAATTCCCTGGTCTTTCTGGCTTGTTCCTGCACGGTAAGTGGAAACAATAATGACAGGCGTGCCCTGAGTGGGACACTGCCTCAGGGAGGAAGTAAATCGCAGGACTTCAGCTGTATGCAGCAGAAGGGAGACATGGACACACGCCTGGGATGGCAGCGGAGGGTCAGAAGCCCTGAGTGCAAAGCAGGGTCTGTCCACTAACAGGGCATTCTCAGCGAGGAAGCATTGCATTGAGAGTAGAGTAGACCATCAGGAGGAGTTGTCAGAAAGCAGCATATGGAAACGGTGTGTTCTGAAAACAACTCATCCTTAGCCCAGAAGAATTTTCTTCACAAGGAAATGAGCAGAGACATTCGTCAGGCACTGTGGGGTCACAGTGGATACCTGCTCCTGCAGACAAATGGGGAGAAGAATATCTGAAAGAATGCCAGGGGAGTTCATTCTCCTCCACTCAACTGCCCCCAACCAGGAGCACATTCACAGTCAACCTTTGCCTGACACAATAATTGAACTGGGACTTTCCCAAACATCTGAAACAAAATGCCCTGGGTTTCTCCGAAGCTGTCACCTGTCCATCTTTCTAATCATTTATCTTACCAAAACAAACAACATTTTCATGTTCTCTCTAAACCTTGTCACAAAGACAGACTTCTTTTGAAATTTGTATTATTCTTTCTTTTTTTTTCAAAGTTGTGTGCTTAGAACATGTACATTGTGTGGAACTGGAGCTCCACGGATTCCACACACTCGATGGTTTTGTTCATAATCATCCATAAGTGTGGGTGTCAGAGGCATTTGAACCAGAGTGACTCCATCTTGAACAGGGGCTGGTTAAGGTAACGCTGAGACCTGCTGGGCTGCATTCCCAGGTTAGGCATTCTAAGTCACAGGATGAGACAGGAGGTTGGCACCAGATACAGGTCATAAAGACCTTGCTGATAAATGGATGCAGTGAAGAAGCTGGCCAAAACCCACCAAAACCAAGATAGCGACAAAAGTGATCTCTGATCTTCCTCACTGCTCATTATATGCTAATTACATGCACCGCCATGCTAAAAGACACTCCCACCAGCGCCATGACAGTTTACAATGCCAAGGCAATGTCAGGAAGTTGCCCTATATGGTCCAAAAAGGGGAGGGACCCTCAGTTCTGGGAATTGCTCACTCTTTTCCCAGAAAAATCATGAAAAATCCGCCCTTTGTTTAGCAAATAATCAAGAAATAAGCATAAAAAGAGCCAACCAGCAGCCCTCCCTTGGGGCTGCTCTGCCTGTGGAGTAGCCGTTCTTTTATTCCTTTACTTTTTTAATAAACTTGCTTTCACTTTACTCTATGGACCCACCTCAAATTCTTTCTGGCATGAAGTCCAAGAACCCTCTCTTGAGGTCTGGATCGGGACTCCTTTCCGGTAACACTGGGATAATATTCCGTGCACCCCGCCAGATCCCACTTTTATCCTTAAGTTCATTATTTTTTAACGTCCTCAGATTTATAGTAAATTGAGTCCCATCTAATGAATGCATCTGTTAGGCTCTGGTAGATTCAGAATCAGCCCAAAACCCAAGTTTTCCCTTGAGAGTCACAGGGCATCCAAGGTCATGGGCAGGTAGTTGGGGGGCATCTGGGTAAAGACATGAAACCTGTGCTGGGGTCCAGGAGAAAGTCCTGGCAAAGGGCATCCCAACCAAGCAGGAGTGATGGAGCCACGCAGAAAGAAAATGCTACCCAGGGACAGATGGGTGGGAAGGGTTTGCCGTGGGCCCACATCTACCTCCCTGGGTGAGTGACATGTAAACGAAGGTTGCAATGAGGGCTACAAGAGCCCAGCTAGATACAAGCATAACATTGACTTTGCAGACAAATGCATTGAAAAACATTGCTAGAGGAACGGCTCCAATATTACTACATGGGTTTATTTTAACTTGTATCAGGGAAATGTGTGAGGGCAGTTAAATAGTCAAATGGTATCTCTCCTCTCTCTCTCTCCCTCCCCCAGTCTGTATCTCTGTCTCAATATGCATATTTAATATGCTGATTGTAGCTTCTGAGAGCTGTTTTGCAACTTCTGGATTTAAACAATTCCATATAAATATTAATGATCTGGTGCAGCCAAGACAAATCAGATTTCTTATGTATTTTTTTCCTCTGGAATCCATGCTGCAGTTAGTTACTGATTTTAACTTGTTCTAGTGTATAAATGAACAAATACATCATGTCTGCTTTGCTCCTTGCAGTGGATTGGATAGATTTTTTTTTCCACTGATAGGTGATACATTGTCTTGGTAATTAGCATCTTGATTTTGTGATTATTTGTCTGTAGCAGAGAAAACATGCATGTTGATTGTCCAAGGGCAGAGTCTGCAAAGCCTGTGACGTGTGGGACCCAGAGTTGACATAGCAATGCATTACATTACAAGCTGTGCACTCTTCCCTTTGGACTTAGGGCTCACCTCCAATTACATTTCCAACATGTGATCATTTTTCTTTAAATGATGTACCTGAAGCTTTTAGAATTTAGCATGCCTCCGACAGTAAAGCTGTCCACATGTTTCTTTTGCATCTCTTTTAAGATCGAGGACTTCTGTGCAGGTCCTACAGCACTATGGTTTTGTGTGGTGTCCCTCGGCTTCTGGTCACTATCTGTGGCCATTTCTGTGACTACCAGGCCAGCCTGGCCAGAGGCTGGGATGATCCAACAATGTGCTGGTTGATCACAGAGGCACTGGAGCATCATTGCAAGTGTCTCCAGAACAGGCATGTGGGCAGTCAGTGCTGGCCTCAGATGGCCTCAAGCCAAGTCTCAAAGCTCCACCTGTCAGGGGATGTGGCTATGAGGCTGTGGTTAGTGGGATGTCCCTGCCTCCTGAACAGCTGATGGTCAGGGGACTGACCCCTATTGCCATGAGCGACAACTCATGAACAATTTTCTCTGGGAAACTATTTCACTGAATTCTAATAGATATCTAGCAGATAATTACCCCAGATTTCACTTTGTCCCCAAATCTTAGGTTCTGTTGACCTCATGCTAAATCAAAAGCAGGAATTGCACTTTAAGGTAAAACCTTAGGTTATTATAGAATTGAATATTATATTATTGAGAAAGTTATTATAAAAAGAGAACAAATCTGAATTAGAAATGTCCATCTGGATGCTACTTTGAATAGATTTAGGAAACTTACTGTAGCCCAGTTAATCCTTACGGTATGGGTTTTCTGGAAGTAGAGATCCGGAGTTTAGATTCTGTGCTACAGGTGGGCAGAGCGCAGCACAAGTGCCCATCCCTGGGGTTATGTAGGGGAGCATACAGGATCAGTGGGGGCCAGGCTGCCAAGCAAGAAGATTGGAGTCAGCAGAAGGCTGTGTGCTCCTGTATTCGTCAGAATGATTACCCCTGGATGCTGACTTGGAAAGTGGATGCTGACGAGCAGAAGAAGCAGTGTTTGGAGGATGATTCTGGGATCTTCATTTTGAAGCTGCCCTGGGCAGTTGAGGCAGTACTGTCAATAGGGAGTTTGAAATAAGGAGTTTGCAAGAATCATGTGTTATATGAACGGACCTCTTTCTTTCCACTCATTTGGCCTTTGTTTGCCATTGATGACCTGGTGAAAGTTCTTTTTGAAAACTCCACCTTGGCCGGGCACCATGGCTCATGCCTATAATCCCAGCACTTTGGGAGGCTGAGGCAGTTGGATCACCTGAGGTCAGGAGTTCGAGACCAGCCTGGCCAACATGGCAAAAACCCATCTCTACTAAAAATATAAAAATTAGCTGGGTGTGGTGGCGTGCATCTGTAATCCCAGCTACTAGTGGAGGCTGAAGCAGGAGCATTGCTTGAACCCAGGAGGCGGATGTTGCAATAAGCCAAGATCACACCACTGCACTGCAGCCTGAGCAACAGAGCAAGACTCCGTCTCAAAAAAAAAAAAAAAAAAGAATAAAGAAAAGAAAGAAAACTCCACCTCGTTCGGGCTGATGAGAGTCCCAGTTGGGCACCCTGGTTCTGGCCAAAGGGCCGTCCTCAATGCCTGATTCACCCGGGCTGCTGGGGTGGAGAGTGGGGCTAGGAAGAGCCTCGGCCCATGACGAATGTTCACCCCTCCTGCTGCCTGGCTGTGACTTTTTCTCCTCAAGAGCGAGACATCTCCATGGGCCACATTCACAGTGGAGACGGCCTCGGGCTCCCCCTCTCCCTGCTTCAAGGGCCGAAATTCACAGGCAGCTGTGGGGACAGGGAAGCCCAACTGCTCTCTCACTAGCACACTGGGACTTGAGTTGGCCACAGTTGGAGAACCTTCTATCAATTACTTTCTTCCGTTTTTGTAGACTTTTTAGGTGTACTCCATTTGACGAAAACCTAATGATCTTTTAAAACTCCCAATATTTACAGTGGGTAAGTCAAGGGCAGTTATGTGTATCTCAGATACCCGAAGGTAACGTTAATGCATTAACATAATGTCCTGCAATTTACTTCAAGTATATTTAAAATACAGGTTTATACAGAAATCTATTTTAAACACTTTTCCCGGATGAGATCCTCTTATGAAACAAGATGTCAGAGCACATTCAAAACATCTTCGGCAGCTAAACCCTCTAGTCTCCAGTGCTGAATTTTAGTGTTTCCTTCCAGTTGTATACCTAATAAAAGATATTTTAATTATAAAGATATGATCTATCAATGCTTTCTAGAGTATAAACCCATGACAAATAATACAGAAATTATTTTAAATTTTGGCAATATTATCTCCTATTTTTTTTTTTTGAGACAGTCTCGCTCTGTCACCCAGTCTGGAGTGCAGTAGCGCAATCTCAGCTCACTCCGCCTCCCGGGTTCTAGCGATTCTCCTGCCTCAGCCTCCCAAGTAGCTGGGACTACAGGCACCTGCCATCATGCCCAGCTAATTTTAGTACTTTTAGTAGAGACAGGGTTTCATCATGTTGGCCAGGCTGTTCTCAAACTCCTGACCTCAGGTGATCTGCCCACCTCAGCCTCCCAAAGTGCTGGGATTACAAGCGTGAGTCACCGCGCCCCACCAATAAAATCTTAACAGTGACAATCCATCACCCGCCAACTGACCTGCTTCAAGTGACAGCACCGCAAGGCCCCCGTGTCCAGACCTCTGTACATAGGAACATGAAACCTGTGTACTTAACAAGATGCTTGGGAGGAATACACAGGATATTATGTACGCTGATCTCACGGATGAGACAATAATTAAAAGGTGACTGAAACTACCTTTCCTGTTGGTAAGCAAAAGCTTTCAGCCACAAATAAGGCAACAAGTACCTCTCAGACCGCCCGATGGCCGTCAGTAAGGATGGGGCTGAGAAGTAGTGTAGATGGAGAGAATCATGTGAATGATATTGATAATATAAGCTCAGTTCTCTTGACCAACCCTTGCATTCTAGAATTAAAGCTAAGATTAGATGATGTTCAGAAAAACAGCATACAGTACTGCTTTGTGTGGAGGACAGTAATTTTGTGTGTCTGGACTCACATGTATGTTGGTGCAAGCCAAACCTACAGATTTAAATGAGGGGTGACAAATGAGTCATGGGTTGATCAGCACATTATAGATTCTCATGGGAATCCAGGGCTATTTTACGTACGTCTCAGTGTCATGGGTGTTTTAAAGGTGCTCATCACATTACCATCTGCACTTCTGCTGTAGAAAAATGTCATAGCAAGAGGACAGGAGCCATGCTTCACTACTCTGGAGGTGGCAGTTCTCGGCAATGTCCCCCTTTTCTTGCCTCTTTGCTTAGCTTAGCATTTTCTGGTGCTTAGGGAGTTATAAGAATCCCAGACAGAGAGCATAGCAAATGCCAAATTTAGAGCTGAAAAAATTACCTTGAGGTTGTGCTTTGACGTGGAAGGCGGATGTGGGATGCTCTTTGCTTTTCTTTTTCTGTCCTTCCTTTTAGACGGGGCACTCTTTATTTTTAACCTGTCTAGACTGTGTATAAAGTAGTAAAGGGTCACTGAAGCACAGTTGCAGCATTCACTTGTATCAGTCCATATGTACGTCCCTGGAAGCTTTGCATTGTGGCAGCACTCAAGCACACACAGGAGCAGAGGATGATGAGTCCCTGGACTCAGCTGGGAGCTGGAAGGGATGGATGCCTCAGTGAATTCGGAAATAAATGATGATGCAACAGGACTGCAGATTGCTCAGGGGATTTGGAAATAGCAAAACAGACGGGCAGAGAGAGGTGCCTTTGAGAGCTGGCCCTGCACTAGAGTATAGGAAACTGGAAGGATGAGTTTATAACCAAAGTCACTAGCACAACTGTGATTCTCCAGAAGCTCCATGGTTTGGGGCCACCTTAACATTCATATCTCAGCTCACTGTGCAAGGCCCAACCTCCATCTGGACAGTATCACCCCTCAAGAGCCCACTCCACCCAACCTGAGCTTGTGTTTTCCAGACATGCCTGCACCCCAAGGCTTCCCCATTACCCCCATTCTGCCATTATCCTCCTTGCCACTTCCCTATGTTCCCAGGCCCATCCCACGTGCAACACTGCTCACCACCACCACATGGGGCCTCTGGTCATCCCTTTTTGGTCAAAAGGAAAAGTACAGGAGCTTCCAGGCCATCCTGGAAAGGTTTTCAGGCATAGAAAACACGAAGAGCAGGTGGGCAATACTTTGTGGTGCTGCCAGGAATCCTAAATACAGGTGAAAACATGGAAATTGCAATTCTCACCCAGCTAATTTTAGACTGACACTGGTGGGTGGAGAGACGGGGTATCTTGAGGCTCTCCAAGCTCAGTTTTAAAATGATTCTCTGCATTCCTGTGATAATTTTGAATAATTTGGGCCTGGTCTTTATAGGCATATAAAATGCTTTGCATTCCTTTGGGAATGTCATACTGAGTGTGAAAACCAAAAGGGATATTGTAAGTGGTCATTCTTCATTCCAGAGCCACCTGTGTCCACGCAACGATTCCGGATCACCCGCCGTGGGCACTCGGAAGCATGTTTATGCATGTAGCTCTGCACACGGGGGGGCGAGTGCTAATCAGCCAGAATGAATGTACTATCCCCATCTCTGATTCCACAGCAGGGTTCCTGAGTCACACACACCACACACAAAAGAAGCTCAGATTTATGCATTGCCTGATTGTTCTGGTCCTTAAGCTGAGTTTTAGGTAATTGGAAAGGTATCTTGCAAGTAACACTCTCAGCAGGACACAATTTATTATGCATGAAAGTTGAATCGTGAGAAAGGGAGTTGCCCCAAGTTGGCTGATGAGCTGATGAGTCTGGAGGGAGGCAGAGCCCTTCACGAAGCCATCTGACCTTCTCCCTGCCTGGACCAGGCACTGTGTATTTGCCCAGATGCATGTAAGTGTTCTTTGCTTGGTGCTGCCCAGGAAGACGGAGATGGATCCACAGGAGGAAGCCAGGCCACTCTCGGCACCTTTGCCTTGTCAAGAAGGGCTGGGTCTTCTTTGAGGACTTTGCCCTGCTGCAATGACAGGAAATGAGTTGAACTGGCATCTTATTTCCTTAGTCAGAGGGGCATCTTCTGTCTTCGGCCAGCTCCCAGGCACAATTCCTGGCAGATTCTCTCAAATCTGCTCCCCTAGCTGAACCACGCGATGCTCAGGATATTGCCTCTGAGTGTTCGCCTTATTTCTGCTGCTGGAACTACTGTTTGCCCACATCCAGGCTCCAAACCACGGCCCACGGCTCCCTCCCCTAGCCCCACCACATTCTCCAGGTTGTGAATCCCAAACATTCTCTCTCTATGAAGGCTCCTGGCCTCTCCATTCCTCTTTGCTGTCCCTTTGCTCTACTCTGGTTCTCATGACCTGCCTCTTTTTGGAACCGTTAGACTATTCTTCCAGCTCACGACCTTGTTTTCATACCTCCCTTTTCTCTTGTGTCAGCCAAAGTCCCCAAGTTAATGCTCCTAAGGCAGTAAGCTGGTACCTGTCCCCAGCGAAGACTTCAGCGGTTCCTGATTCTCTGCAGAGCTCACTCAGAGCACCTTTGCTGGAGGCTGGTGGCCCTTGCAACTCAGCTTAGGGCTCTACTTCCAGCACCCCCTCCCACCCATAGCTGGACCATCCTCCCCACGGGGTCTCGGGAGGGTCACACCCTCCCCCTCCCACTCTCTCCTGTCTTCTGTACTCTGGTATGCCCTTGCCACCCCCACCTTTCATGGCCTCTCCTCCCATGCCACCCCTCCAGGAGCCCCTCCTCAGCCTCTGCCTGGAGGCCTTCTACCCACAAGCTTCCACTTCTTCCACAGGAAATGGGCCAGGAGCCTCTCCCAGGCCCTTCCTTATGCAGCATGGCTCTGCTGTTCAGTTTTAGCCCATGGTGCTGATCTCCTTTGAGCATTCTAAGCTCAAGAATCATAGGGAATCTGGCCAGAGCCCTCTTGTTGTTACTGTCAGATGTGATCCCTGAGAATGGGATAATCCTGTAATTCAGGTGTTCTAAAATAAAATACAGGGAACACCAAACCCTGCACTGCTTCCTGTAATTGCATGTCTTAATGAGAGTGTTCCTGACATATCCAGTTCCATTGCATAGCTGTGCTGACAGGGACACAGCCACTTAATGGCAAGAGCAAGAAAAATATTGTCCCAGAGAATATCACATAGTTTATGTATCAAGTTCTCTAAGGTTCTGCGTGATTAGAGGCAAACAATTCAACCTGCCACCATTGTGTGCTGTTCATGAGAAAGGCTGATTCTTTCTACAAATTCTTCATTAATTCTCATCACCACTTAGGAGCACGGACGCCTCCCAAGACTTTTCTTTTCTCCAAATAATTCCTCTTTTTTATTTAGATAGGAACAGTGTGACCCTAGCTGAAGGGGCTGGGAAGATGTCTTTAATTTTTGGACAGGGCTTAACCCTTTGGTACCAGGACAGACATCAGGTGCCCCCGAGTCCTGAGTCTACTTGGGAATATTGTGATGGTCCCTGTTGACATAAACATCCTTGTGCCTTTGTCTTAAAGCAGGAGAAGAAAGCAGTCTGCACTATTATTCATGACGTGGCATCCCAAGCCGTAAGACTAAAGAATGGCTTTGGCAACAGGACTTAAAACTGATCTTGGCACAACCTTTCATTAACCTGCAAAAGATTAATTTTATTTCCCAGTAACTTAACAGAATTCAAAAGCTAGGAGAAAAGGCTTAAAGGAAAGTCAACCTTAGATATGTTTCTAAATATATCTTAACTCAGAAATATTCCCCCTCAGTCCTAGCATAGAATTATAATAGCTCTTCATCTTCAAAAAGTGTGCATGAAGGGTTCCAGCTCTTAGTGGTCCATAAACAAATGGTTGCAGGAGTCAAGAACTCAGGGTCGGAGAGGCTCCTGGATCTAGAAACATCACTGCCAGTCACTCAGGGGCAGGGACAAACCCCAGAGAGGGTCTACCTTAGCAACAGGACACATCCTGTGTGCCCATCTCAACCACAGGCCATCACATGCTGAGCGCTTCCATGTGCCAGGCACCATGTTGAGTGCTTCATGAGTTCCATCACATGTGTGCCTCCACAACACTGATGAGATGGGAAGGAATGCTTTATGGATGAGGAGACTGCGTCTCTGGGAGATGGCACCGTGGGATGGGGTGAAGGCAGGGTGTCAGAGCAGATCCTCCCAATGCTTGGCTAAACTGCCCACCTGTAAGGCAACCTAGAAGATACCAGACCTCCCTGTTGCTCAGATAAAGGGTCTGGGTGCTTGGGGTTGGAAGTTTGGAAAGCATCCTGGTGACGGCCATTCCCAGCTATGTGACCCTGGCCAACTTACTCCCTGTCCCAGGGCCTCTGAGATAAGACAGGATGTGGTGAGGCTGCCAGCTGCTGTGTGTGCTGTATGGGAGCAAGCAAGCCTACTCTGCAAATCAGAGAGAAAGCACCATCCGCACCTGGACAGCCGCTCTCTGTCCTGCCGTCTCCCTGAACAGAGCTGCATGCCCAGATTTGGTGCAGTCTCCTTGCTGGCCTCACAATCAGCTTTCCATGACACAGACCTGCCCATGGACCCCAGCATGGAACCAGGACTGGGCGAGGACTTGCCCTCAACCCACCCGTTGTGCCTAGCTAGACCCCAAGCCTCCTGTGTCCCCCATTGCGGGTCCCAAAGCCACCCGCACCCCCTGCCTTGGCACCTCCACACAGAGGCTCTCCCTTCATGCTTGCCCTCCTGACCGTGTGCCAGGAACCCCTGCTCAGCCCACACAGAGCCAGCTCCTGCGGCATCTCCCAGAGCCCTTCTAGACTGACGGCCGCGCCCCTGCAGCTCTTCTCCTGCTACAGTGGGGACTTCAGGGAACATTCCCAGCTTAAATCATGACACCCAAAGGACAAGGGCATAAATGGCATAAATGGGATTTGGAGCCTGAATTTTCTTAGTGTCTAGAGACAGAAGAGGATGGTAATCTAGGGCTTTGCGGGGAAGCGTGAATGGAGAGGCCATGCTGCCTCCCAGGTAGGGGAGAGAGGCTGTTACCAGTGCTGGGTGAGGCAGACCATGGAGAGCACTCTGATCGCCAGCGGGGTTGGGCATCACTCTCAGATCTTTTGTTCTTTTTGACAGTATCTCTCTCTGTTGCCCAGGTTGGAGTGCAATGGCACTATCACGGCTCATAGCAGCCTTGCCCTATGGGGCTCAATTGATCCTCCTGCCTCAGCCTCCCAAGTAGCTGGGACTATAGGCACACACCACCATGCCCACCACACCTGGCTAATTTTTAAATTTTTTGTAGAGATGCGGTCTCACTATGTTGCTCAGGCTGGTCTTGAACTCTTGGGCTTAAATGATCCTCCCACCTCAGCCTCCCAAATTGCTGGGATTACAGGCATGAGCCACTGCACCCAGCCTCACTCTGAGATATTAATGTGCATGATTAGACTTTTTAGTATTCATGTAATTTGTGGCTTGGTAAGGGAATACAATAAATATACTTTTTTGTTTGTTTGTTTGACTGGTTGTTGTAAAGAGTGAAGTAGGGAGGCAACAACCAAGGGAACTGGCTCATCAGAGCACTTTCCCCAAACCTCCCGTTCTTCAGTGAAAACAGAATCTGAGGGGAACTAACCTAAAGTTGCTAATTTAAGACTCTGGAGTGATCACAGCAATATATTAAATTAGATCTTAGAAACTGAGACTAGGAAAATCAAAAGAAGGAAGGAAGGGAGGGAGGGAGGGAAGGGGAGGGGAGGGGAAAGGAGGGAGGGAGTCATATGGGAGGAATGAGCTAACCCTCCACACAGATCCTTTTTGGAAGTTGTCAGGGTATAAATAAAACACAAATACTATTAAAGTGCTAATTATTGACAAATTGTTGTCAAGCAGAAGTCCTGCTTCGCCTATTTAAATGCCTAGGCTATACTTAAAATGTTTATATGCATAAATTAATGTAATTGGTGAATGGAGTATGAAATGAACAGAACTTAACAATACCTTATAGTTTGGACCAGGTGCAGGGAAACATTCTCAAACATCTGACTTGTCAAATATTTTAAAGCAGCGTTATTGCTTTCAAGCAATTCTGTTACCTTGCAATTAACAAGCTTATGTTTCAAAGGAGTTCTTTCAGTGGCCTACTTTAATAAGTGAAAGCTAACATTTGAAATTAACAGCCAATTTGTACATGTTTGTTGAAATTCTTAAGGACATTAGTATCTTAAGTAGGTTAGGCAGCTTCCTTGCTAATGTTTGAACATCGATGTAATTGGTCCACACAGCATTTTGTCCACCCTAATAGCCTGCCTCTCCTGTGTGACAGTCTTCTAACGATCCTCACATTCCAACACCCATGTGAAATGAAATGGGCCCAGGGAGGGGTGTTACTCCAATGTTGCAGGAAACCGGGATTCTGAGATTCAGAGAACCCCACCATCCACCTGAAATCCCTAAGGGGGTGATGAGCGAGACCTGGGTTCAGCCTGGGTCTTCCAACCCCAGGTTCTACGCTCTTACAGCTCCTCTAGCACCCATCCAGAACCAAGCTCCTGACCCAGCAAGAGAGGCCACCTCTCTCTAACTGCCAGGCCCCTCTGTGAAGACTGTAGGGCTTTGCGGGAGCCTGGGAGCAC
This sequence comes from Homo sapiens, assembly GCF_000001405.40. Classification (NCBI taxonomy): domain Eukaryota; kingdom Metazoa; phylum Chordata; class Mammalia; order Primates; family Hominidae; genus Homo; species Homo sapiens. Next base: position 24,615,522 of record NC_000020.11, read on the forward strand.
AAGGAACCCATGCTGCACCCACTTCATCCTCCCCATGGACCCGGGGCCAGGCAGGCTTTTTTGGTGTCCAGAACTCACCCGGGTTCCTCCCCAAGTGGCCTCTTCTCACAGGCACATTTTCAGAGGGGACACACACAGGTCCTCAGTTTATCCCCACACTGCTGTCCCCGAAACAGGCGCCCAATGGAAGGTCTGCACGGTCTTTCATCTTCCACCTCCTCCTCTCAGCATGCTGCTGCCCGAAGTTCTTAATGTCCTCCTGCAGCTCAGAGAACATGGGATTCTTCCCTCTCCCCTCCCCGCCCCACCTCCCCCACCCGCCCCTCTCTGTAGAGGAAGGACCCCTAAGAGGTCCAGGGAAATCATTTAGCACATCCACGAGCCTGGGTGGAAAATTAGTTACATCATTATTTTTATCAACCTCTACCTGAAATTTAGCACTTCCTCCAATTAGGAGTGTAAGCAACACACGGCAGAGTTTGTTGTGACTTTGCACCAGGAGAAACCACAGATGTCTTCACATCACATAACAGCTGTTGATGGTATTTTAAAATATTGTTTATGCTCATCACTACTTTAAAAATGCAAACCCAAATGTTAGTTATTATTTAGTGTCTTAAAGTAGCCCATATATTTCTATATTGATTATGATTTTTAATGTTTCCAAAGCTCTATTTCAATATATTTGGTTCCTCTTTTAAGCCTCTGTATTTTATTGTATACATTTAAGAACACTATTCCGAGACAGGGGCTGTGGCTCTAAGAAGGTGAGGTTCCCCACCTGGCATTGTGACATGTTGTCCATCTGGCCGGCACCTCCTTCCCACCCAGCTCAAGGCCTTTCACCAAGGCCTTTCCAGGGGCTCGCGCCCCTCCTCCACCTGCATCCTCCCAGCTCTGCCTTTGGGGATTTTAATTTGAAGGAAATAAGCTCCCATTCCAGACAGGGCCGAGGTTGGCTGGGCCAACCTGCCTCCCCTCTGGCAGTGAAAGGCCTGCCCTCTGCACTCTCAGCCACCTCAGGGCCCAGGTTTCTGGGTTCAGCAGAAGGAAGCACAGGAGCTGATTTGCGGGGAGCAGCAGCAGCTCCCAGGAGAAGGCGCAAGGAGGCCCCTGCAAGGCGGAGCAGAAAGGAGCAGGTGCAGGGGGTGAGGCAGCTGGACAGGGCTGAGGCAGCTGGATGAGGCTTCAGCCTTCACACCTGGAGAGCAACTGGCTGAGCTTGGAGGAGAGAAAATCACCTGCTAGCTTCGCTGTTTGCTGCTGCTGTGATGCCCGGCTGCTCCTCATAAGGTATGCACTTCCCAACCCTTCACTGAGCTACTGTCGCCAGGCAGGGTGCCGGCACTGGGGACACTGCACAGAGCAGGACCAAGGCGCCATCCTTGTAGGGTTTGAAATACCAGGCCACGTAGCAGAGCCCCGGTGGCTGCTGACCTTCAGGGTGTGGGCCAAGGAGGTGGCTTCGGTGGCTTCTGGAGGTATCTGCCCGCTTCCACAGCCCTCTGCGGCACCCGTGCACTCTCAGGCCTCTCCCTCTTCCTGTAGCTGCTTAAGTCACTCAGGAGGTTTACATAACAGACAGAAAATTTACCCGGTGTGATAGGTGGGCCGAGAAGAGGTGGCCGCCTGGGTGCTGTCCCCAGGGTTCTCCTGCAGCACGGGGCCTGCACCCCATCGCATGACTCTGCAAGGGGCTGCTCACCCTCCAGCCGTCCCCACCGAACCTCCGTGCTCCTGGCCCGCATCCTTCCTCTCCCTCACCTCCTAAACTCGGTCACCGACTCTGCCCCATCAGGACACCCTCCTCTCTGCTGCCCTGTCACCTCCGCACCCAGCTGACTGAGGGACAAAAGGGGACATGGCACTGCTCTGAACCCAGGAAAGCTGGGAATGGACTTGCGTGCCTTCCTCACAGTCACAGCTGCATCCTTTGGAGATGCAGCAGCAATGCCTGTGAGACAAGACCTTTAATGAGCTTCTAGACACTGCCCTCCGGGTGCTCCTGAGAACTCGACTTTGTCAGAGTCTCCTCCTTCTGCGAAGGGGCCCCAGACATAGGCAACCCATTTCACCCTCAGACTCCTCTGCCGACCCAGCAAAGCCCGGGGGTGCATTTTGTCCTCTGAGATTTACCACAAGGAAGCCCCCCAAAAGAGTAGGCGAACCCAGGACCTTCTCAGCTGTGCTCCTGGCCAAGGAGAGCCCAGGGGAGGCTGAGGGAGAGCTCGGGAAGCTTAAGGAGGGTCTGGGAGAGGGGAGAGCCCGGGAAGGGGGTCCTGGGGGAGGGTCTGAGAGTGGGGAGAGACCGGGAAGGGGGGTCCTGGGGGAGGGTATGGGAGTGGGGAGAGGCTGGGGAGGGTTGAGAGCCCGGGGAGCGGGGAAAGCCTGGAGAAGCGGGAGAGCCCGGGGAGTGGGGAGAGCCTGGGGAGGGGGAGACCCCGGGTGGGGGCTGAAGTCTGGAGAGCGGGGAGAGCCTGGGGAAGGGAGATGCTGAGAGAGAGCCCGGGGAGTGGGGAGAGCCCGGGAAGCAGGAAGAGCCGGGGGAAGAGGGAGAGCTCGGGTAGGGGGGAACCCGGGGAGTGGGGAAAGCCCGGGGAGGGGGGTCCTGAGGGAGAGCCCAGGAGTAGGGAGAGCCCAGGGAAGGGGGAGACCCTGGGGAAGGGGGAGAGCCTGGGGAGGGGTAAGAGCCCGGGGAAGGGAGAGAGCCCGGGGAGAGGGGAGAGCCCCGGGAGGGGGGAGAGTCCCGGAAGGGGGGTCCTGAGGGACAGCCCAGGGAAGGGGGAGAGCCCAGTGAGGGCAGAGAGCCCAGGGAGCGAGGAGATCCCGGGGAGGGGGGAGAGCCTGGGGAAGGGGGTCCCTGGGGAGGGCCCAGGGAGAAGGGTTCTCTACCATCTCTGGGAGGCAGAGCACCAGGCCTCGTGGGCACCACGGGGCTCAGCCTCTCCTTCTCTTGTCGGGGTCATTTCTGACCAGACAAATTATGTCCCGACTAGCCTGCTATTCTGCCAACCCAAAGGGGTATTCTCCTCTATACTCCGAGGAAAAAAAGACATCATCCCAACAGCAGCTTCATTAGCTTTATATTTTCCTCTCATCTTTTGAAGCTGGAAGAAGAGGTTCTGTGTTAAAAATGTTCCTTCCCACTGTGCATAATGCTAATGTCCTCCACATATTAAAGTTAATGGAGTATTTTACACACTGAGAAGAGCTGCTGTGACCTTTTCTTCTTTTGGATGAGTCTCTTATTTTTTTCTCTCTTACCTCTTCCCCTCCATGTGACTCTTTTTCCTTTTTCCTTTCTTTGTTTTTTATTTTATTTATTTTGTGGTGGTTGTTGTTGTTTCAGATATGTAACTGCTGTAGCCAAGAGACCAGGGCATTAGGGCTTGTATTTCCTTAATTGCAACAACAGCAAAAAATATCATCAAATAATATAGAGGGAGACAAAACGCACCTGTTTTCTTCCAGGTATGGCCTCTGTAGAACCTCCTGCTCTTATATGAGAAGACTGAGGTTTACAGTCTCTTTTGCAGGGCAGGAGTGTTGAAGCCTCCTGGAATTTAAAACTGCCAAAAGGGTTAAAGAAAAGCTGTGGTCTTGAGTCTATCTCATTGTTTTAAATGCTGGAAAAATGAAAATGCCTATGTTAAGCCTGTGTGTCTGACTTAGTGGAACCCTCAGCCCTCAGCCAAACTTGACTAGTGTTACACCTCAAGGATCCTTTAATCGGGTGCATAACAAGGATCTGGACTGGCTGCGCAGTGTGTCCACATAAGCTCCTAAGGCCTTCACTGCAGCTTTTCTGAAGAGTGGGGACCCAGGGCCATTCCTCCTGGGCCCACTGGTCATTGTCATCATCAAGTCTGTTCTCTTTAAATGTTGCTGTTATGAAAGGAGCTGGAGGGTAGCCAATCACTTGTACAACACTACTTCAGTCTTGTTTCACTTCTCAATATTTGCAAAGTGATAAGAGAGACAAGTCTGCCATCCTCATGTTCCTGTTCGTAGATGATTCTCAGGGGAGCTGGTATTTATGTGACATAAACAAGAGCATGCATTTGCAAGTGCATGCACACACATAATTCAAGAACCTTGCTATACATTGTATTTATTTTTAATGTTTATAATTAAGATAAATGTAGTGTTGCCACTATATAATAGCATAGCCCAGACTGACTACATTATCTTCATGATGTTATTAGACAACAAAGCTCCAGCCATTAAAGGAAAGTCATCTTTTAGTGACCAGAACATACTGTATCCCAGACCCCATGTGGCATGACCCAGCCTAACTTTCATGTGCAAAATCAGGGTTCTGTATCTTCCATTTGAGTGGCATTGAGGGAGAGAAAGGGTGATGCAGAGGCTTCCAAGTTCAGACCCTGCATGATGCAAGGCATGTTGTGGAGTTCTGCACATGAGGAAACTGAGGCCGTGGGAGTTTAAATATGGACTCAGCTAAAGAGGTTCAAAATCCTGGCCACCCTGGAGAGCTTCCCTAAGACCCTACAGGAGAAGGTAAATTCTTCTTCAGGACAACTTTGTGTCAGTTCCTGCAACCTTCAAGCCACAATCTATGTGATTCTTATCAGTTTTAAAGGAAAGTATTTTATACACAACTCCAGATCCCTGTTTTCTGATAAACCTCAAAATTGTATTTACAACACTGATCTATTTATTGCTGCTACCCATACATGGTGGCATAAACAACTTTTTCATTATGCTCATGATTTCTTTGGTTGGGAGTTCAAGAAGCAGCATGAGGATGGTTTGTCTCTGCACCATGATGTCTGGGACCTCAGCTAGGAAGACCCAAGGCTGGGGGGTGACCTGACAGCTAGGAGGAAACATCTGGAGGTGTCTTTACTCCCACATTTGGTCATCAGTGCTGGCTGTTTGCAGGGACTTTAAACAAGCCATCCATAGGAGGCCCATCTCATTGCCTTTCCATGTGGTTTCTGCACATAGGCTAATTTGAGCTTCCTCACAACACGGCAGCTGGCTTCCTCAAGCAAACGTCCTACATCAAGGTGGAGCACAAGATCTGGTTATGATCCAACCTTCAAAGCTAGGCAGCATCACTTGTACTGGACTGTACTGGTCAAGGCATTCATAGGAGGAGACATAGATGTCAAGGCTCTGGAAGATTATAAGGGATGGGAAAAATTGCAGCTGCTATTTTGGGACTATATAGTCTGCCACAGCTGTATTTCCAAGGATGAAAGAAAACTATACACATAACGTATTTGTATTAATAGGTTCATAGGAAAATGAATAATGACGGAACAATTGTTTTCCTAAATACTTTATTCAAATCAATATATCAAATTAACAAAATCTCTTTGACCTAAAATGCCTTCTGTCAGTTCTTATAAGTTCATGGCATTATTTCAGTAAAAGGTAAAAGGCAATTTGACTGAGATGCTATTATAACCTCTCAGGTGCCCGTTGGCATACAAAGCAATGATGATAAACACATTACCTGATGGAGATAAAAGGGCTAAGAATCTTGTGAATCTTCAGTGGGCAAAGTAAACAGCATTATGTTGATAATGCTAAATGATAGCATTAAATATTTTAAGAGTGTTAAAAAATAAGCTAAGTTAGCATATTCCATCAAATATCTGCAGCCTGATGTTTTGTATGTGTACAAGAAAGGAATAGAAACTGTCTCAACAAAAGAGAGCAACCTTAAAGCATTTGCTAATCTTCCACATGCATCTCACTTGTTATTCTAAAAACAAAGTGTTGGGAAAGCTTATCTATTTACTTTTGCTACTTAAGTAAATAACTTATCACATCATAAGTGCATTGCACTTTGAAGGTTTCAGTTGGTTGGCTTAGCACATGGTAAACACCAATTTGGCATTCTCTCTTGTTAAGTGGCCATTTGCAAAATGTATTATTTCAGATTTGCTGAAATACTGAATTTCTAAGTTTACACTCTGCTTATTCATATTTTTAAATAACTCTTTTGCCATTTGGTCCCAAACCCATGTGCTGATGTGTCTGCTGGGTCTCATTTCTTCCCCTGTATTAGTATCTGAAGCAGTGGCATCCTTTTTTTGGGGGAAAACTCTACCCTGGGAAGGGACAGAAAGATTTGAAAGTCATACCCTTTTCTGGAGTGCACCCCAGGCCAACTATGCACTCCAAAGAATGATACTTGATCAGATCAGAGAACATGTCCTTCCCTATGCCCTACCACCATGTGAATGAGCTTCCAGTATAATAACCATGAGTTGAGCTTGAAAAACCACAAGACATATACTCTGACTTAGGTGCCATATATAAGGGAATCCAAATGCCAAGAGAAGAGGCAAAAATAAGGACATTAGAAGTTTCTGACACCTAAATCTACACCAAACATTGAATACACTTCAACTCCTGGCCAAATTAACATCAATTCTCACTTGAAAGTCTTATTTAACTCAGTATCTTCTGCTCTATACCATATGTCTATATTTCAACATAATATTACAAGGCAGGCCAAAAGTCAAGAGAACACTGATGAGACAAAATAATCATCAGAACCAAACTCAAATATGACTCAGATGTTGGAATTATCAGACATGTAATTTAAAACAATTATGATCAATATGTGAAAGACGTTGATGGAAGAGGTAGACAACACATAAGAAAATGGATGTCAGCAGAAAGATGAAAAGAAATGCCAGTAATACAAAACAGACAAAGAAATGAATAATTTTTTATTGGGCTCATATGTAGATTTGACATGGCTGAAGAATCAGTGACCTTGAGGATAGGTGAAAGGAAATGACCCAAACTGAAACACAAAGAAAAAAAGGATGGAAAATAAAACAGAGCAGGACAGGAAATCCAGGAATGTGGAACAATACAAAATAGTGTAACACAGGGGTCTCCAACCTCCAGGCCACAGACCAGTACTGGTCCATGGCCTGTTAGAAACTGGGCCACACAGCAGGAGGTGAGTGGCTGGTGAGCAAGCATTACCACCTGAGCTCTGCCTCCTGTCAGATCACTGGTGGCATTAGATTCTCATAGGAATGCAAACCGTATTATGAACTGCACATGTGTGGAATCTAGGTTGCATGCTCCTTATGAGAATCTAATGCCTGATGACCTGAGATGGAACAGTTTCATCCCGAAACCATCCCCTCTGCACTGATCCGTGGAAAAATTGTTTTCCATGAAATTGGTCCCTGGTGCCAAAAAGGTTGGCAACCACTAGTGTAACATATGAAAATTGGAATACCAGAAGAAGAAACAAGAAATATTTTTTAAAATCATGGCCAAGAATATTCCAATATTAGTCATAGACACCAAGCCACTGTCTTAAGAATCTTAGAAAACATCAAGCAGAATTAGAACAAAAAACAAAAACAAACCAACAACAACCAAAAGTAACTGAGATATATCCTGTTTAAACCATAGAAAATTGAAACCAAAGAGAAAATCTTGAATACATCTGAAAAGAATGAGGACATTCTCTTTAGAGAAACAAGGATTAAAACTACTGCAGACTTCTCATCAGAAACTGTGCAACTCTGTAATCTGAGCTACTCGGGAGACTGAGACAGGAGAATTGCTTGAACATAGGAGTCGGAGGTTGCAGTGAGCTGAGATCATGCCCCTGCACTCCAGCTTGGGTGACAGAGCAAGACTCCGTCAAAAAAAAAAAAGAAAAGAAAAAAGAGACTGTGCAACTAAGAATGCAGTTGACTGTAATCTTTAAAGATCTGAAGAAACAAATAAAGAAAAAATACTGGCAAGTTAGAATTGCATATTCAGTAAGAATATCCCTCAAAAGTCAAGGATAAAATAGAAACTATCTCAGATAAACAGCTGATGGAATTCATTGCCAGCAGGTCTGAAGTCTATAAGAAATAGCAAGGAAATTCTTCAAACAGAAGGAAAATGTTACAGGTCAGAAATTTGGATCTACATAAAGAAAAAAAGTACAGCAAAAAAGAATAACTAGAAGTGAAATAAAATATTTTGTTTTTCTTACTCATAATTTATCTAAAAGATACTATCCATTAAAAGCAAAAATAGTGATGCTGGCTTTGGTGATTAGAGCATGTGTTCAAGTGAAAAACGAAAACAGCATCCCAAGAAATGAGAAGGGCATTGACAAATACTCTGTTGTGAGGTACCCGCACGACACATGGAGCAGTATGGTATTATTCGAGGGTAAATTTAGATTAGTTTAAGATGTATACTATGAACCCTGGGCACTAAACTATATATTAAAAAAGAAGTATAAATAATAAGTCAGTAGAGGAGATTAAATGGAATCATGTAAAATGTTCAGTTGAAACTAGAAGATTCTGAAAAAGAGGGGGAAAAAACCAGAACAAATCCAACAACCTTACAAAGATGGCAACCATTAATCTGACTGTATTAATTATCAGTTATATATGACATTTAAAAGACAGACTGTCAAACTGGAGTTTTAAAAATGAGACCCAACTGGCTGGGTGCGGTGGCTCACACCTGTAATCCCAGCACTTTGGGAGGCCAAGGCCGACGAATCACGAAGTCAGGAGATCAAGACCATCCTAGCTAACATGGTGAAACCCCATCTCTACTAAAAATGCAAAAAAATAGCTGAGTGTGGTGGTGGGTGCCTGTAGTCCCAGCTACTTGGGAGGCAGAAGAATGGCATGAACCCGGGAGGTGGAGCTTGCAATGAGCCGAGATCCTGCCACTGCAATCCAGCCCGGGTGACAGAATGAGACTCCATCTCAAAAAAAAAAAAAAAAAATGAGACCCAACAGAATGCTGTTTATAAGAAACCTACTTTAAATATAAAGATACAGATGTGTTAAAATTAAGGAATGGAAAAAGATGTACTATGCTAACACTAATCAAAATAAAGCTGAAGTGGCTGTATTAATTTGAGAAAAAGCTGACTTCAGAACAACAAAGATTATCATAGATAAGGAGGCACACTGGATATGATGAAGGGTTCGATTATCTAAGAAGATACAACAGTCCTAAACATGTGTGCTCCTAACCACAAAGAGTCAAAACATGAGGCAAAAACTGATAGAAATGAAAGAAGAAGATACAATGGTAGTTAGAGATTTTCATGCTCATTTGTCAGTAATTGATAGATCAAGCAGAGAGAAAAGTAGTGAAGATATAAATCATAAAAAATGACCTGAATAGCACTATCAATCAACTTGACCTTATTAACATTAAAAGAACATTTCATTCAACAACAGCATAATATACATTCTTCTCAGGGGCACGTGAAGCAGTCACAATATAGGCCATATTCTGGGTCACAAAAAAATCCTCAAAAGATTAAAAACAGTAGAGAAAATAAAAAGTATGTGAGGCAGACAACAAAATAATTAAGACAGAACTAAATAACAGAAAGATACAGGTTATTTCTCAAATATTTGGAACTTAGAAAAAAACCCTTCTCAATAACCCATGGTCAAAGAATAAATCTCAAGGAAAACTTAAGAATATTTCAACTTAGTGTACATGAAAATATAATTTAAAATTTGGGAGATGTAGTTAAAGCAATGTTTAAAGGGAAATTTATAGCATTAAATGCATATCTTAGAAAAAATGAAAGATTCAATATGTATAATCTAAACTACCTTAGGGCACTAGAGAAATAACAAATTAAACAAAAGGAAGGAAATAACTACAATTAGAGAAGAAATGAATAACATTATAAACGGGAAAAATGTAGAGAAAAACAACAAAACCAAATGTCAGTTCTTTGAAAAGCAAACATAAAAATTGAAGAAATCAACACAATTAATAAACCTCTAGCCAGGCTAACCAGGAGATAAAGACAACACAAATTATCAATATCATGAAAGAAAGACGGGCCATCACTCCAAATGCCTGGGACATTTTTTTTTTTTTTTTTTTTTGATCATTCTTGGGTGTTTCTCGCAGAGGGGGATTTGGCAGGGTCATAGGACAATAGTGGAGGGAAGGTCAGCAGATAAACAAGTGAACAAAGGTCTCTGGTTTTCCTAGGCAGAGTGTTTGTGTCCCTGGGTACTTGAGATTAGGGAGTGATGATGACTCTTAACGAGCATGCTGCCTTCAAGCATCTGTTTAACAAAGCACATCTTGCACCGCCCTTAATCCATTTAACCCTGAGTGGACACAGCACATGTTTCAGAGAGCACAGGGTTGGGGGTAAGGTCATAGATCAACAGGATCCCAAGGCAGAAGAATTTTTCTTAGTACAGAACAAAATGAAAAGTCTCCCATGTCTACTTCTTTCTACACAGACACAGCAACCATCCAATTTCTCAATCTTTTCCCCACCTTTCCCCCTTTTCTATTCCACAAAACCGCCATTGTCATCATGGCCTGTTCTCAATGAGCTGTTGGGTACACCTCCCAGACGAGGTGGTGGCCGGGCAGAGGGGCTCCTCACTTCCCAGTAGGGGTGGCCGGGCAGAGGCGCCCCTCACCTCCCGGATGGGGCGGCTGGCCAGGCGGGGGGCTGGCCCCCCCACCTCCCTCCCGGACGGGGTGGCTGGCCAGGTGGGGGGCTGACTCCCCCACCTCCCTCCCGGACAGGGTGGCTGGCTGGGCAGAGGGGCTCCTCACTTCCCAGTAGGGGCAGCCGGGCAGAGGTGCCCCTCACCTCCCGGACGGGGCGGCTGGCCGGGCAGGGGGCTGACCCCCCACCTCCCTCCCGGACGGGGCGGCTGGCCTGGCGGGGGCTGACCCCCACCTCCCTCCCGGACAGGGTGGCTGCCGGGCGGAGATGCTCCTCACTTCCCAGATGGGGTGGCAGCCGGGCGGAGGGGCTCCTCACTTCTCAGAGGGGGCGGTTGCCAGGCAGAGGGTCTCCTCACTTCTCAGACAGGACGGCCGGGCAGAGACGCTCCTCACCTCCCAGACAGGGTCGTGGCCGGGCCGAGGCGCTCCTCACATCCTAGACGGGGCAGCAGGGCAGAGGCGCTCCCCACATCTCAGACGATGGGCGGCCGGGCAGAGACGCTTCTCACTTCCTAGATGGAATGGCGGCCGGGAAGAGGCACTCCTCACTTCCTAGGTGGGATGGCGGCCGGGCAGAGACGCTCCTCACTTTCCAGACTGGGCAGCCAGGCAGAGGGGCTCCTCACATCCCAGACGATGGGCGGCCAGGCAGAGACGCTCCTCACTTCCCAGATGGGGTAGCGGCCGGGCAGAGGCTGCAATCTCGGCACTTTGGGGGGCCAAGGCAGGCGGCTGGGAGGTGGAGGTTGTAGCGAGCCGAGATCACGCCACTGCACTCCAGCCTGGGCACCATTGAGCACTGAGTTAACGAGACTCCGTCTGCAATCCCGGCACCTCGGGAGGCCGAGGCTGGCGGATCACTCACGGTTAGGAGCTGGAGACCAGCCCGGCCATCACAGCGAAACCCCGTCTCCACCAAAAAAATACGAAAACCAGTCAGGCGTGGCGGCGCGCGCCTGCAATCGCAGGCACTCGGCAGGCTGAGGCAGGAGAATCAGGCAGGGAGGTTGCAGTGAGCCGAGATGGCAGCAGCACAGTCCAGCTTCGGCTCGGCATGAGAGGGAGACCGTGGAAAGAGAGGGAGAGGGAGACCGTGGGGAGAGGGGGACCGTGGGGAGAGGGGGACCGTGGGGAGAGGGAGAGGGAGAGGGAGAGGGAGAGCGAGAGCGAGAGCGAGAGCGAGAGCGAGAGCTGCCTGGGACATTGAAAGGAGAATAAGAGAATGCTGTGAGCAACTCTGTACCTGTAAATCCAGTAACTTAGATGAAATTGACCAGTCCCTTGAAAATACAAATGACAAAGCTCACTGGAGGAGCAAGGGATAACCTGATTGCTCTACTTCAATGAAAACAGTGGTTCTCAGTCTTATCTACCTAAGGAATCTGGAAAACTTGAATGAAAAACTGTTGATGCCTGGGCCCTTCTGCTGGTGAATTTTGTGTGACTGGTCTAGGGTGAGGCCTGGGTGCTTGGGTTTTGAGAACTCCTCCCCTGATTCTGATGACCTACCAAAAGGATCATGCTGCAGTCTCCGCATTCCGATGTCCGTTGAACAAAAGGATATTTTTCCTGCACTTCAGAAAACATTCTCCGTAGTGCATCTTTCAAAGGCTAAAAGACATGAAGCCTTCCCCGGTTCCCGGGACTGGAACTGACACTGGTTTGATTCCCAGTCTCAGAAATGTCCATCAATCAATTCTCAGCAACAACAAAATGCTTTGCTACCAAACTAAAAGGGAATGCTTTTCTGAGTTTGTTTGATTACAGGGTCCCACTGCCAAGTGGAGAACAAGGTTGGGGGAACCCTAAGAATAAGCCCCCTCTTCAGCACTTCTTAATGCTGCCCTGGGGCAGGGCCGCCTCTGGAGGTTGGAGAATCAAGTGCTCAGTCACTTGGCGGAGATCCTCGGGCCGGAGAGCAGCGTAGTGATGAAAACTTGAAGAGGAGGCTCTCTGAGCTGTGGCAGTATCTTTAAATCTTTTATTCATGTCATTGGTGTGCAGCGTGGATGTTAAATCATCTTTGATTGTTCGTACTTATGGCACTTAGAGGAGCACAGGATGGTCCCCCTCTAGGACAGAGGAAGGAGGAAGCTGGTGAGCTGTGAGTACGGCTCGCTCTCCGGGGCATCCCCTGCATGCTCAGCCCCCTACTTCCTTTTGTAAAAATTATCTGGGAAGAAAAGAAAAGAATTAGCAACCGCTGCCAGGAAGCAGGTCGAAAGCTTTCTGGCACTGCCAGAGCCTGCGTGCCGTTAAGTCGACACTCTTCTGAAGGGAGTACCAGGGGAGCCCCGCAAACTTGGACGTCTGCAGCAAAGTACTCCTCTGCAGTCAGCAGCCCTGACACCTTCCATTATGCAGCTCTGTGCTCCCCATCCTGCCAGCCACTCTGCTTATTCATCCTCTGATATATTTATTGGTGTGTGGACCATCAACTGAGGTGGCCTCACTAAGGGCTTTATAGCAGAGAAAATGAAAAGATTTCCAAGTGAAGAAGGTCACTATTACTGACTGGAGGAAAGCGTGGCATGGACCCTGAGCAGAATTTCCACTTCAAGAAAGGCAATATCAATGCATAATGATATACATTTGTCCTCTAAGTGATGGACCTTGAAATTTCTTTTGCATTTTCTGCTCCCCACCCAATCAAAACACATTGTGAGTGGCAGTGGGGCCAGCAGAACCCTTGGGGAGGGGAGTCTGGCTGCAGCCAAGCTGGTGGTCCCCAGGAAGCACACACCCCTGCTCCACCCTTTCCCTTCTGCCAAATGCATCGCGCTAGGGCTCTGTCACCATTATCCGGAGTTGCATCCTCCACCTGCCCTTGATCATCCCAGAACAGGAAGTGAAGGTCAGCCTTGCTTTCCAGTCTCCACGCTTTGCAGATTGGGTGGGAGGGAAAGCAAGCAGGTTTGTAGGCTTTCTAAAGCCCCCCATATGGATTCTAAGATCTAGACCCTGAAAGGCAGGAAGATGATGATTTTGAGGGCATAGTGATCCTCATGAGAAAGACAGCCACAGCTACTCTGTATCTGTCCACGTTAGCCCCATGCAAATGGCTTTGTTTCAGGCAGAATGAATGCAGAGCTTGGACAGTGGAGGTGAATGCTCAGCTGAGAGGCTACAGATAGAACATGTGAGCCAGAAAGGCCGGCTCTGGCCTGCTACACACAAGCCATGCCAAGGGCAGGCCCAGGAGCCCACACACTCCTCTGTGACAGACGTGGACATGTCGGCTCCCCGCTTATGCTGAAGTGGCCTCCCAACAGTGAGGCGAGTGTGCCTCTGGGGTTCTCAGATGGGTCTTGCTGCTGCCCTTGGGGAGACTTCCTCAGCAGTGTCTTAGGATGGAGGAAAGTCCTAGGTGGAAATTCTTGGGCAAGAGAATCAAAACTGACTGCTTTGACTTCAGGGCCTTTCAAAGAGGCATGGCAATTAAATAAACAATATGCCAAGAAGAAATTGAGACAGGAAAAAGAGGAAAGGAGGGAGGCAGAGGAGGAGGAAGGAAACTGACAGGAAGCCAAATGAGGACCACAGAGAAAGGCACTCACAGCCACCTAGGCCCACGCAGCAGACAGCAGCTCTGTTGTGTCAAGACCATACAAATAAGCCAAGGAAAGGAAGCCCACCACTGCCTGTGCCACGCCGTGCTGTAGGAACACGGAGAATTGGGGCCCTTCCACATGTTTATACACCACTGAAGCTTCAAAGCTGAAAGTGATTTACAAAGCTAGCCATGGCTTACTGCCAGCAAGGAGAAGTAAATGTAATGCAGGTTTTGTGAAATCATTTTGCAGCACCATTGCCAGGGAGGGTAGACCAGAGTGAGGAGCCCAGGCAGCTTCCGGAACTGAGATATTATCAGCTGCCGAGATAACTGCTTGGAGACAGGCAAGTGGTCATGTGTCTCTGCCTCCTGCTGCCAAGTGGCCTTTCTGCTGCCACTCAGGATATTCTATACTTTGAGGTCATGCACAAGTGCCTGGAGTCAGGAGCGGAGTCCAAGCCCAGCCCTGCATGGACCACCTGTGTGACTGCACAGGAGATGCATCATCTATAAAGTGAGAGATTCTGCTGGTGGTGGTGAAGAATGCCAGAACTCGATAAGAAAAAGACAAAGACCTGAATAGTTAATTCACAAAGGCAGATATGCAAAAATCAAGAAGCACAGAGTTGGTGCCCATGATCGTGTATCATCAGGGGAGTACAAAACGAAAACCTAACGAGCTGCCTCTGCACACACTCACAGGAGTGGTCCGTGTTAAACATGCTGAGACCCCTGGGGATTGACCGGGACCTAGAGGACTGGGACACTCACCCACTGCTGATGTGAGGGTGAAATGCCCCAAACACTGTGGAAATGATCTGAAGTTTCCTTAGAAACATAAACATGTATTTCCCTCCTTCCCACCTAGATATTTTCCCAAGAGAAATGAACTCAGAAATGTCCACAAAGAGAGATACACAGGATTGTTCATGGTACCTTATTCATCAGGGCCCCAAACTGGAAACAACCCAGGAGAGCAGAGAAACAGCCAGAGAGTCTATCTCAAGGGTCTTTTGAATCCAGAATGGTTCACCAGGCAGGTCCATGTGGTGGGGTGGGCCTGAGCCCCTCTGTGTCAAAGGCAGCAGAATCCCTTACGTGGCTGCAGCAACATCCACACTCCTGAGGTCCTGGGTCCTGGGAGCCTCATGCTGCATCCTCAGAACTTGTCAGACCTTCGTCCACTGTCGCCTGGCTGCCCTTGGGCCACCCCTGCTGGGAACCCTGCCTCTCTGCCATTGCCCCTCTACAAGAACCCTGAGTTATAGAATGTCCCATCTAGAGGGAAGGTGACTCTGAAGCAGTTGGTGGTGAGACTAATACCGAACAAAGAAAAGTGAAGGCAAATGCCTTAGGAGCAATAAAGAACACTCTCTAAAGAAAGGAGGACAGCAGGATCACATGATGATTTGGGTCTGAAAGATGAGCTGGCTTGGCTGCTGATGGAAATGAGGGAGAAGATCTTTAACTGAGGCGGTCATAGACACCCTTGGATTGCCCACAGGGCGTGTTGTTATGGAGGGCAATGACAGGAAATCAACACTGCCCCAAAAGTCCCAGCTGGGGAGCCTCTACTTTGTGACATACAAGGGAAACCATGGAAATCAAGGAAGAGGCTGTGGCCTAGAAGGCTTCAAATTGAAGTCTGGGGAAATTAGAGAACAGGCTCAGAATGTCCTGGGAGCTGTGGGCCCAGACAAGGTTGGAAACCGTGGCCTGGCATCTTCCCTGCTGTAGAAGTGGAAGATGAAATGGTGACTCCTGCGGCGGGCATTGCCATGCGTCAGGGTGAGCTCCGGGGCAGGTGGAGGCAGCAAAGGCCTCTCAGGACCGCGGAAGGGCCTCATCAGCCACCACATCCCCACCTGCGGGCGCGACGGCCTCATCATCTCCTCCAGAAAGCAACACTGTCAGCCACACATCAGGAACTGTCAGCCTCAAATTCAACATTCCTCATTCTTGAACCAATTTACCAAAACTTTTTTCTTCATAAAAAGGTGAGATTTTTATATTTGGGATCAGGAGGACCTTTTTAGTTTATCAGGGCTACCCTGGGAAGGACTTCCAGAGCAGAGCTTTATCACGTAAAATCTGCTGAGGCATCTGAGCATTGAGGAATCTCTCCTGGAAACAAACATATCGGAAAAATTTCAAAAATTCTTCTTGCTGAGAGGACCTTTCTTGATTTATATATATATACACACACATATATGCATATATAATAAGTATATACACTTCTATGCAGAACCATATTCTGTGAAGCTAGCTTTATTTTCAAAGAGTTGTAATAAAATAAGCTTCTGTGGCTAGTTCTATACTCTACTATCACCTGGCTTTGTTTTAAATAGTAGATTTGCAGTGTTGGTGACTTCTGAAACCAAGGACCCAACATTTTGATAAGAGCTTAGATTGCTTATAGTTACATCAACCAAGACTCAAAAATGTGAGCAAAGCATCACTGCTGTCCAGCTAGGCATGTCCCTGTAGCCTCATCCTCTGCTCCTAACTTCAGAGGGTGGCACAGACTAGACCAGAACTAGACTCATTCATCTCCCAGATGTCTTTCTGTGGAAGTGGGGGCTGTGGGCCCAGGGCGGTGTCAGGAGAGGGCAGGGAGGAGTTTGGAAGTCAGCCTATCTTTCTAGTTCTGTGAATTCCCTGCTGCGTAGATTTCACACGTAATTTACTTTTTATTTTATTTTATTTTATTATTTTATTTGAAACAGTCTCGCTCCAGGCTGGAGTGCAGTGGTGCGATCACAACTCACTGCAAACTCTGCCCCTCAGGTTCAAGTGATTCTTGTGCCTCAGCCTCCTGAGTAGCTGGGATTACAGGCACATGCCACCATGCCTGGCTGAATTTTGTATTTTCAGTAGAGATGGGGTTTCACCACGTTGGCCAGGCTGGTCTCAAACTCCTGACCTTAGGTGATCAGCCTGCCTCGGCCTCCCAAAGTGCTGGGATTACAGGCATGAGCCACCACATCTGGCCAGAGTTCACACCTAATTTAATAATAACACCAGTGAAAAAAAGCAGGCTGCCTCATTTCAATGAGAGTTTTTCAAGACCCCTGGTCCCAGGACCATAGGGGTCCCTTTTCTTGTTCTTTGTCAAGAGTCCAGGTAACAAGATGATAACGTGGCCCTGCTGTCGTGAGCGGGGAAACAGCAGGAAGCCTTGCTTCCCTTCAAGTATTTAGTGCCAGCTGGAGGGATAAAGAGACCTGTAAATAATTGTGGCTTTACAAGGAAACAAGGGAAGGCCATCGGGGCTTCCAGACACAGGGATGACAAGCTGTTTTCCTCCCTTCTGGAATAAATTCGCGAGAAGCTGAAACAGAACTTGAAATGAACTTATTTTATGAAGGCTCTGGAGGGTACTGCCATAGATTATGTGAAGTTTGTTTTTTTTTTTTTTTCGTTTTGGTCAATAAAGTTACCACAGGCTTTCATATCACAGAATAACCTTTCCCATAGTTTCCAGTGGTTCTTTGTGCTCTGTTCTAGACCTCCTCCCCCGAGGAAAATCAGAGGCGATGGGCAGACCGTGTCGAATCTGAACATGACGTGGCTTGCTGCAGCAAGCTTACTGCCATGCTAAACACTTAGTGAGGAAGCATGCCTGGAAACTGTCCCTCTGGTCAGAGTGCCTCCAGACCCAGAATGTCCTGGCCGCAATCATTCAGGCACATGTTACTGTCCTGAGTACAGACGTAGGATCTGAGCCCTCGCTGGCTGCAGAGCCACCACTGCCCACCTCTCTGGCACGTGCCTTCCTCCCTGACACCACCCAGCCCGAAGGCCCACAGTGGAGTGCGTGATGCCCCTGCTGTGCCCCTCCTGGTTTATCCGTGCCTGGCAGAGTCCCAGCACCCAGCACGGGAGCAGGTGTAGGGGAGGCTCAGAAATAAACATGGATCAATATTAACTGGTAACGTTCACGGGGGGGAATGTTCCAAAGAACCTTGTTGAAACCCTCTAAGTTGGTCCCCTTTTGATTCTAGTTGATCACCCTGGAAGAAATGGCAGCATTCAATTCCTCCATCCTTTTTTCCAGTTCGCAAGGGCTGGTTCCCTGGACCAGCAGCATCAGGGTCATCTGGGAACGTTTTAGGATCGTGAAGTCTCGTCAGCTCCCAAGACCTGCTGACTCGGAAGCTCTGGGGACGGGGCTGGCAGTCTGGGTGTGAATGCCCTCTGAGGTTGCTGTGGAGACTCCTGAGGTAACACATGCTGAAGTCAGCCTGTCCTAATGGACCAGGCTCTTGGTTAGGAGCCCCAGCACCTAGGGGAGGCCGTGGTTCAGGGTTGTTGGGGTGTGGGCACAGCACGTGACACCCGCACCAGCCGCTCTCACCTTTTCACTCCTGCCCTCCCAGGTCACCTGCATCCGCCAAACTCTGCCTGGGGTTCCCTTCGTTATCAGCAGAGCACATAGACACATGTCTGGATTTGTTTATTCATTGTCTTTTCAAATATAGTGTACTCAACTTGGAAAACAGAAGGAGGAGGAAGAGAATGGAGAAAGAAAGCATGAAAACTGAACCTCTCCTCCATGCCCCTTTCTCAAAGCCCCTCCTCCAGGGGGACCCCGTCTTTCTGTGCCTTTATCAATGTGTGTGTGGGCAGTTTTGATTTACACGTAGAAGACCATCAAAGTGCAATGCAGCTTGCTTTTTCACATAATGTAAATACTTCTGGTATCTGCATATAAACACCAGCATTGACATTTTTAATGATTTTGTAGCATTTTGATGTATGAATTGCAATAATTTCATTACAGTAATGTTTTCCCTAAAAATGGACATATCAATTGTTTTCAACTTCTCCTTTTGCAAATATAGGATATCCACAAGTGAAATTCCACCAAGTCAAAGGTTATTCACATGTAAATTTAGCTACATACTGTAACTTCTCCTCCAGAAGTCCGTACCAGTTTTCATTCCTATTAACAAAATGTGAATGCCTGTCTTTCCCACCTGAGCTCAGTGTTCCATTTTCAACAATCTGATAGATAAAATAAAAGATATTGTCAGTTTCAGTTTGTGTTTCATTGGTTACTATAAAGCTGAACATCTTTATGTGTGTTATTTTTTTTCCTGCTTTTATTTCCCGTATAAATTTCTAGTTCTACATTTACCATTTTGTATTGGGTGTTCACATTTTATTAATTTGTAGACCTTATTTTTCTGACACAGTTTTTAGTCTGCTGTTCATGAGCTTTACTGCAAACATGTCCTCCTGCCAGACTTGGCTGTCAGTGGTGCCTCTTGCTGTAGAAAGGAGTCCTGGAGTATCTTCAGTGGTTGCTGGAGGGAAGCTTCCAGGGCACTACAGTCCAGTTCTTTACAGCTGCTGAGCATTGGTTGTGCGGTGTCTCACAGTGACTCAGCAGAAGACAGAGCCTGCACTAGTGTCTCCCAGGCATCATCGGATCCTGCAGCTCCCACACGGCAGCCCCAGGAGCAGCCTGGCAGTGTGACTCAGCAGCTTTCCTTGCCTGTTCTGAGGGGGCGCAGCTGGGGACAGCACGGGCTTCTGCCCACTCCTCACCCTGCCAGCGGGAAGCCTCCAAGACTTGGGAAGGAAAGGCAGTGAAGACCTCACTTGTCTCCTGCTGGGCCGTGGGCCCAGGTGCTGGCTTCACGGTGGTGACTCATGAACACACGAAGAATTGGGTGTGCAGAGGAGGAGAAACCATGCAGTGAAGAGCCCCATCGTCCTGTCACAAAATCCACTGCTAACTTTTTATTTCTACACCTATCTCCTCATGCTTCACAGAACCTCTGACCAAAGCAGCTTCCTCTTATCATTCACAGATTTTATAACTTTCTGCCTTTCCGAACGCGCTCTTCATTCCTGGTCATCTTGCATAATTTCCCGCCCGTGATTCTAAAGAAGAGAACCTATTGCTATGATAAAAGCTCACTGCAGATTCAGGGACATTGCACCTTATCCCAGCGGACACCAAGGGTCTCTGTGCTGGTTGGGTCTTGCCTCCAGTTCTCATCTTTCTTATTAAATACTTAAGTTTCTAAACTGGAGACTTTTCTTGATGAGGAGGCCGACTAAAGGAGTACCTTTTTATAAGCTTTTTTTACAATTACATTCACATCACAAAACACGTAGTTTTGTAACAGTGCAGTTATTCACACATGCCTCTTGTTTTTCAGAGCACCCTTTTCTCCCCTTCTGTGTTGAGGGTGGATCTCACGGCCACACAGTTAACCTATGTTAACCACCTCGACTGCCCTTCCAGTTTCCTCCACACTCAGCCATTTGCATATGCACACACATCTAGCACCCGGTCACCATGCCATCTACCACTGTGGGGACCCTCTCACCAGTTTATTCTCATGAGAGTAAACACACTTTCTGTATCTCAATGTTTTCACTGACAATACTTTCCAATATTCTGGAAATTTTGTAGTTATTGTCTTTAGCATTCATGAAATACCTGCATAACAATGACTGTCGTTGACCCAGCTGTCTTTCCAACACTGCTTGTTCACTGTTGTCTGGACTTTGGGGGGGCTCTATGAACAATGTTCCAATCAAATGTAGTTTTTGGTGAAAGTTTATATCCATATTTGCCGGTATATGAGACTGGGCTGCAAATAGGGTACTTCAATTTTCATGAGAAAGCTTAACTTCTTTTCATCATGCATAAGTTGGAAGTGATTTTCATCTATTATTGAAGCTGCGTCATTGTTTGGGGTAAATACCCAAGGTTCATTGTCTCGTGCCAAGGGAATAGAGGAAATGGACATACAAGAAGTGTATTTAAGAGTGGAGGTTTAATAGGCAAAAGAAAGAGAAAAGAGAACAGCTCTCTCTCCTGCAGAGAGAGAGGGGCACCTGAGTGGGTCTTCTAGTCCATGGCAAAGTACATGGGGTTTTATAGACTGGCTTGAGGAGGCAGTGTCTGATTTACATAGGGCCCAAAGATTGGTTGGACCAGGTGTGCCATTTACATAGCACACAAAGAAGCTGGCCACCTCTCCCTAATGTTTTACTATGCAGATGGGGTCTCTACCTGGCCAGTGCCATGTTGTCTGCTCCTTACTGTGCACGTGGTTGACAAGGAAAGGAGATGATGGAGTGCCATGTTGAACCTGCCTGGCCACCATGTAGCCTTTTCCTATTGGCACAGCTGCTGGCATTCACCCATGCAAGCTTCCAGCTTATCTATGTCTGCAGCTCAATTTTACAGGCTGCTCTTTGTTAGAAAAGAAGTGATTTGGGGGCTGCTTTTCATTAAAAGGAAAATCTTACCAAGGACTCTCTTACCCTCGCTATCTGCCTAAATAATTTCTTTTTAACTGCTATATCATTATTATAAGATAAAATCTATATTGATCATGTCAACAGACCTAGGTTCTGCCTGGGGCGCAGTAGGAAATCACAAGTTGCAATTGAGGCCTTGCATACCATCCAAGAGGCTCCTGAGAATTTTCCCCTGCACATGGGAAGTCATTGCTTGACCTTTTCCCTGTGGGGGATCCTGCAAGGCAGTTCCCTGCAGCCACGGGCAGGGCCCGGGGAGGGCAGGCTGCTGCAGCCTCAGCAGCCCACCCTTCCAGCAGCTGAGGAGGGTACATTGGCTGGGAAGAGGGGTCTTGGTACAGCTCCTACAGAATCCCACATGGAACTACATGCAGCATAGATGCCAAATACATAGTGAACAGAGGAGTGAACAGCGAGCAAGAAACCCAGCACTCTGTGGTGTGTCTCATATGGTAATTACAAGCCACATGGTAATTTACGATTCCTTCCCTTCAGAGCTACATTTTCTTCAAGTCCCTTCCACGTCCCCTCCCTCCACTCTAACAGCCTCTTCCCTGTGAAAAGCAGTGGCATTGGAGAGACAGAAAGAATAGGCCCATAAAGACAACCCTCTCATTCAGAGACATCAGCCCTCAGAGGTCCCACCTAGCCACTGGATCTTCTTCATGAAGCCTCTTGCTCACCTAGAAAACCCCAGCAAAATGTGGGCTCTCCAGACTTCTGCCACAGAGAAGACCCTTCTAAAATGCTGATATTCCTAGATGTGATACAGATCAAGTCACTAAAGTCCTAAATTTCAAATCAAGGAAGGAAGGGGGAAGGTGATGCCAGAAACAGAACAGGCAAAGAGCAGAGCAGGTGCTCTGCCAGCAGGCACCAGTCAAAGGTCCAGCAGTAAAAGGTGTACAGGTGTCACCAAGAGCCTCAGTCACCACAGCAGGGCAGAGGCAGTGGGCTGCACCCACCTAGTTGGCTGGTGTAGACCACCCTGGCTCCCTTCGAGTCTCCCCAGCCCCAGAACACCCCTCAACTATCTGTAGACTCCTCTGTGTAGTCAAGACTTCTTGGCAGAAATCCAGGGCTATCCTAGAAGCATCTTAGAAACTGCTGCGACCTGGAGGGGTTAAATGCCTTGACCAAGGCCACAGCTAGTTAATGGCCAAGCTGGGACTAACATCCAGTCATCCAGTGTCCGAGAGAGTGTTCCCTCCAAACACTGCATCATTTAGCCTCACGCAGTCCTAAAAAGTGGAGGTGAATGAGTTGCCCAAGTGAAGCGGGCACGGCTCACCTCTCAGTCACAGAGGAAAAGCAGCCAGCTCAAAGCTGCACTGTCAACTCATACCAAAGCTGGTCACCCCAGTGACAGTGCAGGGCTGAGAAGGACAGAAAAACCAAGATGGATGCTGCAGGTGCAAAATCGGATTTTTTAAAAAAGGGAATATAACTGACAAGTTTGCATATATATATTAAGAACAGCAATGTGGTATAAGGTAAAAATAGAAATTGTTTTATTTATTATTTATTTGGAGACTGTCTCCAGAGGGTCTCACTCTGTCACCCAGGCTAGAGTGCAGCGGCACCATCAGGACTCACTGCATCCTCCACCTCCTGAGCTCAAGCGATTCTCCCATCTCAGCCCCTTCCCGAGACGCTGGGACTACAAACATGTACCACCATGCCCGGTGAATTTTTTGTATTTTTTTTAAATAGAGACTGGGTTTCACAACGTTGCCTAGGCTGGTCTCAAACTCCTGGACTCAAGAAATACCCCCACTTTGACCTCCCAACGGGCTGGGATTACATGAACCACCACACTCAGCCTGGAATTTGTATGTTTTTAAATGTCATTGGATGAATATCTGTGAATGTGATTGCTACTGAAAACAAACAAAAAAAGGAATGGCCATTGTCAAGATAAATGGCATATTAAATGTGGAAGCAGAGGCTCGGGCTCTGATTTGAAAGTCTGTGCATGACTCAGCTTGGGCTTGTGATGGCTTCTGATTCCAGGCTCAGAGAGTGAGCACACTGCACTGTTTAAGAAATAAACACAGGGGTAGCCCAGGGGTGCCAAAGGTCATAGGCCAGGCACGCAGGACTTGTGCTGAGATGGCAACCTGGACTGGAAGACAACCTGCTGGGCCTCCCTGCCAGCGTGGTGGGTGCAGCTGACATCAGCAGCAGGTGTCTGACATGGGGGCCCAGGAAGCAGAGCTGAGGAGGTGCTGTCCCAACGGCAAGACCCACAAAGGCCACACACATTATTATAATACAAAGCACTGTGTGCAGCCTAAAATGTGGAGACAGGAGGGGTGCACACAGAGGGTATGAAATGCTCCCAGAGTGAGGTAAGACGCAGGCAGGGAGAACGTGACAGGCTCAGGGGAGGGTTGTCAGATGGCGAACAAGGAAAGCACATCTCAGCAGAGGCATGAACCAGGTGCATGTGCCCACTGGCTCCAGTGCTACTGGGGGCTTCGTATGTGACAGTGATGATGAAGGCTTATCAGCCTGCAGAGACAGCAGTCCCTGCCACTGCATATCAGAGCCCAGTGAGGACAGTAGGGTCAAGGCATATTCCCCACACACGAAGGCTTTCACAGCAGCTCCCCAGAATTCTAAAAGGCATCTCGGCATCTCCGGGGATGGGAGACAGCCTGCTGTCCCTGCCCTTCAGCTCCCTAGTGTGAGTGATGGGGACACTGCCACCACCCTAGCTGCTCACACTTGGAGAAATAAATTGAGTTGTCGGCGTGATGTTGACCAGGACAGAATGGCATCCTGCGGTATCAATGTGGTTTATTTGTTGTTGTTAACATTAATACAATTGAAATTTTGGACATTGTGATAAACTATGAAAAAACAGGGTGAAAACATCAGAAGCAATTACACTCAAGAGTTTAGCCTGATTCTTTCCAGTCCTGTTTTCTAAACATTATTCTCTATATAGGTAAGATTAAATTTTAAAGTCTGCCTTTTTGTAATCAATACCATGAGCATTTTCCATGTAATTAGCACTGCCTTATAAGCATAATTGTCTGTGATTACCAGATATCTCACCATATGGACACAACATGATTATTTAACTATTCACAAATAAATTTTAAGGCATTTAGATTGCCCCCCAAATTTTCATTCTAGTAAATAACACTACATATTTTTTCAGTTTTGTGCTTAAATCTTTATTCTTGTTTCTTAAGAAATAAGCTCTTCTGGCCAGGTGCAATGGCTCATGCCTGTAATTCCAGCACTTTGGAAGGCCAAGGTGGGCAGATCACTTGAGGTCAGGAGTTCGAGACTAGCCTGGTCAACATGGTAAAACCCCATCTCTACAAAAAACACAAAAAATAGCTGGGGGTCATGGGGAGTGCCTATAATCCCAGCTACTCAGGAGGTTGTGGCAGGAGAATCTGGGAGGCAGAGTTTGCAGAGAGCCAAGATCATGCCACTGGCAGCCTGGGTGACAGTGAGAAAAAAAAGAAGGAAAGAAAGAGAGAAAGAGAGAGACATTGAGAGCGAGAGAGAGAGAGAGAGGAAGGGAGGAAGGGAGGGAGAAAAAGAAAAGAAAGTGAGAGAGGGAGAAAAAAGGAAGAAGGAAGGAGGGAAGGAAATGAAGGAAGAAGGGAGGGAGGGAAAGAAGGAAGGAAGGAAGGAAGGAAGGAAGGAAGGAAGGAAGGAAGGAAGGAAGGAAGGAGCTTTTCTTCAAATAATTAAAGCGTTAGATTTCATGGTTATCTAGTGGCCCCAGTGTGGGAAGACCTTGTAAACAAATGTGTTTTGTTTTACTATGTAATTGTTTTTCTATGAAATTGACTGGAAGGAGGAGATTTCAGATGAGAACAATAGGACTAATATGTCACCCATAATACAGCAAAACTTGTGGAAGCTCACTGGACACAAAAACACAGGAGTCCTAGGGGTGCTTCTGCAGGTAGCATGGGATGGATCCACACATCTCTAGAGGCACCAAACTAGCAACCCGATAGCATTTCACAGGCACAAAACAGCCACCACCCACGTGTCAGGGAGATGGCGCACATGGAGGGCGCATGGGCAGGTGCCTGCCAGCCTGCATGCACACAACTGTTCACTCCAAAGTGTCCATTCATTTTGGTTGCTAAGAATTGCTCTTCGTCCCCGGTGGGTGTTTAAAAAGAAAGATCTGCCCTTCCTGTCCTAGCTCTTACAATCTTAAACCTCCTCATTTGTTCCCAGGAACTTTTGCTTAGAGAATGATATTGATGACAGTAGTTTCTATTCATGAGCACTTACTACAATCCAAGAGTTAGAAGCTGTTACTCACTAGCTATGTGATCTTGGATAAAGTTCACCTTCCTGAACCTTAATTCCTCATTTTTAAAGTAGCATTAATGGTTTCACACGCAGACATGTTTAGGAGAACTTACTATGAAATACATTTTGGAAAAAGATGATGATGGATGGATGGATTGATGGATGGATGGATGGATGGATGGAGAGTTGGGTAGATACATAAATATAGCAAAATGATAATGGTACACCAAAGTGGTGAGTATATGAGTGTTGACTGTAGTTTCTTTTAACTTTTCCCTATGTTAACATAAAACATTGCTGAGGAAAACAGTATTGATAATGGTACCTACTACATGGTGTTGTGCAATGGAAGAAATGAGATGAGGCAAGTAAAGTGTTGTCCGTATGGTGTTTGACATAAAGCTGTAAGTCAGTGTGTTATTGTTGTTAGTATTTGTCGCAACCAGCAAAATAGGTATTATAACTCTATTTTAGGGAGAAAAATAAAACTAGATACTCAGATAAAATAGTAACAGGACGTAAACTAGTTAACATACGTGCTAGACTTGAGCTGGGCCGGCCTATACCAAAGCTGTGCCCTGCCCACCTCGCCACCAGGCAGCCAAGGATGGAGCACGGAGTGTGCAGCAGGGTGTGCAGACTCACAGCTCCTGGTCTCTCACCTTGTCCCATGCCACGCCCTGATGTTTTTAAAGTCAACTTTTTATTTTAGAATGGTTTTAGGTTGACAAAAAATTTACTAAGACAGTACACAGAGTTCCCATGTATCCCTTAACTGGTTTCTCCTTTCCCTAACATCTTATGGTGTGACACATTTGTCACAATTAATGAGCCACTGCTAACACATTATCAGAAACTACACTCCATGGACTATGTAGGCTCTATGGTTAAACAAAAAACAAAAAGAACCATAGTCCATAATAGATTCCTTCAAGATTTACCTAATGTCCTTTTTCTGTTCCAAGGTCCCATCCAAGAAACCATATGGCATTTAGTAGTTGTGCCTCCTTAAGTTCCTCTTGGCTGTGACAGTTTCTCAAATAAGTTTCCTTGTTTTTGATGGCCTTGACAATTTTGCAGAGCACTGATCGGGTACATCGTGGGAGGCCCCACTGTTGAGATTGGTCTGATGTCTTTATTAGACTGAGGTTATAGACTTGGGGTCACATCAGGGGCACCTGCTATCAGTGTGGCTTGTTGCTGTTGATGTCAAGCTTGCACCTGGAGAGAGAGGGATTGTCAGGGCCTCCACAGCAGAGTCACTCTTTCCCCCTTCCCATGCTGTACTCTGTCATAGGAAGTCACCGCACAGCCCACACTCGAAGGGTAGGGTGGAAAATACTTTATCACCTTAAGGGCAGAGCACTTAGATAAATGTTTTGGAACTTGTCTGTGTGGGAGATTTGTCTACCCTCCTCCATTAATTGGTTCATCCATTTATTTATGTCAGTATGGACCCTTGGATATTTATGTTATACTTTGGTGTCTAATCCAAAACTACATAATTTATTTGCTGCTTTGACCCTTGGGAGCTCTTTCAGATTGGTTTCTGTGTCC
Source organism: Homo sapiens (assembly GCF_000001405.40). Lineage (NCBI taxonomy): Eukaryota > Metazoa > Chordata > Mammalia > Primates > Hominidae > Homo > Homo sapiens. The sequence continues at coordinate 24,642,688 of NC_000020.11, forward strand.
ACTTGACATCCTTTTGTTTTTTGAAGCACTTTCTTACATTTTTGCACCGCAAGATGCTGCTTCAGGTTCATCTTGTATGCTTCCTGTCCACGTCCCAGAATCAGCTATTTTCCTATGGAGCCCTGGTTCTTTCATTAGAGAATAGGGTTCGAAACCAAGATCTGGGCACTGGGTGTGCTTGTGGCTTCTGGGGTGTCATTGATTCTAGGCTCTCTCAGTGACAAAGCTAGGAAATAAATGTATGTATCCTCATGCCATTACTGTTAGGTTAGTTGCATTTTAATGGCAAAAACTGCAATTACTTTTGCACGAATGTAATTAGTTCTATATAGAGAGTATTTCTACTTGTTTAAATATGTAGAAATATTTCTATATGCATAATTATTTATGTACATATATATATATCCATCTGTATCTGTATTAAGCTAAATGTGAGTTCATACTGGTGCCTCCAACTCTAACTCATTGTCACACATCACTGCAGCCTTCTTCCCTTACTTCTCTGTAACCTCCTACTCCAACAATGAGAAACCTGGCTCCAACCATCCACTATCCACTTACTTAATTGTTCATTTCCAGTATAAGTGTATAGTGTCAGAACTGTCAACCTGTATCTTCATGAGAAGTAACTTTATCAGCTAGAGTGCCGTGTTCATGAGAAGTAACTTTATCAGCTAGAGTGCCATGTTCATGAGCAGTAACTTTATCAGCTAGAGTGCCGTGTTCATGAGAAGTAACTTTATCAGCTAGAGTGCCGTGTTCATGAGAAGTAACTTTATCAGCTAGAGTGCCGTGTTCATGAGAAGTAACTTTATCAGCTAGAGTGCTGTGCTTATGTGTAGTTCTTTCTGCCATTAGTCCTGCAGTCTCCACTCGTTTCCAGGGTTACTTTGGTCAACACCCTCCTCACCCCCTTCAGTGAGGTTGTTTCATAAATTTGTAATACAGTTAGATTAATCCATCATAATCTGCATTCCCTCCTGGCATCCCCTGACTTCCTAATCAATTTTTTAAATTTGAATACAATAAGATTTTGTCTTTGTGTTGTAAAGTTCTGTGTGTTTTGACAAATGCGCAGTGCCACATATTTACCATGACAGTGTCATACAGAATAGTTTCAGAGATGCTCTAAGAAGAAATACAGCTTTGTGGAAAGAGCCTTTAAATATGTGATTTCCAACCACTTATGTGATGCTGAGTTCTCCTTCTTGCCCCATAACTTGGCCCCAGATTTCTCAATAGAAAAACAGACACATCATCAAAAAGAGAAAACTGAGCCTTAGCAATAATTAGCTTGCAGCTTCATATATTTTGAAATGCAAGAAGTAGACTTTCTATGCCAAAGAAGAAAAAGAGAATCATCTAGACTAGCTACACGCAAACACCCACACTTTATTCCCAGGGAACTTGGGAGAAAAATCAATGGATTCCAGGATATGACAGCTTCCAAACACACTTTGATTTAGGTGCATGATTATGAGCAAATTGGTCTGCTCTATGGAGTCTCCATGTGCTCATCCATGAAGCAAGGCTGTTGTGAATCTTCAGCCCTCTATTGCTGACATAGATGATGAGGCAGAGGTTAATTAAAATGACAGTTAAAACATTATGTTCACTGTGGTAAATTTTACCTCCCAAAGATGGCCACAGCATTTCCTAGCACACATGCTCTTCTGCAATGTGGCCTTGCCCCTTCTCCATTAAGGCATATAATTTCATTCACCTCTTGACTTAGTGCTTTGCATAGCACTGGGATGCACTTAGTGCCTTGCTTGTTACAGTGGAGTGCAGGAAGAGGGCTCTGTGTGACCTCAGAAGCCAGGAATCATTGAGGCCTTGTTGCTTCTGCCTCACTCACTGGGACACTTGCTCTTGGAGTCCTGAGCTGCAATGTAAGAAATCTTCCTCCCTGAGACCTCCATGCTGTGGGGAAGCCCAAGTCACATGGAAAGGCCACTTGTAGGTGTTCTGGTCAACAGGCTTAGTCTCTTAGTTATCTCAGCCCAGGAACCAGCTATCTGAGAGAAGTTACATTGGACCTCCAGAACAGCCCATTCTCCAGCTGAGTGCTCCCTGAATTCTTGACTCCAGAATTCATAAGCACCCAGTGGTGGTTGTCTTAAGCCACTGGGGTACTTAGCCACAGAACAATAGATCACCAGAACACTCACTACTGTGTCCTAGGTACTGTTCTGAAGACTGGTGTATATTAACACCCTAGTACTTTCAAAGACCCCATGACACAGTAACTCATTATCTTCAGCTTACAGATGAGGAAATTGAAGCACAGAGAAGGAAACTTGTAGAAAGTCACACTACAGTGAAGCAATGGGTTTGAAACCGGTCAGTCTGACCCTGGAAAAATGCTCTTACATTAGCAAAAATGCTTGAGAGGCAGTTTGGGAAGGAACTGTTAGAGAAATTAAAGTTACCAAGCGTGCCTCCTGGGATCCATCTGCAGCCAAATGAATGATGTGGCGGTGCACTGCTCTCTCCTGGTGGTGAAGTGAGCCTCCTGTTGGAATGAGGAAGCCAAACTGTCCTTAAGGATCTTGCCACATTCCAGGCAAAACACCCATGTTAATTACTTTTTTCATAATTATTTCAATGGGAAGCATCTGCACCCAGTTGGGCCTAGATAATCTGAGTAGGAACACAGCTCGTTTACCCACAACTCGAGATGAGCAGACCAAATAGCTGGTTTTCCAACCATTAGACGAGAGCCCACGCTGCCGGATAGGATGCTGATGGCTGCATTGGTGCCACAGCTGTGGCTGTGGCTCTCACTGAAACAGCTCAGCAAGGAAAACTGGCACAGGGCTCCAGAGAAAAGAGGGAGAGAGGACAACGGAGAGTGAAAGAGGGAAGTGAGGGGGGAAGACTGCCTCGGTGTGTGCAGTGAGCTCTCAGCTTTGAGCCCTCTGGGCGAATCCACTGTCTGGACCAGCAGATGATCCTGCTGTCCCCTCACCTCACCAGCTGCAGGTCTGCACCCAGGCTATACCTGGGCTGAGAGAGGCGGAGGCTGGGCTAGGGGGAGACTCATACTACCAGTATATGTGGCTACCATCTGATTAATCTTGTATTCACAGGCTGAAAATGCTCAGCAAATCATTTGATATCATCTCAACAGTCCTAGGAACCAAAATATTCAAATCTTGGTTCTCTCCTCCCTAACACAGTGGGCTCTAGAGAGAACACCTGGTGCTGGCCAGCTACAACAATGGTTTGCAGGAGTCAAGGCACCCTTCTCGCCTGGATAGAAGCCAAGCTTGTGCTTCCCGTGGGAATGTGATCATGTAACCTTGTCCCACACAGAGCCACCTCCATCCACCTGGAGAGAGGAGAGCTGGAGCATGCACTTGCCCAGGAAGCCCCCAGTTCACATCTGAGCCCCTCTTCAGTCAGATTTTATGTCAGGGTAGAGACCTGCCCTTTCAAGTCCAGCATCTCATTTTGAAGCCCCACATGCAGCTCTGAGGAAACCATGCATGTTCCTCCAATGCCTAGAGGACTGTGGACAGACCAGGGAACATGCACACATTACAGTAAGCAACACTGCCTATACACATCAGTGATTTCCCAGTGACTGCTCCAGGGGGCTAGGCGACTGCTATGGCTTAGGTGTTTGTCACCTCCAAACCTCATGTTAAAATTTGATCTCCAGTGTGGCAATATTGGGAGATGGGGCCTGGTGGAAAGCCTTTGGGTCAAGGGGGCAGATCTCTCACGAGTAGATGAATTCCGTCCCTTGGGTGTGAGGGAGCTCTGTCTCTATTAGCTCCTTCGACAGCTGCCTGTTAGAAAGAGCCTGGCACACCCCACTTCCTCTCTCACCACATGATCTCTGTGCATGCATACCGCTTTCAAGTCTCTCCTTCTACTTTTTGCAGTGAGTCGAAGCAGCCCGAGGTCCTCACCATATGCAGATGCTCAGTATTTTTTTTTTTTTGAGATCCACTCTCACTCTGTCACCGAGGCTGGAGTACAGTGGCGTGATGTCGGCTCTCTACAATGTCCGCCTCCTGAGTTCAAGTGATTCTCCTGCCTCAGCCTCCTGAGTAGCTGGGACTACAGGTGTGCACCAACACTCCCAGCTAATTTTTGCATGTTTAGTAGAGTGGAGTTTCACCATGTTGGCCAGGCTGGTCTCGAACTTCTGACCTCAGGTGATCCACCCACCTCAGCCTCCCAGAGTGCTGAGATTACAGGCATGAGCCACCAAGCCCGGCTGATGCTCAGTCTTGAATTTTCCAGCCTACATAGTTATGAGCCAAATAAACCTGTTTTCTTGATAAACTATTCAGCCTCAGGTATTCTGTGATAGCAACACAAAATGGGCTAAGACAGCGACCCTCACGTAGTCTTTTGAATCTTTTTCTCTCGAGTTCAATACAAGAGAATTTCCTGTCTTTCCTTTGGAATTCATTCCAAACAAGCACATTCTTGTTAGCTTGCACCTGACAGTCAGCACTTCATTAGAAGGTCTAAGTAAAGAAGTCAATATAGATATACTTTTAATTTTGCATCTTGCTCCCAACCAGGGAACCGAGGGAACTAAACAGTGGAGAACCATATGAACACACAGGCAGGGCAGGGTACATGGCAGCACTTTCTCAGTGGCTTGAAACCTGTTTCCCTGGAGCTGACACAGGGCAGTGCATGCGGCAGAATCGGGGGAATCTGCTTTGGGTACATATGCCATCAAGTCACGCTTCAGAGGCAAGTTTCTTCTCAGTAGGAAAAGGAAATGTGGTATTATACGAACATCCTCTTTGAGCCAAACACTTTCTTTGGGAAGGGGAATGGTGGATATCCCAAAGTGCGGCACAGGGGATGGGGGCTCACAGGCATCCATGGAAAAGGAGAGGCACTTGTCAATTTCGTGTGGAAATATCAGGATAGCCCTGAAACAGCAGCTTTCAAGGAACCAGATGGAGCAGGTGACACCATGACACATTTCAGAGAATAATCCCAGTTAAGAAGGCCCAGCAAGCTGGAACCTGTTTTCCAAAGGAAAGTGCCCTTTTTCATTTGAGATAAAAAGCTCAGGAAATGGGTGGATTTTTTTTCCAGCAACTAGATACACGCAAGGGAGTATTGTGAAAAGTTGGGGACAGACTGAGCAGCACATCAGTCAGACTGAGCTGCTGTCACAAGTTACTGTGGACTAGGTGGTTTAAGCAGTGGCCATCTGTTTCTCACAATTCTAGAGGCTGGGCATCTGAGATCAGGGTACTAGCACGGTCAGGTTCTGGGGAGGGCTCTCTTCCAGGCTGCAGATGGCCACCTTCTCCCTGTGTCCTCACTAGTTTGCAGAGAGAGAACTCCTGTGTCTTCTGTTCTTAGAAGGGTACTCATCCCATCCTGAGGGTTTCAGCCTCATGACCTCATCCAAACCCAGTCACCTCCCAATGGCTCCACCTTCTAATACCATCTCATTGGAATTAGGGCTTCAATATATGAAGTTGGGGGGTGGGGTGGTACACATACATGCAGTCCATAGCAGTTTGGCTCGCAGACATGCCTCTGGGCAATGAAGAAGCAAACTCAGCTTCACTGAAGCCCCTCTCTTGAAGTGGGCACTTTTCCTTTTAAGACAGGAGGTTTGTGGAGGTTTATGATCTGCTGCCATTGCCCTGCAGGGTGTGTCCTGGTGTCACCAAGGATCTGAGGACATACAAAGCATGTGGCACCTTCCCAGTGTGTCCACTCTGACTACTGAATCTTCATTTCACTTGACTATAGAGTAAGTTCTGAGGCCTGACTTCCTTTGTCTCACTGTATCATCACACATTTCGGGTTAGTTCAGGCCAGGAATTCTTGCAGCAGGCAAATAAAAATCTGAAGGAGTGGAACTAGGAGTGCACACCCCTGGTTTCCAGTGTCCAGTCTGAAAGCAGGGAGGTTCCCCAGGGAGAGGCCAGCAGGGCCAGCAGGGAGCCCAGCACCAGACTGACAAGGGCTGCCTCCCTGCTTCAGAGGCAAACAGTTTTTGGAAGTTGCTAAGCAACCCATCTTCTTAGAAGGAGCCAAGTGTTAGAAACGAGTGCCCAAGCCAAGTGCAGCAACACAGAGGCCAAGCCACAGCAGCCAGATTCCATTTCAGCAGTCAGCATTGGGATGCTAACAGCTGGTGGAGGCCGGCGTCTGCAGAGGACACTATTGCTATATTCATGTTACCAGCATGCTGCTTGAATTTCTGTTGGAAAAGGTACTGATTCTTATTATTCAGTTATATCTTGGATATATCCTTCATTCATGTCATCCAGGTGCAAGGTGCGATGTTAAGTGTTGAAAAAAGGTGAGCAAAAAGGTGACCTATGCTCCCTTGGGGATTATGGTCTAGTGGGGAAATGAACATTCACTTAGTAAGTGTCATGAATGCAAAGTTCTGTGAAAGCATGGTGCAGGGAAGCATGACCTGAACCAGGGGCCAAGGAAGCCTCCCCCAGGGACTGGATGCTTGTGTGAGATCAGGAGACATCCTGTTGAGGAGATGGGCAGGGTGCCCTACAGCTGAAGGGGAGCCACCTGGAAGTAACAGTTCTGCTTTGGGTGGACACTCAGCTGACCATCGTTTTTATGTTTACTCCCCTCATTCAGTTTATAATTTTCTTTGGTGGTTCCATTGAGATCTAAGATTTTCTTTCCCCTGCTGGAAATCTATGAGCTCTAGTTTATGAAATTGTCATCATCCTTAGCAACGATCTTTGTGTTTTATTGGGTTTGAGTGCTGGATCCATTTATAGTTTAACTTCTCAGCGGGGCTCTTGCACACGTGTATCTATAAACTCAGGGCCCATACCTATAGTTAGCCTGACTTGAGGTCTCGATTGCTCACTTACAGTCCAGGACAGACACAAAGCTTACTCGCTGGTTTATTAATATGGGGTGGAGACTGGGGAATTTCTAGTCCTCTCTCATGGAAAGAACTCTTTGAGGCTATGGGATTTATGCATGAGTTCTCCCCTGACCAAACACCACGTCCTGTCTCCCCTCAAAGCATTAGAAACTCAGCCACACACCCCCAGTCCTGTTTCCTGAAAGTGAATTACCCATGGACTACATGGTTTCTGTGCCTTCTCAGTGAAAGGGGTCACCCATGTCATCCCAGTTGGCCATCTTGCTGGAATGAAAGACCTATCATATTTCACAGATAAACACCAGTGACAGTACCAAATGTAAAAGACTTTATTTAAAACAGGAAAATATTAAAATAGAAAATGCAAATAAAACTAATTCAAATGCAGGAAGCCATTGCTCCCTATGGCATACACTCATCTTTAATACATTTTGTGCAACAAACAGATGGATCGCATGGGCATGGGAGGGCCAAGAAACACAGCTCTCCTGTGTCAGCCAGGCCCTGGGTCACAGTTACCTACTAACCCAAAATAGGGGTAGCATGCAGGCAGCAGGGCACTGGGTGTGGTTCAGAAAGCAAGTTCCACTCTGTGAGTGTGCGTCTGTTGCTTACACTTTCTCAGTCTTCGTTGTCTTATCTATAACGTGTCATCCTGACCAGTCCCCAAGGCTGTTGTGAAAGCAAACTCATAAAGAGTGAACCAGCTAGAAAGCAGCGTTTGTACAAATGCTGTGTCTGCCTTCCAGGAGGCACCACGTTTATAAACAGAAATCTGCAAGTTTGCCAGCTGCGCTAGAAATAAATGGCCCATCCAGTTTGTGCTGAGCCCTCCAACCATAGTGAGCTGTCCATCCTCAGTCCACATGGCACGTATCTGCCTGTGTGCTCCCACGCAGTCATCACGTACGTAGTCAGCACCATGGAGCCAAATGAAACAAATGGTTTGCAGAAACATTTCCATTCTTTTTTTTTCACTTGAATTAAAAAAGATTCAACCTTGTATGTTGTACAAATTCTCCATGTGAGAAAAACGTCCCTCTCTGTACCTTAAGCACTGGGTCTCAGAATTCAGAGCACCAGCCCAGCCTCCCAGCTAGGACAGCGTTCCAGCGTGCTCTTGCCAGCTGTAATGGTTCTGCAGTATGCGTGGAAATGGACTGTTTGATCGTGTGAAAACAAATGTGTGTTTCTTGAAAATGCAATGTATCTTGTACTTCTTACAGCTCACTTCTGGCTCCCAAGGGCTCCCAAGGACCACGCAATGACTCTTATTTCTTGTTTCTTTCTTTTTTTTTTTTGAGACAGAGCCTCACTCTGTAGCCCAGGCTGGAGTGTAGTGGTGCGATCTCGGCTCACTGCAACCCCCGCCTCCAGGGCTCAAGCAATTCTCCTGAGTGAGCTTCCCAAGTAGCTGGGATTACAGGTGCGCACCACCATGTCTGGCTAGTTTTTTTGTATTTTCAGTAGAGATGGAGTTTCACCATGTTGCCCTGGGTAGTCTCGAACTCCTGAGCTCAGGCAATCCATCTGCCTCTGCCTCCTTATATTCATATGTGTATTTGTTTTTATCATGTTTCCTTATCACTTCAGCTTGTTTGTGTTTGCTCACATGTGTTTACTCTTAAGGCCAACACTCTTGAATTTATCTATTTTGCTTCCCTGCAAAGAGGCTGACTGTAAGCATAGATCCTTACCAGGGCCATTCCCCAAATATCATCTTAGAACCATGGCCACAGACTGCATTCAGTGCTGATAAAGGCCACAAGAATGTCACAAATGTATCTCTTGGTCATAAAGGGGATGATGCAAGAGATTGTGGGTTAATCACTATAAACTTCCCCACCAAGAGCCTATCCAAATTTCCTAAAGTTGAAGTCAGTCCTGCTACAGAAGGAGTGGCAAAGGCAGAGAAACGACCACACATGAGCCAAGTTTGTGATTGAATCAGTAAAGCACACATTGGAGTTGTTTTCACGTATATTTAAAACAAGGAAATTTACTCAGCTGTGCAGATTAGAAGTCTAATACAAAATGAGCTAAGGACGCTTCCTCTCCTGGGCCACCAGGTGAAAGGGGCGTCACTGGAGGAGAGTGGCTGTCACTGCAGTACACTAAAGGTGACCACGCATTTCTTGACCTGCTTCCTGCATCCTTTCCCCTTGAATCTGGGCTGGCCCCACTGAGCCACTCGTAACCAGTAGGACACAGCAGAAGTGATGTTCTGAGTCTCCTGTGGCTGATAACCAGGAGAAACTTGCAGCTTCCCCCTGCAACACTCACCCAGAGCCCTGAGCTGCCACACAGGAAGTTCAGCTAGCAGTGACCACCGTGCTGGAGAGGCCAAGGCACCAGGTGTGAGTGGAGCCATCTCAGGCACCCCAGGGCAGTCCAGACACCAGTGACCCCACATCAGGTGACCCTGTTAATGCCATATGGAGTAGAAAAGTCTCCCAGCTGGTCTGATCTGAATTCCTGACCCACAAATTATGAGACAGAAAAAAATGGTTGTTGTTCAAGCCACCAGGCTTTGGAACCATTTGTTACCAGCAGTAGATAATTAGAAGAGTCACTGCTCCCCACAGAGGGGTCATCTTTGCAGAATGATGCATGAGCACTCGGGTTGCATCCAGGAAATGGGATTGACGGGAAAGCCAGACAGAGGCGTTGAAAGGGAAGCATTAACAAGCTGAGGCTCCCCCCAGCAAGTGAGATGCAAGGTGAGGCCAAAGACACGCCTGTCCCTAGTCTCTGCTCAAAATTCTCTTCCTCCTGGAACCTCCTAATTTTGTTTTCAGCTACCAGGATTCACCCCTTATCCCAGGCTGCCTTACCGAGGAACGTTCACAAAACTTATATGAGCTCCTCCACCATAACCTACAAGTCAGAAGGGCCATCAGAAGAGGCTTCTGCCTGTCCTACGCTGGGCTCTGGTCCAGCCCTCGGCCTGCTCATGGTTGGCTGTGACTCCAGTAAGTTTAACAGTTTCCAAGTGACCAAATGTGATTCTTCATTCAGCCGACTGTGATATAGGAAAATGGAAACATGACAAAGCAATTGTTTGAGACACAGCAGATGACACCAGTGCTGCACCCGTATTCCCTTGGCACTCATGGCTCTAACTGCAAATACCTGCCCTGACTCTGTTGGAGGCTTTCTCCACTCACAGCGGGGTGCCCAGCCATGTGCAGGGGAGGGCCAGAAATGTGGGGAGGTGAACACACGGGAGCAGCCCTCAAGCAGTGGTGGAGGAGACTGGGGCTACATAATCCAGACTCCTTGCTCCTGGAGGGGAGCCCCTGGGAATACTCTTCCAGATGTCTGCAGTGGGGCTGACACAGCCACCCCCTGCTCATTAACCCGCCCTGCAACAGCTCCTCTGCCTCCCTATCTCACCTCTCTACCTTCTTAATGGCACTTCTGGGATCACCTCCAAGGAAGCTGCTTGTCTCCCTACCCTTGTCTCAGAGTCACCTCTGGACCCCGCCTAAGCTGGAAAGACATTAAGTAAAAAGGGATCAGTTTCTAGTGGCACTTGAACATGTGTGTTATGTCACCTCCTTCATAAAATCTTTATTTAAGTTATGGTAAAAGAATAAGATGTGAAACCATGAAGGAAAAGAGAATGGACGTGGAGCAACAAGAAACAGAGATGTCAGCACGTTTTGGAAGATGAAAGCGCACGGAGGAGTGGTGATCATGCAGTGTGGCTGAGTCTGCAAGCCCCCATGACAACAGCAGCAGGAATCAGCCAGTCCACTCCACCACCACCGTGAGGAGGCAGGGCTGGGAGCTCCAGGTGTGAGGCAAGACATGGCGAAGACATCCACCTGAAAGCAGTGCATTTCTAAGTTGTAATCGGTAAAGCACCCAGTCCTGTGTCCCATCTTCAGGGCTTAGTGGCAGACGTTTCTTAATCCCAGCAGGAGACCAGTCAGAATGCCTCCAGCCTTGGTGACTCAGGGCACAGTGAGGAGTGAGAGCAGACCAAAGTCCACAGCATGGTGAGCAGCAGGGCCCGGCCCCTCTAATGCCCAGGCCCCAGTGCTCCTTAGCCCCCCTGGCTCTTACCCCAAGGCAGGAAGTTAGGGGATTTATCCCTGGAGAAACTGAATGTCTCTATGTTAGTCTTCTAGGGCTGCCATAACAAAATGCCAGACTGAGTGACTAAACAACGGAAATTTAACTCTGTCAGCTCTGGAGGCTGGAAGCCTGAGGTTGGCAGGGCTGGATTCTCCTGAGGCCACTCTCCTTCATGTGGCCGCCTTCTTGCTGCGACTTCACGGGGTCATCCCTCGGTGTGGTCTGTGTCCCTGTCATCTCTTCCTGTAAGGACACCACTCATGTCAGATTAGGGCCCATCCTAACAATGCCATTTAAACTTACTCACCTCTTTAAAGGCCCTATCTTCAAATACAGTCACATTCTGAGGTACTGGGGGCCAGGATTTCACCGTATAATTTTGGGGGAACAAAATTCAGCCTATAATAGTCCTCAGAGAAAAGACCAATGTACAATGTATGCTGTTGTACAGAAGCTAAAGAAATCTGAAAGACAGCTTGCAGCCTAATCAATACTATGGAAAATCTCACCAGTTAATCAGTGCCATATATGCAGAGCATCTGATTGGCCTGTTGGTGATCTTTAATGTTAAATAACAGCCAGTGATTTCCTGACACTTGAGAGCGCCTCTACCATGGAAAAAAAAAAATGAAACCTGAACAAATGGGTGAGGGTCAGGGGAAGGATTCTGATTGATAGAGAGACAAAGCAGGAAGTAGAAAGTGTCTTTCAAAAAATCTATAGAGTTAATATTTTCAGAGAGATAAGGAATGAAATCAACTTCCTGAAATCAAAAAGGAAAGTTGTGTAAAAGCAAAAGTGAGAGAACAAAAAGAGTAAACAAAAGGAAATTAAGGAATATGATAGCCAAATACTATCCCATAGAAGGCTTGGAGAACGATTGAGGAAATGATCCATAAAGTGCAACAAAAGGAGAGAGGTGGACAATGACAAAAGCAAGCAAGAGAAAGGAAGACAGAGAGAAAGAAAGGAGAGAAGGAAGAGAGGGAGGGAGGAAGGAGAGAGGGAGGGAGGGAGGAAGGAAGGAAGGAAGGAAGGAAGGAAGGAAGGAAGGAAGGAAGGAAGAGTTAGAGAATTCACTGAACATCAAAGCCCTTCAAATCAACATTTTAGAACACCCAGGTGGCAGGGGACTCCACCAGAGCTTCCAGAGAGAAGGAGCAGCTGCAGCAGTGAAGGGGTATAAAGATGATGCTAGACCTGTTGACAGAATTGGAAGTGAGAAGAGTATGGGGCAAGGCTTTCAGAAGTCCAAGGAAAAAAATCATTTCCAAAGTGGAATTCTATACTTTTCCCAACTGTCAGTCAAACATGGCAATAGAATATGGCCATTTGCAGGCACGCAGAGTCTGCCACCCACGCATGATGTTCCGAAGCCTTCCGCGGTGTGTGTTGCAGGGACAAGCTTTCCTGAGACAAGGCCTGGGGTCTAGGAAACAAAAACTGTAACGTCAAAGGGAAGCAAAACAAATTTCCAAAGTGAGGCATCAAAGAGCAATCAGCTTCAATTGGAGCAGAACACCAGGAGTGTGAACGCCAGGAGGAAATAAGAAGGAATTAATAGATTATCTGATATGTTTGATTATAGCCTGAAAAAATGTATTGAGAGGGTATTAATGGGTGTGGTAAAAACTATAGCAACTGAAGCCAGAAGAAAAGAGGCATAAACCAGTGCACTTGGCTTAGCAGTGAACACAAAGTACGTAGTCAAAATAATGACCATATTAGGGGATGAAGGAAGGGAGAGGTGACAAAGTGGGTAGGGACAGAGGTTTCCAAGAAAGCGAACTCTTCATCCACCACAATAGTCGGTCAGTGATAGGTAGTTGACAAATTGATAAATCAAGAAATTAAATATGTTTAACTCCTTAAGAAAGAAGTAAATACCAGATGGATCCACTAACAAAGTTCAAAATGTGCCTTTGGGAAAGAGCCTCAGAGGTAGAGAAGTATCCAAAGACATTGCTGCTGGTGTTTTACTTTATACTATACACCTTTTGGTGTCATGTATTTTACCAAACACTGTGAACATATTCCTTTGATGATAAAAACTATTTTAGAAACTAAATATATACATACACTTATCAGCAATTCTACTCCTAGCTATATGACCTAGCAGAAATACATCTGTATACTCATCAAAAAAAAAAAAAAAAGACTAGAATGTTCATAGCAGAGCTATCCATAGTAGCCCAAAACTAGAAACTATTCAGATGCTTTTCCCCAGGAGAATGGACGAATAGACTGCATTGCATTCCTGCAACAAGAGCCTAGTGAACGGATGGTCCATCACTGCACACACAGGGGTGAGTCTCACACCCAGAGCAGAGGAGTCAGACACCATCGTGCGTGTACTATGGGACCTATAGGGAGTTCCAAAGCAGGCAAACAGAATCTGGGCTGTTGTAATTCAGCAAAGTGGGCACCGCTGAGGATGAGGGACAGTGAGGGGGCACAGGAAGGCCTTGGGGGTTATACGGTGCTGTTCTTAGTGCCAATGGCTGGTTACATATGTGGTGGGGCTTCACTAAGCTGTGTACTGATGCACAGAGCACTTCTCTATGAGTGTTCCACTTGGTATACAGTCATATGGGAGATGTATATCACATTTTAAAGAAGAATGAAGGGCACAGGAAAAGTCAGTATGAAGTGTGTGACCATTTACTGCTATTTGGATCTGACGAATAAGGAGAGTGACAGTTGTCAGTCCCACTGATTCTAGCCGTAATTCTGATTTAATAATAGAATATCTCATGATTTTAGGATCCTTCCTGTTCCTAAACGGCCTGCATGCTGGACCCCGTGGTGCCCTGAGGAAAGCAGGCGTGCTGAGGGGCACTGGTGAGGAGGGCCAGGAGGCGTTTGCAGAAGGTGGGCTGCTGGGGTGGACCCAGCTACTCACCTGGAGGAAGGTGAAGCACCGTGGGCAGCCCCATTAGCATTCAGAGGGCACCAGGATGCAGGACCGAGCTGAAGCCACCCAGACACAGAAATCCACTTCCTGGACCAGATCACAAGTGCGCCTCGCCCTCCTCAGGGGCTCCCATCTCTGCTTCGCTTCCTCCTGAGCTCTGCGTGCTCGCACTTGAGCAGTGCCAGCCCCGCAGCCCCCTCCCTCTCAGGCAAGCTAAGCCTGAATCTGTGAGAAACCAAGGCTGGCTTCTCCCTGGCCAGGGCCAGATGTTTATCCCCTCCGAATCTCATATTGAGATGTAACCCCCAGTGTTGGAGTTGGGGCCTGGTGGGAAGTGTTTGGGTCCTGCGGACGGATCCCTCATGGCTTGGTGCTGTCCTCAAGACATTGAGTGCTCTGAGATCTGGTTGAGTAAAAGTGTGTGGCCCCTCCTATCCCTTGTTCTCACACCCCTGCTCTGGCCCTGTCACAGGCTTGCTCCTGTTTTTACTTCCTCCATGAGTGAAAAGTCCCTGAGGCCTCCCCGGAAGCCGAGTAGATGCTGGCGCCATGTTTCCTGTACAGCCTCCAGAAGGATGAGCTACTTAAATCTCTTTTCTTTATAAAGTTACTCGGCCTCAGGTATTCCTTTATAGCATTGCAAGGAGGGCCAAACACAGCCAGCAAATGGAGTAAATGATAGCAGCTGCCCGGTCCAGCAGCAGCCTGGTGCAGCAGCCGCAGTTCCCGTGTATGTTTACGATGTTGTTATATGGTGATGTCTGTAAATTGAGATCCACAGAAGGGGCTGGCCTTGAGGACAAGGACACTCAAGAAGCCTCCCTGGGAGGAAGTCCCCTCCCTTGGATGTAGTGATTCAGACCAGCAGGAGGCGGAGGGGATCGGCGCCAGCACCCAGGCGGTGACCTAGCCTTCCTCTGGTGTTTGAGTTGGGTTGTAACCAACACAGTCTGTACATTTGGTTTCACAGTCCATCTCCTCCCTGCCATTTAGACCTAACTAACATCAGAAGATTTATTTTTTTTAATGGCTTAAAATATAAGGGTTGTTAAAAAGGCAGGGGTCATAAAAATAGACCTGGGCCTAAATACATGCAGGCAACAAACGTGTGTTGGGGGGTCTGCGTGTGAGACCCTTTGCCTGAGAAGCCTCCCGTTCCTATAGTTGCTGTTCAGCTTCTCTTACTATCATTAAGAATATTGAGCCTGCCTCTTTGTCGAGTACAGCTCTCAGTACCTTGTCAGTGCACAGCAAACATTAGATGATGATAAATAATGGAAATAACCTTTACAATAATGCAAAGAAATGTAATCCAGCCAGACAGGTATCGGTACTGGAAAGAAAATGAACCATAAAACACCCATGGTGGAATACATTTCCAGATAAATAGTTCGGGAGGCAGCCAGTGTCTTGCGGAAGCCTGTCCCAGATCTCGGGAGGCAGGTGTCTGGCGAGGGCATAACTGCTGAGGACCCCCAGCTGTGCTGGCCCCGGTCCATGGATGACGGGGACTGTGGAAACAGCGACCTTGCCCCTAAAAACTGACTGCAGGAGAAACAATGCAGCCGGGGTAGACCTCAGAAAACGTCATGATTTTTCCAAAACCTCAAACGACAGTGGGTATTTTCCAGCCAAAGGACAAGCAAAAGCTCATTGGAAACTCCATGAAGAGCGAAGAGAAATGGCAGCCTGTGGGTCCTGGCCTGTCTGAGACAGCCCAGAGCCCAGCACTTCAGACATCTCCAGGGTGTCTCGGGGAAAGGCAGGTAGTGACGCGGCAGGGGACTGGAGCTCGGTGGAGTGGACTCTGCCTCGGGGTCACTGAGAACTGGGTCCCTGATGGCCGGTGCTCCTCCCCGTGACAGATTCCACACAGGAGCTGCAGGCCGTGGACCCCTGAAGTGGACAGGCGCTCTGGCCGTACCCTGGGGGGTGAAAGCCCTTCCCCAGTGACCTGCAGGTTTCGAGGGGCTTCCCCCTCCCACGGTCACCCCTGTGTCCTTCATCTTGCAGCCGTTTCATTATCTCCACCCTGACATCGAACCGTGTGGAGTATGACCCCCCACCCCCACCCCCCGGCGATTCACTGAATGTGAAATAGATTCCCACGAGGCATGTGGGTGTGGAGCCTGTTTCCCAGGGGCCTGGGAAAGCCCACAAAGTGCACAGCCCGGCAACGCCCAGAGCTTCGTTTCAGGCGTTCACCACAGGCTCTTCTCCCAGCGGGGTCGTCTGCCTCGTTTTCTCCCAGATCCATGCTGTCCAGTGTGGGACCCCCAGCCATGGGTGGCTGTTTACTTTTAAATTAGTTAAAATTAAATAATATTAAAATTCGGTTCTGCAGTCACATGAGCCATGCCCCAAGTGCCATGTAGACGCAGCAAGTGGCACAGCCGAGCAGCATCTCCATCCCCAGGAGCTTCTGCACGGCTCTGATGTGGACCTTCCCTCCCCAGCTGCTGCCCGGTCTCCAACTCCTCTCACCCCCCTCCTTTCCTGGGTTACCCAGGGAGCTGCCAATCCCTCCCGTTCTGTACTGCTGAGCGTGGCATACTGCCCGAACTGGAGCCAAGTCCTCCCTGTGCCCTGTTGAGCCCACAGGGCTTCCCTTTAATAGGTGTCACTGGCCACAGAAAGAAGCACTGGACATAACTCATTCCTTTCTGGATTCGCCTGATTTCTATCTTCCTTAATAGCTTGTGGATTGCATAAAGCCAGTGACTACCGGCCATGATTTGGGGCCTGCCTGCATGGGGTTCTGCCCATCGTGGAAATGTTTCTGGAGAGCATGAGTTACCCTTGGAAACACGGTAGGGGGAAAGTCTGCCGTCCTCATCATCGTGTGGTCATGAATGACACTCCCTGGGCCCTGTCTGGGCACTGCCAGGTGTGGGTGATGTGTCCTGCATTCAGCAAAGAGGCTAGCATCAATGCTGCAGCATCCTGAGTGCTGGGTGGAGACACAAGGGCCCAGACAGGAGCCTTTCCCTTAGCAGCTGGCTGGCAAGGCCGCTGGGAAGGTACCATGGAGAAGCTGTGGCCCGGAAGATGAATAGTGTTAAAACAGTGACGGGTGATGAAACGGCCACTGCAAATACAACCAGAGAGAAGGCAAAATCAGGGAGAGGTGGGGAGAGGCCTGGAGAGGGAGCCGGGCAATACCTGCCCTTGACAGGTGCTGCCTTGTCAACGTAATTACGTTTGCATCTGTGTTCAGAGATGAAGTCAGCCTCTCAATTCCCTTTCTCTGACTTTTCTTCTCTGGTTTTGGCATCAAGATTTTACAAGTTTTATAAAATGAGTTTCTCTATTCTCTGTAGATGGTTCTTATCTGTTCATTTAATTATTGATAGAATTCATTTCTAAAGTAAGGTAGTTTTTTTTCAACTATGCTTTCTTCCAGTTACCGTTCCTTCCCAGAAGTATCCATGAACCTGTTTCCATGCCAACAGCAGAGGCAACTTGGGCCTGTTTTGTGCTGTAGATAATAGGATGCCGAGTCCGGCTTCGTTTGTTCATCACTGTGTCTCTGAAATTTATTCCATGACTATCTGGGTGTCATGACGGCTTGCCCTTCTATCGCTGGCACTCAGAGGGCTTCCAGGTCAGGGCAACCATGAGTCAGATTCCTTTGAACATTCCTACAGATGTGTTTTGTGAATACATGAATAATTCTTATTGGGTATTTACACAAATAAATGTCCACTCATTTACGGGAGTGGAATTGTTGTTGCGTGATGTATCTATATGTTCAGCTATAAGAAATGCTGACCATTTCCCCAAGTGGTGGTACCAATTTGTATCCCACCAGGAGTGCAGGGGAATTTTGGTTTTTCCACATTGTCTGTGACACTTCCTGTTGCCTCTTGGCCTTGCTGGAGGGTCCATGTACAGCATGTTCTAAGCATGGGTTGGGCATGGCTGCACACACAGCAGGCCTGGCCTCAGGAGGAAGGGCCTCCTCTCTTCCCCTCCTCCTCCCCACTCGTCAGCCACAGTGTCTGCCCCTGTGGACAAGGTGCGGTTGGCAGGAGCAGATAGGAGACAGAGATGTCACAGCCACCCCAAACTCACATTGTCACAGGAGGCTTGTGCTCTCGTACACGGCTTGCTTTCTCATCTGGGCACTTGGCAGGTTCTTCTCAGGCCCACGCTCACCTTCGCATCCCCAGCTTCAGCCTGCTGGCACAGGCCCTGTGTGTCCATCCACTTGCCCCTCAGCTGGGCTCTACTGGATAGGACCCAAGACCATGTCTGGTCCCTGGAGAACACCTAGGCCTTTGTTCCCTGCCCAGCCAGGGGCTGGTCATCTCCACAGAGCAGCACCCTCCTGGCCCCACCCCTGAGGGGGCCGGTCAGCCGCTTGCCTTTCAGAGTCTCCAGGTAGGAACCGGCTGGTCACCCGCCCGCAGTGCTGGACATGCATGGAGCCAGCAGGGTCCCATGGCAGCTGCACCCCCACAGCCTGAGTGAAAAGCAAATGCCTTCCTTCTGTGGATGGGACCCAGGCTCAGCACACCGTCAGTCCTTCAAAATGCTTCTCAGCCTCCAAACCATTTGTGGAGGCACAGGCCTTGAGGCATCTAAATTTGTTCTGCTCTCTTGTTTAGAAAATAGGCAAAGGCTGCTGGGGGTGGGGGCGGGGAGGTCCCCGTCACCATCCTAGGGTGTGTCTCTTGTGATGTGGAGCCTGGGATGGAGCTTCCAGCTGGACCTTCTGTTACAGAGCAAGTGAGCAGAAGAAAGAAGGAGGGAGGGAGGAAAGGGGAGGGAGGGAAGAGAGGGGGAGGAAGGAGGGAGAGAGGAGGGAGG
Source organism: Homo sapiens (assembly GCF_000001405.40). Classification (NCBI taxonomy): domain Eukaryota; kingdom Metazoa; phylum Chordata; class Mammalia; order Primates; family Hominidae; genus Homo; species Homo sapiens. The sequence goes on from NC_000020.11 coordinate 24,661,362, forward strand.
GAAAACCGAGGGAAGAGGGAGGGAGGAAAGAGGGAGGAGGTAGGAAAGAAGGAGGAGTTAGGAAGGAGGGAGGAAGGAAGGAGGAAAGAGGGAGGAAGTAGGAAGGAGGGAGGGAAGAGGGAGGAAGAAGGGAGGGAGGGAAGAGGGAGGAAGGAGGGAGGGAGGAAAAAAGGAGGAAGGAGGGAGGGAGGAAAAAAGAGAGGAAGGAGGGAGGGAGGAGGGAGATGGGAATAAAAAGTAAGGAAGGGAGGAGGGAGGGAGGAGGGAGGGAGGGACTGGCCTTCAGCATGCCAGCATATGCCAAGATACATTATTGGATAAACCAGGGACCTCAGGTGGGCATGAGAAGGGGAGACACGAGGGGACTGGGCAAGGGCAGCCTGGCCACTCCCCCAACTAGAGCAAGACCTGGATCCACCAGGAGCGTCAGAAGGAAGCAGGGCCTAGAACCCACTCCCAGACCTCTCTGCCACCTTCACAAGAAGCCACTCCCTTCAGATAGAACCATTCCCCAAAATGTGACCAATGGGCAGGGTGGGGGGTTCCACCAGAGAGAATTGCTGGTGGGTTTCAGCATTAAACACTACCACCCATGGAATGCAAATTGACTTTGTCCCTCCACAAACTGGTCATTTCTCATCACGAAGCCATGACCAGCATGACCTTTACATGTGGATCAACAGCTCTCGGTCCTTTGACAGCCAGTTCCTTTGACTTGGCCACTTGATAGTGACCATTCAACCTAAGGAGGTGTGACCCAGCGGTGGTACGAGGTGGCTGGACCTCAGTTCTAACGGTGACAACTTCAGCTAAAGCACGTTTGTTCTGGCTGTCCGTCCTCTGCTTGTGTAACTTTTATTTCCTCAGTGTGAACAGCGCTGCACTTGAGGGACAGGAAGGGGGTGCTTCCATAGCTGTCATTGCTATGGCGCAAGTTTACTTTTACTCTTCAATTTAAAAATCGGGTCTTCTACATATCTTTGCAACTAGGGAAGAGAAAGCAGGTCTTTTAATTCCAGAACCGCAGTGCACAAATCATGTTCCAGTGTGGGCTGTGCAGGAGCTCAGTGCCTGGTGGGTTTCAGGTTGCAGGACATCTCCCTTGGGGGCTACGTCTGATGCCCTGCAGCCAGCCCTGCCGATGGAGCCCAGCTGCTTCCTGCGTTCTCAATGATGAGTCCTTGTGCCCTGGGCTGTTAAGGCTGTGCCTCTGCTGTGAGCTGAAACGCTTTCTCTGAAGAGCCCTTACAGTGCAGAAATAGTGTCTTTGGGTCCTGCTGAGCCCCTACCCCCAGCCCACCGCTGGCACAAGGTGCAGGCACTGGGCACTGCTTGGGGCTTCGCCAGTCACCTGCACTTTCTAACCGCCTGCACTTATTTTCCAATGAAAGGCCAATAAAGTCACAAACTTCACTTGCAACCTGTTGGCAAAAGACAGGGAAGGAAAACCAGCCACAAGAAATAACAATCTTGACAAACTTTTTTGCACCTACACACAAAGCCTTGCCTTCAGCTCAGAGACTCTTGGACTCAAGACAGTTTGCCCTGCCCTCATGCACACCAAAAATCTTGTCAAAGAGCCAGGAGCTTTCGTCCAGCAGCTGTCAGGATGGAAACGTGTCTTCCCATTTGCACCCTGCCAAAGGAATGAGCAAGCTGTTTCACAGCCACAGTTATCCATTTTCTGAGACAAAAGGTTCATATCAGGTAAATCACCTTCATTAGACCACGTTGTGTGTTTTGTGTATGTAAATGACGTCTCTGCCTTGCAGGAGTGGGCACTGCAGAAACTCTGGCTTCTATGACACGCAGATGCCGAGTGACGTTGCTGAAGGCAGCCTGCTTGCTAAGGCTGCATCTGTTTGCTGTTTCTGACATATCTCCAGCGATCAGGCCCCTAACACACCACATTCCCTAGGTTTCTTGTTAGAGCCAAACATATAAACCGGCGTATCAAGGTCCCCCAGCGTGGAGAATGAGAATAAAGAGCAAATGTGATTCTCAAGCAGACACACCAGCTTGAGCATGAGAGCTCTGGTGCGTCTATATGCAGAACCTGCAGAGTTGGGCCAGAACTGAGGTCAAGAGTCAGCCCCGTGCCACTGCCTTCCTCCTCAACACCACCAGAGAGACTGGAACTGTGCCCCAGTTAGAGAAGTATCGCATTCCTCCTGTCCCCCCAGAGCCCAGCCCAGGCCCCAGGGAGACCACAACACACAAGAGAGACATGGGCTCTGCCTTGGGGAGCTTACAAGTGAGCAGGAAGGCAACTATTCCGCAAGTGGGTACTCAGATGTGTGAGCCCTCATGAGCTCGGGAAGCCCGGCATGGGTGTTCCCACAGGGGTCAGGGAATGAATGCTGCTGGCAGGTGCCCAGTCAGCTGTAGCAGCTCCACCTTCCTCTCTGCACCCCTTTGCATAGCCCTGGGGATGGCACTAAGGCTGGTGATCATGGCGGGGACACAAAGCCATGACCCTAATGAGCAATGACTCTTTCAGTTAGCGCTAAGGAAAGGCAATTACAGGAAATTGTGTTCGAAGATGTGGGCGTGTGTGGGAGCACTGCTGCATGAAACAGACTTGGCTCACCACGACTTCATTCATTCATTCATTTATTCATTCATTGTCCTAGGAGGCTTCCCATTTTGCATCCCTTTATCTCTGCTCCCTCCAGAATTGTCCATAGTGAGCTCTGAAGCTCAGTTCCAAGACAAAAAGTTGGGGAGGAAAAAAATAAAAACTAGCTTTTAAGATCCGAAAGTTAGAGGAGCGAGAAGGAAGCCAAGCAGCGGCAGGCATCCCTTCCCCACACGACACAGACTTCCAGAGCTCAGAGACCATGGAAGATGCAGGTTCACGTCATGAGCCATCTCTGAGTGTGAGCCTTTCTGGTCCACTGCAGAGGTGTTGGTGTGTTTTAGCTGGTGTGTTTGAGTGAATGACATGCCGACTCCCATACTCACCTATAAAACCTAGTAATGTCACTGACCTTAGGTGGAAATGGGACCCGGTAGAAATCTGGCTTTCTGGAGACGGCCATGAGAACGAGCTAGGACATTCTGCCAGGGTAGTCCTGACCACAGGGGGCCCGCGGGTGGCTTGGGAGTCAACCCTCCTCAGCATCACGTGGGCTCCCGTGGCTCAGTGCTTTGGTAGCATCTCACCCCATCTGCCAAATGAGCCATTTTACTCCGGTGATCCCTCCATGGTGGCCTCCAAAACCTCCATGTTTCCATCTCCTCGTGACCCCAAGAATCATGAATTTGATTACACCAACACCTGGTCATGTCATTGAGCACTCAGGAATATAGGTGTTAGTTTTGTATCAAATGATTTTATTGATGGATGAATTTTACTAACGCCAACCATGTCCAGGGTGGGGACGGTCAGGAAGTGAATGACTCATGGCCACAGCAGGTGAGGCAGCTGAGGAGGAAGGTTTCAGGTGTCCTCCAGTGGTTTTCATGATCTTATGCCGGAGTTTCTCTCGGGGAAATGGGAACTGTCATTGCCTTCCGCACACCTCCAGTGGGTAGCAGAGATTCAATAAGATAGATAGAAATATGCTTTAGAAAATTACGAGTTATTCAAATAAACAAGCACACCATTCTTGGGTAGAAAGAGCAGCACTAGAGGAGTCTTATCTAGCCCATCCCTCAGTACTCGTGCTGGAGATCCCAGACCCCACACTGATGGAACTCAGTTGGGCTACTTCCAGCCTTCTCTTATTCCCTTGGGGCCAAGTAGAAAAGAAGTCTGTCTTCCCTGCGGTGTGGGGGAGCAGCAGCAGGCCCCAGCCCCACATTTGTTTCTTGCAGTTAAAGAACTGCCCTGGTCATAGCAGGGGTGAGCACAGTTTCCCCCTCAGCCTTCTCTGCATCAACAATGCCTTTTTCTGAATCAGGAGCCGTAGATGAGCCCTCCACTCACTGCTTGTTCCGACTTGCTTACAATGACTTCCTTTTTCTTCTCCAACTCTGCAGACCAACAAAGCCGTGGCCAAGGGGGACTTGCACCAGGCCAGCACCAGCTCCCGGCGGGCCCTATTCCTGGCAGTGCTGTCCATCACCATTGGGACTGGCGTCTATGTGGGCGTGGCCGTGGCCCTCATCGCCTACCTCTCCAAGAACAACCACCTGTGAGCTTCCTGCGAATGGAGGGGGAGCACCCGGGGCCAGGTCTGTGTGGACGTGGAGGAAGCAGGCATACCGCATGATGCTGTACAGTACAAATGATTGCCAAATGATGCCACGAAGCCCTGGGATTTCCTACCCATGGATTTATTTTGTTTTTATCCTTTAATTTCATGTTCACAGCACTGTGTAGAGCACCAGACAGACGGGCACTGCTAATCCTTCCAAAGGAAAGCTCCAAAGATCCCAGCCCGCAAGGCTGTCTCTGGATGGATTCTGGTGGATGAATGGCAACGCGGCTCTCTGCAGCCTGCCAGTGCCCAGAGTGCCACCGCATTAGCAATATACAAACAGTCCAAAAAAGTGTTTATTTTTTATGGAATACGGTGCAATAGGCAGAGGACAAGGGACACATCACTCTTCTGTCTGTGGCCCTGCTGGAGTCCTTTGTGCCCCCCGGAGTCCACACGCCTTCCCTGCAAGACGAGAATGGGGCTGGGAAGAAAGAGGCAACACCACGGCTGGCAGGAGCCCCGCTGCACTGCTCTGCAGACCCATTGGCCTGACCCTGAGAAGCAGAGCCAGCAAAGCCCGGGACCTGCCCCTCTTTCTTTCCCTTCACACCACCCCAGCCTCAGGATGTCAAGCCACCTCCGGAACGTGTCTACACTCCACAGCTACCCCGCAGCAATACGCACTCTTGGGACCTCGCTGATCTAGGATGGGGAGGCAGGCCACCGCCCCTCCCAAGACTCCTCAAGAAAGAGCCCCGCGGTTGCTCCGGAAACTCGAGGCACTGCAGCTATGGGCACTGCCTCAGCCTAAAGACACAGGGGCGCCTCCCAATCACCGCGCTGGCGGATGCTCACCCCGTCATAAGCAGAAACTAGTGATCCTGGAAATGAGATGGGCCTTACTCTGTCGACTAAATGAATAGCTATTTTCTTGTCATTTTTTAAAGTGCAACTCTTGCTTCATGCTGCTTAAGTTACCAGATGAATGCTGAGAAATAAGTAATCACAGACATTTTAATACCATTTCATTGCTGTTTTACGAGTGTTCATTACTTAACAAAAAATTATCTTTTAGCTTTTTCGCTTAAGACTTTTCTTTCTGATGAATAGCTGTCGTTGGGTTTCATTTATACTTTCCCCTTGTGGTTTAAGGAACTGCAGAGCCACCCAGGCCTCCACTGCTGAAATAGTAGGGGGGTCTCAAGGAGAACCAAAGTCCCTGCCGCTTCAATTTCCACCAGTAAATATGATCGTCCTAATCCCCTCAGTGGACACAGAGACCCCCTCTCCAGGACGGTGGCTCCACCGGCAGCACTTCGCAAATTCCTGAGGCCTGGGTCAGCCCCAGGCTGACTTGATGGGTCAGGATGTGGCCTTGTAACTGCAACGTGAAGCCAAGGTTGAGAACCACTGCCCTGGACTAAGGTCTCTGTGTTTGATCCTTCTGCCTGAAACTCTCCTCCTTGACCTTGAACATTTAATATTCTGAAAATTATTAGCACTGTCTTCTCGGGTCAAATTTGAGATCCATCTAGCATTTGTCTCTACTGGGTGGTTCACAAACACTGTAGGATGTTAACCCTAAGAAGTAGATAAGGAAGCCAGCCAACACCCCTGTAGGAGTTAGAGTCACTGGCCATGGAGGGCATAGGTTTAGGTTCAAACCAACCTGGATTTGAATCCAGCTGTGCTACTTTCTAGCTGTGTGATCTTGGGTAAAGGTTTACACCTCAGTAGGGCACAGTGGCTCACACCTGTAATCCCAGCACTTTCGGATGCCGAGGAGGGTGGATCACGAGGTCAGGAATTTGAAACCAGCCTGACCAGCATGGTGAAATCCCTGTCTCTACTAAATATGCAACAAATTAGCCAGGCATGGTGGTGGGCACCTGTAATCCCAGCTACTCGGGAGGCTGAGGCAGGAGTATCACTTGAACCCAGGAGGCGGAGGTTATAGTGAGCCGAGATTGTGGCACTGCACTCCAGCCTGGGCCAGACAGAGCAAGACTCCATCAAAAAAAAAAAAAAAAAAAAAAAGGTCTACACCTCTCTGAGCTTCGTCTCTAGGAGAGGATAATCAATAAGGCCCATTTTGAGCTTCGTCTCTTGGAGAGGCTAATCAATAAGGCCCATTTTGTGGGGTTGCTGGGGAAGGCACGAGGCACAGACCATCACGCCTGGCAGGAGCAGGTGGTCATGGTTACTATCATGTCCTTGGCTGGCTGTCCCATGGCTGGTCAATGTCCCTCCATCTCTCAGGGTTCATTTATCACAAGTCATTGTGTCAAATGGGCTTCTTTGCACTTGTCCTGAAATGATCCACTTTAAGTTCAAAGGCTCCCCAAAGGTGCATACCTTTGGATGTGGTAAAGAAGTAGAACCTGTCTGTATATCCACACCCATCATTTCTGTCTATACTGTCACAGTCACCCTAAGCCAGGCCCTCAGTGCCAGGTACTTTACCTCTGCTAGATCAACTGCCCATCTTATTCCAGCCTCTGTATTTCCAGATGGAAAAGCCTCAGTTCCCAGGGGCTTGGCCCTAAGTTGTCAAGCTCTGCCAAGTCTTTCTCAAAGGCTTTACCTATGGGTGTAAATGGTCCTAGGTGGGCACAAGGAACAGGGCCAGCTGAAGGCAGCCATGGGGCCGAGCAGCTCACCTGGCAGCTAGGCACAGTGTGTGACAGCCCTGCGACTGGCTTGGCCTTGGCGGCAGGGAAAGTGACTGAAGGTCATCTTTGGTGGTTGTGTTAGTGACTGCTGTCAGCTGAGCCATCTTCCGAGTGTGCCGGAGCGACCTGCACCTCCCTAAACCTGCATCATTGCTGTTAGGCCCACGTGGCATCCACTAAGCACAGCTATGCCAGGAACACATGACCTCGCCTCATCCTCCCAATAGTCCCAGGAGGGAGGTGTCCCCACCTCCTCCCCAGGTGTCCCTGCCTTCCGAGGCATCCCCCCACCTCCCCAGGCATCCTCATATCCCAGGTGCCCCCACCTCCCCAGGCATCACCACCTCCCCAGGTACCCCCACGTCCCCAGGCATCCCCGCCTCCCCAGGTACCCCTGCCTCCCCAGGTACCCCTCCTCCCCAGGAATACCCGCCTCCCCGGGTACCCCCACCTCCCCAGGTACCCCCGCCTCCCCAGGCGTCCCTACCTCCGCAGGCATCCCTACCTCCCCAGGTACCCCCGCCTCCCCAGGCATCCCCAACTTCAGCAAGTGTCCCAAATGACTTGACCAGATGTCATACCCCAGCTATTCCCAGGGAACTACAGTGGGTTCTGAGGAGAACATGGTGGGGGAGGACCCATCATTGGTCACCATGCCATCTGCAGCTGCCACAGACAGGCCACACAGCTAACCAGGAACCAGGCCCCCTGACACCAGGACCAGCCCCTCCAGAGCTGGGACAGGGCTTCCCTCAAACTCAGCCAGCTCTGCAAGTGGCCCTGCCCTCTGCAGCAGCCTCTGGGTTTAAAATGACCAGCGGAGCAATCTTCCTGCTTGCCAATCGCCACTCCCATGCCCTGGATACCAATGTCAAGTGGAGCGTGCACGGAGGCCATGGCCAAAGCCACCCTCCAGAGCCGTGACCTAAGTTCAGGATCTGACCCCTGAGGTTTCATAGCATCCCTTAGAGGCTCCTAGTGGATGGGCTGAAATGCCTGTCCTTATGAGGACATTTTTGTGCTTCCCTCTTTCCCTCAAAGTCCACCTGCATTAGTTGCCATCAGTGCTGACATCTGTTGATCCAATTTGCCAATAAGCCATTAACTGTCCCTTTATAGCCTGAGCTGAGGCTGAACCCTTGGAAATCACAGCCGTCCCATCTCCTACCTAGGGATGCCTCCATGCGCTACTTTGTGCTGATAACACTGGGATCAATTGCATCAGGCGGTGGCTGTGCTGTCCCCACCCCCGTGACCTCCTGGAAGTTCCTCCCTGCTCTTCAGAGTGAGCTTGGCTGTCCAAGGGGTGGGGGTTTCACTCCCCTGAGGCTCTTGTCTGAATATTCTGCTCATCTTTGAAAGTAATGGTGGATGCTAGACCAAGACAAAGGAGGTCTTCAGACTGAGGGCTCCCTGCCAAACAAGCATGTCCATTGAGTAATGAATTTGTCAACTGCCTGAGCCTCACAGGAAAGAGTCAAAGCTCCCTGTGGGGAGAGGAAGAAGGGGCAGGAGCTGCTGACCCTGCATTTAAGGTGCAGCGGGACTCAGGACCACAGGGGTGGCTTCACTTTCCCACAGGAGTGAGGGACGGGCATGGCATGGGGCATCAGAACAGGGTGGGAAATGAGAAGGTTGAGTACAGCTGCCCCATGCACAAGGGGATGGGGGTGGCTGGGATGGAGCTCCAGGCAGGTATGCATAATGGGATGACCCCCCTGGGCGGGGGAAGACCCTGAGGGCTCTAAGGATTTGCCCAAACCTACCTGGTGGAAAAGAAGCAGACGGGTGTGAATGTGGATGACTCCACGCAGAAGCACCAGACTAGAGACATTCCCAGTGGGTGGGGCCGGGCTTGGCTTTCCAAACCCAAACAACAGGAGAGGGGCGATTCATGCTGTGGGGAAACCTGTATTTTCTTGAGCTGAAAAGTGGGAAACCAGCCTCTACTCCAGGAGAAAGGCCAAGGGCTCAATCCTTTGGGTTTTGTTGCTGCTCCTGCTGATGGTGTTTGGTGTGTTTTGTTTGTTTTGTTTCGTTTTGGTGTGGTTTGATTTGGTTTTGAAGGCCCATGGGGTAGGACAGCTTTTTTCAGGAAACCTTTAAAGGCCCAAGGACAGCAGCGTGCAGGAAAGGTTGAGTCCTGGCCTTCACACTGGGGACACAGACCCACACCCGCTCCAGGATGCCCACCGTGAGCCTCTCACGTTGGTCTGAGGGTAGCCTGAAGGGCCTCTAGGCACTGTTGACAGCTGTCTCTGGTCACTTCTGTCCAGCAGAGGCCACAGACCCACCACAGTGCCTATGGCTGCACATGCTGGCAGCTCCACAGGAGAGAATGAGGAATGTGAAGAGCTGAATCCACGAGACCTGTGCTCAGCTCCCAGAGCAGGCTCGTACCCAGGGCTCCCAGGGTGGGCTCATGCCCAGGGCTCCCGGGAGGGGGGGTGGTCCCAGGGAGGACCCGTGCCCAGGGCTCCCAGGGTGGGGTCCCAGGGTAGGCTCTTGTACAGGGCTCCCAGGGTGGGCTAGTGCACAGAGCTCCCAGGGTGGGGTCCCAGGGTGGGCTGGTGTGCAGGGCTCCCAAGGCAGGCTCTTTCCCAGGGCTCTCAGGGCAGGCTTGCTTGCTCGCTCACACACTCCAGCACAGCTGGAGCATCCACTGCCGGGCCTTCCCATCACGGCCCTAAAGCCATTAGTTAGGAGCGACAAGGACAATGTCTTTGTCCTGATTCTGACCAAGGTCCTTTCTGACTTTCATTGCAGGCAACTCAATTGCCTAATGTGTGTCTACAGTCACCATGTTGTGTTCAAATATCACAACAAGGAGCCACAGGCACACAGTTCCCACATTAGATCTGAATAGTTGCCTTGACCTGTTCTTGAGATTTCTGCCTCTGCTCCAATCCAGGACAAGTGCTGTGGCTGCCCTGGCATCAGGCCTGGCTTCTCAGTGCCACTGCCCCTGCCCCAGCAATGCAGGGGCAAACATGGTGGATCTGGGCTGCAGACTACGAGACAAGTGTCCCCTTAGCTGAGCATGTCGTCAATCTCCTCCGTCACCCGCATGCCCTTTGCTCCAGCACAGAATGAGCCCAGGGCTGCGCTTGCCCAGGACAGAGAGAATTCAACAACTGGGCCTACACTCAGTCAGTAAAGGCTGAGTGAAAATGAGGTGCTCTGGGAGGTGCCAGATAGGTCCTGGAGGGCTTATCCCCTGCACCTCCTACTGTGTCTAGGGGATTGCACTTTGCTTTTTACTGAAACCAGGTCACTGGGGGCAAATTTGAATATACATAGACAGAGATAGAAATAAGATATTTAAGAAAGAGAGAGGTGACACAAAATCACGGTATCTGCACCACTTCCCCCAGCTCCAAGCCAGCGCTCTCCATTCTGATCAGCCTTTGCTTATGACACCTCAGGACACCAGAGTCCAACTTATGACACAGCCAAAAAATGGACAATGATTTGAATCTGTTGTCTATATATGCCAGAGCATCCATATTTGGGTTCCAATTATTTTATTAAACCATTCAAGATTTGCAGGTGGAACAAGATGGTCCCAGTTCCCCTAAGTCACCTGAGCTAATGTCTTCATTCCCTGGATAGAGTTGGCACATTTTAAGCATCATCTATTTTTCTACTGAACTGGCTGATGAAGTGTTCCTGCTAAGTAGGAAGAATCTGCTAAGGTGGGCCCCGACTTGCTGAGGGCTGAATTGGCGGAAGGGCTGCTGAGGAGCTGGGAGACCTCTCCTGCTTAGCACAGCGAGCGACTCTTCCATTATTCTCTCAAGATGTCCTTCTGTCATTAGCGACAAGGGATGGTCACTATCCCACCACAGTCTTTAACGTAGAAAAGAGATGAGGCTCACTTGCCCTTCTTTTTAGTCCATAATGGAATAATGGGAAGGAATTAAATGTAAAGCTTTGTTATTACTCCCAGAGAAGAATCCAGCTCTTCAGGTATTCTAAACCAACTCTCCATCTGGCGTTTGTAGATTCTCAAACAATAGGTGCTTTAAAAATAATACATATCTTAAATTTGAAGAGTGCATTGCAAACTGGTCTGTTTCATATTCTCAGCAGTCCTGTGCCACATCTGAAATGGAACTCAAAAGGCTGTTTCCCTCAACACCCCCGGGTGACAAACCCGGATTTGGGCTCAGCCAAGGAGCAGTGAGGCCAGTGCCCCATAATCACGGTTGCAAGATGGCCACAGCACTCCCTGAGTCTCGTCCCGCTGAGACCCCAGCAAAGAGGGTCTCAGTGCAGGCTGTGTTCACCCCTGCACTGAGCATCCCCTTTGGGGAGTATGTGGTACCAGGATGATTTGCACCAGGAGAGAAGCTGGGGATGTCAGGCTTCTTCCAAATGCCCTGCCCTGATGTGTGGCTTCCCCCGGAGCAGGTGCAGCCTTTCAGGCATGAAAGGGACCTCCCCACAACCCCCACCCCAAGGCTTCATCTGAGTCCAGTTCACAAGAAAGTGGTGACTGCAGTGGTTGACGTGGAAGGCAAAGGCCTGGAGAATATGCAGCCGGGGGCCTGGGTGAGCCATCCATGCTCGGGGATAACAGAGGTCTGACAGCAAATAGAATCAGCAACCGGTGTCAGCTTTGTACCCACTCCTGGGAGATACTTGTGAATGTTTGGGGAGACATTTTTGGTTATCACAACTACCCCTCTTATGGATAGAGTCAGGGATGCTGCTCAACATCCTACAATGCCCAGGACAACCCCCACAAAGAGAGCTAGCTGACCCCAAACCTCAGCAATGCTGAGAATCCCTGCACTATTCCACCCGGGTTGGTTACTCACAACACAAACATTCACATTTTGAAAAGTGGCTCTGAATTAGTCACCATCCAGATGGAACCTGCCAAGTAAGCTTGGAATCCACTCACAGACCTATGAAAGGACTTCCCTGAACACCCCTATCATAGTTTAGCTGAAGAGAGGAAGGGAAAGTGGAGAAAGGGAACAAGGGAGCCACCCCCTCCTCTGAGCCCTGCAAGAAGCCTGTGGAGTCGAACATCACTTCAGCTGCCTGGTGCACACTTCCACCTGCCTTCACCAGCAGTGTGCTGATTCCCATCAAACAGGAGCAGTGAAATGGCCACTGCCTCCCACTGGAGGTGGCCTGGGGCTTTGTAGAGAAAGCTTTCAGGGCCGCTCAGTCACTGAGTCCCAGAAATCCTCTGATCCAGAAAGGGCTGTGGGTCTTATCCACAGAGGACAGAGACAGGCCCCACAGGAGAGGAATGAGCCCAAGTCAGCCAGGTCATGGTAGGTGGGGACTCAAGTCTCCTGGGTGGTGGGTGAGCCTCCTTCCCAGCTACTCCGCTGTGGGCGAGGACCAGGGTCTAACCGGGTGGGGCACAGGCATCACCAGCAGCCTTGCCATCCTTTCCGGGATGGTGGTCTAGATGAGGCTGGGAACCATGTGCTCTGCATTGTGCAAGCTGTGGGCAAGAAATCAGACCCACAGAGCACGACTGCTCACAGAAAAAGTATGGTTCCTTCTGCTCCTTCTACATGAATTAGGAGAGGACTGCATTTGAAAAGAGGTTGGACAAGGCCTATCAGAGGCTGTAGGGGAGGTTTGGGCTTTCATTTAGTTATCTGCAGGTTTGTTCATTCTGAGTCACTCAGCATCACTGTGGAATAAAGCCAGAGGTGCAATGCACGGGGCAGGCATTCCATGCCCCCTTGTGAATGCCAGGACAGTTTCACAAGCATTGCTGAGCACCTATTGTGTACAAGGGCTACAGTGGGCCCTTGGGAAACAAAGATGAGGAAGGGGGCAGAGCTGGAGAAGTGCACAACCTCACTGGAGACAGTGCAGGGGCAGAACCAAGGCCATGGGCACCGCGCCCTCAATGCAGGGGCAGGGGCCTAGGGAAGGGGTCAAGGCCGTAGACCACCCAAGTCCAAGAGCATGTGTTTGTGGTGGGAGGTGCTGCTCAGGCCAGAGTAGCAACCTTGAGGGAGACTCATTCATTCTTCCAGCTTCCTGGGACACTCTTCCAGTTCTCAGGCTTCCATCAACACTTTGCAAATGCTGCATCTGGCCCCATGTGCACATATCTGTGGTGCTTGTGTGGGGGCGGGTTCCTGCCTACGCAGCTCTGTCAGCTTTGGGAGAGATGGAGGTGCTCCCCAGGACCCCCACACCTGGGCGATGGTCTCCCTTCCTAAAGGGGATCAGTGAGCGGCCACAGCGCTCTCCTTCAGTCACTCAGATGGCCACTGTTGAGCATTGCCTATGGCAGGGTACGTAAGGCAGGGCCTTGTTTCTAATGGGCCGAGAAGATCATCTTGACAGTAGGGCGCTGGCAGAGGAAGAATCAGCCTGGGGTTCTCCCTTTTCAGACCCATCATGCCCATTCTCACATTGAGGATGAGGGGCACTGATAGAGGGGCATGGTGCGGAGGGAGGGTTCTGCCAATCATGGAGCATTCTATGATGTCATCTTCATCTGTACGGTGGTCTCAGGGGTCTGTATCCTCGTGATCCCCATGTCCCAGATGGAAGGCCAAGGCTCAAAGAGGTTAGGAAATAAATTGTCCCAGGTCACACAGCTGGTACAAATCTCAGCTTTGCTCCAGCTCCGCCCGAATCCCAGATTGGTGGTCTCAACTGCTACACACTCCACTCCACACACGCACCTTCTGGCATAGTTAGCTTTGCTGGCCGCTAGTTTGCAAAGGAAATGGAGGTGTGGCCTTCCCAGTTTTCCAGGTGTGAGGTTCTGGGACTGAGAAGGCCTTGCCCGCCCTCTCCACTGCCCTTGATTGGGATTCTTGGTCCCCACCACTCAGCTGGGTAGAATCAATCAGATTATATTTTGAGCTTGGGAAGATGAAACTCAGGTCTTCTCTCTGGAGGGGAAGGTGATTGGTCCCAGAAAGGGAAGGCAGCCCGTGTGTCTGGAGGGCCCCTGCACTGCCAGTGTGTAGCAGACACCATCACAAGCTCTCCCTTTGAAGCCCCACCACAGCCCTCAAGGGGGATATGGGTTTTAACCTTCCCACTCTACAGATGGGGAAACAGAGGCTCAGAGAACCAGTACTTTGCCTGATGGCAGAGCTGGTCCACAACAGGCCAGAGTCAGAGTTCAGGTACGAGTAGCTCCCCAGGAGGCCAAACACCCAAAACACACCCGTCTGGAGAGTGGCCTCTTGAGGAGTTGCCTGTGTGGCTTTGCCAGGGCTGCCGTAACGAACATCACAGACCAGGCGGCTTAGACAACGGAAATGTACTTCCCATGTTCTGGAGCCTGGAAGTCCCAGATCAGCTGTCAGCAGGACTGGTTCTTCCGAGGTCTCTCCTTGGCTTGTGGGTGGCTGCCCTCTTCCTGAGTCTCCTGCGTACATGTCCCAATCTTCTGATAAGCACACAGCCATCTAGGATCAGGCCCACCCCTGGTGACCTCATTTTAACTTAACCACGTCTTTAAGGATTCTATCTCCAAATAGTCACATTCTGAGGCCTGGGGATTAGAATTCCACCATATGAGTTTTGAGGGGACACAACGGAGCCCAAGTCACCACCCAAGCTCATGCATCTCCCATCCCTGTCCAGATACACTGCCAAGCCCCTTACCAACACCCAGAAGAGCTGCCATCAGCCACACCCACATCTGTCTGTCTGTCTGTCCACCCGCATCTGTGGGCCCCACATCCATGCTGTGTTTGATCCATGAAGGGTTCAAGCTGCACACACATGGGCAGTGGGTGTTCAGTATATGGACCCCTTCTTCCCAAGGCTGCAGAGAGACCAGCTGGCATCTGCACAGGATTCAGACTTGGCTGTGTTGACTGAGCTGGGGATGCTGCCCCCGAGGATCCTGCAGGCAGAGGGCAAGAGGACCTCTATGATGAGGAGCTCCCTGGCTGGGGGCTGTGCATTCCCCACCCTGCCTGCCTACAGCCCTGCCATGCCTGAGTTGTGAGAGAGACCCAGAGAGGATTCGCCACTCAGCCCTGGGGCTCTTCTCCTGTGTCAAGGAGCTCCTTGGGAACCGGCATGCCCCGGTCAAGTGGGAGTCAGTGGGGCCGCCAGGACAAGGACCTTAGACCAGTGAAGATGCCTGGCTGGACATGGGGGACCCCCAGGCGGGACCAGAGAGGAGCACTGGAAAGGATGGCATTGGTGAATGTGCTCACACGCACTGGGGGGTGCCCCTAGGGAATTGCCAGGGATCCTTGACAGGCAGATTTTCAGACTGATGAAGTCCTGCCTGAACCTACCTGAGGGTAAGAACCAACCAAGTGTGTGCAGCTTCTGCTACCACAGCCCCGTGTCCCACAAGCAGCCCACTATCCTGGCTGCCCCTCTGTGAGGAGCATGGCCGCTGACAGCCTTCAGTGCTAGAGCCACAGCCCGCTTTCCCTGGGGCAGCCCTGGCCAGTGACCAGGCCAGGCGGAGGCACAGGCCTGCCCCTTCCCACCCAGACCAGCTATTCCCGCCAGCACCCTGGGCTTAGAGGTGTCCAGAGGTTGCCCAATGTCCTGAAGGCTCCTTCTGCCCAAGCCCACAGTCTCCATGTCTGGTTCACAGGCGTCACTCCCCATACAAGCCTCCCCGCTACACACCTTGGTGCTGCTCCCTGGAAAGCCTGCCTGCACCGGCCTCCCCTGGTGAGGTCCAGGGAGATTAGGACACAGATGTTAGGAACGTGAAGCCCAAAGAGGTGAAAAGATAACCATGAGCAGCTACAGCCTAACCCATGTGACTCCCGCACCATTGAAACCAGCAATCCATCTTCCAATTTGAGAAGCACCTTGCCACAGCTCACTTTGAGCCCTTCTCACAGATGAGGGACTCAGCCTGTTTCAGTGACTGGCTCTGAGGCTCGGGGCCCTTGCGTTCCATTAGGCTCCTGCCTGCTGGACCCACAATATTCTTCCACAGCATCCATCTATCCTCTTCATCCCTCCTGACAAAGAGGCCCCTATGCTCACAGGAATCCGCAGAGGGTTGCAAGAAAAGAAGCACGCTTGGCTATGTGGCAGCTGCAGCTCTGTTTTCAGCCCACATGGACTCATTCTGATGGAGACAAGTCTGACAGGCTTAGAAAATTTACTCGGAATCCTCAGCACAGTGCAAACTTTTGTCTCCTCTGCGAAAGAGAGGAGGCCTGTGTTTGTCTGTAGAAGGTCCCTGTTAGCAGAGCCTCCAAGGAAGGT
The DNA here is from genome assembly GCF_000001405.40 of Homo sapiens. Taxonomy (NCBI): domain Eukaryota; kingdom Metazoa; phylum Chordata; class Mammalia; order Primates; family Hominidae; genus Homo; species Homo sapiens. The sequence goes on from NC_000020.11 coordinate 24,677,380, forward strand.
CGTAGTGAATGTTTGGGGTAAATGTTTGCAGAACGTGATTTGAACAGCGCCAAGGCAGGTGATACTGTTTTTCATTCTGTGATTTCCTGTGCAATTAAACTCTCTCAATCTTCACTTGTCTCTCACCTGTGAAATAGATCTCCTCTGGACTAAGACTCAGCTCAGTTGTTCTAGGAGCAGAACTTAACTGTTATGGTGCAGCTAGAAAATACTTGCTGCTTCTAAGTTATGCACCAAAGAGAAAAATAAACACATCTTAGCTTGAACATTAGAGAAACAAATTTAACTTCTTGGAAGATGAACCAGGCCAGATCTCCCACTCACACTGAAGCCACAGCTCCTGAAGAATGGCCCTGGAGAATGTGAAATGACAAAGAAGTCTCGAGCAATTGGACTGCCCCGGGGGTCAGCTTCTGCCCTCTCCACAGCCCAGGGGTGTTTTTTGGTGCCCTCCTCTGGCAATCCCAGGTGCAGAGAACGGCCACAGCGGTGCAGCTCCCGTAGTCTCTGCCCACCCACCCCCACAAGCTGAGGCTTTTCTAGCATTCACTCAGGGCCTTCCAGACTCAACCTTCAGGTAGAGAGCTCACATTCTTCCGGCTCATATCTGATAAGACTAAGGTTTTCTACCCCTGAAGAGCGCCTTGGGTACTGCTGCCCTGGAATGCCAAAGGTCAACTCTGAATCCTCCCAACAACACCCTGCCAGGAGATGGGCCTCTGGCAGACCAAGCACCTTGGCCTCTGATGCAGTGGGAGCCCCTTCTCAGCCCATGCACGGCCCATGACCACACCCTGCCTATCTTTCAAGGCCAGCTGATACCTGCTCCAGAAAGCCTTCTTTGACACTTCCCCAGCCTTCAGGAAGCGGCACCAATCCAAATTCCAGAGCCTCTAACATCAGGCCCCACTGGCCACTCACTCCCAGAAGAGGGCCATGGAGGGCTGACTCCTAACCACTTACCACATGCATTGTTGTTGCAGACCTGCCCAGTGATCCAGCTGCTCTGAGCTCAGAGGTAACGGTGGTCAGTAAGGGAAAGTAAGGTCTGCCTCCTTCCATGGGGGCAGACAACACCCAGGCAAACCAACAGACAGGCCAGCAGCCACAGAGAATGAGAGGACTCGAAGAGACGGGCAGCGACGGAATGGGTGCCACCGGGCTTGGGGGTGCCACTGGAGATGGTCAGGGGGTAACTTTAGATCCCTCAAGCCAACTCAGTTGCCACTGACACAAAAGCCCTGGAAAGATGAGAGGCTTATGCCCTGGTCTATCACCTAGATGTGCCTGAAGCCAGCCCAGGGTTGCTGCTCAGGACACTCACGTCCTGGCTGGCACCCCTCCCAGGTGCCTGGCAAAGTCACGGCCAGAACCCACTTCCCACATCCTTCTTTTGGAGCCTGCAGCAGAGGCTGCGTGGGGCTTGTGGAAATGAGACGTGGAATTTAGGATGGCTGGGCTGATGGCTGACCATGAGTTCAGGTCGCCACACCAGCACAGTGACAGATGCCAGAGCTGATAGCAATAATTGATGATGCAGGTGAGGAAGAAGATCGTATCTCGGTGTTACAAGCTCTCAGGTTACGCTCTGGAGATGCATCTCAGCCAGGAAGTAGTTTCCAGAGAGCACAAAGTGAAAATCGCATAGGGTCAGTATTGCCTTTGTAATTTTGTAATGTGGAATATAAAAATACTATAACAATGTAATATAGCAGAATTACATTCTTTTAACTGATATCAAAAACTATGTTGGGTTTACAACCCTGCACATGATATAGCTAGTGTCATCTGTACAACAATAGCACAGTCTCTCTTAGTGCACCAAGGGACTCGATTCCACAAGGGGGTTCTCAGGGTGCTTCGCAGCAGGCAACTCTGCAACCTGTTCACAAGGGTTCCAGCTTGCTGGCTTTTCTATCAGTTATTATTATTCTCATCTTCTGGAGACCAGTGCATCAAGTTTTCTAATTGCCTTTCAGTCAGTGTTTGTGTAGGGCCGCCAGTTCCTTCTCTGATTCTTCCTTCTAGAATATTGAAGAAATCATCACCAGGCAGGGGCGGCCCATCCCCCTCAGCAACCCTTTACTCCCAAGTCATTGGCAGGAAAACATTAAAATCATTCATGCATTCTTTCCATGGGTTTGCTTAAAATGCATTGATTTCTTTCAGGCATGATTGCATTTGTTACCTCTGGATAAATGCTCATGGATTGAAGCACCTGTTTAAATCGCACCCTACTTCTAGCCCTGCCTCCAGACTCGCCTCTTTGCATTCAGGGAGCACAGGTCAGTTAGATATCTTTATGATGAAACTCTGCTGTAATGTGTAGAATGAAGTGGAGGAAAGGCCTTCATTAAATGTTTGTTGAATTTAATTAAATTGAATTTGCGATTTTATGCATAGCCCGTCCTCTCCAGGTGAGCGATGTGCTAAGCTTGTCCAAACCAAAACGAGAGGCCTATCTCAGAATGAGTAAGAGCTGGGAGCTGGGAATGAGGTCAGGGCCTTGGTAACGAAGAACTGAGTGAGATGTCCTTGGATTATCAATCATGGAGACTGTTGTCTCAGTGACCCTTTCCATCATCTTATGATGACAGTGGCTGCCTGGGCCAGCATCCGGGATGTTGGGGTAGCTTGAGATCATCCGTGTTCTGGGGTTGCAATGGAGCAGGGACCCCTCTTGGGGCCTGCCAGGCCTGCCAGTTACCCCTTCCCCCAAGCATGGAAATAAAGGAAAATTCTGAGTTCCTTCAAGGGACTTTCCAGGTACCCAGCTAGCCCTGAGAAGTAAAAGAGCAACTTGAGAAGCCAGAAGGTTATAGTGGCTTAAAAGGGTGGCCACGGAAGTTAGAATCACGAGAATATTTGGTTTCCTACAGAAACTAAAGATAACATCTTAGCATATGTCCTTGGGTTGTTTTTCAGAAATGTGGAACCCCATCTAATGGGTTCACTGGCACACAGACCTCAGACAAGGGGGAGCTGAGGACTGGACTCTGACCACTGTTTTGGTTCTAAATTTCTTCCTGAGGCCCAAGAGGAGGTCACGTCCACCAGCTAAACCTAGCATTCTTTTCTGCTGGCTACAAAATTTTTAGACAAGGCTTTGCCTCCTTAAACAATCGCAAGTTTAAAAATCTTTGAATCCAGCCATCTATGACCTGTGGGCCCCCACTTGGAGATGTTCCACGTTTTTAGGTCAAGCCAATGTACAGCCTCCACCTATTGATTTATGACTTTGCCTGTGACCTCTGCCTCCCTCCCTTTAAAAACTCCTACCTGTAAGCCATTGAGGCCAGGTCTAAATCATGAGCTGCCCTGCAATCGGTGCCTCAATTTCTCTCGCCGCAACCCTGAGGTCAGCCTTGGCTTTGCTCTGCTGCACTGGTGGACCCAAGCTCTGTTCACTGTTGTCAGCCTAGGGTCCTGCCTCCAGCCCTGATTTCTCAGAGATTGGACTTGGACCCTCCAAGCCCCCTGATTACAAAAGGAAGTGAGCTTGTTCCAAGACTGCAGGGAAGGGATTTCCATTTTGAGCTCCATAGGCGGCTCCTTCAGCTATCTCTGTGGCTCACAGACAAAAGCCGGCCCAGGGTGAAAGTGATCCTGCCAAGCTGAGACACTCAGAGAACAAAGGACATCTTGAAGGTGAGCGCCTCCCACTTCTCCTTCTGATGTGCACACATTAGGGGAGAATATTAAATGCAATGACGGAGGAGGATGGAGACGAAATGACCACGGTAATGACATCAGTGGCCTGCTACCCTATGTGGAGGCTGCCGTGACCTCTGAGGTACACCCTCGTACCCCTACCTGTGAAAACTGGACTCATGGGGATGCTCAACACCCTAACACCCTCCTCACTGTACAGCAGGCATCTTCCCGGGTGCCGCTCGCATTCTCTAGGGGCTGATTTTGCATGGCTCTCTCCACTCATCTATTCTGCTCGAACCGGGTGATGAGGAAGGTGGCTCTGACCTCCTCTCCCACTCTTCAGTGGATCTATCCCTGCACCCAGCTGGCACAGCAGATATTTGTTCCTTGACTTTCCTCTGGTTTGGGGTTTTCACCCTTTTTTTTCAATAAATGACTCAGAAGTGAATATTTCCCACTGGCATATTTTTTCTCTCTCTCTGTCTCTGTGTGTGTGCCTGTCTCTCTCAATCTCTCTCTCTCTCTGTCTCTGTCCCTCTCTTATACAGGCACACACACACATGATCACACACACACAATAACAAAATTACACATATGGCTATAAAAATTCTGCATACAAAACTTCCACAGGTCCTGCAGAATAGAGCCCTGCCTCAGCCTGTGGACAAGCCCATCACACTGACCCAGCCAGCCTCAGGGCCAGCCCTCTCTCAGAGACATCCTAACTTCAGAAACAGCACGCTGGCTCCTGTGCTGTCGGACGCTCACAGGGCCCTCAAGCAGTAGCCATCCCATGGGATAATCAGAGACCCCAGAGTTTGGAATACAGGGCCCAGGAGGCTGCGTCCCCGAGACTCTGCTGCTGGGGTGTACTCGATGTCCTGGCTCGACTGACACAGTCCTGATCTTGCCAGTTGGTGTCTGTGGACCTGTGTTTTGGCATGGACAGGCACAAGGCTAAGGAGGTCAGCATGCAGCAGGAGGCAAACTGTGAAGTACCTCTCTGGCCTGGCCTTTGTGAATTACCACAGTGCGGGGTCCACCCAGGAAACTGTGAAGTACCTCTGTGGCCTTTGTGAATTACCACAGTCAGGGGTCCACCCAGGAAACTGTGAAGTACCTCTCTGGGCGTTGTGAATTACCACAGTTAGGGGTTTACCCAGGAAACTGTGAAGTATCTCTCTGGCCTTTGTGAATCACCACAGTTAGGGGTCTATGCAGGAGTACTGGTCATTCACAGACTCAGCTCATTCCAGGCCTTAGCAGTGTGCACCTCAGAGTGAAGCAGAGAGGCCCCAGGAGAAGCCATGGCCACGCCCTCAACCTCCTGCTCCGAGGAGGAGACGTGTGGCTTCAAGGGGTGCTCAAGGCCTGGACTTGTTCCCTCAGGGCATGAGTCTGGGGCCTCCTCAGGGCATCGGTCGGGGGCAGTGTCTGCACATGGAACTGAAATCCTAATTTAGGCTCCCCAGGAACCCCCTCTTGCCACACGTCTTCCCTCCCACCTTGAGTCTTACAGATTCTCCAGTGAGGCACACACTGTTCTGCCCTATTTCCCAGCTACCCTCACAGGTGTATCAGAGGCAGGTGTGTCCCCAAAGGCCCAGGTAAATGCAGACCCCTCATGAAGCTGCCTCCAAACTCAGAACTCCCCTCCTTCCTCTGTGCCCAGGCTGGTGGTGGTCTTCATCCATTCATTTCATCAATAGTGCTCATGGCAAACCCGCTGTCATCGTCCGGCCCAGGGGAATCTGGGTGCTGAACACCAGTGAGCCCAGGGCATGAAGCTTGAAAACACAATGTGAGCAAAGAACACCAACACAGATGGTACAGAAGGTGCGTGCTGTGACCCATTTAGATCTGGTTCAAAGGAAGAAAAGCTAGACTGTAATGAAGCACAAGCAGGTAACAAGAGCTGATGCAGCACTGGGGAGTGTAACATGCAATTCAAGGCAGGGCTTCTTTCTGCAGAAGGCAGTACAGAGATTTCCCAAAGAGCTAAAACAATCCCACAACTGGGCAACTACCCAAACTAAGAGATGTGATTGTATCAAAAGGACACCTGCTCTCACACTGTTGACAATAGCAAAGACATGGAGTTAACCTGAGTGCCCATCGATGGATAAATAGATAAAGAAAATGTGGTGTATACACACAATGGAATACTACTCAGCCATAAAAAAGAATGAAGTCATGTCTTTTGCAGCAACATGGATGGAACTGGTGGCCATTATCTTAAGTGAAATAGTTTAGACAGAAAGTCAAGTACCACATATTCTCACTTATAAGTGGAGGCTAAATAGTATGTACACATGGACAAAGAGTGTGCAGTGACAGACACTGGAGACTCAGAACGGTGGGGGCAGATGGGGGAGGGTGATGAGAAATTACTTAACTGGTACGATGTACACCATTCAGGTGACAGATACACTAAAAGCCAAGACTTCACCAGTATACAACATATGCATGTAACAAAATTGCATTTGTACCCTTTAAACTCATACCAATTAAAATTAAAACCAAAGATAGTGGTTCTTCCGCAGGGAGGGAGGGGACAGGGTGGCAGTCAGCAGAGGGGTCCAGGGTGCTGGCAAGTTTCCCTTTCTGAGACCAGGAGGGCACAGGTGCCTCCTATTTTTCTTAAACTGTGTACTCCTTATACATATTGCTTCTATGTAGGATGTGGCTCATGCTTTTAACAAGTCAAGCCAAAGATTTAGTGTGTGCCAGGCACTCTGCTGGGCTTGAGGATTAAAAATACTAAGAAGGCGTAGCCCTGTGCCCAAGGACTCATACGCCCACGTCCTTTCATCTGTGTTGTGCCGTTGCTCCAATCACAGGCTCCAGGGTTAGAGGATGTGGGCTGGGATCCCTGCCACCCCACTCACTAGCATCTCTGGGCCTGGCTTCCCTCATCTTTCAAGTCTCCAGGCACAGAGCTGCTCTGAGGAGTAAATGAGGGGATGCAGGTTCCGGCTCAGCACAGGGCTCTCCGGGAAGGCTGCAATCTCCTCCGTGGGTGTCCTTAGGACTTCTAATTCAGTCCTGCATCATGGTCCTGGACTTAACTGCAGCTCCCTCTGTATTTTAGGATTTTTTTTTTTTTTTTTGAGAACAGACCTCTTATTTTATGCATTATTTCGCTCAGCATTAGCTATTTGGGAAACAGGATAAGTGTTATACACGTATATTTAAATATGATTAAATTTGATCCTCTCAAAAAAATGACTCTGTGAAGCAGGCAGGTGAGGCACCATTTTTTACACTTACAAGCAGGGAAACTGAGGTGCGGGGAGACTAAATGGAGGCGCCTCTCAGCAGACAGGGTGTTCCTCTTTTTACAAAGGCACAATGCAGAGACCAGAGGCTGCTGTCTGCATCTGAAAATTTAACTGCAAGGTTAAAAAGAAGCAGGTTCAAAGGTTCAGCAAAGGAAGCCCAGCCATTGCATCCATTGGCCTTGAACGCTGGCCTGTCAGCAATGTGTGGATCTCAGAGTCTCCAAAAAGGGGAACTGGAAACACCAGCTTCCCTTAGAAAACAGGGTTTTTTTAACTGAAAAGAAAAATCTCCTTGGAAGAACTTATCTTTGTGACATTGCTATAACAAACTTCTTCCTTTAATCTTTGAGAAAGAGAAAAGTGTGCTCATCGCAGCTGCAGCAGAAGCCAGCGCACTTCTCAGCCACGTCCGTCCCCAGAGGGAAGCATCATGTTTGATTTGATTGTGCCACGAAGAAATGGGAAGGGAGTCAGCGGAACTGGCTGGGGCCTGGCTCCTGCTTGGCATTCGTGCCACGTGTGGCTTCCTCAGGTGGCCAGACCACTCTGTCTGAGACAGCTTGACCTCAAGAGCAATTGTGGTCATGAGGATGATGGTGGAGACACAAAATGGCATCTTCCGCTCCTCTTTCACATGGACGTTAGTGAGATAAAACCAGAAAACCAAAGAATACATTCATTCAATAATTTCCATTTCCTGATAACAAGATTTCTCCAAGTGCAAGTGGCCAGTGTTGGCACCAATGGTAGCGGCCGTCAATGCCCAGCCCATGATCCTCAGGCTCCTGTTTCCTGGGGGGATGAGGAGTCCTGCCCTTGGCTATGCCCCAGGGGCTCCCCTTCACCTCTGCAGGGCTCAGGGCAGGCACAGGACCAGGGAGTTGCCACCAGGAGTAGCCTCAGCCAGTGGTGCTGGGAGTCGTGGGTAGTCACCAGCTTCCTAATGGGACGGAGCCTCGGCTGTCCACGTCTATCACTGGCTCTTTCATGCATCCTCTGCTGGCATCTTCCCCTTCCGCTACCAGTGCTTCCTGGGCTCACCTCCCAAATAAATCCCTGGCACGTGCGTCCCTGCCTGGGGCCTGCCAGGTGGGCAGCGCAGGCCCCTCCCTCCCCCTGCTCTCCACTAGGAGGCCTCTGTGAATGCGCTCTAGGCCATCTTTGTTCACACTCCTGCCCCGGGGCTTGATGAGATCCAACCTTGAAACCCTGCTGACATTCCTGTCTCTTCACGCTCTGCCAGCTCCCCTCAGTGGGCAGTGGGGCCCCTACATCGGAGTTTACACTGCGGCCACTGTAGACATGAAGTCCCTTGGATCAGGTTCCCTGGGGCTCCAGCTGGCCCTGCCTCTGGCAGCCTCCTGGCTCGGAGTCCTCACGGAGGCAGCCAGGGTAATGCCTGCTTCTGCTGATCTGTTGTGGGCCTAAAATTCACTCTTTAGTGCACAGTGCTAAGAGTTTTGATAAATATGCACTGAAATGGAACCACCTTGACAGTCAAGATATGAAGCTTCGTCACTCCCCAAATCCCCACATGCCCAATGCAGTCAACCCCTGCCCCACCTGTAAGCGGTGGCACTGCCCTGCCCTCTGCCCCCACCGTGTGGGTTTCCAGAGTGTCCTGTGAATAGAGCTGCACAGAATGCAGCCTTCGAGCCTGCTTCTTCCCCTCAGCCTGCAGCCTTGGAACTCATCCAGCTTGTTGGGTGCATCAACAGCTCACCCCTTTTTACTGCTAAGTAGCGTTGCACAGGGCAGGTGCAGTGGTGTGTCCATGCCCTAGTCAGAGGATATTTGGGCTGTGTATTCAAAGTTTGGGGCAACTTTGTATAAAGCTACTATGAACAAGTGTGTGCAGGTTTTTGCGGGAACATAAGTTTCCATTTCCTTTAGGTGGATACCAGGAGAGGGATTATTGACGCCTTTTTAACTGACTCCCATCTTGCCCTTTGCCACTTCCCAGTTCCTCACGTGTGCCTCCCGGGACCACTATTTCCCAGCCTTTGTCTGAGGTCTGCTTCCAAGAACACCAAGCTAAGATAGCAAGTGACCCTCAGCGCCTTGAGGCTGCGCTACAGCTGGGGCTCAGGAGCGGACAAATACCAGATGAGGCCCAGACTTATGATTTCCCAGGAAACAGAAGTTCCTGAGTCCCAGAAGCTGCTAGCTGTCTGCAGCAAAGCAGCCATTTTGCACAGAGAAATTCACACCAAACCCTGAAATCTTTATTTTTTATTATTTTATTATTTTTTTATTTCAATAGGTTTTTGGGGAACAGGTGGTGTTTGGTTACATGAATAGTTTCTTTAGTGGTGATTTCTGGGATTTTGGTGCACCCATCACTCGAGCAGTGTACACTGTACCCAATGTGTAGTCTTTTATCCCTCACACCCCTCCCACTCTTTCTCCCAAGTCCGCCAAGTCCATTGTATCATTCTTATTCTTTTGCATTCTCATAGCTTAGCTCCCACTTATGAGTGAGAACATACCATGTTTGGTTTTCCATTCCTGAATTAATTCACTTAGAATAACGGTCTCCAACTCCCTCTAGGTTGCTGTGAACCCCATTATTTCATTCCTTTTTATGACTGAATAGTATTCCATTATATGTATATACCACATTTTCTTTATCCACTCATTGATTGATGAGCATCTGGGCTTGTTCTAAATTTTTGCAATTCCGAATTGTGCTGCTGTAAACATGCGTAGGCAAGTATCCTTTTTTGTATAATGACTTCTTTTCCTCTGGGAAGATTACCCAGTGGTGGGATTGCTGGATCAAATGGTAGATCTAGTTTTAGTTCTTTAAGCAATCTCCACATTGTTTTCCATAGTGGTTGTACTCGTTTACATTCCCACCAGCAGTGTAAAAGTGTTCCCTTTTCACCACATCCATGCCAACATCTATTTCTTTATAATGGCCATTCTTGCAGGAGTAAGGTGGTATCACATTGTGATTTTGATTTGCATTTCCCTGATAATCAGTGATGTTGAGCTTGTTTCATATACTTGTAGGCCATTTGCATATCTTCTTTTAAGAATTGTCTATTCATGTCCTTAGCCCACTTTTTGATGGGATTTTTTTTTTTTTTTTTTTTTTTTTTTTTTTTTTTTTTTTTTTTTTGCTGATTTGTTTAAGTTCCTTGTAGATTCTGGATATTAATCTTTTGTTGGGCGCATAGTTTTCAAAGATTTTCTCCCACTCTATGAGCTGTCTGTTTACTCTGCTGGTTATTTCTTTTGCTGTGTAGAAGCTTTTTAGTTTAATTAAGTCCCAACTATTTTTCTTTGTTTTTGTTGCATTTGCTTTGGGATTCTTGGTCATGAAGTATTTGCCTAAGCCAATGTCTAGAAGGATTTTTCAGATGTTATCTTCTGGGATTTTTATGATTTCAGACCATAGTTTTAAGTCTCTGATCCATCCTGAGTTGGTTTTTGTATAAGGTGAGAGATGAAGAACCAGTTTCATTCTCCTACATGTGGCTTGCCAATTATCCCAGCACCATTTGTTGACTAGGGTGTCCTTTCCCCACTTTATGCTTTCATTTGCTTTGTCGGAGATCAGTTGACTGTAGGTATTAGGCTTTATTTCTGGGTTCTCCATTCTGTTCCATTGGTCTATATGCCTGTTTTTATACCTGTGCCATGCTGTTTTGGTGACTATAGCCTTGCAGTATAGTTTGAAGTCAGGTAATGTGATGCCTCCAGATTTGTTGGTTTTGTTTAATCTTGCTTTGGCTATGGGGGCTCTTTTTTGGTTCCATATTAATTTTAGGATTATTTGTTCTAGTTCTATGAAGAATTATGGTGCCAACTGATGGGAACTGCATTAAACCTGTAGATTTCTTTTGGCAGCATGGTCATTTTCACAATATTGATTCTACTCATCCATGAGCATAGGATGTGTTTCCATTTGTTTGTGTAATCTATGATTTCTTTCAGCAGTGTTTTGTAGTTTTCCTTGTAGAGGTCTTTCACCTCCTTGGTTAAGTATATTCCTAAGGATTTTTTTTTTTTTTTTGCAGCTATTGTAAAAGGAATTGAGTTCTTGATTTGAAGCTGTTTGTGTATAGCAGTGCTACTGATTTGTGTACATTAATTTTGTATCCTGAAACTTTGCTTAATTTATTTGCCAGTTCTAGGAGCTTTTTGGATGAGTCTTTAGGGTTTTCGAGGTGTATGATCCTATCAACTGCAAACAGTGACAGTTTGACTTCCTCTTTATTGATTTGGATGCCCTTTACTTCTTTCTTCTTGTCTGATTACTGTGCCTAGAACTTCCAGTAGTATGTTGAATAGAAGTGGTGAAAGTGGGCATCCTTTTCTTGTTCCAGTTCTCAGGGGGAATGTTTCAACTTTTCCCCATTCTGTATAATGTTGGCTGTGGGTTTGTCATAGATGGCTTTTATTACCTTAAGGTATGCCCCTTCTATGCCAATTTTGCTGAGGGACTTAATCATAAAAAGATGTTGGATTTTGTCAAATGCTTTTTCTGCATCTATTGAGATGATTATGTGATATTTGTTTTTAATTCTGTTTATGTGGCATATCACATTTATTGACTTGCATATGTTAAAACCATCCTTGCATCCCTGGTTTAAAAACCACTTGATCATGGTGGATTATCTTTTTGATATGCTGTTGGATTCAGTTCACTATTATTTTGTTGAGGATTTTTTCATCTGTGTTCATCAGGGATATTGGTCTCTAGTTTTCCTTTTTTGTTATGTCCTTCCCTGGCTTTGGTATTAGGGTGATACTGGCTTCATAGAATGATTTAGGGAGGAGCTCCTCTTTCTCTATCTTTTGGAATAGTGACAATAAAACTGGTACCAATTCCTAATTCTTCCTTGTTTTGTATTTGTTTTTGTTTTTGTTTTTGTTTTGAGACAGAGTCTCCCTCTGTCACCAAGGCTGGAGAACAGTGGCACAATCTCAGTTCACTCTAGCCTTGACCCCCCAGCTTCAAGCAATTCTTCCACCGCAGCCTCCCAAGTAGCTAGGACCACAGGCACATGCCACCATGCCAGCTAATTTTTGTATTTTTTGTAAAGGTGGGGTTTCACCATGTTTCCCAGGCTGAGCTCAGGTGATCTGCCTGGCTGGGCCTCCCAAAGTGCTGGGATTATAGGAGTAAGCCACCATGCCCAGCCCCAATTCTTCTTTCAATGGCTGATAGAATTCAGCTGTGAATCCACATGGTTGTGGATTTTTTTGTTGTTCCTGGCAATTTTTTAATGAACATTTTAATCTCGCTGCTTGTTATTGGTCTGTTCAGAGTTTCCGTTTCTTCCTGGTTTAATCTAGAAGGGTTGTATATTTCCAGGAATTTATTCATCTCCTCTACTTTTTCTAGTTTGTGCACGTCAAGGTGTTCATAGTAGCCTTGAATGATCTTTTGCATTTCTATGGTATCAGTTGTAATATATCCCATTTCATTTCTAAATGAGCTTATTTGCATCTTCTCTCTTCTTTTCTTGGTTAATCTCACTAATGGTCTGTCAATTTTGTTTATCTATTTCAAAGAACCAGCTTTTTGTTTCATTTGTCTTTTGCATTTTTTGATTCAATTTCATTTAGTTCTGCTCTGATCTTTGTTATTCCTTTTCTTCCATTGGGTTTGGATTTGGTTTGTTCTTGTTTATCTAGTTTCCTGAGGTGTTACCTTAGGTTGGTTGTTTGTGCTCTTTCAGATTTTTTGATGTAAGCATTTAAGGCTATGAACTTTCCTCTTAGCAATGAATTTGCTGTATCCCGGAGATTTTGGTAGGTTTTGTCACTGTTATCATTCAGTTCAAAGAATTTTTAAATTTTCAACTTGATTTTATTGTTGAGCCAACAATCGTACAGAATCAGGTTATTTAATTTCCATGTATTTGCATGGTTTTGAGTGTTCCTTTTGGAGTTGATTTCCAATTTTATTCCACTGTGATCTGAGAGAGTACTTGATATAATTTCAGTTTTCTTGAATTTGTTGAGACTTGTTTTATGGCCTATCATATGGTCTATCTTGGAGAATGTTCCATCTGCTTTTGAATAGAATGGATATTCTGCTATTGTTGGGTAGAATGATCTGTAAATATCTGTTAAATCCATTTGTTCTAGGGTATGGTTTAAGTCCATTCTTTGTTGACTTTCTGTCTTGATGACCTGTCTAGTGCTGTCAGTGGAGTATCGAAGTCCCCCACTATTATTGTGTTGCTGTCCTCAACCAGCTTCCACACAGCCCACAGCTCAAAAGGCTGGTCTCACTCCCACCATGCCCCCAACAACAGCACCAAGTTGTCCCAGGTGGCTGGTGAGCAGGGCTGAAAACTTGCCCCAAGCTAGCTGCCTCCCCACTGAGAAAGCAAGCTGTTCCATGGAGCCTGCAGTAGCAATTCACCTCCTTCAAAGGGTCTGTGGATTCTCTTGTCTTTCCTGGTATGTTCCTGCAGCAGTTCTTGGAGCAAAAGTTCATGATGTGATTCTCCACAGGCTGCTCTCTCTGTCTGAGCGGGAAGTACAAGTTCTTCATGCCTCCTATCTGCCATTTTTTTCTCATCTCCAAAAAAAATCTTTAAATCTACAAATAGAATTGAGACTAATAAGCTGTTTAGATGTAGGTTCTTAAGGCACCTGGGGAAACCAAAAAATCGCTGAGTCCAAACCCTGACTATCTAATGAAGACTGAGTGGCTCCATCCCTCGTATGCTGCAATTCCTTTTTTTTTTTTTTCATTTTATGTATTTGGACAATGCATGCTTGCTATTTTTAACATTCTATAATTTAGAGAATGTGAAAATTCCTCACAACCTCACTCTCAAAGACAACATCCATGAACGGCTGTGCACAGGCAAGCTCCGATGTTTCCTATGCATACCTACCGATTTTGCACTTTATTTATTTATTTATTTATTTATTTATTTATTTATTTATTTATTTTGAGACGGAGTCTCGCTCTGTTGCCCAGGCTGGAGTGTAGTGGGGTGATCTCCGCTCACTGCAAGCTCCGTCCCCTGGGTTCATGCCATTCTCCTGCCTCAGCCTCTGGAGTAGCTGGGACTACAGACGCCCGCCACTACGCCTGGCTAATTTTTTTGTATTTTTAGTAGAGACGGGGTTTCACAGTGTTCGCCAGGATGGTCTCGATCTCCTGACCTCGTGATCCACCCACCTCGGCCTCCCAAAGTTCTGGGATTACAGGCGTGAGCCACCGCGCCCAGCCTTTGCACTTTAAAATAGTAAATAAATCACAGAAATTTTCTCCTTATACATACATAGAGCCCTTCCCTATCAAGGCAAATGGATGAAGGCATTTTTGTTGCCTGCGTCTCATCCCTCTGCACTTTCCAAGATTGCCTTGTTCCATTAGAAAGGAGGAAAGGGGTACAACGAGAAACGGGAATGTCTTTTATTTCACAGCATTATTCAAATAGATTACTTCCCTCATATATAATCCTAAGGGGAAATTGCCAATTTCCGTGTTTGTGGAAAATCCATTTTCACAAGCTAAACTTTTCCAGCAGGTGTGGGCTGCTGCTTGCTCCAGGCCATCTCTGTCTTCTACCTCCCTGAGGTTTCCAAGTAACCAAGCCCCACCTTATGCCTTGGCTAGGAACTGGCCCATTCTCTTCCTGCCACTAGCCCTCTAGGAAACTTCGACAGGTGCCCAGGTCTCCTGGGTGTAGAGAGCACAGCCTTGCTCCACAGCCACCAGCTTGTGCTGAGAGGAGACGCTCAGGTGGGATGGAGCTCTCTGAGCTGGTTCTGCAGGAGTTGAGCTGGCTGCCACCGTGGAGCTCAGAGTCTAGCTGGTGTGAATCCAGCAGACCCACCCGCAATGTGCCCCTGAACCTGGTTCCCCTCTCCTCCCTGTAGCCTTGTTCATCATGTGCAGATGGATGTCTTCAGACTAGAGTATCTGCTCCATCAGAGGCTTCTGCCACCATGGGATATTCTGCTCCTGCCCATGCACCACAGCAGCCACCAGCCACACCTTGCTATTGAGCACTTGAAATGTGGCTGGTGCACCTGTGAAGCAGAATGTTTTATTTAAACAGCCACATCCTGCCAGTGGGCAAAGTATGGGACAGCGCAGGTGTAGGCAGGAAGGTGGAAAAACGCATCCCAAGAAGAGAGAATAGTTTATATGAGGCAAGGAGACTGCAGCTTGGATGAGCCCAGGGTCGGGAGGAGGGCCTCCTCTTTCCCTTTGCACACCAGCCTGGGTGGTCTTAAAACTGCAGCGAGGTGGGCCCTTGGCATGGGGAATGCAGGACTGCAGGGTGAAAAGAGGGCATGGTGCGGGGCCAGCCAGGGCTGAGGAAGCGGCCAGTGATGCAGAGCTCCATGTCGGCAGGGCCCCATCGACTTGCTCTGGCAGCCTGCTGGGGCCTGGGTACAGGTTCAGATCACAAGTGCAGGCTCAGAGAAGCAGGGAAGGATGGTGTTCCTCGATGGCAGTAACTCCATGCTGTGTAGTTCACTGTGGAGACAGCACAGAGCCCACCAGGTCCAGCGTTGCAGGTGCGTTGGCCTGAGACTGCAACACCACTGACCGCTTACTCTCGAAGACTGAGCTACTGCTGTGGTCCCCGTCCCTCACCTCATGGCTGGAGGGTGCAAAGCGGAGCCAGGGTCAGAGCTTCATGTGGGACTGGTGACAGTGCCGTGACTGGCAGGCCCCAAGTCCCCAGCACTTCCTCTAATTAAGGGAACTTGGCATGTCCCTGGGCCTCTCTGAGCTTTAACTTCATCTTTAAATTGTGACTTGTAAATGGATCAAGCTTCTCAAACTCTAGTGAGCCTGAGAACAACCCAGGGTGCTTGTTTAAAATATAATTCTTGGGTCTCTGGACTGGATTCTGGAACAGAAAAAGAATGCTAATGGAAAAACAAGTGAAATCTGATGAAATCTAGAGTTAATTAATTGTAATGAGCCAATGTTGCTTTCTTATTTTTTACTAATGAACCTTGATACTGTAAGATACTATTAGAGGAAGCAAATTGGGTGAGGGGCATATGGGAACATTCACATTATCTTTGCATATTTTTTGTGACTCTAAAACTATTGCAGAATAAAATGTGTATTTTTTAAAAAGCTTGTTCCTTACCCCGACCACAGCCATTCTGAATTCAGTAGGTTTGGGGGTGGGTCCCCACGGGCTGTGATGGGAGTGATCAGCAGACCGGGTTGGAAAACACTGAACTTTGTTCCCATGGTGCTAGCTGGAACCACTCCTGGGTCCAGATTCTCTGAGGTGGCTTTCCACCCAAGCAACAGGGGCACAGCCAGAAAGCAGGCCACAGATGCCAGAGAGTCAGAACCAGGCCTGGAGTCTGGAAGGGCCAGAGAGAGCTGAGGACACAGGAGATGAGAAGTCCAGATGTCAGCAAAGAGGGACGTGAGGGGACAGAGCTGGGGACTCGCCTCCCTCACTGCCCCATGCACCTGCCATGAGTGCCTGCAGTGCATACCTGTGTGGTGTGGGGGGCACCCTGAGCACCCACCCCCGAGTTCCACAGGTTCCACTCCTGGGAAAACACATAAGGAGCTGGTGGCGGAGGCTCTGGGCCTGAAGTCAGAGCTCAAGAGTGGATGGAAGGTCAAATCCTTGGATGAAAACGACAAAAATATCAGGAATCTAAGTGCGGAGACCCCAGCCTGCTGCCTCCAGACCCTCCCTGGGTTGGGAAAGGCCATGGCTGAATAAGGTAGTTGGCCAGTGTGGCGGGAGAGAGGCCTCTTGGGAGTACCCCAAACCTCGTGGCACAGAAAAGACCCATGGATTTGTACCCAGGGGGTTGGATAGGGACATTCCAGCACAGACCACAAGTGGCTTACACTGCCCTGTGAGGGCAGGTGTGATCAGGACACACCATGGCCAGGAGGGGCTGGACGAAGTGGCCTGGGCCCTTGGTGGGAGCACGGCCAGAACTCGGCCATTCCCTGGGATCTGGAGGGACATAGGAAGTAGAACAAGGAGAGTGGGGCTCCAGGAGGGCAGCCAAGAGGGCAGCGGTGGTTGCAGCCTCTAGGGTGGGTGGGCCCAGAGAACCTGGGAGGAGGCCCCAGTTCGGCAGACTTTTGCTAGGGAGAGGCAGGGAAGGCCTGGGCTGAAATCCAGGCAGAGGGGGTGTTGCCAAGACACTGACTGGAAGACGGGTCGGCAGGACACAGTCAGATGATTCCTGCCCTTTCTGGGGTGACTTTGCGGCACCTGGTGATGGCCTGAGCTTCTCCATCACCTGCAGTATAGTCCATGGCCCCGAGCATGCACACTGGGACTGCTAGGTCTGCAGAACCCATTAGAAAATGCAGAACTTAGGAATCTGCATCTCCAGGGTTGGGGTCCAGGAATCTATTTTTTTACATCGCGAGGTGATTCTAACGAGCTAATAGGTTTGGTAACTGCCAGAAGAAAGGACTTCCAAGTCCCTAGCTATGGGATCCTGGCCCCAGGGACACAAGCTAGATGTGCAGGCTCTGGTTGTCCCCAGGGAAGTGACTGTTCTGCCCTCACCCCAGCATACCTCCCAAGTTTTAGTGCTCAGCCTCTCCCAGCTGAGTCCGTGGGCCGGAGTGGTTATAGCCCAAGGAGTTATTGCTGCCATAAATTCAAAGAAATGAAGCATTTCGGAAGATAAATTTCTTTTTGATTCCCAGCCAGGCTTCCTTTGGAGAGATGGCTGGAAGTCCATGCTGTCCCTGAGCTGTGTCTCCCTTTCCTTCCTGTGCCACCCCTGCTGTGACCTCGCCGGCGCCGGCTCCGGACAGGCTGCTGCTTCCCGAGTCCCTGGAGGCTTCATCTGAGCCACTCAGTTTCCCTCCCTGGCAGCTCCACGGCCGGGCAAACTTCATTAGTTCCAGCACTTGCTCAAGGATTTTCTGTCTCTCCCTTCACTGTCTTGTTTACTTTTCTTACCTTCTGTTTCTACTTTTTTTGGTTTCCATAAAAATTGCTTGCACAACTGGTTTGGTCCAGTTCTGCAATCAGCATCTGGGCCACTGCCTGCTGCAGGGCTGAGAGTTGACACAATCAGAAACAGTGTCCTGCTGGCTGGGGCATAATTTAGTTCAGATGACACTCTGTGGCCAATGTCGTATTTTCCCCCAGATTCTACTGGAGCCACGCAGAGGAAAATCTACTGCATGTAAAGCTAATGACAGGTCGAATACATCAGGGATTGCTGAGTCTTGGTTGGATAATACAACACATGGATGCTTGGCAAGTACCTTCATTCATTCCTTCACTCATTCACTCTTACAGTGATTCATTGAACAAATTTGACTGGTGGCTGCCCTGTCCCAGGTGCTGTGTTAGGTAGATTCCACCAGAGAGGAAGAGAGGAGCAATGGAAAGGGATGCGTGTGTGCACTTGTGTGGCATGATTAAATATGGATTGTGTAATATATATGATGAAGCAAACATGAGTGGCTATCTAGGCATAAAGAGGTAGTTGCCCTAAGAGCTGCACAGTGGAATGTTTCATGGGAAAGCATTTCAGATGAGCTCTGAGCAACCCCTGAAGCAAGGGCAGGTCCACCAACCACAGGCAGTCTGTATGTGTGCCCAGAGCAGGATGGGAAGAGGAGGTGGTCAGAGACTGGAGGCTGGGGACATGTCCATCCCATCCCTAAGCACCACCAGCCCTCCATGCTCAGCCATAACCTTAACCCCACATCCTCTCCTGAATATCCCCAGGCTGGAACCAGGGCCCTGGCATGTGGGTTGATGAAAACCTTATTAATTTGATGCTCCTCCTTGGAGGCTGGTGCTTCTGGCATTTGCTGAGCAGGTAGGTAGCCGTGTGGTGGGACCCAGATGTTCATAAAACCAAGAACTGCATGGGAAAGAGATTGTTCAAAGTCACTGTCAGCTGAAAAAAGTGACAAGGGCCCTGAGAGGGCAGATGATGTGCTAGGCCCTGAGAAGGAACCAGGAAATGCTTCCAGGAGGGATGGATGGGGCAGGCTTCATGGAAAAGCAGAGGAGGATGTGGAACCAGCTAGTTAGCAGGAGGCGGGTGAGTTAGGTGGGTCACTTGCCAGGAACAGGGAACAATGGAATGGACCCAGCAGAGAAGTGGCAGACATAGCAGTGGCAAGAAGGGGGCATTGGAGCTGGACTTTCAGGGCCTTAAGTGGCAAATTAAGGACTTTGAGTTTGACCCCAAGAAGGTGAAGCGGTCTTGGGAAGTGGCTTTAATGGCTGGGGATGGCGTGATCAACACCACGTTCAGGGGTCGGAGTCTTGTGGCCCAGTGGACTGGGCATGGGCTGGAGGGGGAGGGTGCACTAAGAGGCAGAGGGATGTCCCTTGGGGGCATGAGCTGAGACAGGCTGGGAATGTGAACGGAGAGGACGAGGTGCTGGTGTGCCTTGCCGTGGCTGAACACAGCCTTGTGGCTTCACTGAAACATTCCTCAGAGGCAACCGAAGATTCAGGGAAGAAGCCATGTCCATGGGCTTCCAGCACCAGAAGGATCAACTCTTCAGGCACATATGACAACCTACTCTCAGGTCCTTCCTACCAATTCCTGATGGGCCACCTAGGGCCATCTTGGTTTGTTTAATTTGAGTTCCCTAGCTACTAAAAAATAAACTGGATTTTTTATTTTATTTTATTATTTTGTTTTATTTTTTGAGATGGAGTTTCGCTCTGTCGCCCAGGCTGGAGTGCAGTGGTGTGATCTCCGCTCACTGCAAGCTCTGCCTACTGGGTTCATGCCATTCTCCTGCCTCAGCCTCCCGAGTAGCTGGGACCACAGGCACCCGCCATCACGCCCGGCTAATTTTTTGTATTTTTTTTAGTAGAGACAGGGTTTCACCGTGTTAGCCAGGATGGTCTCAATCTCCTAACCTCGTGATCCACCCGCCTCGGCCTCCCAAAGTGCTGGGATTACAGGTGTGAGCCACCACGCCCGGCCTTTTTTTTTTTTTTTTTTTACTTTGGATGATTCAGACTTTCAGTCCTATGAAAGATTGGAGGCTGAGTAAGTGGACTGTCCTGTCCCCGTGTGGACAAGTGGCCCAGCCACTGCAAGCTGCTGTGTTCTGGAAAAAGGACAATTTATATCCAGGTCTGTATTCGAATCCCACTCTGCTGCTTGGGAAGCTCTCTGAGATTCACGGTTTCCCAACAAAAAAGTGGCATTGTGAGGGCCATAATGGTCTAAGAGGAAAAGAGGAGCTGAGAATAAGCTTGTCACCATCGGGCACACCCGTCAGCATTTTCTTCTCTTCTTCCTGAACACCCAGCAGATCGGACAGCAGCCTCCCCTGCAGCCAGGTGAGTTCTAGCCAATAGGATGTAAGCCAGGGAGCACTCTTCCCCCTTCTGTAGGCTGGATCCAGATGTAGACACTGAGGCCCTAGAGAACAGAGGAGCCACAAGGTGGGAGAATTCCTGGAAGGGATCGGAAGAGGGAGGACAGCTACCTGCCAGCCAGGACCTCGCATTTTCAACTCTTCAGGGAATAAGCAATAAACTTCATACTTGGGACTTTGGACATTATGGGGTCCTTTTGCTATAGGAGCCAGCATTAACCCAAAGGAGACAGATCATGTCATCTGCAGAACCTCTTCCAAGGCAAGCAGCATCAGGGAGATGTGTCTGAACAAAGCAAGGGGATTCGGGACAGAAGAATCTTGACCTAGTCAAGTTCAACTAAAAGCACACACTTGGGAAAGGAAGGAAGCCCCGAGATCACGGCTCTCCCTTAAGACAGAACCTTCCTTCTGCCCAGAACCTTTCAGCATTGAAGCAAAGCAACAGGCCCATGCTTGGGAGATCTAACTCCCCAGAATAAGTGTCTGACCATGTGTAAGCCTTAATCATCTAATGTGATTAGGGTCAACAGCGTGACTTAGCCTAGTGGTGAAAAACTCTGAAAAAGATTCAGGAAAACCCAGATGATCTTGCCTTGCTTTAACTAGGAGAACCAGAACAGCAGGGCAATTGACGTTAACTACAAGACCCAGGCCCGGCTGTTGTGCTCCTCCTGGGAGCATCAGGCACTCACCACACCCCCACATGCCCTGGCCACATCCACAGCTGCTGCTGCAGACACCACACATCTGGGCTGGCTCTGCTGCAGTCCCTCTGTAGTGACGCAAGCCAGAAAGATTCACTTCTGTGTGGATCTGCCACCTGCAGCAGGGCACCTGTCGCCTGTGGTTTTGAACTTGCTAACTGCGGGTGCAATGCAACTGCACCAGTGCATGCAGCACAGTGTGATTCCCACAAGCCGCCTCTCAACTGTTTTCTCCCTTCCTAGCCCAGTGCCATGGCCTTCGGCAACAACACAGGGCAGAGGGGTGGGGATCATCAACTTCTTAATCCTGGGGCACAGGCAGGAAATGTAAGCCAGCCCTGCTCCTGCCTCTACTCCCAAGCATGGGCTGTGACAGCCCTGAAATCCCAGTTCAGCCACTCAATTGCCCTGTGACCTGAGGCAAGATACTCACCATCTCTGAGTTTCTCTCCTCCAAAAAGTGGAGATGATGCCTGCACCTCCTTCCCAGGTTGCTGGGATCCTGAGTCCTAGCCCAGTGCTGCCCAGTATCGTTTGCACCCTTGCCAGGTATGAGGACTGACAAGTCGTAAATGAGCTGTGTGAGTCATTGTTCCTCTGTGAACCTCAGTTTTTTCCCCTACCTGGTGATGGAATAGGCTCGGCCCTGCCTATCCCTGTTGGTGTTGCTGCAGGAGCAGCTGTAAAACCCAGCAGACCATTTACTGCCATGACAGCCTGCCATCACCCATCCCTAACCAAGGAAACCCCAGGTGACTTTTGGGATGTTGCAGGAGGCAGAGGGGCCTAGGTGACTCTCAGTGGCAGCTACAGGAGCCCAGTGCTCCCAGCACTCACTGCCTGAATCAGATGTGGGTGCGGAGGATGGACGTGCAGGGATGAGGGCCCTGGGCTCATCGGAGCCTGTGGCCATGGCAACCTCATCAGGAGCTCCATGTGGGGATTATTAAGGAATATTTGCATTAATTAAGAGTCCAAACATCTTCCTTTTCCAGGCAGGGACCTGACACACACATGCCTCTCTCCAGCCTCTAAGTACCCTTGGCTATGCCTTGGGCAGCCTGCTGGGTGCTGGAGCGGGTCCTGCAGCATAAGGATTCTGGCTCTGCTCTCCAACCTCTCAGAACCTCACTTGCATTGACGCATTTCCCTCTACTGCTGTCCCCAGCCTTCTAAGTGAGCCATCAGCAGCCTCAAGTGCATCATCCATCTGCTTTATTCACAAAACAAACCATCGTTGCTGGGCTGGTCCGGACTCCGCCCTCCCTCTTTGACATCATCATGAACAATAGTCATTGTTTTGTTTGAACCAAAATTGTCTAATGTTGTACAAAAATAGAGTCACTTTGAGTCTTCCAAAGGACATGTGACATCCTGGAAGCTGGAACAAAACCCAAGCCCCAGAGGCATCCCACAGATGACCACAGTGAACCTGGATGTGCGGGGACCCAGGTGGAGCCCAGAGACTGGGGACAAGAAGGTGGCTTGGAGGAAGAGGATAGGAGCCCTCCTGCAAACACCCCTGACTCTGCAGTGGGGTCTCACCTGAGAACTACCCCCATAGTTTCAGCAGGGCAGTTCTTTGTGGAGACAGTGGGTGCAGAGACCAGCAGGTCAGCCCCAGGGCGAGCAGCAGACCCCATGGAGAGGAGCCCCTTGCTGGGGGGTGGGGGAACTCACTCCCCATAACAGGCATGGTATAGCCCTTCCTTCCTCTAGGCCCCACCTGTGGCTTCTCTCCGTAGAGGTCCATCCTGCTCTGAGCCTCAGCCACATAAAACCTCCCTCCACACCCACCAGGAGCCCCAGCTCTGCTGTTGGGCCTGCTCTAGCCACCTTCTCTTCCATTTCCTGAAGACGTTGCGGGACCTCCCATCCCCATTTCATGAGCACAGAGGACTGGGGAGAGCAGCCCAGAGTCAAGTGGGTGTGAGTGCCTGCTGCTCAGATGGGGTCCACACATGCCCCTCCTTCCTGTTTGTTCCCCCAAATTCCTGATTTTCACCTTCCTTGCAGGCTGGGGATGAGGAACAACCCCCTTCAGAGCCCAGCCCTTATCAGAGTCCACACCTCCCAGACAGAACGGCTAAGAAGGCACACAGACCCCAGCAAGTCAGACCTGGAAGCATACTCACTGCTGGAGGCCTGGGGTCCTTGGTACAGGGGAGTTCCCCTGGTTAAGGGAAACCTTAGCCCTTGTCTGGGCCCAGCTGTATGACCAAGGCTGGTATCCAGGCCCTTAGCTTGGACACTGGCAGCGCTGCCCACCTCCCTGATGTCTTTGTCCCCTGCTGTTGGCTGGGTTCCTGGTCTGAATGATCTGAGTAACCCACAGCAGCATGGCCGCTATCTGTTGCCAAAATCCATTTCATCCAATGCCCAGAACCTCCTGCTGTCCCAGTCCACCCCTGGATATTGACAAGGCCTGGGTGAGCCAAGGACCTTCCACAACACCCTGCATTTGTGGGCTGGCCAGCTTCCTGGGGAACCGTCCTCCCTGGGACCCTCCCCAGTCTCAGCATGTTCAGTTCCCACTGGCTCTCCTAGGACAGTAACTTGTCCCTGTGCATGTAGCTTGCATCACCCTCGATATCAACTTCCTAAAGTGGTGGCCTGGACAATGAATTTCTAAAGACAGTGACACCAAAATATGTCATCCATCCCCTGTGTTTCTCTCATGATATGAGGTTGACCTGCCTCTATTTGAGGGGTGTCTATGTCCTCTGAATCTAAGTGGACCTTGGAAACCACTCCAACCAATAGATCAAGGGAAGTCACACTATGTGGCTTCTGGAACCAAGTTGCTTCTCTCCTGGGTCCCGTGCCTCCTGGAGCCCAGGGCTACCACGAGGGACATTGCCATGCAGGAGGCCATATGGAGAGAGCACAGGGAGCCTTGGATGCCCACAGTGCCCAGCTGGTCAAGCCTTCCTGCTGCAGCCCCGGGTGTCCTGGAGCTAAGACAAGCCCTCACACGGTGCTCGGCCCATGTCCCCAACCCACACACCAAGAGAGCAGTACATACGGTTTTGCAAAGCATTGAAGTTTGGGGTAGTTTGTTATGCAGCCATAGTGACTAAAATAATCTGTGTTTCTCCAATACAGAAGGCTATATTAGCCAATAATCTGTGTTGCTTGGGCTTGTAGCCTGTGGGAAGCCCTGGGTGTAAGCTGGGATGTGATTATGCTCAATTATAACATGAGAGGAGGTGGCAGCTCACTGCTCTTCAGTGGCTCTGTTCGTCCTTGTTCTTTCATATCTCTTAATCCAAAGGCAGCTGAGGCTTTTTCTCTGGGTCACCTTAGAGTCCTCCATTGTCAGTAACAGTAAAAAGGCAAGTGTGCAAGAGCTGAACTAGAAATGCCTGGTATTACATCCCTGGCCTGTGCAGATAGTGGGAGTAGACCTACACAAACGTGCTCTCCCCACAGAATCGCCTCAAGGAGGGGTGACAGATGCCAGCCTGCCACAGCAGCCAAGCACAGGAGACACCAAGGAGCCAGCATGTGCCCAGGCCCCTGGATCTCCTACTGCACACTCCATAAGGACTTCTGGATTTGGGCCATGTTTCCAGGAAGCAGCATAGTAGTACCTGAGAGTGAAGAACGACATGGCCAAGGTCTAGTCATGATTTTAAACAAGTTATAAATGAATCACGGTGCATCCATCCACTGGCAGACCGTCCCGCAGAGCTATATGTGCATGTGTGCCTCTAGAAAGCTGTCTGACACTAGCAGTGAAGGAACACTGAGGCTGCAAAACATCATGTCACCTTATATTTCATGTATGCACACACACT
Organism: Homo sapiens; assembly: GCF_000001405.40. Taxonomy (NCBI): domain Eukaryota; kingdom Metazoa; phylum Chordata; class Mammalia; order Primates; family Hominidae; genus Homo; species Homo sapiens. Next base: position 24,702,134 of record NC_000020.11, read on the forward strand.
CACACACACATATGCTATTAAGAAGAGAATGGTTGTAAAGAAATATGTGCTAAATGATTAGTGGTGATTCATTCTCTCCAGCAAAAAATTATACAGAAATTCTTCTTTTGATATACTGTATATAAAGCTGAGATTTAAAAAAAGATATTAAAAGACTTTTAGAAAGAAAATCTGCTGCGCAGGTAATTTTGCAGCAGCACTGGGGCTCTCAGGAGGTGAGGGGCTGCTCTCCTCCCGAGTCTTGAAGTGCAGTGCTGCCCAGAGGTGGAGGGCGGGGCAAGGGACAAAGGACAGGGAACAGGGGCAGGAGCAGGGGATGGGGAGGGGACAGAAGACAGGGAGTGGGACATAGGGGGCAGAGTCAGGAGACAGGGGGCAGGGAGCAGGGGACAGGGGAGAGGAGACAGGGGCAGGGGACAGGAGACAAGGGGCAGGCTCGTGAATGAGGTGCCCAGGGCTTTCAGTCCTGGGATCCCCTGACCAGGGCCACTGGGACCAATGCTTCTGAAGCGGATGCATCGTTGCCAGGGAGTGGGGCGGGGTGGGGATGGCATATTGGCCTCAGTTCATGCTCTCCATCAAGCAGTCCTGAGTTTGAACTGGGATTGGTATTAATTTCGATTCCCTACAAAGCAGAGCCTGAGATGAAAGCATTTGTGCCTGCACTGTCCTGGGAAATAAGACCTCAAGGAAGCAGAGCTGCCAGGGAAGGAAAGCGAGGCAGGGAAGGAGAGGGGCCAAAACCCAAAACCAAGGGATGCATAGCTGGACCTGCTGCCGGGCCGGGTCCTGTGGGACTTCTTCAGGGAGCCTGAGGGTCGCCGTGGCTTGCAATATGAATATGATGTCAGCCTACATAGAACAAGAAGCAGTCATCCACTGGCTTCCATCTCCTACTGACCAACATCTACCCCGTCACCTAGCAGCTCTCTCACCCTTCCAGGGTGCAGCATCTGGCCGTCCTGGGCAGCTACGGGGAGACTAGATCCAGGAAGGGTCTGTGTCCTCCAAGACATAAGCCACCGGGCGGGCAGGGGAGCACCAAGACAGCAGGTCCCATCACTGGGGGATGGAGCCCCAAGAGAGACCCCCACTCAGTTCTACCGAAGTGAGGAGGAGCCACCTTATCTTCCTGGAGGGTCATCAGTACCACAGGGCAGAAAACCAAGATGCCAGGGTCCGTCCTGACCACATGGCCAACTCTGGGAGCAGGAACTGAGCCTCGACTTCCTTCAGCCTACCTGCCTGGTGGCTGCCTCCAGGGTGAGGCGAGGCAGCAGGCAAGCTGCCCGCACGCAGGAAGCCCTCTACATGCTCCTGGCTGGAAGCATTTGTGTTGCCATCAGCATTTACATCGCAACAGGAAGACTGCTCCACATGGGCAGTGGCGGTGGCTCATGCAGTCTGCAGAGAGCCCACTGTTAAATGTCTAGCAATTCGAGGAGCCGGTTGTCAAACTATTGGTAGCTTGAATTCTGCAATAGTGGGAGGGTTTGCACCACAGAAGTCAGAAGATGCTACAAATTGGGGTTTGTTGGTGTCTTTTTAAAATTTTCCTTCCGGACTGCTGGCTTACTAGGTCACCACTGCTCAGCGCCATCATTTTTTTTTTATTTATCAAATTAAATGGGAGAGGGTGGTCCTAGAATTACCTGCATTGTCTCCCCTCTGGTGTCTCGTTTACATGCAGATTTTGGGATCCCACCCCAGACCTCTCAGAGCTAAATCTCCAAGGGTAAACCTAGCCCCTGTGTTGGACTGGAAAAGGTGATTTGCTTTATGCACGGTTACTTGAGGGACCCACTTGTCCAGGCATTCAGGTGCCCAGAGTCCAAGGTCTGAGACTCCAGGAGCCCTCAGCCATGTGCTTCTGCCCCATCACTCTCAGTCACCTCTCAGGTGGAGCATTTTTCTTTTCACCTCCCTTTCTCATCAACAAAGCCTCACTGCTTTGACAGTTACAAAGCGTCCTAATTTACCGGCTTTTCCTAAGGATGTCCACGTTGGCCGAGTAACTCATGGCTTTAAGCCTGAAACTTAAAAGGCCCACACACTTATGGCATGTAAGTGGCAGTGAGACCTTCAACGCATGAGTCACCCCCTTTCAAAGGTACTCACAGACATCTCAGAGAACAGAGGTCACAGCCATCCCAGAGCACAGGCCTTGGACCCACATCTTGGCATCCCCGGAAGCTAACAAATGCCAAATCTCCTGACCCAGATCTCTTTCCTCCAGACCAGCACATCTCAAACCTTAACCTGCCCACGAAACACCTGGAAATCATGTTAAAAGGCAGATTAGGTTCACAGGTCTGGGGCAGGGCCTGAGATTTTAGAAATTATCAAGCTCTCAGGGGATGCTGATGCTGCTGGTCCAGGGACCACACACTCAGTCTCAAGGGTCTCTGATTCACCGTTACCCATGGAACCTTGTGGAAGAGAGAGTAAGAGCTCTGACACCATTACAGATGAAAGGATTCACTACATTTTTTATATTTGTTTCTGCTGCCTGCTACCTTCTCTTCTAGGTGTGTCTCAGCTAGGACCCCTAGACTTTAGTTTCACTTATTGATTGCCACAGAATGCTTCAAAACTTAGAAGCTTAAACAACAAAAATTAATTTGAGCTGGAGCTCAGCTGGGCAGTTCTTCAGCTCCAGGTAGCATGTGCGAGAGCTGGTGCACCCCATGTTCACATACCTGGGGCTTCTCTAGAGAGCTAGTGTGGCTGGGAGTTGATCAGACATGTGAGCTCTCTCTCCCTGTGATCTGACCACCAGGGTAGTTTGGGCTTCCTTATAGCTTGGTGGTCTCAGATCACTTGGAGCTCTTATGTGACAGCTGCCTTACACAAGAAAGCATTCCAAGAAGACAAACCCCCATGAAGAAACATTGATCAGGTCTCTGCCTGTATCGCACTTGCTAACATCCTGTTCTCAACAAGTTACATGGCCAAGCCCAGAGTCAATGGGGAAAGGGCCTACACAAGGGTGAGAACGCCGGATGGTGTGGTTCACTGGGGCTGCAGATACAAAAGCCTACCATAGCCTCTAACTTCTGATTCCCACACTGGTGTTTATTCATCTGTCCTTATCTGAAGTTCAATTCCCATAGAAATTATCTCACCTAATAGCTCATTTGAGGGAGTCTTGGATCTGTAGCAATTATCAGAAAACTGCTTTCTGAATTCAGCTTCATTAGAACATTTAAAAGGAAACAGTTCATTAGAATTTCAGAAATACTCATTTTCATGCAAGACTTGCTTGCTTAGGTTATTACATTGAAAATTAATTAATTCTTTTAGTCATATTTTTAATGGAGGAGGAATTTAATTCTTTGAATAATATGACACATTTCTGCTGAAGACTGACAGCTGTGGGTATTAATCACTGTTCTCATTTCAGAACCTATTCTCCCTGCCCAATTTCATTATTTCATGGTGAAGGAATGGTTTAGAATTGCCACTGGCAAAAAAGGAATTTGGACCACAAGCTAGGGTACTGTTATTACGAATACGGTGACAAAGAGGTTGGGAGCTTCACCCAAACCCTGAAGATTTCACCATCCCACACTCTGTGGCCCAGCAGCACCAGCTAGCGGCATCATCGCCTCACATTTCAAAGTTGCTCCTGCACTTATATCTAGGGTGGCTTATAAGAAATGGGCAAAAGATCACATTTTCCTTAAAACTTTTTGTCCACATATTTTTATTAAAAAAATAAAGAGCATGTTAAAAATGATCCAGACAGATCAAAAGAATGTGCAATGAAAAATCATTTTCTTTCCACCCAGCAAGGCTGGACACCAATCCTCAGCATTTCGGAGACAGTGAGTCCAGTTGCTCACATTGTGTGTGTGCGTGTGTGTGTGTGTCTGAATGTGTCTGTTTCACATCCACTTTTGAATGTTTGCTAAAGAACACTTCAAAACTTAGCAGCTTAAATAACAGGAATTAATTTGAGCTGGGGCTCAGCTGAGCAGTTCTTCAGCTCTAGGTGTATATGTGAGGGCTCTAGAAACCCAGGCTGGAAGTTACTTTCTCTGAGCTCCTGGAAGATATCATCACATTGTTTCCAGGTTTCCATTGCTTCTGTTGAAAAGTCAGATTAAAGCATATCTTTTTTTCTGGACTCTTTAAAGATTTTTGTCTTAGCTTTACTATGATGTGCCTAGATGTTGTTTTCTTCATACTCAAAGCCCAATTTCTTTGGATCTGTGGTCAATGTCTTTAACCAGTTTTACAGTTTTCAGCAGTTATCTCTTTAAGTATTATTTCTGCCCTATTTATTATTCCTCTCCTTTTCAGATTCTAATTACCCATATATTCGATATTTTTCATATGTTCTATGTCTCTTAAGGTCTTTCTCTATTTTTAATTCTTTTTTTCTCTTCATGCTTTAATTTAGACATGTTCTTCAAATTTATCTTTCAATTCACTTTCTCTTTACCTGTGTCCAATCTGCATTAAACTCATTCATTGACTTAATTTTAGTTATTTTATTTTCCACTTATAAAATTTGTATTTGATTCTTTTCTAAAGCTTCTGATTTTTGACTACATGTCTCACTCTGTTCTTTAATTTTCTTTAACATATAAAGTGAACTTAAAGTCTGTATCTAACAGCTCCTATATTTGGATCCCCATGGGCCTGTTTCTAATGTCTTTTGTTGATGCTGTTGTTATTGTTGTATTTCATTCATGTTGTCTTATTGTGTGTTTAATTATTTTAATAAAAACCTCTTCCTTTAGTTAGAAGTTATGTTTTTCAGAAAGGGTTGATGAGTGACTGTTCTTCAGGTCCAGGCATGTTTGAAAATATCTTCTTTTGCTTTTATATCAAAATAATTGTTGAGGAATTTAATTCTTGCATTATTTTTTCTCTAATAAACTCAATCATATTACTTGACTTGCTACTTGCATTCAATATTGCTGTAGGAAAAACTGAGACCAAGCTAATCTTCCTGATTTTTTGTAACTTGCATTTTTTTTTTTTTTTTTTTTTGAGACAGAGTCTCGCTCTGTCACCCAGGCTGGTATGCAGTGGCGCCATCTCGGCTCACTGCAAGCTCTGCCTCCTGGGTTCACCCCATTCTCCTGCCCCAGCCTCCCGAGTAGCTGGGACTACAGGTGCCCGCCACCACGCCCAGCTAATTTTTTGTGTTTTTAGTACAGATGGGGTTTCACCGTGTTAGCCAGGATGGTCTCAATCTTCTGACCTCATGATCCACCCACCTCAGCCTCCCAGAGTGTTGGAATTACAGGCATAAGCCACCGCACCTGGCCATAACTTGTATTTTTTATGTGAGACCGTATTGATTTGTTTCTTTGTCTTCAAATTCTAAAATCTTCAATTTTCACCAAGATATTTCTTGGTAATAGTCATTCTATGTCAGTTTTTTTTAAGTTCTAACATTCCTTTCCATTCTTTCACTCAGGCTGCTCCTAGGAGTACTTCCTTTTGTTGTATTTTTAACGTATTGTATTCTTTTTTACTTCCTGAATTTTCTTGTTCTCAGACACTATGTGTGTGTGTATATATATATATATATACACATAGTTGAATCTCCTTTAATTAATATTTTTTCTATAATCATTTTCTCTCTGTGTACTTTTCTAAGTGTGTTATCCATACTTCTGACTGCAATTTTAGTGTTAGCTTTTTTTTTAATCCCTTTTTTCTAATGGGACTTTTATTTGATTTCACTTACTAATTCTAATTTCTTTTCTTAACTCACCCAGACCAATATTATCTCCTTCTGGTGTCTTATCTCTCCTTCGATTTCGAGCATATTTTCTTTGCACTATTTTTTCTTACAACTTATTGTAACGGTACATGTCCAGGAAGAAAAATAAACCACATCAGGTATCTTAAGAAAAACAAATTTAATATAAAATATTGTCAACCAAGTATTGAACCAAAAAAAGAAAGGGGAAAATACTAAGATACCTTTAAGATAACAACTCCTGGGACCCACTGCCATATCTAGGCTAGAGAAACAAAGTGAAGAGGTTGAAACATTAAAATCTATAGCTCTGATGGAGGAGCATTCTCAAGCTGGAAGCTAGACTTCTGAGTAGGGGTTGCTACTTGGTTAGTGCTGGTGTCTTCGAGCTCCCAGGAATGGTCCTAAGGGTCTGTGACCCAGATATCTAAGGATAGGACTCCTTGGCTGGTGCTGGCACATCAGGAATTGAGAGGAGGGAACTGAGATGAGTGCTCTGCGGAGGGGGCCACTGCTTATCAGGAGTTGCTGCCTGACCTCAGCAGAAGAAGCCCATGGAGCTAAGGCCAAGAGAAGAGGCAGTGCATGGCTGGTCCTGGTACATTAGGAGCCCAAAAAGAGGTCTCATGAAACAGACCCAGGCTGGGAGGCAGAGTTCCAGCTGAGTGTTGTCCATGTCTCTGAGTGCCATCCAGTCATCGGTTCTGAGTGTGAGTAACTGTGGAGGGAATTCAGCTGCTGCAGAGGAAGGAGCTGCCACAACTGGGGTGAGGACCCATTGCTGGGGAGATGCTGATAGGAACTGGGAGCCCTCAGGAGGGAAGGAGCAGGTCCTGTTCCTCCTACAGCCATGACGCCTCCCTCTAACACCGCTTCTTGGTGTCCCCCACAATGGGGGACAGCTGACAGATTAGAAACGTGGCTGCAGAATCCCAGCCCCATCACAGAGCAGAGGTTAAAAGGGTGGGCATGCAGCCAGAGGAAACAGCTTAAGAGACAGCACTCTTCCGAAGAAGCATTTGTCCAAAATCCCCTTCTGCGTCACAGCTCAGCTTTCAGATGCATGTCCTACATCAGCCTTGCTTGTTAGCTTCTTTTGTTGCTGGCTCCTTTCCGAGTTACCCACTGAGGGAAAAGGGAAACATGGGGGGAAGGAAAGGGCATCCACTGGGGTGGTGAAACATCCACCCAGGTGTTTTCTTTCACGCCATGCTCACTTAGCTTTTGGTTAACTTTAGCTAATTGGATTAGTTGGTTGCTGTGCACACTCTCCCTTTATCCTTCCCCTACTGCCATCTGCCTCTTGCAGAAACAGCTCTTCTGTGCAGCCTGTCCTCTACCCCACTCCCTGGCCTGCTTCAACACAATGTGCCAGGGTTTGGGGGCTGCTCCCATGGTCTCTCCATGTTCCAGATGTTGCAGTGGCAGGTTCTAGGTCCTTGACTGGGCCTTCGTTGCTATCTAACTCTCTTTGAGACCTCTGTCATTCTTGGGAGACATGAGGGGTCATCTTTATTTCATACTGTTTTTCTTTCTGTCCAATTTCACTCTATTTGCCAGCTATTCTTCACAGTGGGTGGTTTGAGGTAGTGGGCTTCTTTCTAATTTAGTTAAATATGGAGTTTTCTTCTCCATTTCTTCATTCCTTTTGGCTGTTTTTGGTTGTTGGGTAAGAGTATAAATATCTCTATACTGATATTTTCAACTAGAAGCCAGAAAACTGGGATTGAAACCTTTATCTGCCATTGATCTTCAAAGTCTATCATGATTGAGTACTTTGACAATGAGTACAAGAAAAGACAGTAGTGCTTCTCTAGCTTACTATGTTTCCTTTTTTCTACCTTGGCTCTTAGGCAGCTCAAAACAAAAAAGAGAGGTCAATTTTGGTAACTCCAGTTTTTATGTTAGCTCTCCAACAGACTTCTTGTGATTTTTTTCACAACGTAGATAGCTGCTTGAAGTCTCTTTATATGCCACTTGAAACCCTGTCTGCAAGCATGTCAAGTGTACTTGATCATTTTTAAAGTTCGATAGGATCTCTAATTAAGATGTGGACATCAAGCTGTAGTCTTTGAATAAATGCAGGAGAAACCTCCTAAGAGGGATCACCCCACCGCTCATTCTGGGGGTTCCCAGTGGCAGTATTTTAGGCACTCAAGGGATAGTGCCTCCGTGGCATTGGTTAACATGTCCATCATGGTTAGTATTTACTTTAGTCTTAGCCTAAATTAGCTCATGTCTGTAACCATCTATCTTCCTTAGCTGTGTGTCATCAGAGGGCATGCATCTCATTTCGGCTCTCATTTCACCCCCATGACCTCCCCACCTGAAATACAGCAAATGCTTTAGTAAATGAATTAAAATGGTAGAACTTGGCACAGAATGCATGTTCAAGATGTGAAATGTGTGAGTGAGTGAGGAATGGAGCAAATGAGTAAGTGAATGAATGCCGTGAAGACATCTGGCAAGTTTTCTGCAATTAGGCATACACTCTGGGCCAAGTGCTATGCTAAGTTCCGTTTAGAGGAGAGATAGAAGTTGGCATGCACTTTTTGTTCACAGGAAAGAACACTCTCTTAGGCACTAGACAAGGTGGTTTAACTCACAGAGGCTAGAATAATTCCCCGGCACTGGGCATAGCGCTCTTGGAGAAGAAAATGCTATATGGGCAAAGAAAAATAAGTCATTGTAAATTTCTGTATTGTATACCTTTTGGGAGCCTAGACAAGCCAAGCTCCTCACTGGGAAAGGCAAATCAGGGCATACAATTTGGCATCATCATAAAAGGCAGCACATGAAACTTCACACAACATGAAATTACCCTCTTAAAGTGTACAATTCACGGAGTTTTAGTACATTCACGGGGTTGTGCAACCATTACCACCATCAAATTCCAGAACATTCTTACTACCCCAAAGAAAACCCCACAGCTATTACCAGTTACTTCTAAGTCTCCCCTACCTCCAGTCCCTGGCAATCACAAATCTAGTTTCTGTCTTTTATGTTTTTCATGTTGTGGACATTTTCTATCGGGGGACCATACAAGAAAGCCTTTTGTATCTGCCTTCTTTCACTCAGCATAATGTTTTCTAGGTTCATCCATGTGGTAGCATGTATGGTGCTTCATTCCTTCCTATATCTGAATAATATTTCATTGTATGGACATACAATGTTCTGTTTATCCATTCATCATTTGATGGTCATTGGTCATTTGGGTTGTTTTCACCTTTTTGATGATATGAATCATGCTGTTTGAACATTCATTTACAAGGAGTTTTAGTAAATATATGTTTTCAGTTTTCTAGGGTATGTACTTAGAAGTGGAATTGCTGGATCATGGAGTAACTCTGTATATAACTGTTTGAGGAATTGCCAAACTGTTTCCACAGCAGTTGCATCACTTTATATTCCCACTAGCAATAAATGAGGGTTCAAATTTTCCTACATCTTTGTCAACACTTATTACTATTCATCTTCTTATTATAGCCATCCTATAGGTATAGGAAGTGGTATCTCATTGTAATTTTGATTTGCATTTCCTTGATGACTAATGTCATTCAGTATCTTTTCATGTGCTTGTGGCCATTTGTATACCTTCTTTGGAGAAATGTTTATTCAAGTCCTTTGCCCATTTTTAAAATGAGATTGCCTTTTATTATTGAGTTGTAAGAGTTGTTTATACATTCTGAATGATAGATGCTTCTCAACTATATGATTTACAAATCTTTCCCCCATTTCTTGGGTTGTCCTTTCACTTTCTTGGTAGTGTCCTTTGATTTGCATAAGCTCTTAATTTTGATTGTCTTATACATTTATTCTGGGTTTCCTGTGCTTTTTTAACATTTTATTTTTTATTTAAAAAGTTTTTGAGGAACAGGTGGTATTTGGTTACATACCAAATGGTGGTATTTGGATAAGTTCTTTAGTGATGATTTCCAAGATTTTGGCGCACCCATCACCCAAGAAGTGTACACTGTATGCAATGTGTAGTCTTTTATCCCTCACCCCACTCTTACCCTTTCTCCTGATTCCCCAAAGTCCATTGTATTATTCTTAAAATTCCAGGAATTTATCCATCTCCTCTATGTTTTCTAGTTTGTGCACGTGAAGGTGTTCATAGTAGCCTTGAATGATCTTTTGTATTTCTGTGGTATCAGTTGTAGTAGCTCCCATTTCATTGCTAATTGAGCTTATTAAGATCTTCTTTCCTGTTGTCTTGGTTAATCTCACTAATGGTCTATTAATTTTGTTTATCTTTTCAAAGAACCTGCTTTTTGTTTAATTTATCTTTTGTATTTTTTTTTATTTCAATTTCATTTACTTCTGCTCTGATCTTTGTTATGTCTTTTCTTCCATTGGGTTTGGGTTTGGTTTGTTCTTGTTTCTCTAGTTCCTTGAGGTGTGACCTTAGACTCTCTATTTGTGCTCTTTCAGACTTTTTAATGTAGGCATTCAATGCTATGAACTTTCCTGTTAGCACCACTTTTGCTGTATCCTGGAGATTTTGATAGGCTGTGTCACTATTATAATTCAGTTAAAAAAATTTTTTTATTTCCATCTTGATTTCATCATTGACCCAATGATCATTCAGGAACAGGTTATTTACTTTCCATGTATTTGGATGGTTTTGAAGGTTTCTTCCACCGTGGTTTGAGAGAGCACTTGATATAATTTTGATTTTCTTAAATTAATCAAAACTTGTTTTGTATCCTATTATATGTTCTATCTTGGAGAATGTTCCATGTGCTGATAAATAGAATGTATATTCTGCAGTTGTTAGATAGAATGTTCTGTAAATATCTGTTAAGTCCATTTGTTCTATGGTATAGTTTAAGTCCATTGTTTCTTTGTTGACCTTCTGTCTTGATGACCTGTCTAGTGCTGTCAGTGGAGTATTGAAGTCCCCCACTATTATTGTGTTTCTGTCTATCTCATTTCTTAGGTCTAGTAGTAATTGTTTTATAAATTTGGGCGCTGCAGTGTTAGGTGCATATATATTTAGAACTGTTATGTTTTCCTCTTGGACTAGTCCTTTTATCATTATGTAATGTCCTTCTTTGTCTTTTTTAACCACTGTTGCTTTAAAGTCTGTTTTGTCTGATATAAGAATAGGTACTTCTGCTCGCTTTTGGTGTCCATTTGTGTAGAATATCTTCTTCCACCCCTTTACCTTAAGTTTATGAGACCTTATATGTTAGGCGAGTCTCTTAAAGGCAGCAGATACTTGGTTGGTGAATTCTTATCTATTCTGCCATTCTCTGTCTCTTAAGTGGAGCATTCAGGACATTTACGTACAACTTAAATATCAAGAGGTGAGATACTATTCTATTCCTTATGCTAGTTGTTACCAAAATACCTTTTTTTCATTGTGTTCTTATTTTATAAGTCCTTTGAGATTTATGATTTAAAGAGGTTTTATTTTGGTGTATTTCAAGAATTTGTTTCAAGGTTTAGAGCTCCTTTTAGAAGTTCTGGTATTGTTGGCTTGGTAGTGGTGAATTCTCTCAGCATTGGTTTTTCTGAAAAAGACTGTATTTTCCCTTCATTTATGAAATTTAGTTTTGCTCGATATAAAATTATTGGCTGATGATTGTTTGATTGTTTTGTTTAAGGAAGCTAAAGATAGGATTCCAATCCCTTCTAGCTTGTAGGGTTTCTGCTGAGAAATCTGCTGTTAATCTGATAGGATTTTCATTTATAGGTTACCTGATGATTTTGCCTCACAGGTCTTAAGATTCTTTCCTTCATTTTGACTTTAGATAACTTGATGACTATGTGCCTAGGCAATGATCTTTTTGTAATGAATTTCCCAGATGTTCTTTGAGTTTTTTGTATTTTGATGCCTAGATCTCCAGCAAGGCCAGGGAAGTTTTCCTTGATCATTCTCTCAAATATGTTTTGCAAACTTTTAGATTTCTCTTCTTCCTTAGGAACACCAATTATTCTTAGGTTTTGTCCTTTAACATAATCCCAAACTCCTTGGAGGCTTTGTTCATTTTTTTATTCTTTTTTATTTGTCTTTGTTGGATTGGATTTGAAAGCCTTGTGTTTGCATTCTGAAGTTCTTTTTTCCACTTGTTCAATTCGATTGCTGAAACTTTCCAGTGTATTTTGCATTTCTCTAAGTGTGTCCTTCATTTCCAGAAGTCGTGATTGTTTTTTATTTATGATATCTATTTCTCTGGAGATTTTTCCATCCATATTCTGTATCTTTTTTTTTAATTTCTTTAAGTGGGTCTTCACCATTCTCTGGTGCCTCCCTGATTAGCTTAATAGTCAGCCTTCTGAGTTATCTTTTTGGCAATTCAGATACTTTTTCTTGGCTTGGATCCATTGTTGGTGAGCTAGTGTGATCTTTCAGGATATTAAAGAACCTTGTTTTGTCATCTTACCAGGATTCTTTTTCTGGTTCCTTCTCATTTGGGTAGACTATGTCAGAGGGAAGATTTGGGACTCAAAGGCTGCTATTCAAATTTTTGTCCCACTGGGTCCTTCCTTGATGTGGTGCTCTCCCCTTTCCTTCCCCTAGGGATGGGGCTTCCTAAGAGCCAAACTGTAGTGATTGTTATTTCTCTTCTAGATCCAGCCACCCAATGGAGCTACTGGGCTCTGGCCTGGTACTGGGGAGTGTGTCTGCAAAGAGTCCTGTGATGTGATCTGTCTTCAGGTCTCTTAGCTGCGAATACCAGCACCTGTTCCAGTGGTGGTAGCAGGGGAGTAAAGTGGACTCAGTGAGGGTCTTTGGTTGTATTTTTGTTAAGCGTGCTGGTTTTGTGTTGGTTGTCCTCCAGTGCATCAGCTGCAGTAGTATAGGGAGGATCCGGGGGTGGATGGAGCCATAGAGCTCCCAAGAGATTATGTCGTTTGTCTTCAGCTACCTCTACCAGGGCAAGTAGAGAAAGACCATCAGATGGGGTCAGAGTTAGGCATGGCTGAGCTCAGACTCTCCTTGGGTGGGGTTTGCCATGGCTGCTGTAGAGGATGGGTGTTTTGTTCTCAGACCAATGGAGTTATGTTCCCAGGGGGATTATGGCGGCCTATTCTGTGTCATACAGGTCACCAGGGAAGTGGGGAAAACCAGCATGACAGGCCTCACCCAGCTCCCAGACAGTCCAAAAGGCCCGTCTCACTTCCACTGTGCCCCCACAAGAGCATCGGGTTTATTTCCAGGCAGCCAGTGAGCAGGGCTGAGAACCTGCCCCAGACTACAAGCCTCCCCACTGAGAAATCAAGCAGGGCTTTCAGGCTTCTGGCCTCCCTGCCTGCCATGGTTTCTGTGTTTATATATGCACTCCCTGTTCACCTCCTCCCCTGGATTCTGTCCAGGAAACTTCATGTTTGGTTGAAATTGTTATAAAGTCTAGCTGGAAGTTTCCTTCTCCCTGTGGTCTTTCCCCAGTTCCACTGGCACACCTCCGCAGAGACGCCTGAGAGACAAAGTCAGGAATGGCTTTCCTGGGCACCAAAAGTGCCTACAGGGTTCTTCCCACTGCTTCCTCTACCCCTATATTTCACTTGGCTCTCTAAATTCATCTCAGCCCCAGGTAAGGTCAAATTCTTTTCCCATCATCTAGACCTTCAGGCTCCCCAGTGAGGATGTGTGTTCAGGGACAGACATGACCCTCTCACACTTTGGGCACTCAGTTTTTCAGCTGTCTCATGGATCCTACCATGGCAAGCTGCTTCCTTCAAAGGGGCTTGTGCTTTTTTGTCATATCTAAAAAACGATTGCTTAATCCAACTTCACAAAGACTTAAACGTATGTTTTCTCTAAAAATGTTACAGATTGGCTTTTACATTTAGGTCTTTGATCCATTTTGGTTAATTTTTCTATATTGTTTGAGGTGGGAGCCAACTTAATTTTTTCACATCTTAGCACCATTTGTTGAAAAGGTTATTCTTTTCTCATTCAATTGTCTTGGTAACTTTGTTGATAATCAATTGCCCATAGATGCACAGATTTATGTCTGGACTCTCAATTATATTCTATCATCCATATGTCTATCATTGTGCCAGTACCTTATTGTCTTGATTAATTTAGCTTTGTAGTAAGTTTTGGAATGAGGTAGTGTAAGTCTTCCAGCTTTGTTGTTCTTTTTTAAAAATTGTTTTGGATACTCCAGGTTCCATTTCCATAAAGATTTTAGATGAGAATTTATATTCCTGGAAAACATAAAGTTGGTATTTTAATAGGGAGCACATGAAATCTCTGTATCAACTTGGCATGTATTACTACCTTAACAAAATTCATTCAATCCATGAATACGGGATGTCTTTTCATTCATTTTGTTATACACTTTATTCTAGTTATCTTTTGTAGCTTTCAGTGTATAAGTCTTACACTTCTTTAAATTTATTCCTAAGTATTTCATTCTTTTTGGTGCTACTATACATGAGATTATTTTCTTAATTTCATTTTCAGATGGTTTATTGCTAATGTATAGAAATGCAACTGATTTTTATGTATTGATTTTGAATCCTACAAGTTTGCTGAAGTCATAATAGTTTATTTGTGCATTCTCTGGGAATTTCTATATATGAGGTCAGATCATCTACAAATACTGATAAGTGTACTTCTTCCTTTCTAATCTGCATGTCTTTTATGTATTTTTCTGACCTAATTGACCTGGGTAGAACTTCCAGAACAATGTTAAATGAAGTGGCAAGAGGAGAGACATTCCTGTTTTATCCCTGATCTTCTAGGAAAGATTCTGGTCTTTTGCTATTAAGTATGATATTAACTGTGGGGTTTTCATAAATGCCCTTTATCGGTTTGAGAAAGCCTCCTCACATTCCTGGTTTCTTGGGTGTTTTTCATCATGGAAAGGTGGTGGACTGTGTCAAGTGTTTGTCTGTGTCCTAATGGTCCTAATCTGATGTGGTTTTTACCCTTTATTTTATTAGTGCAGTATATTACATTGATTACTTTCTCATATGTTGAACCAAATTGGCATCTTGGGGTAAATACCACATGGTGAATACTGCTAGATTTGGTTTGCTGGTGTTTCATTGAGTATTTATATATATATATATTTATAAGATGTATTGGTTTGTGGTTTTCTTTTCTTGTGATATTTGACTTTGGTATCAGAGTAACACTGGAATAATAGCAAGAACGGGGGAGTCTTACTCTTATTCTGCTTTTTAGAAGAGTATTTAAAGGATTAGTGTTAATTATTTTGTAAAGGTTTAGTAGAATTCATCAAATCACTGGTGAAGCTAACTTGTTCTGGGCTTTTCTTTGCGAGAAGTTTGTTTTTGTTTTTGTTTTGTGACTAATTCAATCTTTTTACTTGTTATAAGTCTATTTCTTTGTGAGTCCATTTTGGAGGTTGGTATCTTTCTAGGAATTTGTCCATTTTATGTGAATGTCTAATACGTTGTCACACAGTTTTTCCTGGTATTCCTTTATAATCTTTTTTCTTTTCGAATGGTCTGTGTTAATGCCCCCTTTTTATTCCTGATTTAATAATTTGAGTCTTCTCTCTTTCTCTCCTGCTCAGCCTAGTTACAGATGTGTCAATTTTGTTAATCTTTTCAAGGAGCAAATTTTATTGTGTTCATTTTCTCTGTTGTTTTTCTGTTCTCTATTTTATTTATTTCTTCTCTATTGTTTACTTCCTGCAGCTGCTTTGGATGTAGTGTTCTTCCTTTTCTAGTTTCTTAAGGTGGATGGTTTAGTTATGAACTTCAAGTATTTCTCCTTTTTAAATGTAGACACAGATGGCTATATATTTCTCTCTGAGCACCATTTTCATTGTATCCCATAAATTCAGCTACATTGTGTTTTAATTTCTATTCATCTCCAAGAATTTCCCAATTTCTTGTGATTTCTCTTTGACCTATTGGTCGTTTTTTACCGTGTTGTTTACTTTCCATATATTTGTGACTTTTCAAATTTCCTTCTGTTACCAATTTCTAACTTTATTCTATTGTGGCCAGAGAACATACTTGGCATGAGTTTGACCATTTCAAATTTATTGGGACCTATTTTGTGACTTAACATGTGCTCTACCATGGAAAACATTCTATGTGCATTTGAGAGGAATATGTGTTCTGTTGTTGGGTAGGGTGCTCTATAGGTGACTGTTGTCATTGTTTTGCGTTGTTCAAGTTATCCATTATTTTTTGATCTTCTAATTGCTCTAATCATTATTTAGAGTGGAGTATTGAACTATCATTGTTGAATTGTCCATTTCTCTCTTTAATTCTTTTGTTTTTCTTCAGGTAATTTGGGTCTCTGTTGTTATGTGTATAATTGTTATATCTTTTTGATGGAGTTTCCATTTTATCATTATAAAATGTCCTTTGTCTCAAATACCAGTTTTTGTCTTTAAATCTGTTTTGTCTGACATTAATATAAGCACTCTGATTCTCTATAGGTTACTGTTTGTATGAAATATATTTTCCATACTTTTATTTTCAACGCATTCATTTTTTTGAATCTAAACTGTGTCTCTTTTTGTTATCATATCATTGGATCATGTTTTGATCCACTCTTCCATTCTCTGTCTTTTAATTGGAGAGTTAAATCTATTTACAAACCTGCCTTCCCCACTGGAGATGACAAGAGTGGAGCTCTGGTTTTCCCTTTTCTCTACACAGTGTGAACTATTACTCACTTCACTTCTTGCCAGGGCAACTTAAATAAAACTGTCAACCAGCTAGTTATGTAATTTGATTTTCACATTCTCTCTCTGGGACTCAGCTTTCTTATTTGCAAAATAACTTGGGACAGACATTTAACATTCTTTTGACCAATGTGCAAATGACACACTGCACACCTGTGCAGGGAATGGCCTGACTCTAGACGTCTCCCACTAGTCCTGTGAATAGAAATGAGTGGAGAGACTGAAAAGCTCATATTTTTCTGATGGGCAAAATAATAGCAATTCATTTTCACTAGGCCCAAAATAGTCCAAGGTATCATCTAAAGACCTCAGGTTGCTTCCAGTTTCCCCCACAATATTTGTGCCCAAAGCATCAGGCAGAAACCTGAGACTGGGTCCTTTCCTTCATGCAGGCCCTTGATGTGAGTCACCAGCACCTGTCACTTCTACTTGCCAAACACTGGCCCTCCCACCTCCCTCCTCCCTGCTGCCACCCCTGCCTCATTCCTGCCTTTCTCATTTCTCATGCTCCTGCTTCCTGTCCCTCTGCCCTCTCCATATGCCAATTGATGCACTGTCACAGCACCCCAAAAATCCTTCCAAAATGGCCTTCGTCATTGCTGCCCACTGCTGGCATACTCTCTGCAAACTCCAGACTCTCCTCGGCTTCCCACCCAAGAACTCCATGATTAGACACCTTCCCACCTGCCGGGCTTATTGCTTCTCCTCCCCATTCAGATCCTCCACCAATCTATCACAGTTTCCTAGAAACAGTGGGCTCTAGCCAGCTTCTCTCCCTCCCTCTGCACCAGCTGCTCCTCACCGAGAGCCCCACTCCCCAAACTGCAGTTCTTTAACCACTGTGCTCTCTCCTTAAAAGAATTTTGACAAAGTCGTGAAACTTCTTTCACATATGTTTGAGGTAACATTTAACTTTTTCACACAAACATATAATTTTTCATATATTATAAAAACTGGTATTTTAAAATAAAACTGTTAGTGCTCTCTTTAGAATTTATGCAATAGAAAATAAATACTGGCCAGGCACGGTGGCTCACGCCTGTAATCCTAGCACTTTGGGAGGCCGAGGAGGGCATATCACGAGGTCAGGTGTTTGAGACCAGCCTGTCCAACATGGTGAAACCCCGTCTCTACTAAAAATACAAAAATTAGCCAGGCGTTGTGGTGTGCGCCTGTAATACCAGCTACTCAGGAGGCTGAGGCAGGAGAATCATTTGAAACTGGGAGGCAGAGGTTGCAGTGAGCCGAGATCATGCCACTGCACTCCAGCCTGGGCAACAGAGTGAGACTTATCACAAAAAAAAAAGAAAGAAAAAAGAAAATAAATGCCACAGCAATTTAAAACTTAGCATTATCCATTTAAAAAGAATACATGAGCAGCCTGTAATCCCAGCACTTTGGGAAGCCAAGGTGGGTGGATCACAAGGTCAAGAGTTTGAGACCAGCTTGACCACCACGGTGAAACCCTGTCTCTACTAAAAATACAAAAATTAGCCGGGAATGGTGGCACACGCCTGTAATTCCAGCTACTTGGGAGGCTGAGACAGGAGAATTGCTTGCCAAGAGGCAGAGTTTGCAGTTAAAAAAAAAATACATGAGCAATCTCCACCTTAAATGTCAGAAATTTTACCCCTTCTTTTTTTTCTACTGGAACTCACAGTTCAATTCTACTTCCCTCATTGAATTTTATTCTAATGTCACAGAATTTTATGCTTGAAAGAGCTTTATTATCATCTCATAAAATTCTGGAAAAGAAACATGTATATCAATTGAAATTATTTTGTTTCCTATGACCAAATGGCTCTAGATGTTCAATTTTTTTAATTGAGTTATCATGACAATGATCATTAACTGAGCAATTCAAGGTATATAATAAAAAATTGATAAATTATTATATTAAAAAATAAGATTGCATTGGGGATGTTCCTTGTGATGAGATGATTTTGTGGTTGTTGCTCTGTTTCTTGAGTCACTTATGTATCTGTCCCCTGGATCAAGAAGTGGACAACAGGGATAGCAGGTGCCCGTGACTGGTGCAGTTGTCCGGGGAGAGCTCAGGGTCCCCCCCAACCACCTACCCCTGTGGTTCATATTAATATTGACCTTTACTGGGGGCCTATAAATTGTCTTTTTGGGTAAGGCCTTGTGATAGATGAATAGTGCTTATTTTTAGAATTAAGCAAAGGAGACCTCACATCAATTTTATTCTCACCTTTTGTTTTTTGTGGTTTTGTTTTATAGTTGAATACACTGAGAAACTTTATTCACGTCTAAGAGTAGGTGAGAATTTTGTTATACCAATGGCATTCAGTTCTGAGGACTCCTTCTCGGTTATAGCCATTAGATCTGCCTTTAAATGTGTTGAAAGCAAATAATTGGAAACCACCTCCCTCAGAAAGGGATTTGTTTTCCAATCATTCAAATCATCATTGCTCAATCTCTTGGACGTCTATGCAAAGGGCACTATTACAAGACTCTCAGAGGACTGTACACCAGCGTGTCCCTCGTAGGTACTTGGTTCAACCTGCTAAGAGATAGTGCTGAATATTATTTTATCATATGCTTTGAATATATTTTCCTGAAGACCTTGAGGCTGAGGCTTAGCCAGCCTGAATGATGGAGATGCCACCCTGATGACATGCTTGGAAAGCCAGCACTGCAGCTTCTGTTGGCACAATTCAACTGCCAGATGGGACTCCCTACCAGGTGAAGGCATATGGCGTTTCTCAGCTCAAGCAAATGTGTGAATTGCATGTTTCAAGAAATAGCATAAAAATCACTGAGAAATAAATTGCGAAATGTGTCTTATAAGAAAGGTGACTAAAATCAGTCAATATTAAACTGATAAAAATTGAATACAATAATTCCTATTTATTTTCTAATAAGTTGTAAAAAAACAAGATAAGTCTAAATACTATTTGTTATTATTGAATGTGGTATAATGCTGTCATGTAGCAAAATTATTATATATGATATAAAATGTATGATAAAAGCTTCAGTAAGCCTGTGGCAAAGGTATGCTTCTGGACATTTTGGGTTGTTTTGCTAATTTTGAGAATAATCGAAATCATCTACTAAAGTCAAAAACAACTTCAAAAATTTTATGGGACGTAATCAAAGTTTCTCTTTATACTTAAGAAAACAGAAGGTAAAAGTCCCAAAGTACTAAGGACTTGAATGTTTATGTACAATTTTATTTTTGTTAATGAGAAGAATACAGTAAATGTTTATTTTGATTAAGATGAGGATTGACTATAATTAGAATAAATATTTCAATCTATGGTTTGACAAAATGGGTTTTCACTTACTTTGGAATACTGCACACATAATTTTAATCAGTGAATTTTACCTTGTATGTCTTGAAAAACCTTGGTGATCTCCCCTCACCAAAATTCAAATGACACTTAACATCATAATCTTTATTAAGCTGTAACCCCTACTGCTCTGGCTGTTCAAAGACACTTTTTTTTCTGGCCAATGGCATACCCAGATAGCAAACATGGCCAAGAGCAGGGGAAAGCTGCTCCCTTTAAATTAGTCATGGGAACAATTGAGCCAATGTTTTTTACTGATGTTTTCTCTGCTTTGCTCCCACAGGCTCTCCCCCAAGGGCACAGTAATCTTTGGCAACTGTCTGGGCATGGAAGAGGCATGCTCACTAATGGACAAGTTCATCAAGCCCTCTGCTCTGCTCTTTGATGTGTCTAAATTCAGAACATCCCCACACTGGCGCCTCATGGATAAGGTTTAAGGCAGGAAGGGTCCAGGTGGGCTGGAGTCCCTACATTAATCTGCAGCCCTCAAGTGGCCCTGCTTTCCAGATGGGCAGGGTGAGGGGTATGAGGCAGCATTAATGTGGAGCAGGAAAGGAGCCTTTGTGTCTCCTGGTGTGATCATGAGGCAGGTCGGATTCAGGAAGACCAGCCTGTGGAACCTCAGGCTCTGGTGAGTTGCCAAGAAACTGAGCTCAAGTAGCCAGATGACAATTCACATCTCCTGCTTGTTTCCAAATTAACATAGAATCCTGTTTCCCTCCAGGCCATCACTGTCTCAGTATCTTACCCAGAACCCAGCCAACATTCAAGAAATGTGTGTTGAGTTGAAATGTATTAAGTGAGCTACCACTTGCTAAGAGAAAGCCCCACCCAACTTTTGGTAGAGGTCTGGGTTTGGAGCCTGAAGTTGTCTCAGCTCTGGGGAAGAAAGAATGACATATCCTCTGTCTGGTAGGTTCTAAGACCAGCCCAGACTTTCCCAGGCACAAGCTCAGAGCCCTCAAACACAACCTCTGGTCTCTAGGCTGTGTGTCTCCAGGGCAGGCTAGAAGCATCCCCCCTCCTCCCTGGAGGCTGATCAGCGCCTGGGGAAATCCTCTCTCTTGCCACCAAGCAGCAGGCTCCAGACTTGTCAATCTTGGCTTTTCTGATAAATCATTCACAAACTTTCATTCCCACTGGTATTTGCTATTTGCTAATTGAATAATTAGATATAATTAATAACATCATACATTACCATAATTTTAACATTATAGGTGTCAAGAGGATATAATTTAATTAGAGGTTAACGTTTTGGGCTTGGAATCAGATGCTTAAGTGAACTGTAGCTTGTGCTTCTGCCAGCTGGAGAAGCATGAACTGTGCCCTTCTGATTCATTCTGCTGTGTTTCTAAGGTCTGGAAAAGCAGAGAGGGAAACACATTGATTTCTTGAAATTTGGTGGCTGAAGAGAAATTCCCTGAAAACAGCATTGGTGTTTGTGTATGTGTATGAACATCTGCTGCAGCTCTGCCTCAAAGAGGATATATACTAGCTGCTCTGGGGGACACAAAAGACCCCATCTTTATGTCCACAGTCAGGAAGGTCAAATAAGGCTTGCACAGAAGTCCCTGCAGCAGGAAGTAACGAGTGACAACCTCCATTGTCACATGGCTGAGTTATGACAGATTCGCAGGATGCATGCAATCAGGAAATCATATGCTTTTTGATAAGAATGACTCTGGAATATACTGCTAAGTATAATTTCTAAAATTTATAACTTGCTAAGACTTCTCCTGTAATCGAATTTACAGGTGAGAAAAAGAAACTGACAAGACATTAATCATGATGTCAGACTTAGAAAAGATGGCTGTTAAGGAGATCACGACAGATCAGTGTTGTGGGAATTGAAAGGATGGGGAGGCTGCCCCTGCGTGAAGGTGGGAACTCACAATCACAAGTGAGGGAGCCCCAAGTCAAGAAACCCCTTTTATTTCCAGTGCATCTCGGAGCATGTCTGCTGTCTGTGTATGCGTTTACTCTCTGGGTTTGATGAGTTGACGTTTCTGGTGAGTGTGGTCAGTGCTGCTGTCTGGGCTGACCTGATCTGGGTAGAGGACTGTATTCTGAAGGAGGCTTAGATTCCCGGTTAGCGCTGCCTGCTGCCTGATCACCTCCAGGTTCGGTTGTGAGGCACAATCCATCATGTTAGGTCAGGGTTCTTGATAGCGTCTCAAAATCTGAGTGTGGGGCAGAGGGCTCCCAGCTTAGGAATGATCATCAAGAGGAGCCTGTCTCTGGGCTGGGGCAGGAGAGTGGCAGGTTCAGGGTGTTGCTGCGGTGAACGCTAAAGTGAGGGGGAGTCATGGAATTTCCTGAGAGGTTGGTGGGCCGGCTGAGAAGTGAAGTGGTGTCTGTGCTGCATGAGGAGCCGTGAGGTCAGGCAGGGAGCCTAGAGCTAGTTCAGAGGAAACACCAGCAGCCTGGTAGTGCCAGCTCCTGCCCCGAGGCAAGAGGGATAACCTTTATCACTGGGTCCAGGCTACAGAGTCCACAACAGGCTTTTGATGGAGTGGAGACAAAAGAGACTCCATCCTGGATGCTGGTTACATGCTGACTTCTGGTCAGCCCCAGTCCCAGGAATGACTCCCAATTCTACTGTATTCACTGTCCCTCGCATAAGAGCATGTCAACCTTGATGTTACCATACAAATGGCAGGCTCTGATGCACACAGCATTCTTTCCTGTTCTGGGGGGCTGCCTTTCATCATCTCGATAGAGCAAATAAAATCTTTCCCTATGGTATATAAGCCCTGGGTCTGGGGAGTAACGGCAGGGAGGTCTACCTGTCTTGTAGCCTCTCAAGACTGTGCTTCTGTTTGAAGGTTCTAATGAATCATCCTATATCCACAAAAACTGGATTTGCCTGCCTCATCTTTTGGTTTCCTGGCACTTTTGGCATTTGGGGACCGCTTGGCATATTTGGCCCTTCCATGAGGTTGATTCAGAACCTTAAGGGCATGTCCAGATCTCTCATGCACAAATAGATGATTGGCTTTGATAGTTAGGAAAGCACCCGGAAGGAGGCCACTGAGGAGACTTCTTCAGGTCCCACAAGGCCTACTCATGTTGGAGCCCCCACAGCAGAGGGTCTTCCTGAGAACTGAGTTCATAAAGAGGTATCGTAACCTCAGAAAAACTTGGCACCCATTGTCTGCAATATCCAGTTAACCTAGAAATCCTGTCCATTGTTGCTGTGAGGGGTCTAGGACAAGTCTGCATAGCTTTTTGTCTATTGTGAGGGAATGCCTTTCCCTCTTCTGATAGGCTGTGCCCTGAATAATGGGCTGTGCTCTGACAATTTTGTAAAGTCTTGACTGTGGACCTGGGGAAGGCAGGAGGGACTTCAGTGAAGCCCTGGGGTGCGCCCGGCCCGGTGCACTGTTGTCCTCCCAGGTGAAGGAAGAAAAAGTTGACTGATCTGGGGCACACTGAGAAGGGCTGACCAAAGCTCCACTGCAGTGGAGCAGGCAGCTACAGGAGGAAATGATGGCGGGATGGTGTTTGGGTTAGGAATTACTGGGAAGTGAGAAATGACAAATGTGTCGATGCCCTGAAGTCTTGACCACATTGATTTCTCATCCATTCAGTTTCTTGGCAGGACAGGAGGGTTGTAAGGGTGAATGCAGGGCATGGGAAGGCCTCTGGCTATAAGACTTTTAACTTTAGTTTGAGCCTTTCCTTCATTCCCAGCTTCAGGGGATAATGGAGAAATTTGGGTAACCATTTGGTAGGATCTATCTGAATTTTAATAAGTTCTACTCAAATTAATTTCTGTATGTTGGTGGAAGTTTTAGCCCATACAGTATCAGATACGGTGTCAAGGCCTTTATCTAGGGCTCACATCTGATGTGACAGAAGGGGCAAAGGTAGATCGAGAGCAGACACAGCTTGATGATGAACAGAAGAGTTCTCTGAGACTGCAGGAAATTGTCCCTCTGGTGTGCAAATGTTCTGTTTGTAATGTGAATGTCTCGCTATTAAATTTGCATAGGTGGGATCACAGAACAGGAAAGAATGTTTTCAACCAAGGACCTGAAGGTTATACAGTTCAGGACCAGGAGCTCAGGAAAATCCATGGGTTATTTGAAATATCAGCCACTTGTGTGGTGTGTTTGCTCTGAGGTGAAGGTTAAGCAAAGGTGGCAAGTGTAGCTTAGAAAGAGGAGCTCCCATATCAACTGGGAATAATGAAATGGACCATCTATATTTTTCATCAACTCACCTTGAGTATTTAAGGTAACAGCAAGATATTGGGTGCACCCTCATCTAACTAGATTTTCTGATTTTTCTTTGTCTTGTCTTTTCTTTTCCAAGATGGGATGATCTTTATTCCAGCTTCCCTTTTGTTTACATATCTACAAGTATCCTTATCAGTTTGTCAGTTGGCTGGGAGTGGGTCACCCTGCTGTTTGATCTGTAGGGACATGCGTTTATTTTGGGTCGTGTCTTCCTTTTGTTCTAAAGCCCTTTCAACATGCTCTGCCAGCTATTGTAGTTGAGGTGAAAAGACTACCTTCCATTCTAATTTCTGTTTTTGAATTACATATACAAATTGACAAAATGAGATGAAAGAGCTGCTTTCCCATCACCCTCTTCTTTAACTCCCAAATGCAACCTCAATATACTTTCTAGTTTAGTCTTAACATTGCCTATATTTTTATATTTTATTATTTGCATGATATAATTATGGTCCAATAGATTTTATTGGAAATGTTTCAGGCATAGCATGTAGAAGACTTAATCCTAATTTATAGGCCCTTTTTGGGCCCTCAAGCTTATTGTGGAAAGAGGGATCATATAGGTCCCTTTCCAGTTCAGTCCAATTAGCTCTTACCATCTAGAATTTAGTATCTGAGGCTCTGATCAGTATGTGTACAACTTAACATAGGTCGGGTCACTGCATCAACCAGTGTTCTCCAGGGAAACAGAACCAATATGGGGAGTGTGTGTGTGTGTGTGTGTGTGTGTGTGTGTGTGAGACAGAAAGAGAGAGAGAGATTTTAAAGAATTGACCTGATAGATGATGGAAGTTGCCAAGTCCAAAATCTGCAGGATGGGCCGGCAGTCTGGAGACCCAGGCAAGAGCCAATGCTGCAGTTCAGTCCAAAGGCTATCAGCTGCATCATTCATCTTGCTCTGAGGAGGTCAGGCTCACATTCCATTTAGGCCTTCAACTGATTGGAAAAGGTGCACTCACATTAGGGAATACAATCTGCTTCACTCAAAGACCACCAATTTGAATGTTAATTTCATCCATAACAACCTCACAGAAACAGCTAAAATAATGTTTGACCACATAAATAGGGAACCATGGCGCAGCCAGCTGGACTCATAACGTTAACCATCACAGTAGCCCTGGGTCCTAGGCACCCAAAAATTTCTCTAGGAATAGTTGCTGGCTTTGTCTAGATTTAGGGAAATCCTCAATCAGAGCTTTCAATTCAGCCTGGTTCCCGGGTTTACATTCTGCAGCTGTCAGTATACCTGGTTTCTGGGAGCAATAAGACTTTGGAGACAACAATTATTTGGGGGGTCATACAAGAGTCATTGGTAAAAGCTAGACAGACAAGGGCAAGAGGAAGGAGGAGCTGATGGGAGTGCAGAGGAGAGGGGCCAGAAGGAAAGTAAACAACGAGATATTCGTACAAGGGGCTGCCACACAGCAATCAAAAGAAACGAACCATGCTACAAACAATGACAGTGAATCCCACAGATAACCAGCAGGGCAAAGAGGTCAGAAACAAGAGATAACACACTATATTACACCATTTGTATGAGGAGAAGGCCAGGAAATCCTACACGTTAGGGAGAGGCTTTAGAATAGTGGTTACCTTGTGGCAAGGGGGTGCTGTGCACTGGGAAGAGACATGGCTGGTTCCCTGGGGACTGTGTGACCTACGTCTCAAGCAGGTGGTAGCTACATGGACTGGCAGTTATGTGGGGTGGTAGTTATGGGGGGGTGGTAGTTATTCAAGGTGGTAATTACACAGAATGGTAGTTACATGGGGTGGTAGTTACATGGGGTGGTAGTTATTCAAGGTTGTATTTGCAGGGTGATAGTTACATGGATGGTAGTTGTTTGAGGTGTAGTTACATGGGGTAGTAGATATTTGGGGTGGTAGTTACAGAGGTTGGTAAACACACAGGGTGGTAGTTACATGTGGTGGTAGTTACATGGGATAGTAGTTACACAGAGTGATAGTTACATGAGGTGTTAGTTATTTGGGGTAGTAGATATGTAGATGGTAGTTACTTGGGGTGGTAGTTATTCAGGGTGGTAGATACATAGGGTGGCAGTTGTGTGAGGTGGTAGTTTTTTGGAGTGGTAGCTACATGGAGTGGTAGCTACATGAGTTCGTAGTTATTTGGGGTGGTAGTTACACAGGGTAGTAGTCACATGGGGTGGTAGTTATTTGGGATGGTAGTTGTTACATGGGGTGATAGTTATATGCAGTGGTAGTTATCTGGGGTGGTAGTTACATAAGGTGGTAGTTATGTGGGGTGGTATTTACACGGGGCGGTAGTAACATGCGGTGGTAGTTACAAGGGGTGGTAGTGTGAACCCAGAAAATCTGAGACAGGTCTCAGTTAATTTACAAAGTTTATTTTGCCAAGGCTGAGGATGCGCACCTGTGACACAGCCCCAGGAGGTCCTAATGACATGTGCCTAAAGTGGTCACAGCACAGTTTGGTTTTATACATTCTAGGGAGACATGAGACATCAGTTAATATATGCAAGATGAACACTGGTTCGGTCTGGAAAGGCGGGACAACTTGGAGGAAAGATGGGAAGACTCAAAGTGAGGAGTGGGCTCCCAGGTTGTAGGTAGATAAGAGACAAATTGTTGCATTCTTTTGAGTTTCTGATTAGCCTCTTCAAAGGAGGCAATCAGATGAGCATTTATCTCAGTGAGCAGGGGCGACTTTGGAGAGAATGGGAGGCAGGTTGGCTCTAAGCAGTTCCCAGCTTGACTTTTCCCTTTAGCTTAGCGATTTGAAGGCCCCAAGATTGATTTTCCTTTCACAGTAGTTACATGGGGTGGTAATTACAAAGGGTGGTAGTTACATGGGATGGTAATAACTCAGGATGGTAGTTACATGGGGTGGTAGTTACATGGGGTGGTAGTTACATAGGGTGGTAGTTGTCAGAGTTGTAATTATGTGGATTGGTAGTTATTCAGGGTGATAATTAAAATGGGTGGTAGTTATGCAGGATGTTAGTTACACGGCGTGGTGGTTATTGTGGGTATTACTTACACAGGGTGGTAGTTATTCGGGGTGGTAGTTACACTGGGTGGTAGCGATACAGGGTGGTGGTCATTCAGGGTGGCAATTATTGAAGGTGATAGTTATTCGGGGTGGTAGTGACACAGGGTGGTATTTAGGTGGGTTGGTGGTTATTCTGGGTGATAGTTATTCAGGGTGGTAGTTACACTGGGCTGTAGTTAAAAGGGTTGGTGATTATTTGAGGTGGTAGTGACACAGGGTGGTAGTTATTCAAAGTGGTAGTTATTTGGAGTGATAGTGATGCAGGGTGGTAGTTAGGCGGATTGGTGGTTATACAGGGTGGTAGTTATTCAGGGTGGTAGTCACATGGGTGGTGGTTATATGGGTGATACACAGGGTGGTGGATATGCAGGGTGGTAGTCACATGGTGTGGTAGTTATTCAAGGTGGTAGTTATTTGGGGTGGTAGTGATACAGGGTGGTAGTTAGGCGGGTTGGTAGTTATTCGAAGTGGTGGTTACACAGGGTGGTAGTCACATGAGGTGGTGATTATTGCATGGTACTCACACGCGGTGGTGGATATACGGGTGGTAGTCACACGGGGTGGTAGTGACACAGGGTGGTAGTTATTCAAAGGGGTAGTTATTTGGGGTGGTAGTGACACAGGATGGTAGTTAGGCGGGTTGGTGGTTATACAAAGTGGTAGTTATTCAGGGTGGTAGTCACACAGGGTGGTGGTTATAGGGGTGGTACTCACACAGGGTGGTGCATATACGGGGTGGCAGTCACACAGGGTGGTAGTTATTCGAGGTGGTAGTTTTTCGGAGTGGTAGTTATTCAGAGGGTGGTAGTTAGGCAGGTTGGTGGCTATTCGGGGTGGTAGTCAGTTATTGGGGTGGTACTCACACAGGGTGGTGGCTATGCAGGGTGGCAGTCACATGGGGTGGTAGTTATTGGGGTGGTGGCTATGCGGGGTGGCAGTCACACAGGGTGGTAGTTATTGGGGTGGTGGCTATGCGGGGTGGCAGGTGGGGTGGCAGTCACACAGGGTGGTAGTCAGTTATTGGGGTGGTACTCACACAGGGTGGTGGCTATGCGGGGTGGCAGTCACACGGGGTGGTAGTTATTGGGATAGTGACTATGTGGGGTGGCAGGCGGGGTGGCAGTCACATGGGGTGGTAGTTATTGGGGTGGTGGCTATGCGGGGTGGCAGGCCGGTTGGCAGTTGCGTGGGTGCAGCTCTCCAGTTTTGTGCACTTTGTGTTTGTCATTCCCGCTGGTGCGCTTGTAAATGTTTAATAAGCAGCTGTCTGGGCAAGAAAGCTCTAGTTTGCAGTGTTTGCCCCTTCCGAGGCATGACTCTTCTCACCTGTGGCCACTTCCAGGCTGCACATGTGACGTCCATGAGCACAGTTAGGGAGGGCCGTGGATCCGCATCACCTTGCGAGCATAAATGCAGTCAAATGTGAATGAGCTGCAAGTGACAAGTTTGAGTATTTTTTCCCTTCATTTTAATACAATTCATCTAATAGTAAGTTTTTAACGTTTAATTTTTAATGATTTCTGTGTTAACAACTGGCTCCCAAGACCCCTGAAAATTTAGCACTTAGGTTTCAGGAGCTGGAGCAAGCTGGCTCCAGCATCCACTGGTGATATCTCAATGCAATTACTTAAGAAACAAAATTTTTCCTGCTTAAGAGTTGAAGGAACAAAGGGAAGTACAGAGTGAAGAAATGAGTAGGTGTCTGGCTCTTGTGAGGAAAGGAGAGGAAGAGAGTGCCCTGAAGAATCTGAGCATTGGAGCGGACACGGGGTTCCAATGCCGGACCCTTTGCTCGTGGTTGAACTTGAACTGTGCCTGCCCGCTGCCGGCTTGAGCTTGTGGGCCTGCACAGCCAGAGGCGCACACCCCTCAGAGCTGCTTGAGAGACCGGGGGATGTCCCTCCACCCAGTTACCCAGCCCCGAAGGCCCACCATGCTGAATCAACACTGGTGTCGGGTTTACTAATTATGTATATCAATAAGGACAAGAGTCATTCATCTATAGCAGCAGTGCACTCAGAATTTTTTATACATACACAATATCAAGTATTCTGCTTTACTGTGTCAGAAATTTTAACCCAGTATTTTTGAAATCCAAAGAGCATCTTTCAGACAGGCCTTTGAACTGGGAAACAACATAAAAATCCTCTGTAAGACACAGGTGCCTAGGTTAGTATCGGAGACATGGCAGAAGAAGATTCCATTCCTCAAGGTGGTGGTTGCTGTCAGGATGTGGCTGCTGCGGCTGTTGATATTGGCAGAGGCTGTGCTGTGAGGAGCCCATGAGGCCCCTTCGAGGGCTCAATCGATGGGAAAGTACCCCCAGCACGGATGGCCCAAAAGTGGCAGCACGGAAGCCAAAGTGGTTGGTACGGGAAAGTCGGCCAGGGGGTCTGGCTGGGCTGGGGATTCAAGTTCCTGAGGAAGCCCCCAGGCTCACAGGAGCTGATTCTCCATATCATCCCACTGTTCCACCCTCCACTGGGCCTCCTGCCCCACCCGCCGCCTCCCTTGTCTGGCAGATGCGGAGAGCATAATACAGGCTCTTTTCCACTGCTCATCTTCCTGAGAGAGAACTTCTTCCCTGCAACATGGCTGTTTAATGACTGTGTCTGCAGGAGAGAAACAGCATCACATCCGGGTAGGGCTGAACCGCTGGGGAGTCCTGGGCATTTGGCGGAATTCTGCACATCATCCTGTGTGCAGGCAGGGGGTACTGGGGTTTGGAATACAGGGATTTTCCTGTCCATGATAAAATACCTCTGACTCTACAGGGAAGCAGGCATACTTCACTCAATTAACATACTAAAAAGTATAAGCTCTGGCCAGGAAAATGAAGCCTCTTTACTCGAAAGTAGCCGTCCTCATAGTCAGCTCCCAAAGGCAGGCGCCGGCTTGCTCTGCAGGCAGCAGATAAGCAGACAGTACATTTGGGTACCATCCGAAAGATAATTGGCCATTTGCTTACTGCTCTCAATTTCTATCTCTGGCTCATGGATGCTTTTCTCTCGTTTTTTCTCGGCTGAGAACCCAACAAGGGCTCCACACTGAGCTCCAGTAGGGCAGGGCGTTGAAGCCATTTCCACCCAACACCAGCCAGCAGGGGGGAGCTGCCCACAGCACTGTAAGGAGGGATGAGGGGCAGGCCACAGATATGGCCTCAGTCTACTCTCAAACCCCCTCCCAGTGTCCCCTCCACTGGTTGTTGCCACCCTTAGACCCTTGGAGGACCACTTGAGGTCACTGCAAGCATGATGATGGCCCAGACACTTCCAAGACAGGCTGAATCAGAATATCTGAGCAAGTCTGATGCAGAAACCTGCGTTGTAACAAACCCTGGATAGATTTGAAGTTTGAGGGCCACTGGGCACCCCGCTAGAATGCAAGCTTCCAGTGAGGAGGGACTTTGCTTTGTTCATTGCTATCTCCTCAGCACCTCAGAGATAGCAATTAAACATTTTCAACATTTAAACATTTCTGGAAGGCACCTCTCTGGGGGAGAGTTCCCTAATCTTAGCCATGAAGGAGTTGATCAGGTTAGAGTTGGCAATGTGACAATCATCCTCCCACTCCCCAGTCCTGCTCAGGGCAGACATCACTAATCAATTACAGCACTCTTAATGCCTACAGCCCAAGCAGCACCACCCTGCATTCCAGGCTGCCACAGCAAACCCAGCAAAGGCAGTGCCTGAGAGAGCTCATCCTTACCATCTGGGAGTCACTGTGTTCCTGATCCTTCCCAGTTCGGAGACCCTGTGGACATTGTGATGAGGCTCCAAAACTGGCCCCACCACACGGAGACATCTGCCAGTGGGCGTCTTGCTGCTGCTCTGAGGAGTGTAGGGCCTGGGCCTTCCCTGTGAGAAGGAGGCGTTCTGGTCATCACAACAGAATGCAGTGAGGGGCAAAGCCTGTGGCCCCAGAGAGCCAGTTGCTTGGCCTCGGGAGGCCTCCATGTTTCCATGGGTTTACATCATGGAGAATCTCTGGCCACATGTTTAAGGTGAAGGAGCACAAATGATGATTGTGAGCATTTGCTCAACATGATTTACCACCCTTGGCCTATTTTGTGCCTGCCAGTTGCTGTTCTAGAAGCTGGAGACATAGGATGAACGTGGTAGGAAAGCTACAGCCTACGGAGGAGCAATTTACTCAACAGACTTCTCCCTGAGCCACAGGGACCTCAGCAGCGAGCCCGGCAAGGATGCCATCCATCGGCCTCTGTCAGCCGTGGAACTCATGGATTATTTCTATTCTTTTCCTTAGACTTTTAACTGCATTCTGAATAGCAACTCATCTGAGGAGGAGAATATTCTAGACTTTGCTTAAGATCTGATTCTCCCTTTAACCTGTCCTATGAAAACTGAGCCTGTTATTGGATTCTCCAGACTGTTTTCTTCATGGGAAATGGGGATAAGAATTTCTGCCTGCTGGGGAACTGAGCACAATATAACTATGAAAATGCTAAAAATATACCATTCTTCTCAAAGGAGTTGAGATCACCTAAAACAAATGACATAGCCACAGTATAGTCAGTAAAGCAGAACTAGAGTGTGGAAAATCAGGAACTAGGGAAGAAAGACAGAGACACTAATGGGCTTTAAGAGGTTGAGCAGCAAAACCTAAAAATCCTTGACATCAAGTGATGTCCAGTTAATGAAAAGAGGAGATCCTCACAACATATCCAGACACGGAAAGTTCTTTTTCCTTCCACAGGATAGCTTTGGCATAAAGAGGAACATATTTCACAGAGTTTATGAAGGACAGTTTGTCTCCAGAAGTTTCTGCATGTGCTCAGCCTTCTGCGGCAGCAAATAGCAGTAGGCATATGTGGAACTCTCTGCAGAGATCTTCAGAAGACTCAGCCCTCTGCAGTATGAACTGTGAACAATGATGGCGGGAGATTCTCTGTTTGTCAAAACCAACCAAGGGCAGGGACTAGTCCCAGCTGAGCTGGCGTGGAGCTTCAGAGAAATGGAGTTTAACTGTGGCCATCAGAGGAATTTCTATTTCAGAATTACTTAGAAGAAGAATTCAATCTGGGTCAGAGGGCAGGCTCTGGAAAGGTGGGCTTTCTGAGAGGCAGGAAGGTGGGGAGGAGCAAACACTGTGTTCAGGGACCCCTGAGTACAAGCAGTGCTTTCTCCCCACCTCCCCTTCCAGGTCTGGGGTTTGGTTTTAGAGCAGGGAGGACCAGGAGTGGGTAGACACCCAACATTCGTATGCACAGCCACGTAATGTGGTCATCAGCACTGTCCTGCTGAGCTGCCCTGGCCACATGCTGAGCTGCCGCCACTACATGCTGAGCCGCCCCCGCCACATGCTGAGCCGCCCCTGCCCCCACGTGCTGGGCTTTGGGATGTCCCTACCATGGGCCCATCCCCTCAGTCCGCTCATGTGGGCCACTGTCCAAACCACTGGCCTGGTCTCTTCAGAAGTGTCCAGGCGGCGAAGGACAGTGAAGGCTGAGAAGGCACACTCCAGAGGAAAAGTGGACAGAGCCACGCGGCAAGCAAAGGTAACACTCCACGCACGCATGGGCCCCAGACAGGGCAGAAAGACTGATCATTGGCATCTCTGAGAAAACTGACAAAGAATGATTAGATGGTAGTATTAATGCTAAGTTTCCTGAGTTTTGATTATTATACTGTGACTATGTGATAGGAAGGGCCCTTGCTCTCAGGCCATATGTTGAAATATTTAGGGATAAAAAATGACATTACCTATGCACACAGAAAGTTATACTGGGCTGGAATGCACACGGTTGGTGAGTGGAGCTAAAGGGCATAGATGTAAATTGTCTTAAACTTACCGAAAATTTGCGGATTTAGGACAAAGAGCTCCTACATACCCTTTACCCTCATTCACCAATTGTGTACATTTTGCCGCACCATTTTCTGTGTGTACATATGTAATATTATTTTACATACGATTCTTATTTGTCAATTATATCTCAATAAAACTGGAAAAATTGTTGAGAAGGCAGATGTCATGTGATCTCTTACCCCTCCGCCCCAAAAAGACACAGAGAAACCAATCCCTCACCCAGGCACAGGGTCCGCTAGGCTCACCAGGTGCTCTGGCAGAGAAGCACTCCCCCAAAGTACAGGCAGGAAGGGCCGAGTCAGGCAGGCCCAATTCCTTCCCAACACTCCCCAGCCTAATAACTCAGCCTGACTCCCTGGGGAGGAAGGAAGACACCAGCGTGTTACTTCCAAGAAGAAAAGTCGTGAGGGAGCGGGGAGGGCCACGATGATGTCTGCGGCCATCACCAAGGCTCCATTTCTAACAGACAGCTCTGCCTCCACCAGCTGGCACGTCGGGTGGCTCTCTACAGCCTAGAGCCAAGCTGTCTGAGGTCTCTCCTTATCTGCTTAGGAATGCATGCTTTACAGTGAGATGGCCAAGTGTAATCCTTAGCTTAATCAAGTTCATCCAGTGCCCCAGGGGATAGGGACAGCCTGGGAGCCATTTAAATCACACAAGCTACTGCCCCTTGGAGAGACTGGGGGTGGGGGAATGGGTTCTTTCATGTAGGTGATGGCTTCCCTCTTCATCCATGCTGCTGCAAATAGAAATAATCATGTATATAGGCCACAATTTCCTTATTCACTGTGAAATAAGCCAGACACAGAAAGACAAATACCACATTATCTCATTACATGTGGAATCTAAACAGATTGAACTCACAGGATGGAGGAGAATGGCGGTTACCAGGGGCCGGGCTGAGGGAGTGGAGGCGGAAAGAGGAGCTGTTGGGCAAAAGGTACTAAGTCACAGTTAAGCAGGAGGAATCGGTCTCACTGATCTAGTGCACAGACAGGTAACCTTAGCGAATAAAAATGTATTATGTATTTTTAAATTGCTAAAAGAGTAGATTTTAAATGTTCTCACCACACATACACACATGCACACACACATGCACACACACACGCACACACACACACGATACTCAAGTGAGGAGGGGGCTCTGCTAAGGCACCTGCAAACGCATGCACACCCCACCACAGCACACCCCCCACAAACTTACACAATTACTATTTTTCCACTTATTTTTTAAAAAGATTGGAGAGGGCTTATGATCCTGACGTGTGTACATTTTTGTGATTCTGAATGTGATTGTACTGATGAAGCATAAAGCACTGTTTACTCTGTAATAATCCACACGTGACTTGTCCCTTGGACACGCCAGTGGTATGGGCGAAAAAGGCCCTGAACACCCAGGCCCACCCAGACTTGCCTCTTGCCGTAAGGGTCATGGCTTATCTTCCCAGGAAGCAATGCCACAGCATCCAAGAGTTTCTTAGCAAACAGCAAACGATGCTGAGTCAGGGAGGTAGGGGGGATTCCTCCCCTCTGAAATGAATAAAAGACTTCCTGCAATTGCCGTGCTTCAAACGTCCGGTACCATCTCTGTTTACCAAGGTGTTTAAAGATTGCTCATTTTCTCCAAGTTTCTAATAGCATAAATTATCTTACTGCTCTAAATAAAGAGGTTATTATATATTATTTTAGATTTTCAGCAACCACATGCATTTAGCAGTTAGAGATATTAGTGCTGCCAAGTGACTTTGAAAGATAAATACTGGTGGTTAGAAGAATGCCATGCTTGCGCTTGTTTTATTAAACAGAAATCCAGATCACAATGGCTCTATTCCAGTCCTCTACTCCCTGAGTGTCCAATTAACTAGAAGACAGAAAATACACTTTTTCTAATTTAAATAGACTCTGCTCCATATTAATTCCAAGGGGTTATACATTGGTCACCTATTTCCAAATCCTCTAATACAAATGGTGGAGCCGTGGTTTCTGCTGGTGCCCTGGTGACTCCCCAGGCTCATGGCTCGAGGCACTGCGCAGGCCCTCTGCAGCCCCTGGAGAATCTGCCTGAGGGCTTTCCCAGCATTGTGGGGTCGGCCTCACAAGCATCCCTTAGCTGATTACAAGTGGGAATTGGAGGGTGAATAGCCCCAGTTCCTGGCCCTTGGGCTGGGAGGACCCTGGGGTATTACCTATCCCTCTCCCCGTGGCTGAACCCTAGCTGCCCACAGCTTTGTCCTGGCTCCTTCCCACTCCCCATACCCCAGCTGGAGCTTCCTGAGATCAGCTCCCAAATGAGCTACCACTCTCCAACCTTGTCATCTACTTTTGTGGGAAAGTCACCTGAGTTACCCAAAAATTCCCCCTAAAGATCCTCTTCTTCCTGCAGCCAGCAGGCAAGGAGGAGGCTCCCAGTGTGGGGGAGGGGAGGCGAGGAAGGAGAGAGCACAGGGTTTTGAGCCCTGCAGGTAGAAGCACATCCTTACACTGGAGCACGAAGGAGGAAGCTGCCATATGCAGGGCTGGGATTCCGGGGTCCCTGGAGCTGCAGAACCGACTCTGCCCTGGGCCGAGAGCTGCTCTCGAGAGTCAGTAGATGACTGACAAGTCTTAGCAGAAGCCATGAAAAGCTTCCCTCCTTCCTTTCCTACTTTTCTTTCCAGGCGTTCAGCAAACACCCCCTGGGGAGAGTACTACTGGTGGCCAGGCCCTGTGTAGGACAAACATTGGTGGACGAGGCAACACCACCCTCCTTGTGGAGGCACCAAGGCCTCTGTCCTGCCCCCTGACTTCCCTGGAGCCCCTCATCACTCCCTGGACACAGGCGGCATGGACTGAGGGTGCTCTGCAACAGGGCCCCTGGGTTTGCTGCACCAGCATCCTCAGCAGGTGCCTCTCACCTGCCTCCAGCTCAGATCCCCAGGATAACACGGTTGGTCCTGAGGAGACTCCCACCAAGAACCTGGGTAGCACCGTCCAGCCAAGATAGAGGAGGGTCCTCAGCCTGAGAGCTGGGAGGAGGCCTTGTCCTTGCTGAGGCTGCCTCAGAAGCTGGCCCTGAGATAAGGATTTGGTTTATCTGGGAGGGGATTCCAGGAAGGACCTGGAAGGGAGTGAGGAAGGAAGGGAAGTGCCTCAAGGAAGGGACCAAAGTCAAAACCCAGGAGGAGGAAATCAGTAACACCGAGGCCAGTGGGATCACGAGCCTGGGGTCAACTTCGGGAGACCTGAGGTCTATGCCTCAGGGTCTGTGCCTTGGAGTGTCCTCTCCAGAGAGCCAGGCACCTGGGCTGGATCCAGCAGCTCCAGTAGGTCTGCAGCTCAGGGCAGCTTCCTGGGGCCTGACTCTCCAGCCCTTCAGGAAAGAACTCTGAGAAGGAGCATATGGTAAGAGGCCATGGGCACCTGCCAGACCCACAGTGCTATGGATGCGGGGACTTGGACAGAGACCTTAGGTCTGGGGTGCGGGTGCATGTGCACTACACTGGCCCTCCCGACCCCAGGAGTGAGGCCAGGAAGTGAGAGCCTCAGGGCACTGAGGTGTAGTCCCTGCATCCCTCCTCCTGCCTGCAGGGTCAACGCAGGATGAACTGCATGGACCATCATTGCTTTCCACAACAGCACAGGGGCCTAGGGATTCACCCATCAGTGGGAAATCAAGCATCAGCCGTGTGCTGGGAAGCCAGGGTGCTGTGGTCGCATGTTTGTGTGTCTGTGTCCCTCCAAATCCAGATGCTGAAACCTAATCACCAAGGTCCTGATGTGAGGAGGTGGGGCCTTTAGCAGGTACTTAGATCATGATGGGGAGCCCTCATGAGTGTGATTGGTGCTCTTATAAAAGAGGACTGAAGGGGTTGTTAGCCCCTTTTGGTGTTTCCACCATGTGAGGACACATGGAAGGCCCTATCTGGGAGGAACAGGCCCTCACCAGCCCCTGAATCTGCTGGTGCCTTGACCTTGGACTTCCCAGACTCCAAAACTGTGAGCAATATACATTGCTGCTTATAAATCTCCCAGTCTCGGGTATTTTGATACAGCAGCAGGAGCAGATTAAGACACAGTGAAAAGTCCCAGCATCTGACTTTAGACAGCTGACCTGGTCAGTTCTCAAAGTGGGGTCCCAGGACCAGTAAGGCATTACCTGGAAACTTCTTGGATATGAAGCTCTCAGTCCCCACCTCCCAGACCTCTAAACTCTAAAGGAGCTGTGACACCTGTTCACAGGCCCTCGGGACTCTGAGGCAAGCTGGCATTGGAAAGCCACTGAACCAGGGCGATTGGGGAGGTCTTCATTAACTGTGGGAAGAAACCGAGGGGAGGGCATGTTTGCTACTGACACAGCCTCTTCACATTGCTCCCCAAGAGACAACCATGCCGCCCCAGTGGTTGGCCGGACATGGAGACACTAACTGGGTCTTAAGGTACTTAGGACAAGAGCAAGAGAAGATTACATCTCAACACCGCACAGGGAAGGATTGAAGCAATCTCTTACACCCCAGGGAAGCAGAAAGAAGAACGTTAAAAAGGAAAGTAAAACTGCACATGGCTCAAAACTTCAAAGAGTTCTGAACATTTTCAAATAAAAAGTGAAAGCCTTTCTCTTATTTTCTAGGCTGGTTCATCACTTCTTAGATGTCCTTTTGAGAGAGGCTTCTGTGCATATGCCAACACAGGTATTTTATAGGGTTAGTTATTTATTTGTTATTCTGTTTTTACACTGTTCTGCCTTTTGTTATTCCCTTAAACATATGTCTTCGAAATGTTTCTGTATTGGTAGAGAGAGGGTCATTTCATTCTTTGTGTATGTTAATAACTTGTTACTGAAGTGTATACATAAACACAAGTGAACAAATTGTAGTTTTTCCATCTGTAGAATTGTCATAATCTAAATAATCTGTTTCTTAATGATAGATTATTTGATTTTTTTGTTCTGGTTTCATTCTTGCAACAATATTTGTAAGTGTTTCTTTTTCCTGGCTAACTTATGAGTACAGCCACCAGGTCAATTCCTGGCAGGGGTACTGCTAAGTCAAAGGGTAGCTGCATTTTTTAACTTTGATGGATATGGCCCATTAACTTTCCAGAGCAGCCCTCTGCAACTTACACTCCTGTTGACAATTTACAATTGCACCCTTTTCCCTATGCTCACAGCAGCCACGAGTGCCATTGCATTTTTAATTTTGCTACTTTGAAATTATATTTCTTTGTTCTTTTTATATGTTTCTTTAATTTTGAGAGAAATTGAGCAAGCCTTTTAAAAACTGTATTTATTAACCAATTTCATTTATATTTCTGTGGGCTTGTTTTTCAGTGGGGTTTGTAAATGTTTTTCTTACTGACTGATGAGCACTCTTTGTAAAACGTGTTGCTCAATGAAGCCTACAAGCCTTTTCCCATTTGGGTTTCAAATATTTTCTTCAGTTAATTGTTCACTTTTTCTTTAATTGTGGGTTTTTGTGTCCTCGATGATGATTTTTATTTCTAGTCAAATATCTCAACATTTCCCATTAAAGTTTTCAAATATATATCTTGCTTAGAAAGGCATTTCACATTCACAACTATAAATAAACTCACCTTTTAAATTTCAGA
This sequence comes from Homo sapiens, assembly GCF_000001405.40. Lineage (NCBI taxonomy): Eukaryota > Metazoa > Chordata > Mammalia > Primates > Hominidae > Homo > Homo sapiens. The sequence goes on from NC_000020.11 coordinate 24,740,482, forward strand.
ATGTTTTCATTTCACTCTTGTACACTCACATCTCTGATACCTCTGGAACTTATTTTGGAACAATAAGGCAGTGGGTCAGAATTCTGTGTGGTTTTCCAAATACCACATTGTCTCTAAGCCATTTATTCAATATTTCCTCTCTTGCCCTCTGATTTAAAATGCTTCCTATCATACACACTCGATTTGAGTATACATTTGTATATATCCTGGGGCCTCTTTCTGCTCCACACAAACCTTCGTGTCCATCTGCTTTCATTCTTGAACCTTCACGGTGCATTTGACATTTCACAGGACTACTCCCCAATTCCCTTCTTCCACCTGACTCTTCCTGTTTATTTTCCCACATCGATTTCCCTTCACATAGCATGTTAGTGTTTCAACTGGGATTGCACTGATCCTATGAGTAATTTAGGGTTAATGGTCACCTTCATAATATTGATGCATTCTAGCCAATAGCAAGTTATCGCTCGCAGTTTTAGTTTATCCCTTAGCAGAATTTTCAGGTTTTGTTTATATAGGTCCTACATATTTCTTTTAAAGTTTGTATTTTGCTATTGTCTCAACTAAATGCTATCTTAAATGCAATATTTTTTCATTATTTTTTTTGACAGGGTCTCACTGTGTTGCCCAGGCTGGAGTGCAGCAGCTCAGTCTTGGCTCACTGCAACCACCCGCTCTTGTCTCAAGTGATTCTCCTGCCTCAGACTCCCAGGTAGCTAGGACTACAGGTGCACACCTCTATGCCTGGCCAATTTTTCATATTTTTTGTAGAAGCAGGGTTTGCCATGTTGCCTAGGCTAGTCTTGAACTCTTGGACTCAAGTGATTCGCCCACCTTGACCTCTCAAAGTGCTGGGATTATAGGTGCGAGCCGCAGAACCCGGCCTTTTTTCATAATATTTTAACAAGTTATTTGTACATAGAAAAGTTATTGGTTATGCATAATAATTTTCCTACCTGAGTTATTGTTTTCCATAGGTTCAGCCAGTTCTCCTGGGTATTCCAAGCACACAGTCATGTGATCTGTGAACAGTGGTAACTTAGCCTTGACATCTCACTATTTTACTGGCACTTCTGACTCTCCTCTGATTTTATTGTCTAGCCTTCTGTAACCAGCCTACATAAGATCACAGCTTCGGTCTGTATTCACAGAAATAAATTCCCAAGCTTGAGAACGTTCTTTTCATTTGTGCACGTTACTTGATGTGGGCTCAGAAGTAGGCCACTGTGGTTGTGAGAGGTAGTGTCCCAGGGACAACAGAAGGTGGCTCATGCGAGCAAAGGCCAGGGAGGCAGAGCCTGAGAGAGGGGCCGGCCACTCTGCCCCTCCCTGGAGTCCATGCCCAGTGGGCTGTGGGGGACACAGATCCCACCGAGGCACCCAGGCAGGAGCTGTGCGGTTCCAGCCTCTTTACCTCATGGTTGGCAGGCCCGGGCGTCTCTCTCCACCTGTTTTGTCTCCTCTTTGCCCCATCGGCAACCCCAGCCTCTCCATTTCTGAAAAGAGCAGAGAAAGGACAACATTTGGGGAATGACATCAATAAGAGAGGGTAGCCTTCACCTGCAGAGGGTGAGCAGCCTGCGGCCCCAGCCTGGACTTGCCCAGAGGAGGAGGTCAAGAGGGCACCAGCAAGGGGTTGGCTCGGCAAGATCAGAACCCTCAGTCTCCAGGAAGCAAGATGCCAACAGCATCTGTGGCTAGGAGTCAATCACCAGCGTCCCCTCAGACCCCACGTCTGCCCCTCCCAGCCCTTTCCCATGGCAGCTTCCTGGGATGACCTTCCTCCAGGCACAGCAGGGGCTGCCATCGCAGGGCAGCAAGTTGGAAGGGTGGGCTCCATGCACCCACCGAGGGGCCTTGCCTCCCCAGCCCTGACCACAGCCAGTTCCATGCACATGCTCACCAGCCTGACAGGGACCTGGGACTTATTGGCCATGAGCCTCAGACGTATTTGAAGGAGAAAATGTATTTTGGTTTTCTGCCAACCTTATAGTCTTTTATCAAAGAGAAGGCACTTGAAGGCGCTTCTCAGAGGGAGACTTTGGCAGGGCACCCTGCCCCGAGGTGGAGTCGCTCACCCCTTCCGCTTCCCAGTTCTGCTGCTGCAGCCTCCGAGGCTGGCTGAAGGCTGATGGCCCATCGCAAGGTGTCTGTGGCTGCTGTCCTTTTACTTTTAAAAAGTCACTCAGGCCTGAGAGCTGGGGATGGGTAGGCAGCCTGTGGCAAGACCTGCCCAGGGCTCTATCTCCAGCTGCCTGCCCCACCCATGCCCCCAGCCCATCAGCTCACACAGACACACAGCACAGCGTGGAGAGTGTTCCTAGAAGCAGCCACCTTGGAGGAGGGGTCCCCTGTTCCTGAGAACTCCAAGGCATTCCGCTCCCACCCTTCAAAGGGCACAGGTGGCTGCTTGTGGACCTGATGGTGCTCACACCCTTCACAGGGCACAGGTGGCTCCTTGTAGACCTGATGGCGCTTGGTATCCTGTCCTGAAACCATGGCCTCTCATTCATCTATAACTGGGTTACAGTCTATCAGATTTAAAAAAAAAAACTCAAAATAATAACCACCTATTACAATGGCCTTGGCTCCACCGCACCCACCAGTTCAGCATCGCAGGGTGGGCTGTGCATGCCATGGGCTGCTGGAGACCAGGAGGCCACCTGAAAGGCAGTGTGACCATCAGGCTGCCTCCACCACTGGGACCCTGGCATTGGACCACACTCTCACAGTGGGATGAAGTGTTTCTGCATGTTTCTCTGTCCTCCATCCATCCAGATCTCAGCGGGACCTCCTGCCCATCCTCCATGTGATTCAGAGTCCTCGAATGCACTCCATGCAGCAGTGAGGTGGTTCTTCCATGAACAGTTTTGTGCCCGCCACAGGCCAGGCACCATACCAGGTACTGGGACACCACCCCCCCACCACCACCTCTATGCGCTGAAGACCCTAATACCTTTAAAGCTGTTTGCTGCACATTACAATCACCCACAGAGCTTTTAAACTCCCCTAGTCCAGATTACTTCCATTCCAATTAAATTAGAATTGGGGGCAGGGCAGTTGAGGATTTTTAAAGCTCCCTGGGTGATTCCAAAGTGCAGCCAGGATTGCGAATCAACCCTTTAACATATCACTTTTATTTTAATTTCTATTTACTTGCAAAACAGTGCCTTTTCAAACTCGAATGTGCCTCTACACTCCTGGGAGTCTCACTCCAGGACAGGTTCTGGCTCAGCAGGTCTGGAGCAAGCCTGGGATTCTGTGTGGACCACAAGCTCCCAGGTGATCCTGATGCTTGCTTTGAGCCATGCAGCTTTGAACTCATTACCTCATTTGGTTTTAATGCCAACTCTCCCAGGCAGCAAGCCACAAGACCCGGAGTTGAGGCCACATGGTGGGTATTTTGAATCTTTGATACTCCACAGAGAAGCAGGTCTAAATCCCTGTGGATAAAGGAGGGCGTCTGTGAATAACAAGGGAGCAAGTGTGTCTTGGGAACTGGGCACGGACAGGGTCCCTCACCCAGGAGACACCTGTTTGCCTGCCTGCGTCCTCTAGGAGGCTTTGACTCTGTGGGGCCTCACAGAACACTGAGGATCTGCTCTCTGAGACCGGGAAGACTCGATATCCTCTTTCCCCTCCTCCTGGGCTGTGGGATCTGTGTACATCTCCCACACTGCTATCTCATGAAGAGTGAGTTCCTTGAGATCCCAATAGTAGCACTTTGGGAGGCCGAGGCGAGTGGATCATGAGGTCAGGAGATCGAGACCATTCCGGCTAACACGGTGGAACCCTGTCTCTATTAAAAAATACAAAAAATTAGCCAGGCGCGGTGGCGGGTGCCTGTAGTCCCAGCTACTCGGGAGGCTAAGGCAGGAGAATGGCGTGAACCCGGGAGGCGGAGCTTGCAATGAGCCGAGATCACGCCACTGCAATCCAGTCTGGGTGACAGAGTGAGACTCCGTCTCAGAAAAAAAGAAAAAAGAAAAAAAGAAATGCTCAGAACATGGTTCATGCTCAAACAAGTTATGGAAGGCATCCATTTCCATATGTTAAGCAAGTTTCTTCACTACAGGACTTCTCAGGGCCTTTAAATTGCTAAACCGCAAGACGATGATGCCATGTACAACTTTTCCAGACTTTTTCAGGCCATTCTTACTAATATTTCCTCCAAGAGTCTTGCCCAGGGTACAGGTTGGGAACACTGAAGTTGGCCACAGTTAAGCATTTGATGAATCCCTGTGGGTTGCAATCCTTGAGCGCCATGGGGCTGTGTGAGCTCCAAGGCAGCCTAGGACCACACCAGCGCAGGAGATCATTTATCTGGGGAAATCTCAGGTGCGACCTTAGTCTAGGCTGCCAGGTTCTCAGACCTTAAGCACCAGCTCTGGCCAGGAGGAAAGCAGGCAGCATTCGCACAGCACTTCCTAGATTAGAGAAAATTATAGATTGCCTTGAATTTGCATACTGGGACCCACCCAGAAACCCTGGGTTTCAGTCATAGCCAGTGCCAATGCCTGAATATAGCAAACTTCTGCTGCAATCAGGGCCCAGGTGCAGGGGAATTAGAATCAAAGGAATCTAATATTCCATATGGTGGGTTTTAGCCAAAAGTACCTTTGTTTCTTTTCTGTTTTCTCACTGATTTTCTCTGAAGTTGCTTTATCTTGGTCATTTGACCAGTGTTAACGCATTGCCCGAAGACCCCCAGAAACATTGACATTGTCTGAAAACTTGTTGGAAATGCAGGATGTCAGACCCCTCCCTGGACTCAGGAAGTCAGCATCTCTGGGGGTGAGGACTGCAGCCTCTGAACACGCCCTCCAGCAGACTCTGTGGGCACTGAAGCTGAAAAATTGCTGTTTTAAACCAAAGTGCCCGCTATTCCAGCATCTGCAAAGGCCCCAGCGTGGCCACCTTTGTTTCTTCATTGCTTTTATTTTTCTTTGCAAGCTTATTTTGCTTTATCTTTCTAACCATTTGCCTCTCATTATGAAGAACTTGGTGCCAGCCAAGCGCATGCCAGGCCCTGTGGGTGGGATACACAGGACGTCCGGAGATCCTGAAGAGCCTGTCCAGGTTTTCAAAGCCTCTTAGCAAGTCCTATTCAGTGCATATTCCTCCTGGTTTTCACCCTGCTCTTGGCCAAGGAAACAACTGGTTTATGCCTCAAATCCCCAGAAAGGGCTACTTTTACACGTGTTCAGTCCCCTTTAGAGCTGGCTCTGAAACCTGGTGGCGAATGTGCCTTTTCTTTGGGGCAGTGGCACCACCTGGCTGTACGTTCCAATCCCCTGGGGGATGCATGCAGAGACTCACTCCAGGACCTCCAGGGCAGGGACCTGGCTGTCAATATCGTTTAAGGCTCCCGGTGATTCTATTGTGCACCAGGCTTGAGACCCTGGCATGAGATTAAAGACTAAGGAAAACAAAACCAAGAGTTTTACAGGAGAGCTGGCAAAACTGCTGACGTGGGTCACAGCTCTGAGAAACATGGAACTGAAGCAAAGAAGACCGGTCCCACAGTCGGATGGGAATGGAAACCCTCCAGCTCCTCCTAGATGGTGTTTGGCAACAGAGAGGCAGCCTGCAGTCCTACCGTGCCTACGTGGTCCTTTACGGGAAGGTCAGGGTTCACCAGCCATTCTTGGGGGCCAGGTGGTGTCTACCTCCAGTGCACTAGCCACAGTCATCGGGCCCAAGGCTGGGGTGGAGACTGAGGAGGCCACTCCCAGCCACAGTCCTACGTGTGATCCTTCAGGAGGGGGCCCCAGGCACTGACAAGCCTTTGCCCGGCAGGCCCAACAGGGAAAGCTGCCTTCCCCCCCCCCAGACCTGTGCCAAGCCCATGCCAGGAAGTCTCTGCAGGGAGTCAAGGACTCAGCCACGATCCTGTAGGCATCTGCAGTCCTCACCCAGGCACCTCCCTCCAGGCCTCCTCACCGGGGGCGTTGGCTAAGGCGTATTCCACAGTCTGACTCAGCGCTTTTCCCATGCCAGCCCGTGCCACGCCCCAGCCTCCCAGGTTCCTTTTGTTCAGGGCTCCTGGGCAGTGAGGATTCCCCAACCTGCATTGCAGACCCTGGCCCAGGGCCAAACCGCAGGAGGGCGAGGAAACTCCGCCTTGCTCCTTCTCCCACCTGCACAGTCCCGGGGAGGTTGTGCTCCAGAGCAGGGCTCTGCAGGCCATGGCCACGGCTCTGAACACCTCACCGTTGAACTCCGGGTCCAAGCTCTCGGACTCAACTCCCAACGTAGCCACAGCTAAGATTCCCTTTCTTTTTAACAAATTAGCATTAAAATGAACTGAAATTTGTTGATCCTGATTTAAGTTTCTTTTTAATAAGGTCGTGGATAAATTTCACAGATGGAGATGTGAGGGCAACCACACATGTATGTGGCGAGGGCCAGAAAACAGCTGCGGTGATAAATAAATGGTGGGTGCAAGCAAGAATCAAATAAATGGTGTGGAAAAGACCAGCCCTCTTTCTCTCATCTTTCTAGTCAATGATTTTAGTCCTCAGCTGCCTCCCTAGGATCTGTGTCTTACAAGAGCTCCGTTCTTTCCTGAAAACTGTATTTCTCTAAAACACTCCCAGAGCCCTTATCACAGCCAAGGCCTCTTTTCCAGTCAGTGGCCTGAGAGTAAGGCAGTGCCCTTGTCAGAAGCTGTTGATGCTGGTAAGAAGCAGTGACCTCTGACCCTTCTGGATGCTGCTGACTCCTGCTGTCACTTTTAATTGCAGAGAAAGTAAAACAAGAGATTTCTACTTTGTGGACTGTGCTACTTCAGCAGTCCCTCTTCAGGCAGCATGCACATATGCCCACACTGAGGTAAGGAACATGAGCCCAGAGGTAAGGAATATGACCAACCTGATCCCCTCAGCCATCACAGGTGGTGGGAAAAGACTTCAGGTGATTCACTCAAAGGCACAAACCAGGGTCCGGGCAGAGCTGGACTTGAACACACGGCTCCTATCTCTCAGGCTGTGTTCGTTGCTCTGCACGCACTCCCGCTGCGTGTTTACTCCTTGGCAATGTGTTGAGCACCTGCCATGAACCAGCTACTGCTGCTGTGGATGCAGTGACAACGGGACAGGCAGAGTCCCTGCTGCAGAGGGTCTGTGCTTTAGTGCAGCAGGCAGCTCTGCAACGTCAGGCACTCCAGCTGTTAAGGGCAGGTGCTACAAAGGGACCCACATCCGGGGGTGGTGAGTGTCCCTTCTCTGGCTCACTCGGGTACAAGAAAGGGAAATTCTGGGAAAAAGTGGCAGCAGTGACAGAGTGCTTACCCTCCCTAAACCTCCCCCTAAAAATAGATGGCATGCTATGGGCTGAATGGCCTCCCTGCAACATTCATATGTTTAAGCCCTAATTCCCAGTACCTCAGAATGGGCTCTGTATTTGGAAATAGAGCCTTTAAAGTGGTGATTGACTTAATGTGGGGTCATTAGAGTGGGTCCTAATCCACCTTGTTGATGTCCTCATAAGAAGAGGAACTTTGGGCACAGAGAGATACTCAGATGTGCATGCACAGAGGGAAGGCCACGGGAGGTGCAGCAAGCCAAGGAGAGAGTCCTCATGAGAAACCAGCCCTGCCCACACCTGGACCTGGGACTTGAGCCTCCAGAACTGTGACACAATAGATTTCTGTTGCTTTTGCTACCAGGCCTGTGTCATGTTGCTATGGAAGCCTTAATGCCCAGAACAACTTGACAGTGAAATCCAAAACTCGTGGACAGCAACCCAACATTCAAGTGGGTGGGACAAACACCCACGAGCCCCCAACCAGATAGTGTGGGAGCAGCAGAAGGAAACAGGAGACAACCCTCGCACCTGGAAACAGAGCCTCCAAAAGGCAGAGGGCATGGGGGTGATTTGGAAACAGCAGTTGAAGCCTAGCATTTGTCTAATGCTTCAGCAAGTACAAGTGTGAGCCTGCTGGGCCGTGGATCCTTCAAACTGGCCTGTCTGGGCTCCCAGCCAGGACAGAGCCCACACTGAGGAGAGATTGGGTGAGAAAAATCAAAATTGAGCAAGATCCCCATATCAAACCTGAAGTGGGGAGGGGAACCCACCCAGGACACCTCAGAGGGCAGACCACCCTGTTCTTAATACTACAAGGAAAGTGCGGAAGAGAGAGCTCTGCAGAGTTAAAAATCCTCCCCTGCAATCAGTCTCCTTCTAAAATATCAGGAAAACCATTTCACATAAAAATTGAGCAACAGAAGTGCATTGAGGTTCAATACGACACAAAATACAAAATTAACACAAGAAAAAGAGACGAAGCAGCAGAAAACCTTTCCTACTAACAATCAAAACTTGCCTGACAAATGGGACCACAAAAATCAGAGCTATCATCTATTATTTCAATATAAACTAAAAGACATTAGGAACACCACATGACATGAACACTCTTAAATGACTTTGGGAGAATTCATAAATAAGGTAACAAAACTCTAGAGAATTTGAAATAAAAGAAAATTATTGCAGAGGTAATGATTAAAATGAAAGGAACATAACACCAAATACACACAAGGGATAATGCCATAGAAAAATAGAAGGCAAAAAGAGGAAATTTGTAAAAACTGAAAAACACGAGTCCAGAGATGAAAAGACTGAGAGAAAGTGGCAAATATGAAAGATAGACAAAGGAAATCTAATATAAAGAAATTAGGAGCCTGAGAAAGACAATCAAAGCAGGAGAAACGATTATCAACCCAGAACAAGCAATGCCAAAACATATCCTAGTAAAATTATTAAACTGTAAAGAAAAGAAAAAAAATCTTTTGAGCATTCAGGCAAAAAGAGCAAATGACTTGTAACGAGAAGAAAGCAAATTATCATCAAACTTTTCAACAGCAACACTGTGTGCCAGAAAATAAATAAATAAATAAATAAATAAATAAATAAATGCATTAGAATACTCAAGGAAAGAAAATGTTAGCCAAGAATTTCATATCCAGCAAAACTGACTTTAATGATAAAGGCCATGTATAGACTATTATCAGTATGTAACAACTCAGCAAAGATCATTCCCGTGAACATTTCCTGAGGAATCTACTAAACACTAAGCCTCAGACGAGCGAGCTGATGAGAGAGACACCCATTCAGGGACTGGTGGGCACTGAAGATAGAGTCGCCCCTGGAACCCAGCCTGGGTGATGGCCCGTGGGAGGGTCTGGAGCTCAGGCAGCATAGATCCCACACAATCAAAAAAGTGGGGGAGGGAGGGAGGGAGGAGTGGTGGTATTGTTATTCTTATTTCATTGACTTTAATTTGGGATAAAATAAATAATTATGTTATATTCTATCAATCACTGTAGGCTTGAGAATCAGGGTTCTTGTTGTGGAAGAAAGAAGATACAGATGGAATAGAAGAGGGTTGCCCCTTTTCTAAAACCTTGTAAATTCTAAATTTGTATAGAGAATAAAACTCATTAGGTATTTTACCTTCAAAGTAGATAGTTACATAGGTAGTCAGACAGTCAGACAGAGAGAGAGATACAGATAGATAGATAGACAGATAGATAGATGGATAGATACATACGTACATACATACATACATGGAAGGAATGACCATTCCAATAGCAATGAGTGCATCCAGCATCCAGACAGTGGTCTTGAAATGTCATTTCCCACTAAAAAAAAAAATAATAAGGAGGGCTTCTTGGGCTTCATGCCTCGTCCCATGTCTGAGAGACGAAATGCATGAGATGAGCCTGGAGCACCCTAGCAGATGCCAAGATACCCTCAAAGACCACGAGGGTCACATCAGAAGGCTCAGGTGCCAGCATGGAGAGACTCTCATTATGAGGTCAATCTTCAAAAAGGAGAATAATTGCAATATGTTGAAAACCCATCAACTATACATTCCTGAATTCATAGTATTTTTAAAATATTAATTGGGCACCTTTTGAAGATGTTGTAAAACCAATTCAATGTTTTAAATAAAAGAAAGTACCCAGTGTTTGTCCTCCTTTTCCTGTACGAATGGTACCCCTGGGTAATCCAGGCATAGGTGAGGAAAAGTCTCTTTAAGAAACTATCCCAGCTAATAAGTGAAAAAAAAATGATGGAAACAGACAATCACCATTTTGCAGGCATGCCAGCCCAGTGGCTGCTGATGTTACACAAAGAGAATCACCCAGACATCGGATGCCTCCTGATGAGACAACACACCTGTCTGGTCTGGAAGATGAATGGTGCCTGGGTCTGATCCGGCTCTGGGTCCAGCTGTGAGAAACAGAGGGTAGCACAGGCCTTGGTCTACACCACGTGGGCACAGCCTGCAAAACCCAGACGGGAAAACTGCAGGCGAACCAGCCTGTGTTCCTCAACAGAAAGGGAAAGAGAGGTGTACAGGGAACCTATAAATTGAGACATCACAGTTTAAAAAAGGAAGATGAAACTCTAGGATCCAAGGACTGCACCTGGATGCTAAGCTGTGGAGAAGTGCAAAGAGCTGGTCTAGTCAGGGCAGGCATAGGAGAGGCTGCAGGTCTGCTTCTTCACCTGTGTGGTGGCTGTAAGGTGTTGACCCAAAATAATTCACTAAGCTATATCTTTTATGGGGTTTTCTGTATCTGTGTTTTATTTTATAATAGAAAATTTACCAATCCCAGCACTTTGGGAGGCCAAGGCAGGAGGATCACTTGAGGCCAGGAGTTTAAGACCAGCCTAGGCAACATAGTGAGACCTTGTCTTCACAAAACTTAATATTAAAAAATTAGCCAAGCAGGGCATGGTGGCTCACACCTGCAATCCCAGCACCTTGGGAAGCCAAAGCGGGTGGATCACCTGAGGTCAGGAGTTCGAGACCAACCTGGCCAACATGGTGAAACCTCATCTCTACTAAAAATACAAAAAATTAGCCAGGTATGGTGGCATGCACCTCTAGTCCCAGCTACTTGGGAGGGTGAGGCAGGAGAATCACTTGAATCCAGGAGGTGGAGGTTGCAGTAAGTCAAGATTGCACCATTGCACTCCAGCCTGGGCAACAGAGCAAGACTCTGTCTCAAAAAAAAAAAAAAAATTAGTCAAGTATGGTGGTACACACCTGCAATCTAGTTACTTGGGAGGCTGAGGCAGGAGAATTGCTTGAGCCCAGAAGCTCAAGGCTGCTGTGAGTTATAATCAGGTCATTGCACTCCAGCCTGGGTGACAGAGTGAGACCCTGTCACTGAAAGATAGATGAATAAAAGAAAGGAGCAGAATCACCCACAGAGCTTGTGTGTTTCGGAGCCCTGCAGCCAGGGTTTCTGATGCAGTAGGTGTGAGCTGGGGCTCCCAGGCGATGCTGGTGTTGCTGTTCCATGAAGCACACTTCGAGCAACAGAGGGAAGGAGCAATGGCTCCTGTGCTCAGTGTGCGACTGGTATTCAATAATAATAATAACATGTTGCATAGCCACTCTGTATCAGGTCCAGCACTAAAGACCTCATCCTACTTAATTCTCAAATTAGCCCTGAAGTTGATATTCGTTTTTTTTGTTTTGTTTTGTTTTATTTTTTGGCAGAGTCTTGCTCTGTTACTAGGCTGGAGTGCAGTGGTGCAATCTCGGCTCACTGCAACCTCCACCTCCCAGGTTCAAGTGATTCTCCTGCCTCAGCCTCCCGAGTAGCTGGGACTACAGGTGTGCACCACCACGCCCAGCTAATTTTTGTATTTTTAGTAGAAGATGGGGTTTCACCATGTTAGCCAGGGTGGTCTGGATCTCTTGACCTTGTGAGCTACCCGCCTCAGCTTCCCAAAGTGCTGGGATTACAGGTGTGAGCCACCACGCCCGGCCGATATTCTTACATGCCTTGGAAACACAAAGCCATGGAAGCTGAGAGAACAGAGTGTGGCTGCAAGGGAAAGAGAAGGGGGGTCAGCCCCAGGGCCACCCTGGAGCCTGCAGCTCCAGACCCAGCATTCCCAAGGGCTTTGCTGTGGGCCTTCCTTTTAACAGAAGCAATGATTGAAAACTTAAAGGCATGTGTGGGACTGCAAAGCTGGTTTCCTTCTTGAGGCATCCAAATGTCACGAGTTAGCCCATGTGTGCCAAGCCCTCAAAGTAGAAAGGTAAGGAGGTCCCAGCTCAGGCCTTGCACTGGGTGTTTCAGTTATCCTGTGCTGTGTAACAAAACACCAGGACATGGTGGCCTAAGACAACAGCGAGAGGTGTTGCTTCTCACAATTCTATGACTGGGTAGTTCTGTGGATGGTCAGTCCTGTGGCCCCACTCTGTTGGGAGCTCAGCTGGGGCTGGAAGCCTGAGATGGCCTCAAACCTGTACCCAAGGCCCTAGCACTGGCCGTCAGCTAGGCCCCTTGCCTGATGTCCTCTTGTCATCCAATGGTCTAACCAGGGCTTCTATCCCCACGTGGCAGGGGAAGCAGTGCAAGCCCCAACATGCAAGCCCTGGTCAAGCCTGGTCAAGCCTCTGCAGGCAGGCGCTCAGTCCAGCCTCGTCTCCCACAAAGGACAAGTGATAGGAGGCTGTCAGAGTCAAAGCCTCCAACTACAGGCTTATCGTGGACTATGGGTTCGTGTCTCCCAGAATTCGTAAGTTGAAACCCTAACTCTCAACAAGGGTGATATTAGGAGGTGGGGCTTTTGAGGGAGGGTAATTGGGTTGTGAAGGCAGAGCCCTTATGGGGAGAGGCTGTAGGAGGGGAGAGGGTGCCTCCTACCTCTTTTCCCTCCACCATGTGAAAACATGTGGAGAAGGCCACCTGCAAGCCAAGGCCAGCCCTCACCACACACCAGACATGCTGGCTCTTTGATATTGGACCACCTGGCCTCCAGAACTGTGAGGACTAAACGTTGCTGTGTCATCCACCCAGCGCGTAGCAACCCAAACAGTAGACAGGGCTACAGATGGCAAGAGCTGGGGAGAACTTAGAGACCAGCCTCCTCATGGGTTGTGACCCTGACTCTGTGCAGACTTCCAGCCATGCCAGGGAGCTCACAGCTGGAGTGAGAGCATGGTTGCCCTGTGGTGAACTTGGGTCTGACCAGGGCCTGCGTTTAACCCCCTGTACAGAGAAGGGAGGATGGACAGTGCTTGGACCTCCACACTCTTCCTTCAGCAGCCTCACCCGCTGCATGTGGTCTGAGGACCAGCAGCCTCAGCATCACGGGGGACCCGGTTAGAAATGCAGAATCCCAGACCCATTCTCAGATCTGCAGAACCAGATGCTGCATTTTAACACAATCTGCAGGTGATTCATGTGCATAAGAAAAATTGAGAAGCTCTAAGAGATCATGGACCTGGTTCCTCCACAAATAAATTTCAAAGGAAAAAAAAAGGGGCGGGAATCTCTGGGTTAAAAGAAATAAAACAGGCCAATAACATGCAACAGGTGGACCTGGTTTGGATGCTGATTTGTATGAACCAATAGTAAACACTGATATTTGATGCTGAGGACTGTTGATGGTTAGGTGTCTACGTTACATTAAAAGCACCCATCTTTTAGAAATGCATACTGAAATGCCTAATGACAACACCATAGGATGCCTGGGATAGGCTTCAAAACAACCCAGTGTGCAGGCAGAGGGAGCACACGGGAGGGCTGTATCTCAATTTTGAAAAAACACCTTGCATCCATCAGCTAGAGATGAGTATATGTGGGCCCAATAAACTATTCTTTCTGTTGTTGTCTGGATTGGAAATTCCAATAAATAAATGATTATTTAATCTCCTGGCTGTTTTTAAATAAATAAGCAGATCCCTAGGTGTTACTCAGACTTATTGAATCTCTGAAAGTTTAGCCCTAGGAAGGTTATTGTTGTTGCTTGTTTGTTTCAATCCTTTCCTTAGGTAATCTTGATGCATTTGGTACCAGGGCTGTGGTTTGGGAATCACCAATTGCATTCAAGTGTTATATCTAGAAAGCATTAAATTTCCAGAAACTCAGCCCTGTTCTTGACAGGGCACGCCAGACAGGCAGGAACTGGGGTCAGGATGGATGAGGAAAACAACCATAAGTTTCTCAAAGACAGAAGTAAATCGGCTTCTTCTGAGCAATTGCTTCAGAACACCTTCTCCTCTGCCCTGAGCACCCTCTTATTAGGTGCAAAATCTCGAGGGGGCATTTGCTCCTAGTTCTTCTGCCCCTGCTGACTCTATAATCTTTGATGTGGCCAGATTTGCACAGTTACTTAACTGGCCTGTCCTCTGTGGGCATTTGTGTTTGCCAGAATCCTGTATGACCTTATGAAAAACATTGTTCAGGGTACAATATCTGTGCTATTCCTCCCACAGCCATTTGCATTTTAAATGAGAACACTTGTTAACTCAAAAACAATGACTTTCTAATGGCTCAATTTTAGAGATGGTGGCCGGGGCAGAGATTTCGAGCTGGCTGTGCTGCCTGGAGTATCCTAGGTCAGGACCCTTCCTTCTGTGCTGCGCTGTGGTCCTGGGCACCACCCAGCTTGCTGGACGGAAGCTGGCTACAGCGTGCCAGGGGCTGTTTCCCTTTCATACACTCCTCACTTAAAGGCCTTCAAGTTACTAACAATGATATTAATAATGCACGGTACTTAACAACCACAAAACAGACAGAGCTGCTGGCCTGTTTTCTATCCCCCAGATACAAAGAGGTCTAGGTTTATGCTTCTGGTGAGAAGGTCAAGAAAACCTTCTGCACCTCAGTTTCCCCCTCTGAACATAGGGGCAAAACAATCCTGGAATACAACTGTTTACTTAAAAATCACACAATTTATACATTTGGAAAGGAAACCATATTTCTTATAAAGGGTTCTGACCACAGCCGGAAGGTAGTCTTCCTGCAGGCTGGGAAGCACAGCTTCTGGCAAAGACCAAAGTCAAGCACTTTTAAGAAAAATAGGTGGGGGGAGGAGCTTTATGCCAAATGAGTTGGCTAAACATGCATATTCAACAGGTTACAGAAGGAGCTGTGAATATTCATAACAAGGATCCTGATGCACACATATAGAACATGTATGTCACATATGATCCATGTTCGCCTTGGGGTGGAGACTTAACATTTAAATGCATGACTGTTAGGCCCTATATATCAAAAGGTCTTTTCAGGACACAAAGGCGCTCAAGTGTGAAGCCTCTGTAAACCATCCAGAACCAGTCCACAGTTGGTGGTCTCTTCTCTGGAGAAAGTTACCGAAATCAGCCTGTTGTTCAATCAAAGCTGTAGTCACAGTTTGTGAAACCTGGGGTCAATGTCCAGTGGAGCTGCAATTGTTTCAACATTGCTTATCCCAAAGCCAATGCTTGTTCAGCTGCTAGAGAAAAAGAAAAACCTCATGACAGAACATGGTTTATTCTTACAGTGTAGGGGTGAGTGATTTAACCCTTGACTCTCATGGCCTTAGGCCCTGTTTATACTTCAGCAATTTATTGCCACACAGAGTCAGTCCCTTCAGTCTTATGATCTCTATTTTAACATTCGTGCTGGTCAGTTGTTTCTAAACCACAAGAGGGAGGGGAGAAATGAAGGGTGTCTGACCTCCTGCCCTGTCATGGCTGGGAACTCAGTTTTTATGTTTTTTTCTGGGATCCTTTGGCCAAGAGAGGGTCTGTTCAGTTGGTGAGAAGTCTAGGACTTTATTTTTAGTTTACACAACAAAGGGTGATTGGAGACCCAAGTGAGACAGTGTTTGGGAAACTACAAAAAGGGGTAAGAGAGAATGCTTTTCTCATTTCTGTCTTAATTCAGTTTTGTCTTCTTAAATATCTAAATTCTATTATCATCTTGAATATTAATCATCCCAACTCCTTTAAAAAGTGCATCTCAACTTCTGCTTTCCTGTCTAGCAGGTAAGGAGTTTGCAAGTCATTCCTTCATCCTAGAAACAAACAAACAAAAAAAGCTGAACAAACCAAAAAATCAACAACTCTTTTTAGATTCATCAGAGAATCGAGGTCACAGTGAAACGGGAAAGGTTCCCTTGTCCCCCTCACAGGGCATGCAACAGGGAGAGTGGCTCGCTTCTTCAGTGCCCCACTGCTCAAACCTCTAGGGGAGCATAGAGACGGGCAGGCTGTGGGGCTCTGACCCCACGGCAGTGTCTAGGGGTGGATGTTTACAGCTCCTGAAGCCCCAGTGGGTGTGTATTACAGAGTGTTCTTTTAGTTTGCCATCTATAGGTGGCTTGTGTTAACCAGCTCAATTAGACCCGCTTCCATATCACAAGGACAGAGGGATTTCTGTATTCCAGGTTCTTGCCCTGGTATACCAGAAGAATCAGATCACACATGGGCTTGGAGAATGAGTGCAAAGTTTTACTGACTGGAAGTAGCTCTCAGCAGATGGGGGAGCCACAAGGGAGACGGTTTTCCCCTGGAGTTGGGCTGCTCAGTGGCCCAGGCTCGCTTTCAACTGCCCCAGCCAAACTCCACTTCATCCCACAGTCGAGATATGGCAGAGATGTTAGAATTACCAGACGTTGAATTAGAACAGCTATGATTAATATACTAAGGGCTGTAATGGACAAAGCAGACAGCGTGTACGAACAGAGGTGCAGTGTAAGCAGAGAGATGGGAATTCTAAGAAACATCCCCCAAAAAGGCTGCAGATCAAAAACACTGTCACTGAAGTGAAGAGTGCCTTTTATGGGCTTATTAGGAGACTGGACATAGCTGAGGAAAGAATCTCTGAGCTTGAGGATATCTCAACAGAAACTTCTAAAACTAAAACACAAATAAAAAAAGACTGAAAAAAGACCTGTGGGACAACTAGAAACAACACAATATACATGTGACGGGAATAGTAGAGGGAGAAGAAAGAAAAAAAGAAACAAAATAAATATTTAAAACAATAATGCCTAAGAATTTCCCCAAATGTCAGACACCAAACCATAGATTCAGGAAGCTCAGAGAATATACCAAGCAGGATAAATCCCCCCAAAAAGTTGCACCCAGGCATGCCACATTCAAATGAGGAAAATGAAAAATAAAGAAACAATAATTAAAGAAGCCAGAGGAAAAAGAATCTTATCTATAGAGAAATAAAAATAAAAATTTCATCCAGCTTATCCTCAGACACCATGCAAACAAGAAGAGAATGGAGTGAAGTATTTAAAGTGTTGAGAGGGGAAAAAAAAAACAAATAACAAAAAACCAGCAACAACCAACAATTCTGTACCCTAAGAAATTATTCTTCAGAAATGAAGCAGAAACAGTCTTTTTCAGAAAAACAAAAATTGAGGAAATTTGTTGCCAGTAATCCTGACTTGCAAAAAAATATTAAAAGAAGTTCTTCAGAGAAAAAGAAAAGGATACAGCCTAGAAACTCAGATTTACATAAAGGAAGAGCATTGGAGAAGGAATAAGCAAAGATAAAAACTTTTAGTTTTTATTCTTAATTGATCTAACAGATAACAATCCATTCAAAATAATAACAATATATTTGAGTATGTATGTTTACATATGTATATGTATTATATATTATACATGTGCTTATGTGTAAGTGAAATGAATGACGACAATGACACAAAGGATGAGAAGGGGGAATTAGGATTATTTTGCTATTATATGGTACTTGCACTACCTGTGAAATGGTATAGTGTTATTTGAAAGTGGACCTGGACTATATTGCAAACTCTAGGGCAACCACTAAAAAACAGTTTTAAAAATTATAACTGGCAGGATGCGGTGGCTCAAGCCTGTAACCCAACACTTTGGGAGGCCAAGACAGGCAGATAACGAGGTCAGGAGTTTGAGACCAGCCTGACCAACATGGTGAAACCCATCTCTACTAAAAATACAAAAATTAACCGGGCATGGTGGTGGATGCCTGTAGTCCCGGCTACTCAGGAGGCTAAGGCAGGAGAATAGCTTGAACCCAGGAGGCGGAGGTTGCAGTGAGTCGAGATCACACCACTGCACTCCAGCTTGGGTATCAGAGCAAGACTCCATCTCAAAAAAATAATAATAACAACTGATATGACAAAAAGAAGAGTAAATAAAATGATATGAAATACTCAAATGAAACAACAAAAGGCAGAAAGACTAGAATGCAAAAGTAGGAATAAATAACAAGGGCAGTGAATAGCAAACAAGTAACAAGCATGCTAGATATTATTCCAACTATGTGAATAACTACTTTAAATGTCAATAGTCTACATACACCAATTAAAAGATGAAGAGTGTCAGAGTGGATCAAAAAACAACACCCAATTATACATTCTCTAAAAAAAACTCGTTTGGATAAAAAGATACATATAGGTTAAAGTTACATCGATAGAGAAAGATATACCATGCTAACACTAATAAAATGAAAGTTGGATTAGTTATATTAATTTTAGACAGGGCAGACTTCAGAGCAAAGAAAGTTATTAGGAATACAAAGGTGCATTATATAATGATAAAGGAGTCAATTCTTCCAGAAGACAATGTAATATTTAATGTGTACGTCCCTAATGACAGAGCATCAACATACATGAGGCAAAAACTGACAGAAATGAAATGAAAAATAGAAGAACTCACTCTTATAGTTGGATACATCAACACCTCTCTATCAGCAATGGACAGATACAGCAGGCAGAACATTAGTGAGGAAATAATTGAACTCATCAGCACCATCAATCAACTGGATATAATTGACATCAATCTACTTCATTCAACAATGACAGAAGACACCTTCTTCTCAAGCTCACATGGAACATTAACCAAAAGAGACCATATTCTGGGGCATAGGACACACATTAACAGACTTACAATAGAACTCACACAATGTCTTTTCTCAGAACACAATGGAATTAAAATTAGAAATCGATAACAGAAGGGGAGCTGGAAAAATCCCCAAACATATAGATATTAAACAACACATTTCTAAATAACACATGAATCAAAGAGTAAATCTTAAGAGATTTTTAAAAATATTTTGAAAATGAAAATACAACTGATCAAATTTTGTGGGATGCAGTGAAAGCAATGCATAGAGAGAAATTTATAGCATTGAATGCACCTATTAGAAAAGAAAAAAGGGCTAAAATCAATAACTTAAGCTTCCACCTTAGGAAACTAAAATAAGAAGAGCAAATTAAATCCAAAGTAAACAGAAAAAGTAAATAATAAAAATTAGAGTAGAAATCAATGAAATTAAAACAAAAAATCAATATCAAGAAAATCAACAAAATAAAAATTTGGTTTTTTGAAAAGCTCAATAAAATTGATAAGCCTCTAGCCAGGATTAACTAAAGAAAAAAAGAAGACACAAATTTCTAACATCAGAAATGAAGGAGGGCACAACACTACAGATCTCATAGACATTAAAATGGATAATACAGAACTATTATGAAAAGCTCTAGTCATCAAACCTCATAACGTGGATGAAATGGAACAATTCCTGCAAGGAAACAATCTGTTGAAACTTACATGAGGAGAAACAGAGAATTTGAATGGAGCTATATCTATTAAAGAAATTGAATCAATAATGAACAACCTTGCAAAACCAAAAGCACCAGACCCAGGTAAATTATACCAAGCATTTAAGGAAGAAATTGTACAATCTCTTTTAGAACATAGAAGTCAGAATTACCTTAATACCGGAACTGCACAATTACCTTAATACCGGAAATGCACATAATTACCTTAATACCGGAACTGCACATAATTACCTTAATACCAGAACTGCATAATTACCTTAATACCGGAACTGCACATAGAATTCTGTCTATGAAGTCAGAATTACCTTAATACCGGAACTGCACAAATACTTCTCGAGAAAACTACAGACCAACATCTCTCATGAATATAAATGCAAAAATGCTCAAAAAAAAATAACAAATCCAATCCAACAATGTATGAAAATAATTCTATACTATGACCAATAGGATTTATTTCAGGTATGCAAGGCTGATTCAACAATGAAACATCAATTAAAGTAATTCTAATTCATCATATCAACAGGCTAAAGAAGAAAAAAATCACATGATTATATTAACAGATGCAGAAAAGCATTTTATAAAAATCCAACACCTATTCATGATAAAAAGTCTCAGCAAACTTGTAATATGGTGAACTTCCTGAACTGCATGAAGAACATTTACAAAAATCCTACAGCTAACATAATAACTAATGGTGAAGAACTCAAAAGTTTTCCTCTAACATCAGGAAAAAGGCAGGATCCCCCCTCTCACCACTGTTTTTCAACATTGTACTAGAAGTCCTAGCTAATGCAATAAGACAAGAAAATGAGTAGCCAGGCCTGGTGGTACATTCCTGTAGTCCTAGCTACTCAATAGGCTGAGGCAGGAAGATCCCTTGAGCCCAGGAGTTTGAGGCTGCAGTGAGCTCTGCCTGCCCCACTTCACTCCAGCCTGGGTGACACAGCAAGACCCTGTCTAAAAATAAAAAAGAAATAAAAGATACAAAGATTAAGAAGAAAAGATAAAACTGTCTTTGTTTGCAAATGACAAAATTGTTTTTTAGAAAATCTAAAATAATTGACCCAAAAAACCTCCTGGAACTAATAAGCAATTACAGCAAGGTTGCAGGATATAAGGTTAATATACAGAAGTCAATCACTTTCCTATATACCAGCAATGAACAAGTGGAATTTAAATTAAAAACACAACAGCACTTACATTAGCACCAAATGAAATAAAATACTTAGATACAAATCCAATAACATACACACATGATCTGTAAGAGGAAAACTATAAAATTCTGACAAAAGAAATCAAATGTATCACTCTAGTGTGGGATGTTGATAATGGGGAAGGTTGGGGGAGCACAGGTTATATGGGAAATTTCTGTACCTTCTGATGAATTTTTCTGTGATCCTGAAACTACTCTAAAAAATAAAATCTCTTTCTTAAATCAAATCTTTAAAAAATGCATCTCTGGACTGATTCAGCATGAGACATCTGCTTGTATTTCAGGATCACATGGTGCCCAGCAAACCTGCTCAGTTATTTCCACCAAGATCAACACAGAGGTGTGGGTGTTGTGTAGGTGTCTGCACTGATATTCAGTCCTGCTGGGAGCTCTCTGTGCACTCCAGCCCTGTTAGGACAGGTATGGGTAAGTCAGATAAGACTGTGAGCTGCCCAGGGCACACAACTGGAGGTCAATGAGGCCCAGGCCAGCCCTGAAAACCATTTCTCACTTTGCATCCCACAGCCGCAACAGTGGCACCTTGGCCCCTCTTTGTGAAGAGCATCTTGGCCTCCTCTGTGAATCTTTACTTGAATCCCCCTTGCCTAGACTGTCAGCTGCAGGAGGGCGGGGGTAGCCTGTCTGGTTTAGCTGCTTCTCCAGTGCCTAGCACAGCACAGACTCAACAGCCTTGTCGCCAGCTCAGGTGCTGCCTCTGACAGAGCTTATGAGGATGCCTCATGGGAGGGAGGCAGAAGCCTGTGTCAGGGCTTCTGCCCTGTGTGTGGACCTCCAGAGGAGCATCCAAGTTTCAGGAAAAGGCTCCACCAGCCTGTGCACTCACACACGCATGCTGTCATACAACATTAGCCTTTCTTTCTGGACCCCTACACCAAGCGTGACATCTGCCAGCGCCCTAGTGAAGGAGTTCTGAAGGTATGTGCTGCAGAGGCCTGTGCCTGGTATTCAGCAAGAGTGCAACACATGCGTGCTAAATTCAGTGGGGAAGTGGTCTTCTCAATATCTCTTGGACTGCAGCAAAACTGAACATTCTTCTTCTGTGTGTGTGTGTGTGTGTGTGTATGTATATATTCATATTTACTATAACAACTAAAGTGTGTTTGCACTATACATACTGTAAATGCGAGACTGAAATAAATGTAGATTGGCATGAGAAGTATTTGCATAATATGTGTGTATAAATAGATAGATATAGATACAGATAGAATAAAAACTTAGTTATTGTAAGAAGGAAAGATAGATGGGAGGGGGCATGCTGGCTGCAGACCCCATGCTCAACAAAAAGGTGACACACACATAGTTTCAGGTCTACTTTCAAGGACGTGCAACCCTGCTGTGTATTTCCAAGAAGGTCCAACTTACATCTTCACTCACAGTAAGACGCTGCTGTCCATGGGAACTCAGGTCTCCCCTGTTCCTCCATTGTCCCCCAACTGCCTAAGCCCCATGAAGCTCCTTCCCTTGGGCCCTCCCCTGCTGTGTATACATGTGGGAGGGTCCCCCTGCCTTGCCAACTGGCCCACTCCCCAGGACCTCTCCAGACCTCCAATGGCGGTCTCTGCATGGCCCTGCCTAGGGGAAGCCTCTATGCAGAAGATCCCTGATGCTCCAAGGGGACATGAGGGTGGCTGGCAGGTGCTCACTGCCTTGAAAAGCCAGTAAGTCTCCTGCCTGGAAGACAGCAAATCCCATGTTCTGCCCCAAGACTTTTCCAGAAAGCAAGGAAAGCAGCTTCTGAGCCACAGGAGAAAACACGGAACTCCTTGATCATCACTGCCCTTGCCCATCCTCACCCAAGCAGCCCTGAACTTGGTGCCAAATATTCTGGGATCGTCCCCTCAAACCCACTCTACATGTAGGTGAGACAGCCAGCTCTCTCAGTGTGGTCCCCAGAGGCAAACCCTGGGCACGGATCCCAGGCAAGAGGCTGAGCTGGGAGAAGAGGTGTGCAACCTGGCAGAGGAGGGGAAGGTGGGCTGGGGAAGGGGAAGGGAGTGAGGACTGACCCTACATGGAGCTTTGGGAGCTGGCAGCCCCATCTGGGCTTTCCCCCAGACAGGGAAGCTGGGGCACTTGGGAACCCCCCCAGCCCTGGTTGAGGGCTGTTCCCTCTGGATGGCCAGGGGGGATCCAGCCCACCCAGCCCTGCCTGGCCCCAGCCAGAAAGAGCCTTGGTAGAGTCTCAGGCCCTTGGCAGCTGGATCTCAGACGACAGTTACATGTGGCTGGCTCTGAAGGCAGCATCTATAGCAGAGCTTGGGGACATTTAAGTGACAGCAAATCTCTAGGGTTCCCTTGAGCCATGTGGGAACCTAAGTCTGCCAGCCTTGGACTCAGACCTGAGCATGCCCCAGCAGCTTCTCACTTCAAGTGAGAAGTGTCGGCACCGCCCACACAGCAAAAGCAGCACTAAGAGAAAGAATTGCAAACCACCCCAAAAACACTGCTCCCTTCAGCTGCGAGGCTCCTACTCCTCCACGCTGCTGGTGGTTGGAGAAAGGACCAGGAGTGGGAAGGCCTCCGAAATGCGGGCCTCCAACAGCAGCAGCTTCCTCCCCACATTCGGAGCCAAGGTCACAGCCCGCAGAAAACCGTAGCTGGAAGGAGGGGCCTCCAGTGCACGTCCCGCGCCTGGGGTGCTGGTGGTCAGGGAGCAAGTACAGCAGTCAAGAACATCAAGCCAAAAGAATTTTTCTTTGAAAAGCAAACCTCAGACATCAAACGTCTGGCCAGGTCTCGCTGGTTCAAACGACGGAGTGAAGGAAACACCTGGGGCATGCACTGCTTCCCTGTCGCCCTTACTGACCACGGGAATGGGAAGCCGCCCAGCACACGCTCGTGGTGGGATTGGAGAAGCGCTCACCGGGTTGATCGTAAAACAGGGACGTGCCTAGATGGCCCTCCCTGCAGAATTCACCCCCGAGGCCCCTTGATTGACTTCCAGATGACCCTGAGGTGGAGGCTGCCTTCCCATTTTATAGAGAAACTGGAGACTCACCAAGGGCAGACTGGGTGGGTGGGCCCAGGGCACATTGCAGACACAACTGGCACCCAAGACTTTGCTTGGGAAAGATGACTTGGGGACCAAAGTCAGGTGCGGGGTGGAGGACAGCAGCACCAGGCCATGGCAGCCGAGCAGCGGGATCTGCTCTGGCCTCCAGGGAGGCTTCCTCATTTGGCGGCTGCAAAGAAGACAGCCTGGGCTTCCCGGCACATTCCTGAGATGGACGCCGCTAGATCCCCAACCTGCACCCCTTCCCTTGCCTGTTTGACACCAACCCAGAGTGAGCAGCTTCAACCACCCCACCTGTGCTCCCATCTTGCGATGCTGTAGTCGACAATGGCTCATTGGGCAGCTCCAGCCTGTGGGCTTGGAGGTCAGGCGGGCTCGGGGCTGGCTTGTCTCTGCTCTGCACTGTGTGCCATCCCCCAGCAGCCCCACTAGGCTTGCCACCACGACAGCGGGACTCTAGAGTAAGCAGAAGGACACCCCTGTTTTTCTGAAAGACACAAGAGTTTTTTCTTGGTGGGCAGCGACCCGGCCTCCAGACTTCCCTGTGATGCTCTGGACTTTCTTCCAGGACTCTCATCCCCCACTCACTACATCCACCTCATTCAATTTTCCGCTCCCAGGAGCACTGCCCAGAGCAGCAGCCTCTTGTCTCCTTCATTAGCCACAGTGCCCATCACCCACTCAGAGCCCTGGACTCTCCTGATGACAAAGGACACAAATGATGACAGGTACCATGTCCCTTCCCCATCACTTGCTTTAGACGTGGTTTTAATGCTGAGTGCTACTTACATGAGAGGCTGACAGTTCCCTCAGCCTTCTCTGAAACGATGCTGGAATCACTGGCTGAGCACCACGGACTCAGCATGTGACCTGCTGAAATTCTGGGCCAGGGTAGGCAGCTGTGTGTCATCTCCATCTCCAGGGTGGCCAAGCCCTGGGAGGGAAAGGATGTGATTCCGGAACAAAGCTCCTGACACCGATGGGCCTCATGATGCCGAAAGGCATAAGGGAGGTGGCCGACGGCCGGGCTGTGTGTCCACAGGCTACCACCCCTCCTGCCCAGGCCAGTCTTGCCTCCTCTCCACAGACCTTGTTGTGTAACCTGGAAGGAGGAATGAAGAGGAAAAAGCTAACATTAAATTTTAACACAGACACAGGAGAACACACACACACACACACACACATGCACACACAAGGACACAAGCCCACTGCTGTTCAAATCTCAGTCGCCCCAGCCTACTCCTCATTTGGAAAAATCACATCCATCCTTGTCTTGTGGCATGCCTTCTGGGTTTGGTCATATTTATTTGTCTGTCACAAGTTCTTCTTGGAGGATTAGGAAGAAACCCTATGTGGAAATAATTGCAGCCAGTCAACTGCCCCGAGATGCCCTGAAGTTCTGTATCTGCTCCCGGAGCGTTCAGTCCATGATTCCTGCTGGGACCCTCGTCTACCTCCACACATTCTGATTTTGCAGGTGTAGGGATCTGTGCCTGCCTAGCTCCCCTGGGACTCTGCATCTGAGTCCTCAAGCACCCTGGTGGGCTCGGCAGCAGCCCTGGCTTGCTGTTGGCTGTTTTCATGTTTGAATCGGTCAACACTAGCTCAGGTTGGAAAGCCCTGCATGGGAGGCCCAGCCAGTCCCACGTGGCTGGGACTCACAGAGCACCAACTCTGCACAAGTGCTGGGCTGGGGCTCGGGGAGAGATCCAGGCTCCACCACCGGTAGAGTGTTTTCTGCAGCCATCTAGTCTTTGGCTGCCAACCCCAGACTCTGTTGACAAGCAGAGAAGTAGGGATGTTGGAAGGGGCTCAGGAGGTTAGGACCAGGGACTGAGGGACTCGGAAGTCCAGATCACTCTGAATGGCCCGGTGAGACCCCACTGCCTCCACCGCTGGCTGCCATTGCCATTAGTATTCCCAGGTCTGCCAAGCTCTGCTCACAGGCCCACACCTGTGCCAGATGCTAGGTTGGGGAGATGGTGTCCCTGGCCAGCTTTGACCATTGTCAGGCTTCCCCAAAATAGAAAGGGGGCCTAGCATCAGAAAAGTGATACATGCCCCCTAAACACATTCTGGGGCTTGTCACCTCGTTTCCCTGGACCTCAGATCCCCTGCATCAAACAAAAGAGGTGAGGAATCAATAGTTGCAAAGCACAGTCAGTAAAGCAAAGGCTGGTTTAAAGATACAAACAGGAATTGAGGAAATATGCTTGAATGCTCTTTTGTATGCCAACAAACACAGCACACAAAGCTTTTACCACCTCAGTGATCAGTTTAAGGACAGGCCCATGACCCAGCTGAAGCCACACGGGGACAGTGAGACTTGATTCTAGGGCTTGCTTTGAGATCTCAGGGGCATACTCTCTCCTCTGGTTTGGAGGTGGCCACAAGGTGAGGCTAGAATTGTGGGAGACCTCCCTGTTGAGCTTGAGAATGAACCAGCAGGGTGGAAGTGATGGAGAAAAGCCAAGTCTAAGAAGATTAAGAGTTGCCTGCTTTTTCTCCTCCTCCCTCCTTGTACAAATTCTACAATCATAGGGTCATCTCACCGTCCAAAATGGCTGCTCCAGCTCCAGCCATCTCATCTGCTTCTAGCCAGCAAAAGAGAGGAACTGACAGAGGTTAAAAGGCAGTTATCTTCTAAGAAAGGCATCTGAAGCTGCCATATGAGACACAGTGACTTATGCCCCATGGACTTGAATTTAGTCCTGTGACCACACCTGGTTATAAAGCAGTCTGAGAAGCATCGTCTTTACACCTGATGGCCTTCTCAAATCAGACTGCAGTGTGGGTGCTGGATTGTGGAAGAATGCAGATGAGGAGCTACCTGCTTCCTGGCCCTGTCATTGAGTCGGCCGGGGGCCCAGGAGGGGCCTCCTCTGGGCCTGAGGCCCAGCAGGTGTGCACTCACCCTGGACTGGGAGACCCACACCCTGATAGGTGCTTTCAGAAAACCTGTGTCTCATGCTTTCCCAGAGCTGAAGTCAGTCTGTGACTCATCTTGGAATCCTGGAGACAAGACACTTGCAGGTAGAGGGCTGCTTCCAGCCACTCGGGCTCATGCCTCAGTCTACATGGCTGACTGCTGGGCCAGTCACTGAAATTTATCCTTGGCCACAGGCACCGTGGCCCCCAGTCAAAAAGACTGAATCTGAGTGCATGCACCCAGGCTGCAGAACCCCAAACAGCCTCTTGAGCCACCATCGCTGGGAGAAGGTAGAACCCATAGCATTTGGCAGCACTAGCCAAAACAATGGCTGTTATCCAGATTCCAGAGGAAATTTTCATCTGGATTTTTGTCTTTTGGTATTGAGAGTAAGTGGCAAAGCCAGGTGGCAGGGTGCTCAGCAGGAGGGGAGTCTGGCCACTCCTCTGCCCACAGCTGGGACAGCTTGATCCCATGCAGACTGAGTTCCTCTGGGTTCTGGAGCCCATCAGGAAGAATGGGATAAAAGGGTTCTTGCCCAAAACATAGCAACCCGGGTCCCTGTCCAGGGAGTCACATGATGTAGGTCAGCTTTCACTGTGGAGACTCCAGGAGTCCAGGGTCAGCAATGACAAAATTCCAGGGCAGGGGGGCCCTGGCTTCCCAGTCCCTGCTGCAGCCAAGCTCTGTGTGGACTGTGTCATCCGTGGGTTCTGCCCAGCTTTCATGGTGTCAAGGAGATGGCATCAGCTAGACCTAAGTCCACAACCGATCCTTTCACTCATCTGCCGAGGGCCCCTGCACAAGTCCTTCTCGCCCTGCATCCCAGGGCTTGTGTGAGGGTCACACACAGGCAGAGATGCATAAGTACTGGCAAAGTCACAGGCCATGTCCTTGTGGCTCTGACAACTGGCTTTGGTGTCACTGCCAATGCTGGTGCCTGTCAGTGCCTGCCTCCCTGTGAGCCCCCCCACCAACTGCCACAGTTCCTGATGACCTCCCAGGAGAGAAGAGGAATAACTGGGTGCCCTAGGCCTGCTGGTGGCCATCCCTCATGTTGCCTGATGGCCTGAAGTCTTGGTGGTATCCAGCCACAGGACCACCCATTTCCATTCTAGGTTTACTTCCTGTGGGGACTCCTCCTGCCACTTTGTGCAGATCCCCCAGAACAGTCACTTCTGACAGTTGCCCCTCACCCCACCTGGACTTGCCTCCATGGGAGCAGCCCACCTGACCCTGGTGCTGGAGGCTGCTCCCATGCTGCCAAGTAGCCCCGTCCAGAGAAGTGGAAGGCCCAAAAAGCAGAGAATCACAGGGACCACCCTGCAAGCCACAGATGGTAGGTGGCAGAAGCCTCCCACCAGCAAGCACAAGTTCCCCCTTCCCACTCAACAATGTGTGTCAGCATGAATAGCTCCCAGCAGGATTCCAGGAAGCCTGCATTTGCACTGTACTTCTTGTTAAACCTGCAAGAGAGGCCCCTTATCTCCAAGCCAGTCGCTCAACCTCTGAGTAATGACTCCAGGCTGGATCCAGTGCAGCAGAGAGAATGGAACCAAGCAAGGAGTGCAATAGTAATCAGCAAACAGCAGGCAGTCCCGTTTCCTATCTGCCTCCGCCTTCCCTTCTTTCTCTCTTCCCAAAGGCAAAAATATTTCCCAAGTCCCTCCTTGGAGAACTTCTTAACATATAATTAGCAAAGTCTTAAGGGGTCGTTTATGGAATTTTTGTTTGGAGACCTAGTGTTTCCACCTAAGTCACTGCATTTCCCACAGATGGGAAATTCAAATCAATTACCTTGGATAGAAATTCTAATTATCAGGAGTATATGCACTTAGAACAAGACGAATATGAATCTTTCAGGATGCACTTATTCCACCCAGGAACCACAGGCTGCACAGCTGGCTGTTCTGTGTAATACACGGCATGTCCAGTGTGGCTCTTCTGCTTTCCTCTCCAATTGTGTATCTCCTCTTCCCTCTCCCAGCATCTGGTGCATGTGAGTGAGAATGGCATTAGACATCCCTATTAATTTCATCTGGGATGTAGATAAGCAATCCCACCCACCCAGAACACAGCAGAATGTAAGGACGTCTTTCTTCCTGGCACCCAGTGAAATGGCAGAGTTGTCAGTGTAGAAGCCAGAACCCTGAAACAGTGGAAAATGCAGGCCAGCTCATGAGCTGGGTTCAGTAAAGCATGAAGAATTCCAGGCCCCTCCGCAAACAGCTGCCCCGACAGACACTCCCCACACCACCAAGCTGGCCACATGTGGGAAGTGACGTGGTGTGGCATCTGGGGCTGTTTTGGAGCTGCAGTTTCTTGGCAGTGATGGGGGGTCCCCTCTTGCCTCTGGGACCCAGGACACTCAATCCTCTGATTAAGCCCAGCCCTCTGTGAGTTCAAGCTGTGAGCCCCATCTCCGCCACAGGCTTCCCTCTCACTGTTGGGTTAAGCTCTGAAACCACGTCCAGGGGGCCACAGTATCCCTGTTGCACTGAAGAAGTAACTAAAGCCCAGAGAGGTTCTGTGCCAGGGCCCCTCTCATGAGCACTGCAAGGCCGATCTACAATGCCTGCCCTCCCCTGCACAGCTACTGCCAGATTCCGGGTGCCAGCTCTATGCTGAAGCTCTTTGGCAGCAAGGAGCCAGTGGTCCTAACCAGAATGTTCCAGAATGGTCACCATCAGGGCCTCAGACTCCTGTGGTTGTGAGGACAGAGGTTCAAGATGGGGCTCCTTAGGTGAGGGCAGAGCAGCACCTGAGCCCCTCCCCAAATTCCCCCTTCCTTCAGGGGTTTTCTCCACTCTCGTCTGCTGCTGCCGGACCTGCCCCCAGGGAGCAGGTCTGCAAAGAACCTGACATGCAGGCCCAAGGGCCTCCACTGGCACCAGGCAACATGGTCACGCCCCACCACTGGCCAGGTGGCCGCCCCCACCCCAGCATGGTAGAGCTCGGTCTCCTTGAGCAGGGGCTGAGGGTGGTCACTGTCGGCCATGGCTGGGGCTTTGGCCAGCACTTGCTGGGGACTGGGGTGCCAGTACCAGTGGGAAATAAGGGGAACCTCTGCTAGGAGGCCCTGACTGAGAAGCCAACAGGGAGCCATTGAGGGCTCCTGAGCAGAGGGGGGCATGCCCCACGCAGAGTTTGGCCAAGACAGATCTGCTCGCAGTGCACGGGGATGCCAGAGGAGAGAGACGGGGCTGGGAAACCTCTTGGAGGGCCACAATCCTAGCACGGGCCAGAGACCTGCAGGACAGCGAGCAGGGTGTGGTGCCGGAATAGCTAGGGAAGTGCGCGCCAAGGTGAGACAGGAGGCAGACAGAGTTGGTCCCCAGCCCTGCATTGCTCAGACTGGGAAGCAGGAGGGAGAATGTGACCCTTTTCCCAGGCACAGACAGGGAGACTGGACAAATCCCCCTCGTTGTAGGAATGGTGAGTTTAAGGCAGACCCCGGGCCTTCCTAATGGACACTTCCAGCAGCAGGGGAGATGTGGAGCCAGGTGGCTTCGGTCAGCTTCCCACAAGGCCTCCTCAGCCGAGTCACATTTTTATTCCACTCCCTTCACTTCTACAGAGAGTTTAAGCAAAAAATGCCACGGGACTTTCTTTGTGCCTCAGCAGCAAGCCTTCCTGGGCAGCTAAGTCCATGATGCTGTCCGCATCCCCAGCACAGGCCGTTGGGTGAATTCCCCAGCGCTTCCCCTCCCTCAAGGGCTACCCCATGGGCACCATCAGGGAGGATGCGTGTGGGGAGAAGTGCTGGGATTGGGGCATTGCCCTCACACTAGGACGCCCATGGGAGGATTCAGCGTCTCCTGCTGTGACCGCCCAGAGCCCGGCCTTGGCGGTATTTCCTCCCCCTTCCTTCTCCATGGCAGACAAGGGGCTTCCATTTCCACACGGATGGTGTAATTCTGTCTCAGGTCTTTTGGAAGCAGGCTGAGCACCCATGGGAGATTCTCTGGTTCCTTGTTGCTTGAGTGAGGAGGCTGCAATCCCAGCCCAGCGGGGCCCTGGCTGTGCTGCTCAACTTCATGCCCACTGACTCTGGGAAACATGGCCATGGTGAAGGGCGGGGTGCCAGGGAACCCCGACTTAGGAAAGTACATTTAGAAAACAGGTTGTCTCTTGGAAGAACACATATTCTTTTTAGAAATTTCCTGAACAGTGTACTTTCATGTTTAATCTTGGTGCATTCTAGTGCTATGGAGGACAATGGTGATTCATATCTATGGGGTACTTGACAGCTTTCCGAGCAGGTTTCCTTCTCAGTTGATCACCTCGACATCTCTCTGAGGCAGCCTCTGCAGGTGTCATTTCCCCATTTTATAGGCATGGAGGAGTAAAGTGGCCTAGCTGCAGTCATGGGTAAAAGGCAACCGAACTCGACCCTCAATCTCTATGCAGCTGCACTGCCTCTCTGACTCCCTGTGGCTTCATATGCTTTGTTTCCACAAATTTGGAAGTATTAGCAAAGGGATGAAGAAAGCAGAATTTGGGGCAGAGAAGCCTCTTTCATGTCTCAGTTCTGCAGTGGATGACATGTGTGACCATGAGTGAGCTAATTAACATTTCTGAGCCTGGGTGTACTAATCAGTAAAACAGAAATGAAGGCGTTCCCCGCCAGATGATAATTCTGAGGCATTGCCCATGCCTGCACATAGGAAATGATGGCTTCCTGCAAGGAGAAGGGAGAGCGGCCCCGGCAGGGTGAGCAGGAGCAACTCCTCCAGATCTGCAGATCTCGGCACTTGCACACCCAGGCTGCTCCAAGCCCAGGAGCAGAGGGGACACCCAGGGCTACAGTGAGGCAAGTCCTGTCCCCAAGATTATAAGGATGTGGTTTTCAGCCTGTCTTGCATTCACTTTCACCAAGTAAGATGCCAAGAGCCAGGAAGAGGCTGCCAGAGGTGCAGGAAGGAAAAGCAGAGCCAGCAGGAAGGAGCTCCGGCTGGCCGGAATGGAGCTGGAGGCTGGAGGCGGCAGCAGCCCTACCTGGGCACTCGAAAGCTGGCCCTGCTCCTGGGACCAGACAGTGCCCCTCAGGGCAGGGCAAGGGGGAGGTGAAGCAAGGAGGGGATGGGATTTTGCCTGAAATATTTCAAAACTTCTATGTAGGACCTAGATTACTATCTCCAGGTCTGATGTGTGTGTGTGTGTGTGTGTGTGTCTGTTGGTGTCTCTGTGTGTGTCTGTGTGTTTCTCTGTGCCTATGTGTGTCTCTGTGTGTGTGTCCGTGTGTGTGTGTGTGTGTGTGTCTGTGTGTTTCTCTGTGCCTATGTGTGTCTCTGTGTGTGTGTCCATGTGTGCCTGTGTGTGTTCACAGTAACACACCTTGACCTCATTAGCTCTCCTTGAAGGTCCACATCTGTGTCTTTATCTACGTCTCCGTCTATGTATCTGATCCAACTACACCACACATATAATGCAGAACGGATCTAAAGTCTGCTGCAATTCTTCAAGGCAAAGAAAAGCAACCTTTGGGTGACCTTCCAAGAGAAGGAGCCTGAAAGCATCTGATGTGAAATGTTCAGAGCAGGCACGTGTTCTAGGTGGGAAACGCTCTCTGCCACCACACCTCGCCCCCCAACCGCCCCCCAGCCACTGCTCCTTCATCCCACGAAGACATGATAATAGCAATAATAATAATAGTAGTGACACTGATGCGGTGCTTGCTGTGAGCCTGACACTGTTGGAAGCACTTAGTGCACACTAGAAAGTACACAATGCAACCAAATAAGTGTGAACCCTGACGAGGGCTCACAGACATGTGGGCAGGGCGGCGCTGACCTTCAGCAGCAGGTCAGGGATGTCGTCATCCCTGATGACAGATGAGGAGGGCCAAGGACACAGACAACCAGAGGACATGCCATGCTGAGAGAAGAAAGGGCAGGTGCCAAGGCCCTGAGGCAGGAGCCAGGTGGCTGTTCAAAGACGCGAAGATGCTCTATGGCTGGGGGCCTGGGGGGAAGACACGCACTCCTCATTCATCAAGAAAAGGCTCATTTCGGCTTTTTTCTCCAAGTTGCTTTCAGTGATTTCCAACGGGAGAATGGAGAAATGCCTCCTATATGTACCCAGGAATGCAAGGAATTGGAATGCACAGTGTCCATGATGTGCCAGAGAGAGCCCAGTACTTTTCCTGTAATAACTCGCTAAATTTACACTTCAGTTCTGTGAGGAACTGTTATCCTAATTTCACACAGGAGGCAATGGGGCTGGAGCCAGGTGCTTCAGCAAGTTCACAAAGCCAGGGGAGGACCCCAAGGATCCACACTGCGCTGTGCTGCTGAGTGAGTGGGTGACTGTGCACTGTTGCTTTTTCTATGAAATTGCTTGGACAGGCTTTCTCTAGCGACTTGGAAAAGTTTCAGAACTCCTATCCAGGAAAATCCCAATCAGGTTCTCTCCAAGACAATCCCCCAACCACAGACATTGTATTGCTTGGAGGAAAGTTGTTTCCACTCTTCCGGGAGCATATTTTAACCCTGGTGCAGTTAGGAAGCCAGACCTGTGGCTCATTTGGGACCACCAGCCCAATTCCAGCGATCACCACAGAAACCATTCTCTAGGTTACCCTGGAAGGGATAGCCTTGGTGGTTCTGGGCTCAATTCTTGCTCAGAACCAAAAGTAGAACTAACTTCATAATGTGAGCAAAACCCCACAGTCCAGCTTTGAGCACCTCCTTGAATATGAGCTTGTGCTTTTCCATCCAGACATAAGAAAGATGGGGAAAGGCTGACAGATTTGTAATTCACTTCAACCCCACCAGCTTAGAGCATGAAAACCCTTTTTAAAAAATGAGTCACAAGTATCTGCTGGTGAAACATGACTCACCTCCTCAAAAGAGAGAATAAACATTGAATCAGCTTTTTAAGGGGCTTTCAGACACCACATCACCCTTGGACGACTAGACCACAACCTGTCTTAGGCAAATGCCTAGAAACAGATGGGTTACATTTTGCTGAAATGCAGACACTCAGCATCCCCTGGCCTCACACTGGGGCCGAGTCTGACATGACACCGTGGTGTTCATTATAAACCTGTGCTGACCAGCTTGAGGGGTCAGTAGCAGACAGGGGTCACCTGGCTACCTGTCAACAGCCTGCAGATCCATCTTGGTAGGCACTGAAGCCCCAAACCCTGCATGGTGGTGGTGACCAGTAGCTCTGGCCAGGGTCCCAGGTTGAGCCAGAGTCACTGGGAATGTTCACCCATCTTCAGCATCTCCAGCCTGATAATGATCATATTTGCAGCTTCCTCCAGGAGGCTGCTTCTGGGTCCACTCCTAGATCCAATTGTCTCCCTGGCAGCAACAATTGGGAAATAACAGCATCATTCTCTCTTGCAATCATTAAGGAGAGAAACATCAAGAAGCTGCTTTCATTGTTTAACAAAGATGACAAACTTTGGAGAATGTAAAGAACATGAGGCCATTGAAGTCAATATTTCACCCAGAGGGAGCTGCACAGTTGGGCAGGGAGGTGAAGGGCATTTCTGAAGCACCATCATATGAATAAAGGTCATGAGTTTTGATGGGCAGGAGATGGGGACACTGCACAGTGCATGCTTTTGGGGAAGGGGGAAGAGGTGAAAAGGACGAGACGAAGAAAACAACAGAGAAAAACGCTAGCATGTGAAAAAGCCATATTCACTCATTGTTTTAAAAAGTGAGCCGCCACACTTGAAAAAAATATTTACCCAGAAGACTCATCCTGTGTAGTGGAGGCCAAATGCCATCCTGAAGAAGTTCAGCACGGGGTGAGGTATGAGGCGCAGGCTCCCGACAGAGCCTCTGAGCATGGGGTGGTGCCTGCAGTCACTCATCCTCCAAGGAGTCAAGCAGGACAGGGATAAGAATGGCAAGGGTGGAGGGTTTTGATATTTTGATTAAGAGGGCCAAGGGAGCTCCAGTAAAAAGACAGCATTTAAGCCAAACTAGAAGGGGTAAAGAAGTGAGAACTCCTCATAGGTATTTGAGAAAAAAGCATAACAGACCCTGTAGGGAAATGGGGGGATATCTGAGAAGCACCAAGGAAGCCAATCTATAAAACCATTCAGATGTTTATTCAAACAGATAGGTCGAGAAATAGGAAATAGAAAAACATGCAGTTAATCTCCGGCATAAAATTGAGATGTGAAATAGAAATGCCACTTGGGGATTTTCATAGTCCCACAGTGGAGAGGTTGAAAGAATACAGCCTTTGGTGTTGGAGAAATCTGAGTTCAAAAACTGTCTTTGCCACTTGTTCCCAAAAAGGGAAAGAATGGAGGAGGAAGGAACAAAACTAATAAAATATGTAAAATATGATTTGGTGGCAAAAATAAGCTCAAACACATCAATAGTCACAATGAAGGTAAATGGATTAAAAACTCTTTACTTAAGATACAAATATGGTCAGTCTGGATTAGAAGCAAAATCTCATTATATGCTGTTATAAAGAGATATGTCCAAAACTTTAAAATATACACCCCATAAAGAAAATAATAGAAAAAAGATATACCAGGCAATTATTAATCACAAAAACTACTGCAGCTATAGCAATAGACTTTAGGGCAAAAAACATCATATGGGAGAAAAAGATCACTACATAGGAAGATATAGTGTTTCTAAACTTGTGCGCAACTAATAACTTCTAAATATGTAAAGCAAAGATTTGCAGGATTGCAATAAGAGGTTGATAAAGCCACCATCACTGATAGGTCAAGAAGACAAAAATGGTTAGCAAGGACATAAATGACACAACTAACAAATGTGAACTGACAGGTATGTGCAGAACACGCACCCATTAATTGGTGGGATTTATTTCTTATACGATCACAGACAACATTTACAAATATTGCTTATGCATTGGACTAAATAGCAAGTCTCAAAAGATTGCAAAACTTAGTACTGTACACCATATTTTCTAAACGCAATACAATTAAGTGAAAAATCAATGATTAAAAGATTTTTAAAATATATTTGGAAAAGAGAGTGCCCACATATAAAATCACCAGTTAACATCAGACTTTGATAAGTGAGGAATGCAGGCTGTAAATGCTAGGCTGTATCAAAGAATACAGAAGTCATGACCTCTAAAACAGGAAAAAGGAGGTAACAATGACTCACCAAGTATTTCTAAATAATTTATAAATAACAGTACCTAATATTGAATAATCATTAAGAGTACCTGTCACAACCTGTAGAATACAACAAAAAGGTTCTAAGAGTGGTTACATGATATTAGGGCTGTTTTAGAAAAGCAGGAAGTCTGAGAATGAATGAACTTAAGAAAACATATTCTTTTAAAACAGAATAAACCTTAGGAAAATAGAATGCACAAGATAATAAAGACAGAAGCAGAAATACATGAAATTGATAAAGCTATGCTGGATGTCTGCTGAAGAATGCTGCCATTTGTCAGTTTTATTTGAACTGAGAAGATGCAACAAACCCAAATCCACACATCATGCTCCATCTGAGCCAAAGCCGGGCAGACACTGCTGAGTGCTCAGGATATTGGGGAGCAAAACCGGCAACAACTCACAAACAACAACAGAACAGAAGAGTAAACAACTTGTATGTTACACGACTGTAAGTGTTATGGGAAGGAAAGAAAGCAGAGTCAGATACATGGGTCCTGAGTGTGGGCTGGAGAGGGGAGGCTCTGCAGTGTTGGGTGTGCCAAAGAGAAGGTGCCAAGGACATTGGCCAAGCAGATGACTGGGTGAAGAGTGCTCCAGGCAAACCGCACATCCAAAGGCCCTGAGGCATGGCTGTGCCTGGGTGCTGAAGGGACAGCGAGGAGGTCAGGCTGGACTGGCGAGAGGAAAGCAGAGAGTGGACAGAAGTGAGACTGGAAGGTCAAGGCAGGTCCTGCTGGCTCTTGGAGCCCTTGGGGGCCACTGCAGGGATGGTGGATCCCACTGCAGGCTCTGAGCAAGAGTGTACCAGGACTCACTGTGGGAAAAGAGTGTGAGGGCAAAGGGGAGAACCAGGACGCCCTGTCGGGACACACAGCACATTTCCCAGAGAAAGAAGCAAGTGCTCCTTACTCTCCCAGACTCTGTCCCCAGCCTGGAGGGTGTCACCTCGGCCAAGGGAGGATGCTGTCTTCACACCCACCTGCCCTGGGAATCTTTTCTGACAAACACCCCAGGCACAAAGCAACTGCACAGTCATGTGGCATAATAATGGCACAGCCCATGGGCAAAGGAGCCACAGGAACTGACTATGGGGCTGGAAGGTGACACACCTGCCTCGACCCCAGAGGCTCTGAGGGGCTGGTCATATGCTCTCCTGAGTGGGTAGTCCTGGATGCTCAAGTCCCATCGTGCTTCCATTCTTGGATTCAGAAGATGAAACTGCACCTGGTCAATACAACATGAGAAGTAACATTAAAATACAAAAGAATGTGACATGTTAGAGGCAAACATAGAACCAACATTGTTTCCATGGAATCATGTTTCTACAGAATCATGTCTTTAAGCTCTTTAAGCCCCATACATAGAGGGTCTTTAAATAGCTTGTCTTTAGTCTGGCACAGAAATTAACAGTCCTACAATTATTAAGCAAAATGTTTGAGTTCCCACTATGTGCTAAATTTCCAAGAGACTGGACATAAAAATAGGCTACACGGAGAACTGTGACTATCTGACTCAGGTTTCTGA
This sequence comes from Homo sapiens, assembly GCF_000001405.40. Taxonomy (NCBI): domain Eukaryota; kingdom Metazoa; phylum Chordata; class Mammalia; order Primates; family Hominidae; genus Homo; species Homo sapiens. The sequence goes on from NC_000020.11 coordinate 24,777,674, forward strand.
GAGAATTGGTGCATAAAGGGATTTCAGCACTGAATTTCCAAGAGACTTGTTCTAATGTAAGGCCTTGTAGCTCATTGATTTTTGAAGAGTTGGCGAGACGCACCACCTGATATAGAACTGAATTCCAAACAAGTGCTACACTTGCAGAGGGGATTGGATGGTTCTCTGCCACCTGTCCTCCTGGAGAAAATGGAAGCTCTCAGACACAGCCACGGGGTAGGTGCAAAGGAGGCAGCGTCCATCTGTTCTTGTGGGATTCCACCCCCTCCCCAAGCCTAAAACTATCCCTAGAAGCAGGGAGAAAGACACCCATGAGTCATCATTCATATGTGGATCCTGGAAGATGCCACGGGGACAGCCTGAGGACTCAGGAGAGGAGGGGAACCTTCTGGCAAATGCAGGGGTGACACTGAATGCCTGCCTGCCATGAGCTAGGATCTGCCCACCCCACACCCCAGCTCCCAGGAGATCCCTGTCAACACAGGCAAAGTTCCCAGCCCCTTCCTCAAGCAAACATGGAAGAGGGGCCCCTTCAGACAAATTGAGGGACTCAGGAGAACCCTCTGTAGGTTCTCTTCCAGCTTTACATGTCGCTGGCTGCCTGGCTTCCCCTCACATTAAGCAACCATTCATTCTCTCCTCTGTGCATTCCGTCCATCTGTGTGTGCAAGGTTCTGGGGCAGGGGAACAAAGACAGGGCAGGACAGATGCTGCCTGGAGCATGGCCTAGAGATCAGGGGAGAGAGAGAGAGAGAGAGAGAGAGGGAGGGAGGGAGGGAGGGAGGGGTAGAGAGAGAGAGAGAGAGAGAGAGAGAGAGAGAGAGAGAGAGCTGGGAACTGAAGCTCCTTGGAGCCAGGACATAAACTGGCCGAATTCCCTGGACCAAAGTCGCCTTCCTTCTAGGGGCTCAGCATGCTGGGTGCCTCATCACTGCTTCCCACACACTGCCAGGCCAGGGCAGGGCACCAGCGCTGGGCACAGGAAGCCTGCCAGGTGGAGACAGCATCTGCATCAGCCTTCCTATTGGGCCGGTGAGGCTTGAAGCCAGGTTTTCCTCTCCATGCGTCCACCTTTCAGAAAGGCTCCGAGGCTCCCAGATTGTCCTCCAGGGTCAGGGTAGGAGGGCCTGCTGACAGCAGGTGCATGAGGACGCCCAGATGAAGACGGCAGTGCTGCCCTGACCACAGTGGCTGCCGCCTGCCGGCTTCTCGGAATCAGCAGAGCACCTCGGGACTGGCGCCAGCCAGAAACACCTGTGCACCGGAACCATGGGAAGGAAAAGCGGGACTAGACTGCCAATGACAGAGCTGGACCGGGGCCAGAAGTCCAAGCTCAGCTCCAGAAGGCAGGATCTAACCACCCCTTCACGCCACACCCAAGAACCTTTCCTCGGGTCCACAGCACCTCCTGCTTCCAGTGTCCTACCCAGACAGACCTTCATCTGATTATTTATCTAGGTGCAGAATTAATTACAGGCCCTAACCGTGCATCTAGTTACCATTTTCTCAGTTGGGAACACAACTGTTACTCTGGTCTTGGCTGGGATGCAGCTGTTTCCTCTGAACACAGCGCTTGGTGCCCAGAGCTCTGCTCGCTGTGCCTCCTGCACCTCATAAGGGCCTCAAGCTCCAGGGCCACCTCTCCTGGCATTTCCTCTGTGGAAATATAACCATCCTAAGTACTGCGGCCCCAGAGATTCCTTGTTCTTTGGCCCTTCCCTCTCCTGTGCTTGGATGAGAGCCCAGTGAGGGGTGGATGTCTGGGCCCAGCAAGACACCGAGGTGCAAACAATGACAGAAAGCCAGAAGGGCTGGGCCAGCCAAGCCTGCTTTCCAGCATGAGACCCACAGCTTCCGTTCCACACCTTTGCAGGAGAAAAAGCAACAACTCTATCTTATTAAATAGATGCACAAGTATGAGCTGCATGCGATTCCCAATCAAGCAAAGTGCAGGATGGAAGAGGGTCTGGATTTTCCTGGAGGGAATGAGGCATGTCCGCCTTGCAGGCACCAGAAAGAAACCATAGATGGGAAAGTGGGGTCTGCAGAGCCAGAACAAATCAGAAGGAACAGGATGGTCCCATGGAGTCACAGAGTGGCTGAATTTGGCAGTCCACATACAAGGCCATCCTGGGATCTGAATGGACCGCAGAGATAGGCACGAGGCACCAGGTCACCCCATGGGGAGGACCTCTGTTCCTCCCCTTCCTCAGAATCTTCCTTGGAGTCCTGAATGACACCCCCTGGGAGGACTGGAGAGCTAGCTTCAGGGTTTACTTTGGGTTTTTGGAGTTCCAAACCCATGTGTGATTTGAGCTGCCACCAATGCTGCAGCGAAGGCCGAGGAAGGAAGCACCTGGGCCCCCATCTGAGCTGGACCCCATGGCATGACCACTAGCAGCCTTCAGTGTGGCTGTGTGTCATGAGGCATCAGGGCGTCTGAGCAGAAGGGAGAACAGGTGAGCATGGAGAGCCCCATGTCCCCAGGGAAACCTGTCCGGTCTTCATACTCTGCAGGGCTTCTGAGGCCCCTCTCCAAGACCACCCCCCTCCAGGGCTTCCTGGCCCTGACACAGCTGCCACCTGGCCTTCTGCACATCATGGTCATGTGCTGGCTTCTCTGCCCCAGAAGTTCAAGCTTGCTCCAGCTCCCAATTCTTTCTGGCAAGGCTTTTACCTGCCATATGTAATTTGACGTAGTGTTTTACTGGCTTTGTCTTCTTAAAGGGCATTTTCAATTATTCTGGTCTCCTGCCAAACCCTAAATTCATCTCCTACTTTTATTAGACCTGTTTATGCATCAGAATGAGTTTTTCCAGCTCCTGGCACCCCTCAGCTATGTCTACTGTGTCTCCCTGAGCCAGTCTTGAACCTGGCTCCTGTCAGAGGCCCTACGAGACTGAAGCAGCTCTAGAAATCCTGGCTGTGCATCCATGCAGCCTGCAGCATAAGCCCAGCCTTTGCCCTAATCGGGTGCTTAGGCCCAAGCTTGTCCTTCCCAGAATGTGCATTGCTGAAATCGCACATCACCTAAGGCAGGACAACTTAATCAGTCAACAAGAACCCACCCCATCTCCTCCCAGGCAAGGCAGGTGGGCCCCACCCGTGCTGGGGGAAGAACTTCTGTTTCCTTAGCCCTGGGCTAACCACTGCAGCAGGTGTTTTCCGCTGGTGAGGATGACAACCGCCAGGGCTGGCCAGGAAGAGGGGCCACAGGCAGAGGCAGAAGGGGATGTGTGGCTCTCCCCGGGACTGGCTCCCAGCTCACTCCCAAAGCAGCACTGCCCCCAGAGGGCAAGAAACGAGACCCTGCATCCCCACAATGGGGGTTTCCAAGTCCACCTGTCCATCCCTCCAAGGTCTCTCCAAGGTCAAGCTTCAACCATCCCACAACTCTGCTTACTTATTTAGGAGTGGACTCCATCAGTAGCTGTGTAACCCAGCAAGCGCTCCCTGAGTAGTCAGCGTGTGGATGCACTGGTGAGTTACCTGATTCTCTCTCCCTGCCTTCAGTCCTCCTCCCTCACCTCACCCCTTGGCTTGCAGCCTCACTGTACACTGGAAGCCCTTCAGATAAACCAGTGAATGAATGAATGAATGGATGAGTGAGGTATAGGAAAGAAGACTCCATGGGACTCGTGTGGAGGGAGCTGACTTGGAGCCGCTTCACAGCCTCCTTCTCCCACAAAGTCCCGCAAGGGAGTGAGTGGAAAGAAAGCTCTGAGAACATCCCTGGCTCCTGAGCCTGGGCAGCAGCAGAGCTCTCTGCCTTGCTTTGCCAAACTCTGACACTGGGTGCCCAAAACTAACTACAGATAATTTCCACTATAATAAACTAAATGGTTCGAGGAGGTTGTACAGACAAGCTGTTGTTAAAGGGACTCCGGGTGCCCTCTACTGGGTAGCAGTGGATGAGCCCTGTGGGGAGGGCGGCTAAGAGGGCAGGGCTGGGGGCTGTGCAGAGTCCAGGTCCAGCAAGGGCAAGCGGGATTGGAGGCCCCCAGACCGCTCTGGTGCTGGCCTGGCTCTGAGACAGCTGCCCTGGCTGACTTGCCCACCAGCTGTTTCCATAGAAATAAATAGAAAGCAGGTTGACATGGTTGTGTTGTCCTTTTCAAAGCACTATTCCCATTTCTTGTGATTTTGCCTCAAACTAAGACTGTGAGCTAAAGAGCATCCACCCTCATTACACAGGTGAGGAAAGAGACTTGAGGCTTTGAGCGACTATGTCCAAATGAAAGTCCTAATTACTCGCAAATGTGGAGGAAAATGGGTTCTGATGTCCTGGATCGTGGCTACATCCTCTCTCAACAAAAGGGTAAGAGTGAATTGAAATGCATCGGCTGTCTCCATCTAATAGGGAGACAGCTCCCGATGTCCCCACCCCACTCTCAGCCTTTCCTTTCCTCACCCCTCCCACATCCCAGCACACCTTCTTCCTCCATCTTTAAAAAAAAAAATCATTAACATGGCTTCTGAGCCACACCAGACTGTACAGCAAAATGGTCATTCTTCCAAAAGCCAGGTGTCCTGCCAAACCAATGAGCAGGAGGCCAAGAGAATCTTCAAGAAAAAGACAAATTCACCATTAAACAATGCCTGAAATATAAAATTAATAAAAGAGAAAAGAAAGCGGAAAGGAGCAGGCATTTCTGTGCAGCACTGCCAACGTCGGCAGCACGGTGCATGTCTTTCTACCAAGCCCTAGTCTGGTCCCTTTCCCAGGCTGCCGTCTCTCCTCCTGCAGCCTCTATAAACGCTGCGTGTGACTTTGGGCAGCCTCTAACAGAGTCTGCCTCATCCTGTTGCCAGGGTCCATCAGTCCCCCTCTTTTGGTCCCTCGGAGCAACCTGATCAAAGGCTCGCTGCTGGCTCAGACACATGAGCATCTTTTTTTTTGGTCCGCGTTTGTTTATTTTCCCAGAAATGTTTTGCTCTGCTTCAGATCAGGAGGCTGGGCCACTCATGTTCCATTGCTTGGCAAAGTCAAAGGGAAAAACTCTATCTCCCCTTGGCTTTAATGGATTGAAATGAAGTTCACCTACAATCGCAGCTCTATTTTAGTGTCCTGAAAGGACTCCCCTCCCCTGCCTCTCAGCCCATCTCACGCTTGATTCTGGGCTAGCCTTTCTAGGAGAGGCCAGGGTTCCTGGAGAAGAGGCTGGCCTGGGCTGTAACAGGGCATGGGGCAGTGTCCCCTCAGTGGCCACAGGGCCTCCCCAAGGACCAGGGACAGTCCTGGAGACAGTAACTGGACCACATCACCCCCTGGTGGGTGCTCCAGCCCTGACGCTTGACTCACACCAGGTGGGGCCTCCCTAGGCTGCGGAGGTCAGGATGAGACCAGGGCCAGGCTGTGAGCTCAGCAGGGCTCCCTCCTAATGCAGCCGAGACACTCTTTTTCCTCTACCCAGAACATCCTGCTCCCTCTTAAAGGCCACAGCAATCACATGATCCTACGTGGTTTGGAGTGCACTTAGGGAGCCCTCCCTCCTTCCCCCTGCCCAGGTGGAGAGCTCCTTCCTCTTCTGGCCCACCGCTCAGGCCTCCCGCCCCTGGTGTACTACAGTTGCTGGTTCTTGCATCTGTCTCGACTACTGAGGTCTAAGCCATGGGCACGAAGACCCGCATTTTACTCGCTGCTGCCCATGCTGTCTCCTGGCACTGAGTGGTTTCTCTAAAACTGTCTAGTGAATTACTCCAAATTCTACCACTTCTGACTAATGATGGGTGACGCTTAAGACAGAGAAAATCTTAAGAGCCCAAAGAATGGATTATGGTTAATGAAATCTCTGGTGCCAAGAGAAACAGAGTAAAATGCACTTAAGGCATATAGCCAACTCCAGCCCCAGCAGCTGACTTCCCGCCATCCACACAGGCCACCTCTGGCAGAAGGACCAGCCTGAACAAAATCCCACTACTGAGTCTGGTTCCCCCTAGCCCTCCAGTTCTCTCAGCCTCACACCTCCTTTCCCAAGGAGCTCAGAAATGCTAAGGACTGCCAGGATTCTTCATGTACCTGTTCATTGACTCCTTGCACTCCCTTTAATTGAACACCATCTTAGTTATCTATAGCAGCACAAGTCACCACAAGCTTAGCAGCTGAGAACAACGCACATGGTCACCACACAGTTTCTGCACGTTAGGAGTCTGGCCCGGGCTCACCTGCACCCTCTGCTCAGGGTCTCACCAGGCAGCAGCCCAGCAGTGGCCAGGGCTGCAGTCTCATCAGAGGCTGGACTGGGAAAGGATCCACTTCCAAGCTCCCTCGGGGTGTCAGCAGAATGCATTTCATTGCATCTGTAAGACTGAGGGGCCTGGCTTCATGCTATCAGCTGGAGGCCACTGTCAGGCCCTAGAGGCTGTCTGCAGTCCCCTGCCAGGCAGCCCCCTCTCTATAGGCCTTCTCACCTCGTGGCAGGTTGCTTCCCCAAATCCAGCAACTGAGAAGAGAGCAAGTCTGCTAGCAAGACAGTCTTAAATAAATAATGTAACATAATCACAGGAGTGACATGCCATCACTTTTGTGTATTCTAGTTAGAAGCAAGGCACAGGTCTCATCCGCTTTCAGGGGAGAGGACCACACACAGACGTGACCACCAGGAGGAGGTCCTGAGCCATCTTAACGTCTGTTCAGCACACACACCTACCTTGCCAGGCCCTCTGAAAGCCACCTGTGCCTCCTGCTCCAGTGCCCCACAAACCAGCTCTGCCTCTTCTGCTTTGCCTCTCCTCAGATCGGGGCAGTAGTGCCTTCTCTTTAAGGCTGTTGATGGAAATATGGGAATGCAATACTGGGCACAGAGTCAGTGCTCAATAAACAACAGCTATTAACACTAGGATTGGGTTGAACTCAAGTGGAAGACCACTCCCAGCTAATCTAACAAGAGAGCAGATGCTCAGGTGACACCCTGACTCTCTAGTTGTGCCTTAAGTCAGTGAAATAAGCACAGTGACTGGTTATGCTGGAGGTCTCAGGACAATGTTCCCCACCACACAGCCTGAAATGCCCAGCTGGGCACTACATGCTCTTCCTGGTGCCAACATCTGCTTGACCATTTCCTTATTTTAGAGTCTTTGTATTAGAATGGTGTGTTTGAGTTCTGGTTTCCTGACTAGCTTTGACACATCCGGTATTTTGTATCAGGAGCGGGTTTCTAATCCACACAGATGTGGCCTGGAGAATCATGTGATGGCAGCTTCTCTCACTTGTTACCCTCTGCAACAATTTTTTTTTTTTTTTGCTTCCCATTGACACAGCTTTAAGCTCAGCTGTTTTGGAGGTCTTAGCTCCCCAGGGAAGAATGTTCCACCAAGAAACCCAACAATAGTTTCACTGAATTGGATATTGAGACTGCCACCTAGTAATCTGTGCTCCTTGTACACTGACCCAACAGTTTCACATAAGAATAACATGGAAATTCCAATGTGGCTGAAGAGAGAGAAGGACAGATGTGGACACAGAGAAGGTCAAGACATGGGACAACCTCAAGGGAAAAGGAGATCTAAAGACTGAGGGGCTAGTCCTCAGACATGATGGTGCCAGTAGCAGGTGGGGTGTTACTGAGCAGACTCCTCCAGCCGTCCCAGTGCAGGCACAAGAAATGGCTCTGGCAGTGACTGCCGGGGAAGTGGGGAAGGCTGGGGCCTGAGAGTGGGCCCTCTGTTCGGCCACAGCCACTCCCTCACCTCAGGGCTATATCCCAGTGAAGTTGACATCTCACTCATGACCCTGACCTCATGTCATAGGGATGTGGGGCATGTCCTCCAGTACCTACTACCCCCCAGGCCACCCCCTCACACCACAGACAGCCTCAGCTTAGATCCACGGAGAGAATAGCACCAGCGTCCAACACAGCAAACAACTCTCAAATTGCTTCTCTCTGACTCTGTGACATCCTGTCTCATTTGGTCTAATGTGAAAATTCATCTGCACTTCCTGGATATTAACCATCTGCTGCTGGGAGGCACATGGAGTTGCAGGCAGGTTGGCCAGGGCTTGGGACCAGCGTTCCACACACATTCCTTCTCAATTCCTCATGAGAAGGAGAGGACGGGCACTGGAATCACCAGAATGCCTAAGCGCCCCTCCCACGTGGAGTCCTCATCAGGCTTCAAAAGCCAGACTTGAGGTACCCACTCACCCAAGGGCACAGGGATCAGTGGAGGGAATGGGCCCAGGCTCTGACACGTCTTTCTCCTTTTGAACCTGGCCTCCACCCTCTGTCAGCCAGAGGCAGCTGATTGCACAAAAGCACTTCTAGGAAATCCTCTTCCCTTCTCATTTTAAAGGCAGAGGCGCAGGCAGCTTCTGCAGTCACTCCTTGCTCTTCCTCACTCATGGAGGGTCCAGAAATTGATTGCAGGACAACTGGCTCTTTAGTTCCAGCCCAGAGGAGACAGTAACAACCCAAGATTGGCATCTGTGGAGCACCCATGCCCCGGGTGCTGTCTGGTGTTGTCCCCTCAGCAGCCCGGTGAGGGGAGCAGTTATCAGAGGTGACATGGCTGCCCACACTGCAGGGCTAGCAAGAGACAGGATCAGGACAGCGCACTCCCCTGCCCTCCAGGGAGAAGAACCACCGAAGCAGAGGAGGGAAAGTGAGCCACGGGGCCGATGGGGCCGCCCCAAGGACCAGATGCTGGTGGGCATCCGGCAGCCAGCACCTCCTCTCTCTGCCCAGGGGCTTTCTCTGAAACCTGGAACCTGCTCTGCCCGCAGACAAGGCAGCCACAAACATCCCTGGGAGTGGGCCTGACCCAGGGTAGACAGGAGTAGCGCTCCCTCATGCCTCCCCCAGGGCCTCCCCGTCCCCCGAGGCCCCAGCAGGATTCAATCCCAGTGACCACAGAGCTAGGTGGCTGACTCCCACCCTCACTCGCCATCACTGCCCCTTCCTCCCTCACTGCCCCCTTCTCCAGCTGCTTCCTGAGACCCCTTCCAGACCAATGCTTCATCCCAAAGCCTGTCTTGGGGTCTGCCCTGGGCAAATGCAGCCTGAGACACCCCCTTTCTGGTGGGCTGGCCAGACCATCTGCCTTCACTGTGGGCTCACAGCCCACTCACAGGACAGCCCTGGGCCCACCGTCCTCCCGCATCTCCATGAGAAGCAGGTCTCCTCCAGGCCCCTGACTGACCCCACAGAGCTGCTCAGAGAGCACTCGGGGCATGAGGGCCTGACAGCGGCATGCTCAGGACCCAGCGGCTGCTGTGTGCTCCATGACCTTTCCCGGGAGTCCCCTGCAGGAACCTCACCCTATATGGGTTGCCCCCGCCCAGCCTCTTCTCCCCACCTCTTCCTGTGCTTCCTGGGATCACCTTCCACATAAACTGCTGTGCCCAAAGTCTTGCACCAGGGCCTGCTTCTGGGGAACACGGTTGTGTTAGGGTGGAGGGTCCCCTGGCACTGGCTGTGAAGTCTCTGCGGTTCAAGCTGGAACTGAATATCAAAACCCCCAGAAGTGAGGTGCTGCTGCCGGCCGTGTAAGCCTGCTTATCCCTCTGCTTCCATGATCAAGTCAAGGCTGATACCCTCTCATGCCTCCACAGGAGCCCCAAAGCAGGGAGTGCTGCCCCAGGCCACCACCCAGTGCCCCTCTCAGGGACATCGCCGCCGGGCTGGTGGATGGAGGCCATGACCGCTCTTGATAAAGCCGTTGCATGGTGGGCAGTCTGTAGGAGCTGACTTACCCTGGGAGAGCAGCAGCCCCCACAGCAGTGGGCCCACGCCCCATGACATCCAGAGTCCTTCTTTGCACATATGACCACACATTCCTCCCCATACATTCGCCCCCACCTCCAGCCCTTCTTCCCCTCCCTGACACAAGCATCACCTTTAAGGTCTTTCCTGTGTCTCTTTCTCTCCAATGCAGGAGGACTCCCTCCCTCCATGTCTCCGTTTCACTGGTCAAGAGGAAACAGACACTATTTCTAGAGTTAAGCATGTGTGCACCAGGCTCCGGAATCCTGCTTCAATAGCCCTGGGTGATGGGTATTTGTGTTGCCTTATTTCAGAGTTGCAGTAACTGAGGCTTGAGAAGTTTCTGTACCTCACACCAGGGCACATGGCTGGACTTAAATGCAGGTCAGCCTGACCCCTGAACCCAGAGTGTTCAGTAGGACACCATGTCACGTGGTGTTAGTTACATGCAGAGCAGAGGCTACAGGAGCCCGGGCCCCAAAGGGAGTGATGTCTGATGGAGAGCTAGTTCCATTCATGGCCAGGGAGAACCTTCGCCTTTTTGTGCCAGAGACTCCTCTGCGGGTCAGGTGAAGCCTACCGAGCCCTTCTCAGAAGGATGCTCCTAACACATTACCCAACATGCGTCGCCTTACAATGTCAACCAACTATACTGAAGTGGTTATCAACACTGTTTTAATAGCTTTTGCGGTACAGGTGGTTTTGGTTACATGGATGAATTGTACAGTGGTGAAGTCAGGTTTCAGTGCATCTGTCACCTGCGTAGTGTACATTGTACCCAATATGTAGTTTTTCATTCCTCATCCCCCCCCAGCCTCCCCCTTCTGAGTCTCCGATGTTCATTATACCACTCTGTGTCCTTTGCATACCCATTACCCATAGCTTAGCTCCCACTTATAAGTGAGAACATGTGGTATTTGGTTTTCCGTTCCTGAGTTACTCTACTTAGAATAATGGCCTCCAGCTCCATCCAAGTTGCTACAAAAGACATTATTTCACTCTTTTTAATGGCCTGTTAGTATTCCATGGTACATACATCCCACATTTTCTTTATCCACTCATTGGTCGATGGGCACTTAGGTGGGTTCTATATCTTTGCAATTGTGAATTGTGCTGCAATCAACATCCTCGTGCAGGTGTCTTTGTGATGTAAGACTTCTTTTCCTTTGGGTAGATACTCAGTAGCGGGATTGAAACAATTCGTGACTAAGACTCCAAAAGCAAATGTAAATAAAACAAAAATAAATAAATGGGACCTAATTAAACCTTCTGTACAGCAAAAAATAATAATAATCAGAGCAAACGGACAACCTACAGAATGGTAGAAAATATTTGCAAGTCATCAACATGTTTTTTTTGTTTTGTTTTTGAGACCAGGCTGGAGTGCAGTGGCACGATCTCAGCCCACTACAACCTTCACCTGCCAGGTTCAAGTGATTCTCCTGCCTCAGCCTCCCGAGTAGCTGGGATTACAGGCATGCATCATCACACCAGGCTAACTTTTGTATTTTTGTAGAGATGGGGTATCACCATGTTGGCCAGCCTGGTCTCGAACTCCTGACTTCAAGTGATCCACCTGCCTCGGCCCCCCAAAGTACTGGGATTACAGGCGTGAGCCACTGCGCCCAGCCACTCAAAATGTTTTTAAATACATGTGTGATGTGTTAATATATGTGCTCCTTTACTAACATCTTAAGCAGCAAGTTCACTGGAGGATCTAAGAATTACTAAAATTTCAAAGTCCCAAGATGCCTGCAACCACCATCCATCCACGATAAAAAAAACCCTCTGCAATGTCCGTGGGAAAAGTCACCATGGTGGAACTCAATTCAGAATCAAAAGTAACGCAAAATCTGAGTTTGAAGCTAGTAGAAATAAAGATGAAATTTGTTTTCCTTCCAAGTTCACAGTCATCTGAATTTTACGCCCAGCCCCTCAGGAATCCATGAACCCCTGGTTAACATTTCCCCAGACATGGGATCCCTACCCCAGCTCCTGCCCAGGGTTTAAGTCGTCCCCTCCCTTCGACCACCATGGTTAGATTTCCTCTTTCCAGTGGTGCAGAAAACAGCATAGCCATGGGGATCTGTTGCAATCCTCTGAGTCCCTGGAAGTCTCCCCACACCCCCTGCCCTCTGCTTCAGCTCCTTCCTGTGCCTTGCATAAGAATTCCGGGCACAGCCAGGCAGGGCATGGAGGGAAAGCCTGTGCATTAAAAACATAGGTTTGCAGGCCAGCTGCATCACCTGGAGATCTGTGTAAGGCCCAGGAATCTGCATTTAAACAAGCCCACAGGTGAGTGCATTGCATAGCCTAGGGGCCGTATTTTGGGGAACACTCCTGCAAATTCAGTGACTTCCTCCCAGTCCCAAGCCCTCTCCTCCAACGTCATACCTTAACCCCTTCAGGCAGGAGACCCCCTGCTGCCCCCAGGAGCCTCAGCCCCAGAGATTCTGCAGTGTCTAAGTTTTCCACAGTCGCCAATCTCCACGGCATGAAATGCCTTGACTGTGCCCCTCACAAGCAGTCCCAGAGCCCTCCCTGCAAGAGGAGATCCAGGCAGTGACTTGGATGGCAGAGGATGGCTGGCTGTTTCCTCCAGAGACAAGGCTAAGCCCAGGAGAGCACTACCCAACGGCACAGGCTCAGACCGCATTCACCCTGCAGGGAGGCTGAGCTTGGCAAGGGAGAGGGCATCAGAGCCTGGCAGGAAGCCACAGGTTCTGCTGTGCTCAGCAAGGAGCCATCGGGGTGGGGACAAGCAGGTGACCCAGGGGCCTGCCAGGGAGGCTGACAGAGCTCCGTGGAAGATGTAGAGACTTTCTTCTTTGTTAAGCCAAGCCTGGAGGTAGAGCACTGATGGGTGGGGGAGGAGGAGTGAGGGGAGGAGTGAGGGGGAGGAGAGGAGGAGGAGTCAGAAGAAGGAATGTCCTCCCAGCAGCTACCATTTTCTGAGCCTTCCACCCCCTGACTGTGCACCTACTGCAGACTTTATATACATTTTCCTCACTTCACCCTCAAAATACACATGTTACAGAAACCTAAGGAATCAAAGGGTTAATCCTTGGCCCAAGGCCCACAGTGTTTCAGGTGCAGACCCAGACATTGAGCCCGGGACTGTGGCTCCACTTGTGCAGGAAGCAGTAGAGGCTTAGCGGGAATTCGGGGTGCATGCGAGGGGGACCTTAGATTCTCAAGTCCCACGCAGAACAACACTGGATCATTATGAGCCCCCAGAACCCCTCTGAGAACCATCCTGCCCGAGCCCTTTAGGGAGCTCAGATCCCTGAGTCCCAGGACAGAATGACACTGGATCATCATGAGCCCTCAGAACCCCTCTGAGAACCATGAGCCCTGCAGGGATCTTATATCCTTGCATCCCAGGCAGAGCGACACTGGATCACTTTGAGCTCCCAGAACCCCTGAGAGCTGTTCTGCCTGAGCCCTGAGCGCAGGTGCCACCTTGCCCTGCTCTGAGCAGCAGCGTGGAAGGGCTCTGAAAAGGAAGCTGTAGTTGGTCTGAAGCTGCCCCTCCGTGCCCAGTGGAGTCAGCTGACCAGCGCTGAGTTCTGGTGCAGAACTCGCAGCACTTTCCTGCTGTGGGATCTGTAGTGCATGCCTTACAGCCTCTGAACCGCCTTGCAGAGATGATGAGGCTTCCTGCGGGGCTGTAGGCCGTAGGCCACCCCTCCGCCAAGCTCTGGCCCAGCATCACAGAGAGAGAAGGTCGCAGCCAGGGGGACCCAGAGGCCAACGTGGCTCCCTTTCCACTCCATCTCCCGGTTAGAAAGTTTTTTAAAGAGTCAGTTCAAAGGTTTTTGGTTTTTGTTTTTTGTTTTTTTTCTTGTTGTTATCCTGACAGAATTTTCATGGACTCTTTTGATCCACATAAAGCAAATTGAAAAGTGAATAACCTGGTTTGGCCTCATATTTATGAAAGGAGGAAACAGCCAGCTTTCTCTAAAGCCTGCACTTGACCTGATGTAAAGGAATAAGAAAAAAATAAAGGAGGGGATGAGGGGAGAGAGGGAGGAGCATGCTTTGAAGTTGAGAGGCCAAAAGGGATGTGTGATTAGCTGGGCCCTGAGCACGTTAAAGAAAATTAATCGTTCAGTCTATATTTAAGGCTGGATCATAATTTTGCTCTTCCACAATGAAAAGAGCTCACACTCTTTAGCTGTTGGCCTAAATTACTCAAGAGACCAAGACCTGGAAACAACTCTCCAGCTCATCTCAGAGCCAGAGACAGAGACCCCTGCTCCAGCCACAGATGGTGAGTTTGATAACCACCCAGGATTCTAAGAAAGGGAAACTATCATGCTCATCTGGAAAGTAATTGCCAAAGAGTGTCCCCTGAGTGTCCTGTCCTCCTCCTGCCCCAACCACTAGGCAGGCAGATTCTGGGGGAAAGTGAGAGAAGAAGCATAAAGCAGTACAAAGAAAATAGAGAAGGACATTCCTGCACCGAAAGAAGAGAGGTGGTTTTCTGGAAAGCGTCGTAAGAATAAAAAGCAGCTTCTGGCTGTGCGTGCTGGCCGTGATAAATGGTGTGCACATGCCAGTCGTGGATTTGCGTGCCTAAAAAAGTGTCATTGCCCAAACATTTCTTCTCAAAGTGTTGTCTCCACTGGTAAAGCAAGGCTGCCTCATGGCATCTAGCTGCACTTAAGTTGGTGGGATGGGAGGAGAGGCATCACACCCACAATTTCCATTGACACCAGTGCCCCAGACCTTGCATGCCTGCTCACATCCCATTGGTCAGAAGCAAGTCACATGGCCACAGATAAGTGCAAGGGAGGCTGGAAGATGTGGTCTCCAGATGTTGGCCACACCCTGGGCAAAAGGTTTTTTTGATCAGGAGACACCAGAGTCACTTTTTAAAGCTAACATCATCTCGGTAGCCGGCATTAATGGGAGCTGCTCCTTTAGCAGGGAGAGCATGGCTCAAGACCCTAGGCTGTAGACATGGTCATGTCACAGCTCCAAACAGCCAGTGACTTGGCATCCACAAATCCTCCCCTCCCATCTAAACCAAAGGAGGTCGTGAAACCAGGATGGGGGAAGACACGCGGGAAGATGAGAAACCCATGTCTTCAGGTGCTGAGCCAAACTTGGGAGTGACCCCTGCAAACAGAAAGCCACTGCCCACCCTCACTGCCACCACTCTCGGCAGCCTACAGAGGAACCTTCCTGAAGCCAGAGGGGCTGTAGGAGCAGCAGGGTCTGGATGTGATCTGAAAGTGTCCAAAAACCTCTGTAGACAACTGCGTACATTTAAAAAGGAAAGAAAATCTTTCTTCTGTGAAAACCTTGATTTTTATGCCAGGCGAGTATGAGGACCTCTATTTAGAGCCATGTCTCTCCTGGGGGACGCAAAGCCCTGGCTGCAAACCAAGGCTTCCCCGGAGCCAACCGGGAGCCAGGGGTGACCGCGGGCAGCCCCTTGGGCAGCACTGCAGGAGAGACCACCTAGGGCCGCAAGGACTGGCAAGGGAGCAAACACTAACCACCACCTCTGGGTAGGGCAGCTGGGCACGGATGCTCCCATCACAGAGATGGAGACCCAGGACAGGGCTTGAGGTTTGCAGCTGCTTCATCGGGGAAGGAGAGGACGTTCACACAGGGAGACTCGGGTCCTAGGCAAGCAGGGCATTGAAAAGAAAAGGCTGGCATTTGCCACGTCATAGGAAGTGATGGAAGCTTCGCTGCAGGGAGTCGAGCCTGAGCCCTACCCCTGTGGTGCAGCTGAATATTGAGTGCGGGAGGTGGCAGCAGTGGCAGCGTCCCAGAAGGGTCTAACAGGTCATGAGACCCAGGGCAGCACAGTGGAATCTGGCGGGGATTGTCCCCACTGTGGTGAGGATTGAAGCCATGCGGGAGTCAGCAGGCTCACCCAGCAGGAAGAGAGGAAGGCAGGGGCAGGAGCCTGCATTTCCACCGACCACCGTGAACATCTCCCTAAGTCCCCCAAGGCACCCTCTTCCGGTCTCAGGAGCACCTCACCCTGCAGAAAACGTTGCTCAACTTAGAAAGGCTGTCAGCAAGGTGAGCCCTTGGCTGGTGTCTGGGCACTTGGATTTCCCGATCATTCCCAGGATAGATACAAGTGGATCCCTGTGTCTACACTGTCTGTACAGCAGTGAGGTTGATGCTGAACCTCTGCTCTCCTCTAGGAGTCTGGAATTTCGGCACGTGTCAGACAGAGGCTTCCTTCATGATCAGCCTCCGGTAAAATCCCTGAGTTCTAGGTCTTAATGAACATCCCTGACAAGCAACACTTCACACGTGTTGTCACAGCTAGCTGCTGGGGAACTAAGCACGTCCTGTGTGATGCACTGGGAGAAGATTCTGGAAGTTCCACTCACAGTTCGCTGCTGGCGAACTAAGCACGTCCTGTGTGATGCACTGGGAGAAGATTCTGGAAGTTCCACTCACAGTTCACTGCTGGCGAACTAAGCACATCCTGTGTGATGCACTGGGAGAAGATTCTGGAAGCTCCACTCACAGCTCGCTGCTGGGGAAGTAAGCACAGCCTGCGTGATGCACCAGGAGAAGATTCTGGAAGCTCCACTCACAGCTCGCTGCTGGGGAACTAAGCGCAACCTGTGTGATGCACCAGGAGAAGATTCTGGAAGCTCCACTCACAGCTCACTGCTGAGAACTAAGCACAGCCTGTGTGATGCACTGGGAGAAGATTTGGGAGCTCCCACTGGGTTTGCTCCAGACTTCGCCATGTACCTTGTGCCTTTGCTGGCTTTGCCCTGTGTCCTTTGTCATAAGCCACAGCTGTGAGAGCCACTGTATGCTGAGTCCTGTGAGTTATCCTAGCGAATCATCAAACCGGGCGGTGATCGTTCAGATCCCCAACATAACACCCCAGCCCTCGTGCTCCAAGGAGAGTCTGTGCACCCCCTACCCTCCCCCCTACCCTGCCCCCTCCCTGCCCCTTGCCTCCTGGTCAAATGAGAGTCTGTGCCCCACCTCCTCCTGGCCCAAGGAGTGTGGGCCCTGAGGCCACCAAAGGCTGTTTCCTTTGGAAGCCCATGCTTAGGCTGTGGCCTCTCAGGTCCCTACCTGACTCCTCCAGCAAGCTGCCCCATGAGGGACCCACTCTCCTGAGGCCACAGAAGCCCTCCCAGCTGGGACAGATCCTAGAGCTTGCTAGCAGGGTCTGGAGAGGTCGGCTATGAAACTTCAGCCTAAAGGAAAGCACCAACCTCCTTCCCCAGCACTGCTCCCAAAATGCAGCCCAGAAGCCTCTGCACAGAGAGACCCCTGCCCAGCTCCAGCCTTGAGTGAAGCAGGTGACACAGTGAGGGGCCTCAGCCCTTCCCAAGCCACAGCCCAGCCTTACAACAGACATGCTAGTACAATAACCCAGAATATTCGCCCCAGAGAATATTTGATGTGTAGTAACAGGGGAATCACCTCAGGAGTTTCCGGCAGAGATTCTGGAGAAAGCATCTCAATCCCACTAGAGTGCGGATTAGGCCCGGTGTCCCACCCACCAGGCACCCCCAGGAGTGAGGAGTGGACACCATTGTGAGTCCCAGACCAGGCATGGCCATGCTGCTGATGTTGGGTTGATGGTGGGAAGAAAAATAATAGTAAAGTAAAAGGGGTCGGATTTCACTTCTCCTGCACTTTATGGAGACCAAGGCTTCCAGCCCCAGCTAATGGACCAGACCCTGGAGGCAGCTACACTCCCCACAAAAGGAAGACACTTTGGAAATAGTGTTGTCCCAACAGGGCCCAACCTCCTACTCACCCCAAGCCCCTTCAAATAGAGAAACTCCATTTTCCTAAAGGATTCACCAAGGCCCAAAACCACCCTTGCCCGTAGTTACAAATCACAGCCATTGCCCATCACAGAGTGGGGTCTGAGGTCAGCATGGCCAGCCGAGCTGTCAGCAAGCCCCAGAGTGTCCTGCTAGAAAGACCTGAGGAATCTGGTCATCCCTGGGGTTCCCAGACTGCTGGATAAATATCCTGGGAACTTCCAAGTGATGTGTATAAATTAAAGGGGAAAGAAATCATCCATCATCTGGAAGCCCCACAAAATCCTCTGCATGGCCCCTGGAAGAGATCTTGAGCCACCCCCGCATCTTCCATGTTGGAGTGGGTGCTGGTCAGGTCCCGCAGCGGTAGCTCTGTGGCTCCCCCTGCTCCCTTTCAGGAACAGCCATGTCCAGGGCATGGCCAGCCACAGCCAACTTCCCCTGCACCGTGTGCAAGTTGGGAAAGGAAATGATCTCACTGAAAGCTGTGGCTTCTAAAAGAATGACTGGAAAGAGAGGGAGGTTGGTGGTCAGGCACAGCTGGGGTAAACTTTGCTGCTGGCCAGCCCCGCTGTGAAATCTCAGCAAAGGACTTCACCTCATCCGCCTCAGTCTCCACATCTCTAAGCAGGAAAACCCCCTCCTCGCTCCCGATGGTGGAGGAGACAAAATGAAGCTCAGCAGATGACTTCACGCCCACGTCACACCCGATGCATCGAGTCCACATTTCCAAGCAACTTCCAAGAACACTGGTTCCACCCAATAAGGGGTCTGAGTTTTAGAGTGGGGAAGAAGGAAAAGAGGATCTTAGTCAATAAATTTGTTAAACTCGAGGCTAAACTGTGCTAAAGAGATTTCTTCAAAGCTGCAGTTCTCTGGGCCTTGAATTCAGGAATGTTAATTTTGAGTCTACAGGAAGGAGGGTAGAGTAGAGAGCATTTCATAAATATATTTCACTGTGGAACCCTCTCTTATGGATGGTGCTTATTAAAATCTTGCCAAAGCACAAAAATCATCTGGAAAATTAAGCCATTTTTTGAATAATTCAGGACTGGCTTTGCACTGTGATACATAATGCTATTAATTATTAAATAAGGTTTAATTACCAAGTAGTATAGATTCCTTTCTTTTGTCCAAACATATGGCTGCCATGGGCCATGCCGGCTCTCTCAGCCACGTCCCTCCCTTTGCCGAGGGGCTTTCAATGACAGCCACATGCACACGAATGGGCAAGTGACCCAGGCTGGGACCCTGGTGACCCACCACCTACACACTGCTTGGTCCAGAGGTGGCTCTGCTCCCATGCAGGGCCAGTCGCCTTCCACAGCGTAGCTACGTGACAAGTAGGGAAAGCCTCTTTCTATCAGGACAGTGGCCTGGAAAAAGACATCAACAGCAGGGTGAAGAAGCGACCAGACCCAGAGGGAAGCTGAGGGCAGTGGGGGTACAGGGGACCCTGACATCTTTGCGTCCCTAACTGTTGCCACCTCTAGATGCAGCCCTGAGCCTCCCAGTTACGAGAGTCATGACATCCCTTTTTATGCCTACGTTGGTTTTAGTGGAGTAAGTTAAGCAGCATGTAAATGTTGAACTGGCATGAGTGATTTGGGTAACCAGGTCATCATGCACTGATATTCTCACTCCGTAACTCCTCGATTCTGTTGCCTTAAACCTTCTGAGAACAAGACAGGAAACACATAGTCTTAACAGTAGTGTCAAAGTCAAATAAAATTGTAGAGATAAATTTTTAAATCTCATGTTTTATTTGAGAAGGAAGAATTGCAATTTGGGGCACACACACAGACCAGGTGGTATTAGTCATGTAAAAAGTACAAAGAGGAGGTTGGAGGTTTTATAAAAAGGAGAAATATCATGTACTGATCTTTGAGAAAGTTTATTGGCACTAGTAAAGCTTTGGGGAGTTGACAAGCTCTGGTTGGTGAGTGACGGAGGGTAAAATTAGTCTTAGATTTGCAGCAGGTCCCATTAGATAAAACTGATTTCAGGTCACCACAGGCAGTTTCAGCAGTCAGGCTTGCAGGGAATTATATTTCAGAGCAATGTTATGTGACCTGAGTGCTTTTTGCCTCTGGCTCCTTGACTCTGTTTTGGTTGGGTGTGACAAGAATGACCCAATTCGTACAATCAACATTCACAGTAGCAGCTAAGTCATAAGATTCATGTTTTGCTTCCTTGCATATTTTATAGTACCTGACCCATTGCCTTGCATGGACTCCGGGTTCATTAAATATTCATGGATTACGATAACAATGCCGTTTCTGAGCAAAGCATTCAGTAAGGAACCTTGAAGGTGAACGTTCTCACCATTATCTGCCCCCCGGGGACTCCAGGCTGGGCTGTGCCATCCTGCAAACCCCCAAATCATCCTTCAGGATGCAGGAAGAACATGCTGGAACTTCTATTTATAGCTATTTTAAGCTGCAAACATATCTATTAGGCTTCACTAAGATTTAATGTGATTAACAATTACACACATGTATAACTTACGAAATGCATGTATCTGGGTATAGCTGGGAGTTTTTCGGTTTTGTTTTTGTTTGGTTTTTAATTGATGGGGCAGAGTAAAAATGCAGGGAGTGCAGCCTTCTAATAACCAGAGCTTCCAAAGTCCAGAGGCCCAGTTGGCATAGGATGGTCCCTGGATAACCCCAATTCTCAAAGTGGGATCCCTGGACCAGTTCATCAGCATCTTCTAGAACCTCCTCAGAAATGCAAATTCTTGAGCTCCACCCCAGACTCACTGAATCAGGAACTCTGGAGGTGGGACTTGGGAGTCTGTGTGGATGAGCCCTCCAGGGAATGCTAATCAGCTCAAGATTGATGACCTCTAGATAGCCAAGGCCAAATTCAGGTCCATGCACATATTGCCCAATACCATGTCGAAGGCACCCCGGTGACCTATGTGAGCAAACGTGTTCGGTTCATATCACTGTTCTTGTAGCCCATGACTAAGCTCACGGGGAGGAGTGTGGTGTGTAGTGCAGCCTCACTACAGCCCTGTGGCAGCTTCAACACAGAGATCCCAGTTTCCTTGACACTCCGGCCCACATGAGATGGGGTCTGCCTCCCTCTCCTTGGATCTAGAGGGCTGTGGCTTCTTCGACTGGCAGAGCATGGCAGAAGTGATGCTCGGTGACTTCTGAGGCTGGGTCAGAAGAGGACACAGAGCTTCCACTTGGATCTCCTGGGATACCTACTTGTGGGACACTCCCTCTTAAAGACCATCACTACCCTGGTTTCAAGGCTCAGCCCGACGAGCGGCCATGGGAGGTGCTCCACCCGCAAGCTGAGCCCAGGCCAGGAGCCGAGCGTGGGAGGGAAGATGCTCCCTCGGAAGAGCCCTCAGTCCCGGATGACTCCACCCCACTCGGTCTTCTCAACTGAGGACCCAGAATCATGGAGCAGAGACAAAGCTACCCCTGGCCCTCAGCATCCGTGCCCATAACACGATGAGTGCAGGTTGCTTTCCAGCCCTAAGTTTGGGGGATTTTGTGTAACAGCAATAGATAATTGGAACCTGCAGTCTCCAACACACAGCCTGAGAGTGAGGGCTTCTCCTAAGCGCTCCACAAAGTGTGCAGCAAAGGTGGGTGTCGGGGCAGGTGCAGAGCTTCATCTTCCAGCCCTAGAGTTTGGGACCTTCAAAATGTATCTAGTCCACCCCCTCCCTTTACAGAGAACTGTGAAACACAGAGACCCGTGGTGACTCAGTTAAGCTCCCAGGATGAGCCAGCAGCAGAGCTAAATGAGACCCCAACACAAGACAGCTCCGGAAAAGTTCACAGACTGGAGTGGGACCAGCCCAGGTTTGAATTCCAGCTCTGCAGCTATGAGCAATTTTCCAAGCACCATCTTCATTACAGCACCAAGAAGGAGATCCAATTAAGTGAGATAAGGATCACTGCGCAAAAGGCAGGCCCTGGCTGGTACCATGGCTGCTGTCACTGTTCCCGCTACTGTCCCCCACCTGGCCGGGGTGGGTGGACCCATCCCAGGACTTTTTGTGGATGTGAGTTTAATTGAAGAGCCCAACGCTGTGTGGCTTCTCTGGCCTGCTGTGAAATCGCCCAGCCCACCAGGGAGCTGATCCGATGAGTTCCAGTCCTCAAGTGTTCCCTGACCACTTATGCCCTGACTCAGCACCACTGTTATTTAGGGCATGCACAGGAATTAACCAACTGCTAAGACAGGATGGAAATCCTGGAAAAGGAAAACAAGGAAATGTAGAGATGGCTTCCCTCCTGCCTCTGAGGCCCTCTCATGCTTCAAGCGGAGCTGTGTCCCTCCACCCTTGGCCAGCATGGGACCCACGCTGACCCCAGGCAGGGGAACACAGCAACAGAGAGCAAGCCGCACCGTGCATGGCACACCACACTGCCACTGAGCCCACTCTAACCATGTGGCCCAGCTCCAGAGGTGGACTTTTCCTTGTGCCTTTGGAGGAGCCTCTGCCTTCTTATCCCTTCCAGACCAGGGTCTTGCCTCTTTCTGCAGCTCGGTATTTCCGAGAGCAAGAACATTCTCCTTCAGTGCCTGATGCTGCCCCTAGATCCTTGCTGCCCAGTCTTGGATTTCACTGATGGCAGTTATCAGTTTACATTGGCTAGATTTAGGTTCAAGTGGCACAAATAGCAGTGGCTTAAACAAGATTGTCATGCATCCTTTGCATAAAGGAGGAACAAAGATAGGCGTCCCTTGGCTGATGAGTCCAAAGTGTCAGGGACTTGCCTGTCTTGCTGCCCCACATACTGGGACAGAATAGCTGCTTAATCTCCAGCCATCACATCTACATTCTAGGCATCAATAAGGAGGCAGTTTTCTGGAAGTGCCATAAAACACTTCTCTTTACATCTCATGGCCGGAACTGAGTGGTATGGTCACATACAGCTGTAGGGGACACAGAAAATACGAGAAGGTAAAAGTGGATGAGGGACAGCCATCACCATCTCGCAGTGGAAACCCAGGCCTCTTATTTGGTGTTGTGCTCTGTCTCCTGTTCCTAGATCGCCCCCATGCCAACCGCCCATGTCAACCTCTCCTGGTGGAGCTACTGGGACCTCCCCGGAGCCCAGGACCAGTCCCTGAGGGTCTTACTGTGCTCGGCTCCAAGCCTTCTCCAAGCCAACTCGAGCTGGTAAGGAAGGGGCCAGTTCAGAGCCATGGAGTCAGGTGAGGGAACAAGAAGCCCTTTCTCAGCCTTGGAGGGTGGGGGCTGCACTCCATCTTGGCTCCCTGAGATCCAGGTGACCCCGGCTTGCCCACCAGGCAGCAGCTGCACACCTCCTGTTCCATCCTCCACCCACACCTGCTTGGGAGTAGAAGCAGACCAAAGTCAGCCCCACCCCCGCCCTGCAGACCCATGCCAGTGGACCGATGGTGTCACCTTAGCAACTTGCCATGCAAACGTCTGACGAACGCCAGCTCCCCTCCATCCTGCCAGCTGCCACTTTCCACATGCATGCCACTTGCCCAGAGTTGGCCACATTTCCCATATGTGTGAAGGAAGCAAATCCCTGGACCCTGAATCTGTATCTAGGGTAGGGCCTAGGAATTAGCTGTATAAGAAGCACCCTCAGACCTCATTGTCATAAAACAAGATATCTGTGCAATTACCTTCACACGTGACTCCGCAGACCTCTCACAGCTCTTTTTGACAGGTCAGTACTGCCCGGCATCCTGCCTGGAGTCATAAAAATCCCCCAATTGCCCATTCTGTAACCGTGAGCTGCTGTCAGCCTCTTCTCAGTGAGGAACTGACTTGACCCTCATTAGCAACTGCCAACTTAGTAAAGCCCATAAGACTATTTAACGCCCTCCACTACCAATTAGTTATGAAGTGCCCCAAGAAGATGTTCTCATAATGCCCGTGGCTTGCATGGGTGCCCCTGGTGTATGTCAATATATGGGTCAAAGAGCCTTGATAATTTCACAGGATACCCCAAAGTTCACTTCATTAGCAAGCCTCATGCAAAGCAAGTCAGCAGCAGTAGCAGAGTAATTAGCAGCTCTAATTGAAAGACCAGCTCCCTAATAATCCTGCAGAGCCTGGCATCTGGGTCTCGTTGCTCCTAGAAGGCAACTCAAGCTGGTAAGGAAGGGGCCAGTTCAGAGCCATGGAGTCACCCCACACACTGGCAGCCCCGCGCTCCAGCACCCTGCTCAGAGCCAGGCAGGGTCGCATGTGAAAAATCTGTAACCCTCCTGTTTACTGCCTGTTTGTCCAGAGGCCCTCAGGAAGGTCCTGATTACAGAAGGGCTTTGATTTTTTTCCCACCCATGCTGTTTGACATATTTAACTTTGCAAGTATAAGATACATAGAAAACACAAGGCAGAAAATAGCTGATAGAATCACTCCTGTGTCTCCACACTACTTTGGGGGTCTCTGGTCCCATTTCTTGTTGGGTCAAGGTTTTTCTTGATTGGCGGGGTTGGGTTTTAGACACAGGAAGAAAAGTGAGTGGGTGGGTCAGCCTCTGAAGCCTCTCCAGCCTGGCTCTCCTTATTACTTTGGCCCCAGACATTTGAAATCACAGTGTCATAAAAATTGACTGTTGCTCTCTACTTGGGAAGCAAGCTATAGCCCTGCCACCCTGCCCTCCTAGTGCCTGCTGCCACCTTGGAACTTAATGAGGCTTCTAGCAGCGAGTTCTCTCCTGCCCTCCACCTATGCCTGCCACACGTCAGGGTCCCTGCAGGACTTGGTGTCCACAGAGGACATGGAAGGCCAGGGGGCCTTGGAGAAGGTGCTCAGGGAACCAGTTAGCCACCTGACACTCAGCAGCACTGTCTTCCCATCCCTGGAGCCTTCTCTGACCACCGAGGCCTCCTTGACAGCCCCAAAACCTCCCTCCGAAGCCCTGGAGCCCCTGCCTGTGCATCACGTCACCCTTCCCAGCTCTGCGGGTCACTACCCTGTTCCCTGCTGTACCCCTACACCCCACACAGTGCTGCTGCAGGGCAGAGGAATGGAGGGCAAATACCCTTGTGAAGTACTCCCTGAGTCCTTTAACCACCATCAAGATCTGTTTAAGGGCAGCAGGAAAACCCAAGAATAAATACTACAGGTGAAGAAGTTATTTGTATTAAAATAAACATATTCAACTCTGCATATCCAACACACCCTCTTCCATACTCATCCCAACACTACTCGGGTGTCTGTGCATATGAACCAGCTGATGTCGACCCTCCCGATCTGCAAGCAATCTCACGGGCTGGGTCTTAGGCGTCCACACCTCAGCCATCTGACCTGCAGCTGAGAGGCTATCACCAGACACCTCCCTCCCGGGGCTGAGACCATGCCATTGTTATCTGGGGTCAAAGCAGGTAGAGCCCAGTGCGGGGAGGGTGGGGCTGAGGGACAGGCTGGGAGAATGGGACCCCGACCCTTGAGCCAGAAACCTGGGGCCCTGGGCCATGCTCCTGGCCCTCATCCCCTTAAAATGCCACAGGCCGAGTGGACAAGTCTGCCAAATGACCCCAAGAGGGACAGCGCCCCAGGACATGTCCCAGGGGCATCAGTAACAGCCTCTACTGCCCCCACCAGCTCCAGGCTGCTCAACCCCGCCTGACCCCACCCAGCCCTGGTCCTCTAAGACCAAGAAGGATGCTGGGGGCTGGGCCCACACTGTCCCCTGGTCCCCAGTCTGAAGAGGTGAGAGGGGGAGAAGGAAGGTGCAGCAGTCCCTACAGGTAACCAAAACGATGCTTCTGTTCTCACCCAACCCGTCCTGTGGGGGAATGGGGAGGGGGTAGAGGGCTCAAGGGAACAGCCCAGCCCCAGGATGATTACCATCCTCTCCACCTTCTTGTGTGTTTGATAATTTTACAATAAAATGTTGGGGTAGAGGGGAAGTATGATGAATAAAGGCTAGCCCTGAAGAATGAATATCTGTCCTAACCTTCAACTGAGCGACAAACCGTCCCATGGCCATGGCAAGGAGGCCTGGCCCTTCAATGCGTCCATCTGGCTTGCCAGCCAGAAGGGAATCCTGAGGCAGTAAGATCTGCCAGCCAAACACTGTATAACAGAGGTGTTTTATCTCTTCCGTGCTCAGGCAAGGTCGTTGGATAGGAAGCGTGACCATGGGAATGCTGGGATGTCCAAGTGTTTTCTTAGTGTGGCGAGTGGATTTTCAATGGAATCCTTTCATCTTGTGAACTCCCACACAGGCGTCCACTACAGAAACTGGGGAAAGGCATCCCAGGTTTCTACAAGGAAGAGCCTGGAATTCTCTGCCTGCCCTCCCTGCAGGAGGCCTCCAGCAACACCAGTGAGAGCCACTGGCCTGCAGAGGCCTCTGCCCTTCGACACAGGGGCGTGCGGCTCGGCTGCCTCTCAGGCTACCTGGCACCAGGTCTGGAGGCATAGCTGCCTGGGCCAGCCAACCCCACCTATATTTCATGGCCGTTGGGGGGCAGGCATTGCGTGGTGTCCACATGGACTCCAGGGGTCACGACAGCAAAGATCCAGTTCCTTGAAGCTGCCAAAGGACACAGCCAAGCAGAGGTTCTGCTGAGCAGAGGCCCTGTCCATCCTTCTCAGGGCTTCCTGTGAGCCCCAAATCCCCAGGGCCCTGGACATCCACACAGGTGCCCCTCAGCCCCACTCCACCGTCCCACACATGTTTGGAACAGGAAATTGTGTTTATTTGTTTGTTTGTTTGTTTGTTTGTTTTGACATAGTTTAGCTCTTGTTGCCCAGGCTGGAGTGCAGTGGCATAATCTCTGCTCACTGCAACCTCTGCCTCCCAGGTTCCGGTGATCCTCCTGCTTCAGCCTCCTAAGTAGCTGGGATTACAGGCACCCACCACCACACTCTGCTATTTTTTTTTGTATTTTTTAGTAGAGATGGGATTTCACCATGTTGGCCAGGCTGGTCTCGAACTTCTGACCTCAGGTGATCCACCCGCCTCAGCCTCCCAAACTGCTGGGATTACAGGCATGAGCCACCTCACCTGGCCCGGAAATTGCTTTTTATGTGACACCGGGACTGAAATGCATCTTCCTTCAACGCTTCAGTACACTAGTCAAAATAAACACAGTTCACTGACATTTCCATTGTTCATAACAAAGCCTACCTCTGGAATACAGGCTCTTGGTTTAGGGTTTTGGTTTTGAGCCGGCTACCAGGGAATTCAATCAACCCTAAGTCCACAGGCTCAGAGCCCTGGAGACCCAGTGGAGCAGGGATACAGGGAGGGTTTTTCTCTTCCCAAGATGGAAAAGTGCTGGTCTGTGCATGTGTTCTGAAAGATGCAGTTCCACTGACACCTTCTCCTGCATCTCGAGGAGCTTGTGAATGCACACCCAGTGAAGAAAGACCCCCTTTCCGAGCTGCATTCAGATGATTCATGCATTCAGCGTGGGGAAGCCTGAGGCTGTGTCTGTGATGAGTGCAGACCTGTAACCACAGCAGCATCAAGACCAGGAGCTTTGGTGCATCTGGGCCCACCTTGGCCCCTGGCAGCACTGCTGGCAGGAGACCCGAGGGAGGCCATGGCCTGGCACACCTGCCAGACCTGTACAGAGAGCCCAGCACAGGCGGAGCAGCCCTGGCTCCGTCACGGGCCTGCCTGAAGCCCCAGCAAGCAGGAGGAGCTGGAGAACAGAGCACTAAGGCCTGGGTCAGGATTCTTCTCCTCATTGTGCTCATCTGCAAAATGGGGCTAAGGGAGGAGGCCGCACGTTCTTTGTTTGTGGAGCACCTGCCATGTGTGCTGCTCCTGCAGCTGAGGAATCCACTGTAAAGACCACAAGTTCACTTCCACCTCACAATACCCATCCCCCAGAGATTCTCAGCTTGTCCCGCACTTTCGAAAGCTCTTCTGTCGTGACCTATGAGTAGAGAACAGTGAACACTCTATCATTATGGTTCAGACCAGGACACTTTCGAGAGCAGAAACACTGCCATTAGTCACAGCGCTGGGGCAGCAGGCACGAACAAGGACTGTCCTGAGAAGTTGGTGTTGTCCGAGCCTGGGGCTTTGGAAAAGCCCTCTACAGCCCGAAAGCTCTCCCCTCCTTTTCTGTAGGACCTTTATCATGGTGCAGAGGTGTTAATGCCATAATCAGAAACGAGGCTTATAACACAAATACCCCTGGGAGAGGTCAGGAGCTGATCTGAGTTCCTGCCCACACTCAGGCTTTGATTGGCAGGGTCAGGGGGCACATAGTGAGAGAGGCACAGGGCCGGCCTAAAGGGAGAAATGCTGCGGATACACGAAACTGAGTCTGAAGACAAACCCCAGCCCCCTCCAGCCCCGAGTGCACTTACCTCTCAAAGTGTTTAGAGCCACCTGGCCCATCAACAGGAGTATTTGAGATCAGTGAGAAGGTTCTGTCCATCCGTCCACACATGCTGGCATCTGAGCCTGGAAAGCAGGCCCTCAACCCTTCATTCCATGTGGCCTGAGGCTCCTGGCAGGCTGTCAGTTCTTATGGGGACCTCTGGCCTCAAGGCCCAGCAGGAAAAGCAGAGAGAGGCCACTTGCAGTGGGTCGCTGCTGCCCCACCCATGTGTCTTCACCTCCGCAGGCTTTGAAAAGGACACACACGTGTGAAGATAAAAGTTTCATTTAGTCATGAGCAGGTAACTGTGTCCTGTCTCTATTGGTGGAGGATGAGCAGGGCTTAGCAATAACCCTTTTTTAGGCTAACAGTTGCCAGGCCATCCCCACTCTTTGTTGGCTAAACTGTGGATGTCCTAAAGAAAACGGAGGACAAGAGGTTGAAATAAAGTAAACAAGGAGCAGTTAGAGTGGCCTCCAGAACCACCAGCCCAGAAGAGGAACTCTTGTCATTCTTAGGCCTACTCCATGTGCCGCACCCAAGGTCAGAGCCTGCCTGGGACGTCACACACCCGGTGGTTTATTCAGGTGGAACACAAAGGCCTGGCCATTCAGACCCAACTCAAGGCAACTCCCAGGAGTCATTCCGGCTCTAGAGCTCCATCACCAGGCCCCTGTGGCAGTTCTGCACATGGCTCCCCCTGATCCTGAGAGCCCTGCTTAGGAAACGCCTGCATGGCAACCTCCATCTCAGAGTCCACTTCCGGGGAACTTAACCTGCCACAGTAGGCACTCAAAGATGTGCTGACGGGTGATGTACTCAAGATGCCCTGTGTATGCATGCACATATGAATGCATGTGTCTGTGAGTGCAAGTGTGCATATTGCTACATGCACGTACAGGCACGTGTGTGTGCATATGTGTGCACACGTCTCTGTGCATGCTACCTAATTGCCCTGTCTGGCAAAGTCTGGGTCCCCAAACAGAACGAACTGGTAAACATCCCACAGCACCAGCACTTCCCTGTGTCATTTTTCCTGGCAATCCTGTGGCTTTAAAGATTTCAAATATGAAGAAAGTCCCAACCTCCTAAGAAACATCAGTCATGGTAAACCTTCAGCGTCTTGTGTCTTGTTTCACAATGGCTAATTCCCACTGCAGCTGGCCTCACCTGTGCAGGGACAATCTCGCAGCACCAGCTTGAAATTAATGTGAAGATTAATCAAAGGACATCATTTCTCCAACGAAGCTTTGTGGAAATAAAATGGGCCTGTCAGAGCCCAACTTATTACAAATTCTTGATACAGACAAAAGGTGGTAGATTCATCTTGCTGCTCAGGCAGACACTCAGCAAAAAGGTTTTCATCAGCCGCTTCTTCCTAGAGCACACAAATCCGCGTGTCCTCCATGGGACGCAGGGAAGGAGCCACAGGAGAGGCGATGACCTCAGAAAGAGATGGCAGTGTTGCAGTCACACAAACTAAGGACAGCACAGTGCAGGGAGCAGCCCCCTCCCTTCCCAGATGCAGCAGCTCCTGCCAATTTTCTCTGGAGTCCCAGCATGGGCAGCCCTGGGCCCCCACACGCAGGCAGAGCTATCCTGAAGGCCACACCCATTGCCCCAATCAACCAACACCATCAGTGTGGCCAGCCAACGATGCCCAGGCCCCACGGCCCTGCTCCAAGCATTAGTCTGGTTGTATCCTCAGGAAGCTCTGAGTCCAGCAGAGGATCCCATTGAGTCAGCAAGGGGACACTGGGGGCTTCTGAAGCTCAGAAGAAAAGGCATCCAAGTGGCTTGGGAGCTTCAGAGTTTCCTGGGAGAGGGAGCATCTCACGGGACATGGCTCCTGTATGGGGTAGAAGCAATGGTGCAAAGACAGAAAGTATGGGACACATTTGGGAGTGTGGCAGACATCCAAGAAGCTGGTGTGCTTGGAGTGTAGAAGTCCAGGAGGCGTAGCTGAGGAATCAGCTGGCAGAGGTGCCAGGCAGTTGAGGGCGGGGGCCTGGGGCCGGCTGGGGGATCTGCTACTCCATCTCACACCAGCTCACCCTTGCACAACTTAACACAGAGAGCAGTGCACACTCCCAGTCCTGCCGCTGCTGAACGCTGGTCTGCTGGCCACAGCATGCTCTCAACTGTAGGCTGACCTTACTCCACGTGGCCTCTTCCTGCCATTAACATTCTGTCATTCTGTTTCCAGGGGAAAAACTTTTTATTTTTTATTTTTTAATTTTTTTTTAGATGGAGTCTCATTCTGTCATCCAGGCTGGAGTGCAGTGGGGCCATCTCAGCTCACTGCAACCTCCACCTCCCAGGTTCAAATGATTCTTGTGCCTCAGCCTCCAAGTAACTGGGATTATAGGCACGTGCCACCACATCCAGCTAATTTTTGTGTTTTTTGTAGAGACAGGGTTTCACCATGTTGGCCAGGCTGGTCTCGAACTTCTGACCTCAAGTGATCTGCTCGCCTCGGCCTCCCAAAGTGCTGGGATTACAGGTGTGAGCCACTGCCCCTGGCCTCCAGGGGAAGGACTTTATTGTAGCAAATTGTACAATAGCTTTCCAAAAAATACACGAACATAGGATACTTTAATGTGTAAGTACACTCTGGTTTTTTGTTTTTGTTTTTGTTTTTGTTTTCTGAGATGGAGTCTGGCTCTGTCGTCCAGGCTGGAGTGCAGTGGCATGATCTCCGGCCCACTGCAAGCTCTGCCTCCCAGGTTGACGCCATTCTCCTGCCTCTGCCTCCTGAGTAGCTGGGACTACAGGTGCCCGCCACAATGCCCGACTAATTTTTTGTATTTTTAGTAGAGACGGGGTTTCACTGTGTTAGCCAGGATGATCTCGATCTCCTGACCTCGTGATCCGCCCGCCTCGGCCTCCCAAAGTGCTGGGATTACAGGCGTGAGCCACCGCGCCCAGCTCACTCTGGTTTTAAAATGCAAGTTTTGCCATGAGTTGAAGGTAGATTAGCTCTTGTGGTTTCTTCTGCTGTGTAACAAACCTCCTAAACCTTAGGGGCTTGAAACAAATCACTCATTATCCTTCTCACAGACTTGCAGTTTGGACAAGGTATGGCCGCTCTGTGTTCCTTAAAATAGGAGTCCAGTGAGTTTGGAGACCATGAACAATTAATTCTGAGGCTGGCTGGTCTCAGTGGGCAGTGTGCTGGTTGTGGGGGCTGCAGGCTGTGAGATCGCATGGGAGACATGGGCTGTGTGATCATGTGAGGACTGTGGGCTGTGAGATCACATGGGGGCTACGGGCTGTGAGATCACGTGGGGGCTGCGGGTTGTGAGATCCTGTGGGGGCTGCTGGCTGTGAGATCGCATGGGGACTGTGGGCTGTGAGATCGCGTGGGGGCCGTGGGCTGTGAGATCATGTGGGGGCTGTGGGCTGTGTGATCATGTGGGGGCTGCGGGCTGTGAGATCACGTGAGGGCTGCAGGGCACAGTGCAAGGCAAGCTCCTCAGGAGGCCCAGGGCAGGGCTCTGGGGACAGGGTGGGGTGAGGGTCACTAAGGTTGAGGGAGTACACTGATACACCTGGGTTGACATGGCTGTCACAGCCCTGCTGATGAGAGCTGAGAGGAAAATGGAAGGGGGAGAGATGAGGGGCAGAGCTTTGGCAAATTAGACAAGCTGGGCCTGCACACACTTCGTGGGGCCAGGAGGACGTGGCCCTACTTCTGATCTGCAGGGCTGCAGGGCAATGGGCCTCTAGGGGCAAAGCCAAGACTTGGGCACCCCATAAAAGAGGCAGGAGCATCCTGGGAAACGTTGAGGGTGTCAGGGATCATGTTCATGGTGTCACAGGAGCTACCCAGGACTCGGGACCCTTTAGCTGGGGTACAGAAGGGCTTTCACCTCGGGCGGGCACTGAGGTCAGCAGAAACATGAGATGTCGGGGTGAACGAGCACTGTGCTTCCAGCTGAGCCTCCGGTGCTAGGCTCTCTGATACCCAAACCCTCCCTGGACAGCGGCCTGCAGCGCGGGGAGATGGGCGGTGCTGTTCCCATCTCATAGCAGAGGAATGGAGACCAGCACAGGGGGAGAACGTGTCCAGGGCTCCACAGCAGTAGGTGCTGGAGTCCTAAGAGGAAGTGCTGAGCAGTATCACGATTCTCTGGCCTCTCAGATGCTATTCTCATCCCTGCCTCATTCCCAGAACTAGACTCCCTGGGGTCACGTCTCACTGGTGATGCTAAAATCCTAATTCCTCCCCGTCCCTGCACCTGCGACCTTCAGTGTCAATGGCCCTCCCTGGAGCTGTGGGGCGAGATCAGCTTCTTGCGAGGACGCTGAGCGAACATGGTCTCGCTCCTGTGATCTCGGCCCAAGCTGCCTTCAGGCCCTGGTGTGAAGAGACATCACACACACAGAAGGTGACTGATCTGTGGGCTCCAGAAGCAACAAGCTCACGAAGGTCAGGAAAGGCCAGAGAGCGGCTGCAGGTGAAAGGAGGCATGAATGCAGCGTGGGACTCCAAACCTGGACCCTGGCTATGAAGGACATGACTGAGATGACTGGCCACACTCAAGGGGGCTGAGGACGGGCCGATTAAAGTGCTGAAAAGACCGGGCGCAATGGCTCACTCCTATAATCCCAACACTTTGGGAGGCCGAGGCGGGCAGATCACGAGGTCAGGAGATCAAGACCATACTGGCTAACATGGTGGAACCCCGTCTCTACTAAAAATACAAAAATTAGCTGGGTGTGGTGGTGGGTACCTGTGATCCCAGCTACGCGGGAGGTTGAGGCACGAGAATTGCTTGAACCCAGGTGGCGGAGGTTGCAGTGAGCTGAGATCGTGCCACTGCACTCCAGCCTGGGTAACAGAGCAAGATTCTGTCTCAAAAAAAAAAGAGCTGAAAAACTGACCGTTGGGTGCTATGCCCAATGACTGGGTGACAAGATCAAACCCCAGCACCACACAGTATACCCATGGAACAAACCTGCACATCCACCCCCTGAATCTAAAGTAAAAGTTGAAATTTTAAAAACAGGAAAAAAGTTTTTTAAGGGAAAAATAAATAAATAAATAAAGTGTGTGTGCTAATTCCTCAATTTCGATAGCCACATTGTGCTCCCAGAGGAGTGTTTTTCTGTAGGGATTGCGTGAATCACACACTAAGGCATTGGGAGTGATGGAGCGTTATGTTAGCAATTTAATTTTAAATGGTTCTGGGGAAAGTTCTCCATACTGTTCTTGCAATCTTCTTTTTAAGTTTGAGATTGTTTCAAAATTAAAAGTAAAAAAAAAAAAAAAATGTATTGTCCATGGAGAGAAAGCCAGCTTTCCCTAAAGTGTGAACATAGAGACGCCCCACCCTTTCCTAGGACAACCATGGCTGCTGCTGCTAACTGAGCCAGCTGAGTTCCAGGCGCAGTGCAGGCATCTGCTCCAGGCATGACTTGGTCATCCTATGGGAGCTGGGGCAGGCACCAGACACACTTGCCTGAACACAGGAAATGGACTGGGAAGTGCAGGCCAAGGGATCTCCAAGCCCAGCTTCGGGAATCTGTCTCATTCCTGCTCCTCTGGGCTGAGGCTTTCTGGAGGCTGAATCTAGGCAGAACCCATAGGTGGGCAAATGTGATCTCAAGGCCCCACTGTGACTTGTGACCAGAGGAGCCTCTCCCTCAATATTATAGCAAGATTCTCAGGGACTCTGGATTGGGCTATGGCGGAACCAATCCGTGTGGCTGCTAGTGCAGAGAGGCACTCTGTTTGGGCATGCAGGGTCACATGCTTAGGGGAACCGCCCTACCCAGCCCACATGGCTTGAACTCTGAACCTGGTGGGTTGGTTAAGCCAACAAGGGGAAGGAGTCAGTGGAAGTGGGGTTGGGAAAGGGGGCCTCCATGTGTCTGCACCTGCCTGACACTACCTGCCCCATACCACACCCTCCTGACACTGCCCACCCCTACCCCACCCTCCTGACACTGCCTACCCAATACCCCACCCTCCTGTCACTGTCTACCCAATACCCCACCCTCCTGACACTGTCTACCCAATACCCCACCCTCCTGACACTGTCTGCCCCATACCCCACCTTCCTGACACTGTCTGCCCCATACCCCACCCTCCTGACACTGCCTGCCCCATACCCCACCCTCCTGACACTGCCTACCCCATACCCCACCCTCCTGACACTGTCCCATGCCTGCACCCACCTGACACTGTCTGCTTCATACCCCACCCTCCTGACACTGTCTACCCCATAACCTACCCTCCTGACACTGTCTGCTTCACATCCCACCCTCCTGACGCTGCCTGCCCCATATTCCACCCTCCTGATGCTGCCTGTGCCATACCCCACCCCCCTGACGCTGCCTACCCAATACCCCACCCTCCTGACAATGCCTACCCCATAACCTACCCTCCTGACACTGTCTACCCCATAACCCACCCCCCTGACACTGTCTGTCCCATACCCCACCCCCCTGACACTGTCTACCCCATACCCCACCCCCCTGACACCGTCTACCCCATACCCCACCCTACTGACATTGTCTGACCTATTCCCCACCCTCCTGACACTGTCTACCCCATGCCCCACCCTCCTGACATTGTCTGACCCATACCCCACCCTCCTGACACTGTCTACCCCATACCCCACCCTCCTGACATTGTCTGACCCATACCCAACCCTCCTGACACTGTCTGTCCCATGCCTGCCCCCACCTGACACTGTCTACCTCATACCCCACCCTCCTGACACTGTCTGCCCTATAACCCACCCTCTTGATGCTGCCTGCCCCATATTCCACCCTCCTGATGCTGCCTGCCCCATACCCCAGGCTGGGGTGCTCAAACCTTCTCCTTCCTAGAACCCCCAGTGCACAAGACTCGGGAGGTGGGTGGTGCTCCCTGCCTTTTGCCCCCAGGCTGATTTCTCAAGAAGGCTCATTAGAGGGTGATTGGGAGGAATACTTGAGCCAGAGCTATTTGGGAGGGGTCCCTGCCCTCTTAGGTGCCCACCTCCCCACCCAGCAGCTCCCATGCCACCCCACCCTCTTGCCTGGGTCACAGTGACCTTTGTCTGGGGCAGAAATCAAGCCTCCACCCTCCACCACCGGGCAGAGCATCAGGGATGAGTGCCGACCCAGCCAGCCCGGATCTCAGCTTTCCGAGGGAAGGGCAGCTCTCAGCAAGGCTTCCTCCACTCCCCTCTCTGCTGCGATGAGTTTTGTTTTACAAAGTGTACAAACAAATAACTCCGGTATTTGTTTGGTAGACTTAGGTTTTTGTGTTTGTGTTTTGCTTAAAGTGGGACATGTCTATCACTCAGCATACCCAAACCACCTAGTTGTAAGACAAGATTTACATTTGTTCCTTAAGTAGTCAGCTCCTGTCAGTGGATGCAGCATGAAAACGTGACAAGTCATGGACTTCAACAGTCGGAAACATCTCTAAACGGTGTGTCCAGACATCACTGTAATATGTGGACTGTCTACATCAGAACCACTGGCTTACTTACTAAAAATGCAAATTCTAGGCTTGCCCATGGACTCAAAAGGTGTGGAACAGAATCCAAGAATCTCCTTTTAGAGTGGCAAGGGACTAGGGGGACAGGGGCTTCTGACCAAGAATGAGAAACCATGACGAAGGCAGTAATGTTCACAGGAGATGTGTGTGTGTGTGTGCGAGCGTGTGTGTGCGTGTGTGTGCGTGCACGTGTGTGCACGCACGCGTGTGCGTGCGCATGTGTGTGCGTGTGTGTGCGCGTCTGCGTGTGGGTGTGGGTGTGCGCGTGCGTGCCGTGTGCGCATGTGTCTGCGTGTGTGTGTGTGCGCGCATGTGTGTGTGTGCGTGCATGTGTGTGCATGTGTTTCCGTGTGTGTGCGTGTGCATGCATGTGCGTGTGCGTGTGTGCGCATGTGTGTGCGTGTGTGTGCATGTGCGTGTGTGTGCGTGTGTGCGTGTGTGTGCACGTGTGCACACGTGTGCGTGTGTGTTTCTGTGTATGAGACAGAGAGACAGAGACAGAGGTGAGGTGGGTCCCTGAAAATCTGATTTCAAAGAGGTCAGCGGGTGCTGGTGTTCTGGTGCCACACACTGCACTTTTATCTCTTTGATCCACAACAAGAAAGCAGAAATGAAAACTTCCTTCTCTTCTTTGTTAAAATAGGCTGTCTTCTCAGCCCAGCAGAAGAGCCCTCAGCCATACCAGGGCTAGCCAGCCTTCCAGAGGAGCCTGTCCCCTGCTCTCCTGGGGACCCCAGCACCGGCTGAAGCCTCCAGAGTGACTCATGGCTCTATGTCCATCACTGCAGCTCTGGAGGAGTAACCACGGCACACATACCCTTCTATGGGACACCTGCAAATACTTTTCAATAAGCTCGAGTCCATTTCATCATCAACACAAACAGAAAGACCCTCCACTAGGTCTCTCACCCGCTTGACATAAATTTGTTTTTCATATTCCTCATGGAAAATAGAGCTACGCTTGATCAGGAAGGTGAAAATGGAATGGGTGAGGGTATTTAAATTCTCTCTTCTCTCTCTTCCCTCCTTGCTATGTGTACTTGGAATAAGTGCACACGCTCAGCTTTAAGAGCTGTTTGGGACTTGGGAACCAGCTTGCCTGGACATCAGAGGCCACAAAGTCCGTCCCTGTCTCTTTGCAGTCTGTGCAGTTGCCCCGGTTGGTGGAGCCATGGTGGCTGTGCCCTGTGGGTTGTGAATGATTGCAGGGGGGCTGCGGATCAATAAATGCTGCAAGAATGACCCATAAATCAAAGAGCAATATGCCTCCCACTCATAAATGGGGCCATTTTTCAAAAAGACGTCGATGGTGTGGTGGTCAGTAATGCACACTCAGGCTGAAGGGTGGCTGCATCCCTGGGAGCTTCAGGTCTCTGTTTTCCAGAAATTCAAGACACTCACCTTGTGTCTGTGACACTTTCTTAATGTTTAAAATCAGTCCTCCAGAGGTAACATGATAAGGACCGAGAACAAACCAGGGGTTGCTGGTGAACACCAGGGAAGGACTGACAGCATGAGGCATAGAGTTTAGATGTTCAGCCCTGGGAGGGAGAAAGAGGCATGGGGGAGCTCAAGCCTACGGCCCACCTCCTCCTCTCCTCCTAGTGGAGTCCAGGCTGGCTGCTGAGCACCTCACACCCAGGAAGATTATTGCCTCTTTGTGTCCAGATTAACTGTCCCCAAAAGTGACCAGGTTCTCTGATTCACCCCCACCACCTTCACCCTGGCAGACAGGAGCCTGGGCCCTTGGCCGTGTGAACTGAGACCAGCCGACACCCTGCTGGACTCCAGCTCCTCGGCCCTGGTTCAGCCCACCCAAGACCCATAGTCCTGCCTGTCTCTGCCCAGTGACGGTTTAACTCCTACCTAGTCCATACCATGTTCCCAAAACGTTTCTCAGTGAGAAGGATACAAGTAGCCTTCCTTCAGGCCTCCACGTGCTTCCAGTAGATGCCTTGTGATGCTCTCTCCTGGGCCCTACTCTCCTTCTCCTTCCTCCACTCAGGCAGGTGGTTCTCCTGGTGCCTCCAGAGGTGAGCACACAGCAGGGCAGAGAGCCAGCGTCACCATGGACACCTCTTGGCTCTTGTTTCCCAAAATCCCAAACCAAGAGAAGAGGGAAGAGGCAGAAAGTTCAGGCAGGTGCAGAACGTGGGGGCTTCCTGCGGACTAAATAGACCACCCAGTGGGCCTGAAGGAGCTGGGAGGCTGCAGACCTCAAAGCTGAGAGACCTCAGGCTCTCCTGGATCGCTTGTCCTGGGAAGTGATTCCATGATATTCTTGGTCTCCCCAAAGCACAGCACGAAGGGACACCAGGTGGCCCAACCCAGTGGGGACCACCTGTGGCCAGAGGGCTTTTCGGTGCCTCGGCCTTGCCTGAGTCTTTGAAATAACCCTGGTGAGGTGGGGAGGAAGCGGCTGGGAATCAGAACTCGCCTTACAAACTGGAAGTGGGATTTTCCACAGAGAGGAGGCCAGGTGTAAAACCGAATGAGGATGATTTATGAAAAGCAAGGAAATGCAAAGTCCCTGCAGACTGAGGTTCACAGCTTCCCCACGCTCTGCCTGCACCTCCGGCCATCCCTTGGTTCACGCTGACAGCCTCGCCCCCTGAGCCTGCTCAGTGGAGGCTCCTATGTGAGGGAAGCCTATGTTCGGCCACCAGAGGAACCCGGCAAAGTGGGCGGGCACCTTCCCTTCTCCACCTGCCTCTGTTGTGAGGGTGAATGGCCCAGACTCCCTGAGAAGGTCTCGTGCTCACCAGACACCTTTCCAGTTTTAAGAACGCCACCTTTCCTCAGCCCTTGAAGTCCCACAGACCCCACAGAGCCTCTCCTGGCTCTTGTTTTGTATCCTAGGAAGGTCACATGTTCTTTAGGGCAGTCATTACCCACGCTCTCCCCAGGGTGGGAAGTTACCCAGTGCCTCCAAGGAAAAACAAGTTCCCTCCAACTTAAAGTGGCTAAAAGTGGCTATGATTTCAATGCTTTCGTTCCCTCTGCCCAGGGAGGTGGCTGAGGAGAAATGGATTGAGACTGAAGGTCGTCGGAACGTGCGTGGCCCCGTGCTGAGCGCCGTGTGGTCACCAGCCTGTTCCACCCACATGTACGGCCCAGGGACTTGGGAGGGACACAGAGACACGGAGCAGCAGGGAGGCCACGTTGCCAGCACCCCAGCCATGCCTCCTGAAAAGCAGGAGCATGGACACGTTACCCCTCCACCCTCGGGCCTCGTCCCCTCAGTCCCCTCCTCCAGCAGGTGGACGTGACACTGTGGGCAGATGCACGGGCATTGCAAGGGGCCACTGGAGAATCCACAGGAACTGAGCTGCATCCACGACAGAGGGCTGGAAGTAGAGGCAGAATGTGGGTGGCCTGGAGCTTCTCCTACGGGTGGCCTGAAGTGGGAAAATAATAATGGACATTTGGACTCATTCCTCATCACACAAAAAAAGTGCCAAGATGGAGCAGAGCACAGGACGTTGCAAGGACAGTGATCTCAGCCCAGGGCCAGGGCAGGGTCATGTCAGACCATCCCTGATAGCCGAGACATGGCAGGTTCCCAATGCCACACTGACCCGGTGGTTTTCAGAGCTTTCCCTTGCATCACCCCCAACTGCCCACGGTGACCCTGAATTAAAGGAACCTGCCAGCCCTTGGATCTGCGATGCCCCTGCCTGACCCACACCATCCTGCTGTGTGCCCACACATCCTCTGAGTCATGCAATGGGCTCACTGCACATGGAAGCCAATATTATAGCCCTGGCTTTTGAGAAAAGAAAAGGTTTCATTGCAAGGCCAACCAGCAAGGAGACAGGAGGCAGGGCTCAAATCCGAATCCCCAGTATTGGGTCAGGTGAGACTTTCATGGGTTGGGGAGGGCAGGTTAGTATGCAGACGCACTGGCGGGGCGGATTTTAATGGGACGGCTTTGAACGTGGTTATTTATGGTAAGGTGTGGAATGGTGGACTTCAGCACTGGCTCTTCCTGGATAACAGACTGCTTGTTTCTGAAAGGTTCCAGTGTTTGCGTTCCAGTGATGCCCAGGCTTTTTGGTTCCTCCAGTAAGAAACGTTGGTTCTAAGTGTTACTGAAGGTTATGGTTTCCTCCTCTCCACATGCCCAGGTCACATGACTGCAGTTTCACCTCTGCTACTTCTGCAAAATAGCCTGACATCCTGTGATCCACATGATAGGGACAGTTAGGGCTGGTCCTGCAGTGACAGTCCTTCCCAAGTCTCCCGGGTGCTGACAGATAAAACAGTTTTAACCTGACCTAAAGTCTCAAACTAGGCTTGAGGACATTTAATAGAAATGATTGGTAAAGTGACGCCATCACAGGCCATAATTAAACACATCCAAACAGCCTAATCTATGCACAGTTACATCTAAATAAAGTCACCCACTCACACCATGCTGGCATCTTTTTTAGATAAATCATCCAATTTCTTGCCCACATACTCTTCCAAAAGGTTGTGCCGCCCTGAGCAGCCAGGTCTGTGACGGAGGTTTGTACTCCACACTGCTGCTCACTCTCCTCTCCAGAGCCCAGCACTGGCTTCCGCTGG
Organism: Homo sapiens; assembly: GCF_000001405.40. Lineage (NCBI taxonomy): Eukaryota > Metazoa > Chordata > Mammalia > Primates > Hominidae > Homo > Homo sapiens. The sequence goes on from NC_000020.11 coordinate 24,817,529, forward strand.
ACCACCCAGAGAACCCCACAGGCGCCCTGCTGGCTCCCCTCAGCCTCTGGCAGCTCCTGAGTCCCAGCACCCAGGTTGCTCCCCAGGTCCGTTCAGCCCCACCTCTGGGAGGGAGGGCCTGGCCTTGGAATTTCCTGAAGCTCCCAGGTGACTCCAACCAGCAGCCAAGCCCAAGAGCCCCTAATTCAGGCAATCAGAGTGCGTGCATGGTCATATTTTGTCATGTAAACCCCACATTCTCCAAGTAAAAATTGAGGCCGGCACTGGGTACTCAATAAGATCATTAAAAGCCTAATGATCATGACTAATGTTCAACCGCAGAGGGCATGGAGGCACACTGACCACTGACGGCACAGTCAGGGAGGGCGGGGCCATAGAGACAGAATGACAGGGAACCACATGAACCCACCGGTGACCACCACTCCCTCACCCAGGAGACGGCCAAAAGCTCCCCAAGTGCAGAGGGGCGAATCTGCTGGCCCTGAGCTGCCTGCTCCCCTGGCTTCTCAAACCCAAGCACCTCCGCACCCCACTGAGTGCTGAGACCTGCGATTTCACACTCTGAGCATCATTGCACTCAGCTGGGGAGCACACAGTGCCTCCATGCAGTGCAGTGTGCATTGTGCAGAACCTACACCTGCTGTCACCCTGCACCTGGCCCCTCACTCGCTGTCCCCACCCACGTTCTCACATTGCTGTTCCCCCTTTAAAGGCCCTTGGGTTCAGAGGGTGCCCTGAGCAGTGGGGCTCCTGTGAGCATTTGAGTGCTTGCCCAGAGCCAGACTCCAAAGTGGACACAAAACAAGAGAGCTAAGAATGACCACACTAAGTGGAGCATGCCATTACCAAAGTAAACATAAAATGTTTCTGCTTAAAATAAAATAAATCCAATAATTTCCAGGTCCCGGGAATTTATTCGGAACCCCTATAGACTGCTAGATGGTCGCCCTCAAGTCATGGAGGCACAGGGGAAAACCAATGAACGTCCAAAGCTGTGCTTTCTCAAAACAGACGATTCCATCCTCTCCCCATTGTGGTCCCAAGAAAATCACACCAGTGGAGCAGTAAGAATGGGGGCTTGGTGTGGATCATCACAGCCCCGTAACTGAGGGACGGAGGTGGAGACGACCCAGGAATAAACCACAAAGTGAATGGGCTCCAGGTGGCTCCATCGAGAGCCATGAGTCCCATTGGGGAGAGGTGACATATGCTCTGTGCTTCTTTGTATTTAGAGCCCCTGCCCTCTAGAAAATATTTTTACTCAAAATTAAGTTGTCATTGAGATATCATTTTATTTTTATTATGAATAGATTTCACCTAAACTCAATAAAGCTGAATGTATGTCTTTGAGATTTTTTAAATGTGTGGAAAGGAAGTAAATCCCACCCCGGTACATGACCCTGGTATTCTCAGCACCGTGCTTCTGAAATCTTCCTGAAGTCGATCTTTTTTCCCCTCCCTTCCTCCTCTCCATTCATTTATGACCCAGACCCTGTCGTAGGCACTGAATATACAGCAGGGAAGGAGACAGGCCCAGATCTGGCTCTGGTGGGGCTCACATCCCACCAGGTCTAATAGAAACAAACAGGGGACGAAACATTTTCATTAGAGCTAGTGCCATGAGCAAAAGGAAACAAGATGAGTGGGGGTCACCACAGCTCCTAGCGTGGGACAGGCAGAGATGGCTGCTCCGAGAGGGTGAATTTGTGAGACTTACAGAACAGGAGACAGACCCAGCGCAGAATGCCCCAAAGCAGAGGGAACGCCGTACTTGCCAAATCCTGCAGGAAATGCCAGGCAGAGATGACCAGGACAGAGCTTCCCTGAAGTAACCTGCACGGCAGTCTGGGAAAGAAAAGTCAAGGTCCTTTATGGAGGACTCGCCTGACACCAGGCTCGGCTGTGAAGTGCTTCCCATAAACATAGGGCAGCAGCCGAGGTTCCTACTGCACACAGCAGTGTATTTCAGTCTGCGCCCGAGACCACACTCCTAACCACAACACTCTAGGACAGGTACACAGCAGGCTATAACCAACGGCAAAAACAGTAATGGACCTTGAGGACCAGAGAAGGGTCTGGCAGAAAGGAGGTCAGGACCTCGCCAGGTATAGATGATTCAGTGTGGCAGAGACTGGGCCAGAAAAGGCGCTGTGAAATCCACCCTGTTGGCTGGAACCCTTGTGCTGGGAGCCCTGAGTAAGCCCCCATGAAAGGCAGCTCAGGACGCCATGCTGTGAGGAAGCCCAGCCACACAGAGGCCACGTGCGCCACAGACATGGGAGTGAGCAAACCTACTACTGACTCAAATCTTCCCAAATGACACACCACACCCTGGGCCCCTTCCAAATTCCTTACCCACAGAATCCGTGAGCACAGCAAAACGGTTGTTGTTGTACTAAGTTTGGGGTAGCTTGCTGTGTACCCATAATAACTGACAACCAAGGATGTGCAAAATAAAGCAAGAGTGCTGATGCCTCTGAAGTGCTACAGTGACTTCAACGAGAGGACCCGTGCTCTAGCCCCAGTCCCTGAGTCTGAGAGGTCAAAACGGGAACATTAGAAACTTACCTACCCTCATTTGACAGGAAAGGCTCAGGGACGTGGCTGTCTCAAAGGCAGGTGACGAGGGGGTCTGAACTGCAACGTGGACCTCCCCATCCCCTTCTCACCCTGGGGATGCTTTCTGCCTTGCCACCACCCCCACATAAAAGTCCTATGAACAGGAAGCCAGTGCACTGTAAACACTGATGCCACTTGGAGAAATCCTCTCAAAAAGGGGTGCATAGAAGCTAAGAGCTTCCTCATCACTGAGTAATACATTTAACCTGTTTCATTAATATGTTAACAACGGTAAGCAGAAAACATTTAATTAGCCAGAGCTTTGCTTGTTTTCTCTGAATTTTAAAGGCTTTCCAGGACATGCACTGGGATACATGCATCTCTAAAATCTTGAGGAAAGTGTGAGCCAGCACCTTCTTGACCCGAGGTGGATCCCGTTAGCAGCCAGAGGTGCATGGAGCCCAGGCTGCAGGCTGGCCTCTGCGGGGCGATCCCCTCTGCTTTCCTCTTCCTTCTCCTCCTTTCCAACATCTTCAGAGGGGGCTGAAAGCAAATTAATGAACACACTTATATAGACAGGTTGAGCACTTATAATCTGAAAATCTGAAATCTGAAATGCTCTAAAATCCAAAATTTCGTAAACATCAACATGACACTGAAAATTCCACCCCTGACCTCATGTGATAGAGGTCAAAATTTTGTTTCATGCACAAAATTATTTAAATTATTATATAAAATTACCTTCAGGCTGTGTTTTAAGGTATGTTTGAAACATAAGTGAGTTTTGCGTTTAGACATAAGTGGGTCTCATCCTCCAAGATAGCTCATTACATGTATGTGCATATTCCAAAATCCAAAAATATTGGAAATCCAAAACACTCCTGGTCCCAAGCACTTCAGATAAGGGATACTCAATCTGTGTGTACATACACACGCACATATGAATGCATTTGTGTGTGTGCAGGCGTGTGTGTATGTATTTAGAGATAGATTTGCAAAGGTTATTTGGTTGCTCCCTGATCACGGCACCATCTTGATTCTAGGATCTCTTGAAGGTCAGTTAAAGGAACCAACAAATGAGCAGGGAAGTGTGTTGATAACTAAAAGTAACCGTGCATGAGACTCTGCTGGATAAGACAAGCAAAAAAATTGAGGGCAAAGGACTTGAGCTGCTAAAATAAGCAAGAGGGCAAGCCCTATGTCCACAGGGAAGTGGGGACGCCATCAAAGGATCAGAGACTCTATGCTGCATCTTGAAAAGCTGACAAATTCCATTATATATACATTTTATGCACCTAAACTCAACAATTTAAAATTCATGTTGGTCAACATTTTAAAGAGAAAGGCCCAGAAAAATAGCCATGTAAAAAGGGCAGCCAGTGGGACCCAAAAACCCACCCAACAGGTTCATGTGGCCAGAGAGCTTGAGACACACACTCTGCGGTTCTCTGGGTCGCGCTCAGCAGCCCCGTGCTTTCCATGGTTGTGGAGAGGTTTTGTTGAGCCGTGTCTCTCGTGTTTGCAGATTGGTAACCCATGGGCCCCACGGTACTGGCATCATGCAGGGCATGGCACAGGGAATAAAGCAGGGAACCCTGAACAGCAGGCCTTCATGAGTGACTGGGGATGTCTGCATGGGTTTCAGCCTCCACCCTGTAAGCCAACAGGAGATCCCAGCTGTAATCCGGACCAACTCTGCTCTGCATGAGAGCAATGCATTCCTCAGCATTGTTCACACAGCTCCTTGCTAAGGTTCCACTGCCATACTTGCTGTCTCTTCATAGCCCTGGTTGCCCTTCTCAGGGAGAGAGCTTGCACTGACCTGGGGGTAGTGGTCGAGAGATGATGTACCCACAGCTTGGGTGGGACAGGGGATCACCATCTTCCTCCAATCCCCACTCTTCCAGAGATGCAGCTCACAATCACCTCAGCCCTAAACCAATCTTACTGAAAGCACATGCCATCCATGCAAAAGAATAGATGTATACAGCATAATGTGGCACAAAGCCGTGATTACTAAAACAGAGCATTCTCAGGAAACGGGCCTGGCATCTTTAATTCCTAAGGCACTAATGGAGTTGATCTCATCCCTCAAATACCTCTGGTCTCAAAGCTTTGATAAATGTGAGAACAGGGTGGGTCTTCGGGAAATAGAGACAGTAGCAGGAAAATCCAAAAATAGCATCAGAGGATCCTTCGAAAAACATAGTAGACAGAGAGAGAGAGAGAGAGAGACGTCACCTGTACATGGAAGGCAGCTCGACCAAGACAAAACTCAGGAAGATTCCAGGCAGTGAAAGGTGCATATCGCAGTATCATACCCCTTCAAGACACCTTTAAGTAATCCATTTGCAAAAAACACCAGTCTCATCTGAGGAAAACAAATCCCAGGATAGCCAATCAGTGAATTACAGTCTTAGCAGGCACTTGCCAGAGGAGGCCGTGTCAAGTGAGACCCGAGAATCAGACCACACCAAAATTCTGCAGGGAGTCAAAGAAAAACGTACAGAAATGCTCACATCAGTGTTAGTCATAATGCCCAGAAAGCAGCCACTGGTGGGCATATGGATGAGCCAAATGTGGTCCATCCATAAGGTAATGTGGTCCATCCATACGGTGGAACACTGTGGAACCCTGAAAGGGAAGGAAGCTGTGATCCCTCCTGCTGCCACAAAATGGACTTGAAAACACTGTGCTTGGTGAAAGAAGCCAACACAAAAGACACACACTAGTTGATATAGTTCTATGAAATGCCCAGAATAGGCTAATCTGTAGAGACAGAAAGCAGATTCCTGGTTGTCAGGTGGCAGGGGAGGCGGGACTGGGATGTCACCGCCAACAGGGCAGGGATTCTTTCCTGGGTGATGTAAACATTCTGAAGTTAGATGGTGATGGTCACACGGCATTGTGGATGTACTAAAAGCCACTATTTCCTACACTTCAAAATTGTTAAAATAGTGTCACGTTATGTGAATTCTACCTCAATTTTATAAACTCTACTTGGTTAATCCGTTTTTTAAAATTCTGCAGTGGCAGCATCTGGCCAGGGCTCCTTTGTCAGCATGCCCTGGGTGGGGTGAGGAAAGTGGCCCCACAACCTGCTTACCAGGGGAGGAAAAATGGCCCACAAGGTGCCAGGAAGCCAGTGGGATCCAGCTAGAATTTACGGATAAACCATAACCTGGTTTTTAAAATATTTCACACAAAGGATCTTAAATCCCAAGAAATAGAAACATGCTGCCAGTTCCTTTCACGGATCCCACCAGGAAGGGGGCATGGAGAGGACCTGAGACAGGCGGGGGCCTCTCTTGCTCTGTTTTCAGTCAACCTCAACCATGGTTGATGAGTCCTGGGGGGCTCCATGCCAGCAAACGGCCTCTCTGATGGCCTTTGTTCTTGAGGCTCCTGTAGGAGAAAAAAAAAGAAAAAGAAAATCCCGTTCAATCACCATAACCTGTCCCTGCAAGAGCATAAAAATAAGTGATTGCTTATTTGAAACACCTGAACTATCACTGCTGCAACAACTCAGGAAATCTGATAAGATGATAATGAAAACTGTGTCATGCATGAATATCCATTTTAAAAACACACTTATGTCAGTCTGTACGTAAAGGTCGAAATTAATGTTATGTTGAAAACATTTTTCAGGGCACAATTATCTTGACTCATGAAGTGAATCGAATTCCTATTAGGTTTACAGTCTTGGGTTTAAGCCTCACACATTTCACCAGAAGGGCTTCACCAATCAAAGTAAAAGCTGAATTAAAGAGAGATCACAAGGACCTTCTATCCCTGGAGCTGGTTGTCTTTGTTCAGCCTTCTGGGTCACATCTTGCCCTCCAGGGAGAAGCGGCTGATGAGTCAGAAGGCGCTTGAGAAGACGTCCTTCTCCCAGTGAGTCCCATGGACCCCCAGATGCTGAGGCATGACTCTTCCCACTGGGTGGTATCTGCGACCTGGAGCTCCTGGCCCAAGAGCCTCCAGTCAGTGCATCACTGGAGCAGCAAGGGACACCTGCTATGTCCCCTGCCCACAGGCGGGGAGCAGCCACCAACAGGGCTCCAGATGCTCTTTTGCACAGGCATGTCTCTTCCCACTGGGTGGCATCTGCGACCTGGAGCCCCTGGCCCAAGACCTGCCAGTCACTGCATCACTGGAGCAGCAAGGGACACTCACTGTGTCCCCTCCCCACAGGCGGGAGCAGCCACCAATAGGCTCCAGAGGCTGATGGGGAGCCACTGTGTGGTGCATCCCCCCTGCCCAGCAGCCGTTTTGGTGTTTTCTTGATGCCCGGAAGGTGGACAGTACCATGTGGAAGTGACTCAACGTATTAGCCATCTATAGCTCCATAATGCCATATACTTAGCAGCTTTAAACAACACCCATTTGCCACCGTGCAGCACTGCAGCTCGGAAGTCCTGGCAGGCTTGACTGGGCTCTCTGCCTTTGCCCTTACAAGCTGGAACCGGTGTCAGCTCCGCTGTACTGTGGGTGGAGGCTCCAGGGAAGATCAGCTTCCGGCCTCATCCAGGTTGTGCCAAAATTCAGTTCCTTGTGGTTCCAGGACTGAAGTCCCTGTTTTCTCGTGTCTATCAGCCAAGGACTATTCTCAGTCCATGAAGGCTGCTCTCAGGTCCTGACCCATGACCCCCTCCACATCACCATCAGGAATGGAGCAGCTCCCTGGTGGCAAACACTCTGTCACCCATAGGTCCCTCCGACTTCCACTTCCACCACCAGCTCGAGAATATCTTCTGCTGTAAAGGGTGTGTGAAGCTCAGCCCAGCTGGGTAATCTGCTATTTTAAAGTCGAAGGATTAGGAACTTTCTCCATTCACTTGTGCTGCTGCAACACAATACCTGAGACTGGGGATTCAAAAAGAAGAGAATTCATTTCTCACAGTTCTGGAGGTTGGCAAGTCCAAGGTCAAGGAGCCAGCAGGTTCAGTGTCTGAGGAGGGCCTAGTGTCTGCTTCCAAGATGACACCTGTTGCTGTGTCATCTGAGGGAATGAACGCAGTGTCCTCACATGGTAGAAGACAAAGGGGGCACGAGCCTACGGTGCTCCCCTCAGCCTCTTTTATAAGGATGTGAATCCCATTCATGGGGGTTCCATCCTCGTGACTTCATTCCCCCACCTCTTAATACTCTCACTTGGGTGATTAAGTTTCAACATATGAATTTTGGGGGACACACTCAGACCATAGCAGTAAACCTAATTACACCTGCATCAGTGAATCCAATCTTCAAAGTCTTGGGGATTAGAGTGGGAAATCTTGAAGGCCATATTAGAATTCTGCCTCCCACACCTGGTGAGTTAGGAATACTCACCATAAGCTCAAAAATCAAGCTCTGTTCAAGTATTCCCCACCCTCCATTTGCACACAATTTCCAGGTCTTCTGATTTTACTACTACTAATAATAATAGTGGTGGCTAGCCCTTCGTGCCAGGCCCTCTGTTCCACACCTAAAAACTGGTCTCATTTAAAACACACAATCCTCTATGAAGCTAACTCTATTACTAGTTCCATTTTGCAGAGAAGAAGACTGAAGCTCAAAGAGGTAAGGCGATGTGCCCAGGTGATTCAGCCAGTGCATGTGTGGAGCCATGAAAAGGCAGGACCCAAAGTGACAGCAGGGGCTCCTACCCCAGACCCGAGCAGTGGCCGTTAGTTTCAGCCTCTGTGTGCACTGAGTGCCTGGGTGCGGGCACCCGGCTCCTAAGCCCACACACTATGGTCCGCCATCTCTCCAGCTGGTCTGGGGGCCAGCTTCTGTGTGCACTGAGTGCCTGGGTGCAGGTACCCAGCTCCTGAGCCCACACTATGATCCACCATCTCTCCAGCTGTAGGCCCCCAGCCTCACCTCTGTGGCTTCTTCCCTGCCCTCCACTGGCCTATAAGCAAAAATCACAGAGTTTTTAAATGTTCATCATTTGCTGTTGACTTGTTCCCCTGAGGGCTTGATAGAGATGACTAGCACACATATGAAAAAGTGTTGATAAAAGATTAAAATGCAAGATCATGGAAGATCCAGATCAGCAAAGAAAATCCAGTCTAAGGGTAAGGCTGAAGGCCACACTCTCATGTCTCATCCAGTTCCTAAAGCTGAAACATAAATTTTACTCTGAGCTCCCTAGTGGAAAAAGCAAAAACAAAACCACAGAAAATTAATTGTGCAGAGGTGGAGGTTGCAGTGAGCTGAGATTGCAACACTGCACTCCAGCCTGAGCAACAGAGTAAGACTCTGTCTCAAAAAAATTTTTAAAAAAGAAAAGAAAATTATCTGTGCAAAAGTAAAATAATCCAACTCCTTAAAAAAGCAAAATTTTTTCCCAACTCACAGAGCAAGAAAGCAGTTTGCCTTGTGAACCTCATATAAGCGGCACTGATTATCATGGTAGAAAACCCTTGGCAGCATTTCTAAAGCAAATGCAGGCCTGGGCGGTCTCATGGAATTTCCCTTACGGACCTTACGGGCAACCAGGGCCCATCATGAGCACCAAGCACAATGCAGTGAGCATGGATTCACAGTTATCTGGGAAGCAAGACAGATTCCGAATTCCAGAGACTCAGCCCAATACACCCCAAAGAATGGAGGTTCTGCATGCCCTCCAAAGACCCTGCACAAATGCCCTTCCTCTCAACAAGGGCAAACAACTGATGATTCAGGGTTCTCATCTCAGATCAGAACCTGGTGGGCAGATATTCTCTCTCTATTGCCAAAAATTAAATAATCTAATCAAATGAGAAAGGTTGAGTAGACAGATCTTTCATGAAAATGTATAAGACTAACCAAGGCCCTTAACAAGACGATCCAACCCTGAAGAGAAGTTGGATGGAAGAACTTACATATGGGACCAGATTTACACACACATACACACATGGACACAAACATATAATGCATGCATGTATATGCACATATATACATATCTATGCAAATGTACACACGTATACACAAACCCATATATGCACACACATACACATCAACATATACATACACATGTGCACACATGCCATCATATACATGAACATGCAAATACATACATGCAAATATACAGAGGCATATACACATAGGCATAAATATACACTCATATATGCACACATATACACACCTAATAAACACACACTCACCCACACATGACAATTCTGATTGCAGCAAACACTCATGTTTATAATTTCTCCACTTTCTAACATAGCCAAAAAATTTTTAGTCCAGAAACTTTTCAAAGCAAATTGAACCATCACTAATCATGGTCATAGACAACTTTCAATGATGAAGCAACACTGATATCTGGTTTAGAGCAACATAAGTTTCAGTGACACTGTCACAATAAACTGCTGAAAAAAATCTGAAACTCTCCAAGGGGCCAGCTGAAGTGGCTTGCACCTGTAATCCCAGCTACTCGGGAGGCTGAGGCAGGAGGATCTGGAGACCAGGAGTTCGAGGCCTGCCTAGGCAGTGTAATGAGACCTGCATCTCAAAATAAAATAGAATAAAATAAAATCTTTTAAAAACAAATTCAAGGATCCCAAAGAATTCTGAAGAGTCCAAGTGAACTGAAGAGGAAAGAGCGAGTCGTTCACCTGAGAGAGCTGGAAGAGTGCAGGATGACCTCAGGGCTGTCTTGAAGGCCTTGACCTTGTCTTTCTTTTCCTGCACCCTCCACATTTTCTTCCCCTCTGTGGGGCCAGAGGAGCACCTTCATCACCTTTCAGTGCCTTTCAGTGACCAAGCACCATGTCCCTCCACCTGCACCCTGGTAGCCAATGTGCTTTGCATCACACCTGCCTCGGGCCAGCCACACCTTGGATGATTTCGCTAACACTGTTGGCTCTCTACTGATTCACCTAAACATTCCCCAGCACTAAAGACATTTAATTTGCTTTCACAGTGAAGAATCCACTCTATTCCATACATTTATAACACTTTTCAGCTGCAACTCTAAACCGAGTAATTAAACTGAAATGACCTTTTCTGTAGACATGTGGTTTTATTTGGTTTTACTCACTTGACAAGTGTTTCTGTGTTCTAAGCATGTGCCTGCATTTGCTCTGTTTAACCCTTTAACAACCTTATGAGGTAGACACAGTGATCATCCATATTTTACCAGTGGAGAAACTGAGCCACAGAGCAGTTAAATCGCTTGTTTGCCCACACAGTCACAAAGCTAAAACATTTTCTCTACAGGGGACCAACAAAATGTTTTGAAGAACTGGTAAAATGTAGACTTAGATATACTTTGGAAAGAATTATGAAACACAGATTCCACAGAAATGTTCCAGGAGAATTCACAGAATTTTTAAGATCATCCTTTAAAACACTCCTCATGCCCAGAAAGCCATCTCTGAACTCCACAGCCTTTCTGGGTCTCACTGCTCTCTGCACCCCTCCCCTGGCCAGCACAGAAAACATGCTCTTCTCTCTCCATAGCCATTTCCCTCTGGCCTCCACAGCCAGGTTTCAAATTGTGTGGAGGGAAAGAGCCTAGCACTGGGAACTGAAATGGAATGAATTAGAGGACACAGACTGCCCAAGTGGGCAGAATTCTAATGTGACCCCTGACCCAGTGAGCTTCCCCTTGAGATATGAGATGGAGCACCTGTGACCCTGTTAGGTTATATGACAAATGAGAGATTATCCCACTGCACCTGACCTAGCCACATGAACCCTTGAAAAGCAGAGAATTTTCTCCAACTAGTGGAAGAAATGAAGTCAGCCAGATTCCATGACCTTACGGTGTCAACATGGCATCACCGGTTTTAAAGACAGAGGGAACCCATGGTGAGCAACACAGGGGCCCCCAGGCTGAGAGCAGCCCCTGGCTAACACGCGGCCTGAGTCACCAAGAACCGAGTCCTGCCCAGCACCTAAGTGTGCCGGGGAGGAGATTCTTCCCCAGGACCCAAGAAGAGCCCAGCCCAGCTGACACCTTGACTTCCACCTTGTGAGATCAGAGAAGCCCACTGAAGACACGGACTTCTGTCCTACAGAGCTGTGGGACACTGAGCAGGTACTGCTCCAAGCCACTGTGTCTGTGGCCATTTGTCACACAGCACAGGTGACTAACGAATGCCTGAGGAGTGGGCGTGGGGCCCAGGTGATGCAGGGCCCCAGAGGGAGGAGCAGGGCAACAGCCTGGCACAGCGAACCTCCAGCAGACTGAGGGGCACACGCTGTGGGGTGGCTGGGAGGAGGGGCTGGAGCATGCCGTTAGGCACCAACAGTTAAAACAGACCATGCTGCACCCTCTGAGTCCTGGCTTCACCCCTTGGAACCTGTGTGGCCTTAGGGAGCTGACCTCCCTCAACCTCAGCTCCTTTATCAGTGACCTCCAACCTTGAGGTTGGAGTGTGCCCACCATGCGGGGTTGCCATAAGGATTAAATCAAAGGCCCCACAGGGAGCCCTGGCCCAGTACTGACACACGGGCAGGGTCTGCACACATTGAACATGGGAAGGGATGCAGCCTGCCACTTGGTGGCAGACAAAACATTGGCCCCCAAAGATGTCCACCTCCTAATCCCCAGAACCTGTATGTTGCCTTACATGGCAAAGAGGGCCTTGCAGATACTGTTAGGTTCAGGATTCTGAGATGGGGACATGAGTCAGGTGGGCCCAAGGTCACCACAAGGGTCCTCACGAGAGGCAGAGACAGAGGTGGCAGCCTGACCACAGAGGATGCAGGGGGCAGGGACCACACTGCCGCAGCAAAGACAGAGGAATGGGCCAGGAGCCCAGGCGTGCAGGAGCCACAGGGGCTGGGACAGGCCAGGACACATCTTCTCCCCAGAGCCTCCAGAAGGACCAGCCCTGACGGCACCTTCAGCCCACTAAGGCTGATTTTGGACTTCAGCCCTCCAGAATCGTACAAAAATAAATGTGTTGTTTTAAGCCACTAACTTTGTGGTAATTTGTTACAGCAGCCCCAGGGAAGTAACATACCCTTCCTGAAACCACACCATCCTTAAGACTTAGCCTGTGCATAGGCCCAGGGGAGAGGCAGGGGACACTAGCAGGAATGAAGCCTCCCAGCCAGCCTCATCCTGCTTATTTGCAGGAGGTCACCCAGGGAACCATATTCCCTGCAGCTCCCATGAGGCACAGATTTATGCAAAAAATAAAATTATTAGAAGTAATAGGAGGGCAGTTCTTGGGAATTCCACTTTGACCATTGCACACAGGAGACTGCCAAGCCTCAGGACCACAAACCAGTGCCAGACACACAAGTGGATATCACAGGTCAAAGACAGCACAGAACCAGAAAGGGGAGAAGAGGTGGGAGGGCTTAGACCACACAAAAACCTTAACTCTGCCCATCGGTTTGAGGGGCAGAATCCTGATGAGTGGTGGAAGGCCCCCAGATGGTTATGCCAGGGCGTGCTATGTACAATGTGTGTAGGTGTACGCATGCACACAGGCACACAGCACAGATGTGCTTAATTGCCAATAAACCATGTAGAGCCTATGGAAGTCATACAGGCATACTTGTTCCAGACAAGGCTTTTCGTTACAAGATGACAGCTCAGAGATGCCTCTCCTGGTGTCCTGGCTTCCGGCCTGTGAAGGGTTATCAGAGCCATACTTCTTGTTTCCCTGAGGAAAGGAGAGGGGACAACACCGGCTTGGCTTGTAAGGTCTCAGGGAACTTTATAACCTGTGAAAGACAGTGGAAGTAGATATTATGGTTTAACAAATCCTCATTTGGCACTTACTATTTATTCCAAGGTAGGGATCTTTTTATCGTGCCCATTTTACAGATAGGAAAACTGAGGCCTAGAGAGATCAAGGGATTTGTCTAAGACCCCACTGTCTGCAAGGGGCAGAGGCAGGCTTGAATTCAGGCAGTCTAGACCCAGAGGATATAGAAAATGCACCCGCATCAGCATCATGACTGCTGTGGATGGAATATTTGTGTCCCCACAAAATTCATATGTTGAAGCCCTAGCCCCTAATGCAATGGTATTGGAGATGGGTCCTTGAGAGGTAATGAGGATTAGATGAGGTCATGAGGGTGGGGCCCTCATGGTAGGATTAGTGCCCTCATAAGGAGAGACACCAGAGAGCTTTCTCTCTCTCTCTCTCCCCTCCACCCCCACCAAGTTCATGGGCAGGTCATGTGAGCAAACTACAAGCCAGAGTGAGATGCAGCAGGGACCCCTCTCAGGGACTTTCCAGGCCCCCAAGCATTGAAATAAAGGAAAATCTTGAGTTCCTTCAAGGAAAATTCCAGGCACCCAGATAGCCCTGAGAAGTAAATGAGCAACTTGATAAGCAAGAAGGTAACAGTAGCTTAAAACAGTGGCCAGGGAAGACAGGAAATGTTTGGTTTCCCAGAGAAGCTAAAGATAGCATCTTAACAAATGTCTTTCAGCTGTCTTTCAGAAACCCAGACCCCCACCAAGTGGATCTGCTGGTGCTTAAGCCTCAGATAAGGTGAACTTTGGACTGAACCTTGACCTCTGTTCTTTGCTCTAAATTTCTTCCTGAGCGGCCTGGGCCCATGGGCCATATTCCACATTCTTTTCTGCTAATCCCAAATTTCCAGACAAAGCTTTGTCTCTTTAACCAATTGCAAATCAGAAATGTTTTTAAATCCACCTATGACCTGTGGGTCCACTCTTGGAGATGTCCTGCCTCTTTGGGTCAAACCAAAGTACAGCCTCCATGTCTTGATTTATGACTTCGGCCATCACCTCTGCGTGCCCTCCTTTGAAAACCCTTACCTTAGGGTAAGCCATGAGGGAGGTCAGATCTTAAGCATGAGCTGCCCAATTCTCCTTGCTTGGTGCCCTGCGATAAATGCCTCACTTTCTCTCGCTGCAATACTGATGTCAGTGTTTGGCCACGACCCCAGTTCAGTTTGATAACAAGAGAAGAGCCCTCAGAATAAAACCTACCTTGCTGGCACCCTGATCTTGGACTTCTCAGTGTCTAAAACTGAGAAATAAACTTCTGTTGTTTAAGCCACACAGTCTTCTGTATTCTGTTATGGTGGCCTGAACTGACTAACAGAGATTTGGGGTTGCTGAAAACAGGGACCTAGTTTATAGAAGCAAATCTCCACACCATGGTGCACTGTGACTGTCCAACACAATCCTCTCTGTTCAAAATCGTTGCCTGCAACGAGCAGAGAGGTTTCCAGCGAACTCTTCCTGGGTCCTCCCACCTTCCCCATGGCAGCCTGGAGCCCTGGAGCCATGGCATCTGGTTCCTGCACATCAGCACCTGGGAAGCCGAGATGTTCCCGAAAGCTAGGTGCCGACCACCGGGATCTCCCCTTCTCCTGTCCTGCCCAGTGTTCAGGGACAGTGCACCAGAGAGAACCTGAACACTGATTGCAAGTAGAGCCTCCAAAATCCTTATCTTTGTTTAGATGAAGACAAAAGAGGTGAGGAAGAAGGACTTGCAGCACAGAGGACATCTGTCATCGTCCACTCGCAATTCCCCATCATTCACACCCGCCTCCTATTTGTACTGCTTCTCCTGGTGTCAATGTTGCCCTCCAACATGGAATCTCAAGTCCTACACTTCCCAACCTCCCTGTTTATGGAGAGCAGACAGGCTGCTGTGGGATCGGTCACTGGGATGCACCCCTATGGGACTATGGCTTGGGACTGCCGTGTGGGAAGAGGTTGTCATGGTAACCAGGCACCCTCCCAATGCCTTGGGGACCACAGAAGAGGAGGAGCCTGGTCTAAGGCCTGAGGCTCAGGGAGGTGTCCAGGGATGACCCCTCTCCCCTGAACATGAGGCTAACATTTTGATGGCTCCAAGGATGGCCTTGAAAATAGGGTGCCCATTTGCCTTTTGCCATCCGCATCCTCAGGGTGTGCTGAAACTCTCTTTCAAATCAGTGAGAATGGTGTTGGAACAGGCTCTCCTAAAAGCACATGGCCCAGTCTCAAAAGACAAGTGTAATTTGGTCAAATGAGCCAAAGAACCATGAGAAAGCTGCCCAGAACCTAAGATTTGGGAGCCTGAAGATTCAAATCCCGCCTCTATCCCCGATGCCATGATGCTTATGTGCGGGCACTGAACATCGCTGAGTCTCAGCTTCTCCTCCTTATCTGGGGATCTGCCTACTTGCTGGGTGGTTTAGAGGCTTGAATGAAATCATTCAATTCACTTCAGCAAACACCTCTTGAGTACGCTGGAGCTCACTGTCTGGTCATGAGAGGAAAGCAGAAGAATCGTGGTCGAACGTTGTGGTCAGCATCACCAGTGGGCAGAGACGGGGTGCTCTGAGGGGCCCAGAGGGAGTGCTGGCTTCAGCTGGAGGAAGGTGGAACATGAATTCATCGCTGAGCAGGAGAGACGATGGGAGGACATTCTCAAACTATTGCCAAATATGTCCGATTCTAAGTTAAAGAAGCAGCTATGAAAAACAGAGAATAAACCCACCTAAGTGAACCAGGGAGAACTGGGAGACTGAAGAGCTCCTATGTTCTTGGAGGCTGCCATGCTGATGGCCCCAGGGAGACATGATTCGCCTGGAGATGCCCCAAACCTCATGGGAGACACACGTGTGGCCCAGTTTACTGTGGCCTACCTTCAGGGACATTTCTTCACCATGCCCTGCTCAGCAAAGAACCCAGTTACCCTTCAGAAAAAAGGTAAGTGAGCTCAGAAAGAACAAGCCAAGGTTGTTCCTAATGGTGATGGGTGACTTCACAGAGGGGCGGCAAGGCTGAGCAAGCAATAACCACGTGACTGGGCCAGAGCCTGGCCTTCAACCTGGTCTGCGTGCAGGAAGCAGACAATGGTTCAAAATCCCTGCCATCTGGCAGGCCTACCACATTTCTTCTGAATGCAGTGATCTAAGCTGTAAAAATGCATAGAATCGGCTACTTCTGTTCTGTGGATGTGTCTCTTTGAGAGAGTGTAAAGGAGAATTTAGGCCGATTGCTCCTGTCACCCTCAGCCCGTGGCCCTGGACTCCAATCTTCCTAACGCGACAAGGGCACTTGGCAGCTGCCCTCCCAGATTCTAAAGTCACCATTGCAGACAGTGACATGGTTCAGTTTCACCAGGACCTTGATGGATGGGAAAGGTGCTCTTAGTTCACGTGAAGACCCAGCGTGGACACTGAACTGTGTCACAGTGTGTTGAGTCTGCAATGGTGGAGACGGTTAAGAAAAAAAAAATGTTTTACCCTGCTAATTTCTAAAATTCAAGTAAAATAAAAGGGTAATGATCCAAAAAGCATTTTGGATTGTGAGATTCCCATCCTGAGAGAAGAGCAGCCAGAGATAGATTAAGGAGGTGGAAGTGTAAGAGTCCAAATGTGCAGGCCTGGGGACCTTACAACAGAAGGCAAGCAGATTAGAAAAGATGACACCCAGCACCCTTGGGAGCACTGAGCAATCCAGTCCCAGCTATTACCCTCACAAGCTGTGTGTCCTTGGGTAAGTCACTTAACCTCTCTGTGTGCCAGTTTCCTCATCATGGGGCTGTTGATAAGATTAGATGAGAACACTCATGTAAACATTCAGTATAATACCTGCCACTTAAATGGTAGTGATGACTGTTCAACAAAGCCCCACAGAGAGGCAGCGTTCTCACTTTTGAAGCAACATTGTGTATATCAATTTATTCAATAAATATTCCTGAAATGGTGAATACCTGGGTTATAGGAAACCGTCATATTTTACTTCAGCTGTTTAATTAAGGTGATTGTGATGAGTCTCTTTTTTAAATCATGAGGTGGCCTTTTGGTATGTGTTTGAATTATAAAATGCATATTTGTATCAGCATCTTATATATACAAAAATGCACCAGGTGCATTTGTGTGTCCATCAGCATTTTTCCAGCTAACACATCTGTTCTGTAGTGAATGTATGGAATTTTCTTCTTTTTGTGATTTCACTAAAATTTACAGGCAGTTACATTCTCATCTAGATGAAAATGTTAGCCTATGAGACTTCTCATGGTAGTTCTAGTTTTAGATACATTTCCAGGAGACCCTTTTAAGGTAGCTTTTCACTCAGTTTGTGTTTTGGTAGCACCTTCAGAAATCTATGACCAGTGAAGCTTGTCCTTAAGGAAAGAAGAAGATGGAAAATTCATTTACCCTTCTGTTCTTGGTGTTCTTGGTAAACACTAGTCAGGATCAGATGCACCTGATCAGTATCAGAAACCTCACCAGTTCATTTGAGCAGGAAGGGTTTGATACAGGGAATTGAGCAATGGCCAATCTTCTGGAAGGGCTGGAGGGGCTGGCATAAGCTGGTCACTCCTCCCTCCAGGAGCAGCCCAGGAAGATGCACAGAGCTGGCCCGCTGTGAACGTCTGCCTCCCCCATGGCCAAGGAGTCAAGGAATCCAGAGGCCACTGTCCCAACTGCTGGCTCCAGGACCCGGCCCTTCACCATGATCCAGTGAGACAGGAGAGAGGTTGGCAGGGTTGAACGGAGGTAGGAAAAGGAGCGAGGAGGGCAGGAGATGGGGTTAGGAAGCCCTTTTTCAGAAGCAGTATTCCTCCTGGCTGGATTTCTTGCAACACAAATCACTTTGAAATATTTAGCATTCATTTCCACTGGAGCTGTTCCTCTCTCTCCACTTCTTCACTAAATGTTAGGTTGAACCACATAAAACTGCCACTTTTGTAAGTCAAAGATGGGATGGGACTATATTGGTGATTTTATGTGGCTCACCTGAAACTGTCATCACCTCTAGGCTGGGCAGGGAGGGGAGTAATCCTGGCCACACCCAGGCCTCTCCACCTGGGACCTCTGCCCGCTCCCTGAGCGAGATCATGATGTCTCCTGGCTCAGCGGACATGTGGTCTCCAGCATTATTCTCCAGAAATGTCCACTGAGCTCCCCTCCAATTAATCTGTTCTAAGTTGTGTTAAGATATGGACAAAATGTCCCCTGAGCAATTTTCCAGGATGATAAATGATTACATTAACCTTTCCCTGACAGGTGGCTTTCTCTGTGGTTGGCCCTTTGTTTCTGTCCAGTTGGGCTCAAATGGCTAAGGGGTTAGAACAGGGGCATGTCTTGTCCAGCGCAGTACATGCCACATGCCTATATGCCACATGTCTACTCTCCATGCCTACATACCACATACCTACTCACCATGTGCCTCTACACCATGAGTCTAACCTCCACATGCCTACCTGCCACATACCCACCCTCCACCTGCCCACCCTCCACACACCCACCCTCCAGCTGCCTACCCTCCACACATGCCTACCCATCACGTGTCTACCCTCCATGTGCCTAAAACCACGTGCCTACACATCAGGAACCTATACACCACCCACCCACACACCAAATGCCAACTTCAGTACTGCAAACTGCAACAAGCACATGGTACTCAGAATCCCTTAGCTCTGCAAGTGACCTTGGAAAGTCCATGCAGCAAAGGAACCTTCTTCCTTGCTGATAGAGCTATGATTTTATGTGGGTCCCCACTTCATCCTCAGCTGCAACTTCTGATGGACCACATGGATCTTGTGATCCCATTCCCCTCGACTTAGCCTGTTTCTAACTAATGAGACAGAAGAGGAAGTCTGCTGAGAGTCTGGGAATGGCTTCTTGCTCCTAAAGTGTTAACACTGGTGTATTAATCCGTTCTCACACTGCTATAAAGAAATACCTGAGAGTGGGTAATTTATAAAGATTTAATTGGCTCACATTTCTGCAGGCTGTACAGGGGACTTCTGGGAGGCCTCAGGAAACTCTCAATCATGTCACAAGGCAAAAGGGAAGCAAGCATGTCTTACATGGCCGAAGCAGAAGGTGGGGAGTGGCAGGGTGCTACACACTTTAAACAACCAGATCTCGTGAGTACTCACTCACCATCACGAGAAGCAGCACAGAGAGGGAAATCTGCCCACGTGATCCAGTCACCTCCCACCAGGCCCACTTCCAACACTGGGGATGACAATGTGACAGGAGATTTGGGGGGACACAGATCCAAGCCCTATCAACTGGGAAAGAGCATTCCTTCTCCTTATCTGGTGGTTACCATGCACGGACATTGACGGCTGCAGCCCAGGAAGGGTCTGCCTGGAGCCAAGAGCCCATCACTCAACTGCGGGTCAGAGAGACTCGGGTCCTTGGCAGCACAGTCAAGCCCCAGGGCAAGGAGAGGTTAATGTAATCACTTCCCTTCCAGACAAAAGACAGAGTGGCTTTTCTTTTGTTTTACCTTAAGAAAAATTAAGATAGTTTAATTAGGACTAACTGGGAAAAGCAAGAGGAAAGTCAACAGTTTAATGAGGATTTCTGGAATCTGGACTACTGGCTTCTTTTCATGTTAGATAATAAATTATTTTCCCATTTAAGCCAATTTGAATGAACATTTTTAGTTAATTTGCACCCAAGTCACTCTGATTGAGGGTCAACTAATCTACCTCCTATTGCTAGGCAGAAGTTTCTCATCTCATCCCAGACAATGGGGACCTGCCTTCCCTTTAGAAGTCACTTTAAAATGGAACTACACAGTCGCCTTTTTAAACTGATTTAAAACTGATTCCAGTATTTAGTAAAACAACAGAAAACAACTCCTCTTCACACGTAGCCCACCTGCTGTTTAAAGCTCCCTTATTTCCTGATGTTAAGGTTCCCAGAGACAAGCGTGTGTTCCCTCTGTAGGCAGATTCTCCTACAGCTCAGAAGCCCATTTGGCTCAGCCATAAAACCCACCCTTGCTGCCACGAAGATGAGACTTTCCTTTGCTTATCCATCAGGTTTATGAAATTAAATAATTAAAACCTAAAGTTGTTGGAACTTTAGATTATTCTGATCCCTGACAGGAATGTGGCTTTGTGGCCTGAGTCACGCAGCACGCAGCTGTAGCTCTGGCTTCTTCCTGTAAGTGATTCAGAAAGACCTTGTGGCGCCAGAACTAAGACCCCTCAGATGGTCAACCCTGCTCATGGAATGCTAAAGCAATATTCCTTAGAATGTAGCAAGCTGCCACCGATCAAATCACTGCAACATATGTACAGGCCTTGCATGGAAGATGCTGGAATCCCCTAAACTTCTCTGTCTCTGTCTGTGTAAGTGAAGCCCTAACTCCCAACTTGTGGAGCCTTGACCCTGTTCCTTTGGAGTCTGTGTTTCCCAGGTGGCTAACCCTAAGCTTCCTGCTCAAATGAACTCAGCACTTAATCATGATTTCTGAATCTCATGATCTAAGGTTGACAGGTTGGTGCATTCTACCATGACTCGCTGTCATTGTTTTCAAGGAAATCTGCCTCTGCAACTATCACACTTCATTGAATTTAAGACGCTGTTGATATAACACCACTACTTTATATACTGCGAACAACAGAAATCCTCTGGCAGGAGAGCTGTGACATGCCATGAATTCTGCAATGTACTCCAATCTTGGAGAAGTTAAGATGTGTTTTTTTAAATGTGTATGTCTTAGAATCATTGAAAAAATGGTATTTTATTTTTGCACAGCAGTCGCAAAAATATCACAAAGGAAGAACATCAATGTTGGCAGCCTTTCCAATGGGCAAGGAAGCATCTCTCTGTGTAGCATCCCAGTAAACACACAAACACAGCTAAGGGAGATATCTCTGTGCTGGGAACCTCCTAGAATGTCTCCTCTCCTGGATTCCAGAAGGAGGTAAAGGGTGATTCACACCACATGGACTCTGGTTGTCTTCCTGAAGAAGGCTGGCCCTGCACAAGGGCACTCCCTTGGGATATGCCCCATGTTTTCATCCACAGTCACATGGACTCCTGTCATCTTCCTGAAGAAGCCAGGCTCTGCACAAGAGCACTGCCTTGGGTAATGCCCCATCTTTTCATCCACAGCCACCGCCCCATTGCCAACCATCTGCCTGAGCCCTGGTGAGGTGGATGGGCCCTACCTGGGACCTTTAGCCACTGGAGGTTTTAGAATGCCTCTTTGACATATTCTTTTCTGTGATTCTGTGTGTGAGGACATCCAGGAGCCAAGGTGGAGAACCCTGGATGGCCTTACAAGATGGCTATCTAGTTGTATGTTCCCCGCACTGGCCTCCCCTGAAACTTTCCCTGTACCACCAACCCACCCCTCCATCCATGGTGTGTGCATGTGCGTGTGTGCGCAGGCCCATGGTGGGCCAACAGCCCTGCCCCAGACATTGTCGGGTTCTTTGGGAGACTGAAGCCACAAGAGGTAACATGTGCAGCATTCAGTGGACAAGTTTCCTGCCACATGGAGAAAACTGGCTTCGGTGAGGCAGAAGAACAGAGCCAACATTAAAATAGAATGAGAAGACACACAGAGAGAAAGAGAGCCAATGGCATTTCCGTTTCTGTTTCCAGTTTTGACTCATTTAGTTGAAGCCTAGCCACATTCTCACACTTGGGTTCTGTAATACATTCCAGGATTCTTATAATAAAACCTGTGTTTTATTTCACTGGCTTCAATTAGGATGCCATCTCCCACAGCAAAAATGTCTAACAAGCATATCGACCATATTCCTGACCAGAGCAATGTATACAGCGCACTGATGGTGATGGTGCCAGCTTTAGGACCACGTGGAAAAAGCAGAGCAATTATTTCAAGAGTTGGGGATAAATAAAGGCAAAAAGTTAAAAAAGAGAGATATAAAGCAGAATTTGATTTAGGGGAAGTTTAGGAAAAAGACAAAACTCTGTAGTCAGGAAGAGTCTTGAGAGACCCAGCACTGGGCCACATAACATGGCTAAGCCCAGGGCCCAGGGGGACCAGACTCAGCGCCCACTCATGCCACTCTTGCAGGTCATCCTGCAGCCAGTACAGGGGTCTGACCTCCCACTTCAAGGGAACTGACCATGTTTCAATCAAATAATTGGTTTAGTAGAGAAAAGCCTGGACTGGTGTTGATGAGGCCCAGGTTATCAACTCCCTGGAGAACCCACAGTGATCTGGCTGAGCCTCTTTTTGCCCCTGTTCCTGAGCTGTTAAGTGAGAAGATTCAATGAGCTCCAAGGTATTTAATAGAAAACTGTTTTCAGTTAAACCCCAGCACATATAAATGTCAACATAGCTTATCTGTTGTAATAGACCTAGAAATCATAAAACAGGAATATTTCCTATGTAAACTGCCTGCAGTGAATGCTCTAGTTGGGACATGCTTGGGGCCCAGTGCAAACTCTTCCAGTGCAAACTCTTCCCAGACCCACCCCAGCCAATTATCCTTGGCCTCTCCTTCGGCACTCCTGTAAAATATTAGGACCCAGGGAACATGTAGGAAATGCCTGAGCCAGATGATCTTCGCAGTGGTTTCTTTCTGCCACATAAACTCTGGGCATGTCTGACTCCATCCATAGCCTCCCCATCTATCATTCTATCCTCACCCCAGACACATTCCTCTTTTTCTTTGGAAATGTGTCTCTCACCAGTCTTGTTTGAATGAGATGATCTGAAACATACGTGCAGAATCAAAAGTTAATAATAAAACCCTGTTTGTTAGGCACTCAGCCCTGGTTCCTGGGACCACAGAAACACTTGTTGATTTTCTCTTTTGAAATCACACACGGTGCAGCCACAGGAACCCAAGGCGAGCCACTCGCCAACTCAGAAGTGATCCCAATCGTCTAATGCTGCCTGGCCCCAGTGCTTCCTGGAGTACATGAAGCCCTCTGCATTGTCAGGATCTTGCATGAGTCTAGCGGGGAGAGGCAAAAATGAGCCTCTGCTGGAGAAATTGTCCTGCTGGTTTTGTTTAAAAGCAAGTGTGTTTGTCAGTTTGGGTTGGCTTAGTGGGGGATGGAGGATCCCTGTTTTTATTAATATTAAAGTTCCAGCTACCTAAATTTTTGTGCCTATTGTTTATTTTCTCCAAGAATCAAAATACAAGAATTAATAAATTAAAACCACAGTGAGATACCATCTCACACCAGTGAGAATGGCTATTATTAAAAAGTCAAAAATCAAAAGATGCTGGTGAGGCTGTGGAGAAAGGGGAGTGCCTATATGCTGTCGGTGGGAATGTAAATTTGTTCAGGCCCTGTGAAGAGCAGTTTGGAGATTTCTCAAAGAACATGAAACTCAGCTACTATTCAACTCAGCAATCCCATTACTGAGTATATATCCAAAAGAAAACAAATCATTCTACCAAAAAGACAAATGTATTCACATGTTCATCCCAGCACTATTCACAATAGCAAAGACATGGAATCCACCCAGATGACAGTCAATGGTGAATTTAATAAATAAAATGTGATACATATACCTCATAGAATACTACACAGCCATAAAAATGAACAAAATTATGTCCTTTGCAGCAACAGGGATGCAGCTAGAGGCCATTATCCCAAGCGAATTAGTGCAGGAACAGAAAACAAATACCGCACGTTCCCACTTATAAATGGGAGCTAAACATTGGGTACTCATGAACATAAAGATGGCAACAATAAACACTGGGGACTGATAGAGGAGGGAGGGAATTAGGGGAGCAAGAATTGAAAAACTAGCTTTTGGATACTATGCTCAGTACCTGGGTGATGGAATCAATCATACCCCAAACCTCAGGATCATGTACGATTCCCAGTAACAAACCTGCACACATACCACCTGAATTTAGAAGTTAAAATTGTGTTTTCTAAAATATATATATACATATTATATATATAAGCATTAATCAACTCATCCTTGGGAACCATTCTTGTGATTGGGCATTAACTTGCATCAATTGACAAATGAGGAGGAAGGATGGTCATTAGAAAAGAGATCATGGCAACCCCTCCTAGGAACTCTTCTCTTTATTCTCTTCCAAATAATCATAAACCTTTACTGTTAACTTATATGCTATGTTATGACATATTTTACTTCCTGAACTTGATGCTGATGTGCTTGACAAGTGAAACATTTTTTCAACCTTAAGTTTTCTACTATGCCTAAGGTAATACCTTGCATACTATAAATATTTTTAAATTTATAAATGAAAAGACTGTGTGTACATGTAACTGTATTCTGTAAATTAACAGAGCTATCACTGATATTGGCTAATTTTGAATAAATGAGTAGGGTTTACTTATAAAAAAAAGAAAGAAAAAAGATGCCCATCTGGGCATCTGATCTTGTGGCCCCCACCCAGGAACTGACTCAGCGCAAGAGGACAGCTTCAATTCCCTATGATTTCATCTCCTACCTAACCAGTCAGCACTCCTGGCCACTGGCTTCCTCATACTCACCAAGGTGTCCTTAAAACCTCTGATCCCCAAATGCTCAGGGAGACTGATTTGAGTAACCATAAAACTCCTGTCTCCCATGTAGCCGGTTCTGTGTGAATTACTCTTTATTGCAATTCCCCTGTCTTGATAAATCAGCTCTGTCTAGGCAGCAGACAAGGTGAACCCACCGGGCAGTTACAGTGTAAAGTCAGGAGGGACAGAGCTGGGAGTTCAGCCTCGCCTTCCCTGGTTGCCCGGTGCGTGACAGGGCCTCTGCTCCTCCTTCCCATGCAGGGAGGGGTCCCTCCTTGTTTGAATCATAGGCCTTCAATTTCTTCATCATTTCTACATCTCCACTAGTTCATGCATGATGTGAAGCACAGAAATGTGAAAAGCCTGTTTCTGCTGAGCAGCGAGGAAGACACAGCAGGAACAGACACATCCGTGATAAGAAGAGGAGGTGGAAGGGGTCTCTGTAGCATTCCCAGCAGGGCAGGGCCCTGGGACGCTAAGCCATTAAACCTGGCCGCAGAATGGAGACCCGTAACAGAGGCAGGGCCAGCTGATAGCCACAGCACAGCCTATAAGATGTGCCACGTCAGTGGCCATCCTCAAGAGTAGGGGAGGAAACCCAGGTGAGGTGGAGCACAGGGAGGAAAATAGATTCACAGAGGGTGCTTCTCGGGTCATCCAGGCAGTGTCACATTTTCCTGCCACCACCCTCCCTGCAACTGGCACCTGAGGTGGGGGATGGCATTATGAAAATGAGCTCTTAACCTGGGGGATCTGCCCTGACTCAGGTTGGTTTCAGAAGTGAGTAAAATTGGAGAACACCAGCTCGTATTGGAGAATTGGTCAAGAAAACCCACACATCTGGTGTCAGAAATGAAGTATCGAGAGTAATAGTGGAGTACTGCGGAAAGCAGTGTGTTTTTCCTATTCGCTCCCTCATGAGAGAGTGGCAGAGACCACAGATACCATTTATGCTGAGTTTACCCGACCTCATCACCACCAGCTAATAACAATGTAGCCAGTTCCTCTTTTTGGGACACTGCCCTTTTTTCAAGTGTTCTATAAACAAGGCTGCAATGACAACTACAATAGCCGAGTCATTCTGCTCACTGTAAGATATTTCCTGAAGGCACATTACTTGAAGTGGAAAACTTTCTCATGCAAGTTGCAAAACTGCTCCCAGGAGGGGTCTTCCAAGTTGTTACATCCAAGAGAGTAGGAAATGCTTCAGATCTGTACAACACTATGTGTGTCTGTGTCTGTATGTGCCTGTGTGTATATATATGTGCTTGTATGTGTATGTGCATGTGTGTATATGTGTCTGTGTGTATGTGTGTATATACATATTGTGTGTGTACATGTGTCTGTGTGTGCATGTATGTGCATGTATATGTTTGTGTGCCTGTGTACTTGTTTATGGAGCTTTGCAATTGTTAATTTTAAAATACTACATTATTGTGGCCTCTATTTTTTTATCAACAGTAAATATTTTTCGATATGAACTGACCGTTTGTTTGAATCTGTATGTATGCATTACCTGTGTGTGGCTTTATTGCATTTTCTATCCTGGTTCTTACCTGTTTTAGTTTTAACAGCCTCCTGCCACTCTATATACTATAGATATTAAGAATTTTTAGGATAATAGTGTAATTTATTGTCTAAATCAGGGCATTTGAGAGTAGAAGTGTTACAGTCAATAATTATGCACGAAAACAGGCAGAAACCAGGACTCTCTGGAGCAAATCAGAATCATAGGACATCTAATCATCAGCCCCCATTGTAAATGTTTTTTCTGAGTTGCCATTTGCCTTTCAATTTTGCTTAAGATTTGATGGGCAGAGATTTGAATGTTTGTAGAATCAAATCTTCTCTCTTAATAGCTTCTCCTATTTATAGTTTACATTTATTTATTTATTTATTTATTTATTTATTTATTTTACTTTAAGTTCCAGGATACATGTGCAGAATTGCAGGTTACATAGGTATACCTGTGTCACGGTGGTTTGCTGCACCTATCAACCTGTCATCTAGGTTTTAAGCCCCACCTGCATTAGGTATTTGTCCTAATGCTCTCCCTCCCCTGCCCTCTACCCCGACAAGCTCTGGTGTGTGTTGTTCCCCTCCCTGTGTCCATGTGTTCTCACTGTTCAACTCCCACTTATGGGTGAGAACATGTGGTGTTTGGTTTTCTGTTCCTGTGTTAGTTTGCTGAGGACCATGGCTTCCAGCTTCATCCATGTCCCTGCAAAGAACATGATCTCATTCTTGGTTTTATTTATTTTTATTTTTTTTGACAGAGTCTGTCACCCAGGCTGGTGTGCAGTGGCATGATCTCCACTCACTGCAAGCTTCACCTCCCGGGTTCACGCCATTCTCCTGCCTCAGCCTCCCAAGTAGCTGGGACTACAGGTGCCTGCCACCATGCTCGGTTAATTTTTTTTGTATTTTTAGTAGAGACAGGGTTTCACTGTGTTAGCCAGGATGGTCTCGATCTCCTGACCTGGTGACCTGCCCACCTCAGCCTCCCAAGATCTCATTCTTTTTTTTGGCTGGATAGTATTCCATGGTGTATATGTACCACATTTTCTTTATCCAGTCAGTCATTGATGGGCACTTGCATTGGTTCCATGTCTTTGCTAATTGTAAATAGTGTGGCAATAAACATATATGTGCATGTCTCTTTATAGTAGAATGATTTATATTCCTTTGGTATATAGCTTTGGGTATACACCCAGTAATGGGATTGCTGAGTCAAATGTTATTTCTGGTTCTAGATCCTTGAGGAATCGCCACACTATTTTCCACAATGGTTGAACTAATTTACATTCCCACCAACAGTGTAAAAGTGTTCCTTTTTCTCCATAGCCTCACCAGCATGTATTGTTTCTTGACTTTTTCATAATCACCATTCTGACTGATGTGACATGGTATCTCACTGTGGTTTTGATTTGCATTTCTCTGATGATCAGTGATGTTGGAGTCTTTGTTCATGTTTTTTGGCTGCATAAAATGTCTTCTTTTGAGAGTGTCTGTTCATATCCATTGCCCATTTTTTGATGGGGCTGGTTTTTTCTTGTAAATTTGTTTAAGTTCCTTGTAGATTCTGAATATTAGACCTTTGTCAGATGGGTAGATTGCAAAACTTTTCTCCCATTCTGTAGGTTGTCTGTTCACTCTGATGACAGTTTCTTTTGCTATGCAGAAGCTCTTTAGTTTAATTAGATCCCATTTGTTAATTTTGGCTTTTGTTGCAGTTGCTTTTGGTGTTTTTGTGATGAAGTCTTTGCCCATGCCTACATCCTGAATGGGCATCCTGAGTGGTATTGCCCAGGTTTTATTCTAGGGTTTTTATGGTTTTAGGTTTTACATTTAAGTCTTTAATCTATCTTGAGTTAATTTTTGTATAAAGTGTAAGGAACGGGTCCAGTTTCAGTTTCCTGCATATGACTATCCAGTTTTCCCAGCATCATTTATTAAATAGGGAATCCTTTCCCCGTTGCTTGTTTTTGTCAGGTTTGTTGAAGATCAGATGGTTGTAGATGTGTGGTATTATTTCATAGGTCTTTGTTCTGTTCCATTGGTATATATGTCTGTTTTGGTACCAGTACCATGCTGTTTTGGTTACTGTAGACTTGTAGCATAGTTTGAAGTCAGATACTGTGATGCCTCCATCTTTGTTCTTTTTGTTTAGGATTGTCTTGGTTATACAAGCTCTTTTTTTGGTTCCATATGAAATTTAAAGTAGTTTTTTTCTAATTCTGTGAAGAATGTCAGTAGTAGTTTGATGGACTAGCATTGAATCTATAAATTACTTTGGGCGATATGACCATTTTCACAATGTTGATTCTTCCTACTCATGAGGATGGGATGCTTTTCCATTTGTTTGTGTCTTCTCTTATTTCCTTGAGCAGTGGTTTGCAGTTCTCCTTGAAGAAGTCCTTCATGTCTTTGTTAGCTGTATTCCCAGGCATTTTATTCTCTTTGTAGCAATTGTGAATGGGAGTTCATTCACGATTTGGCTCCCTGACTGTCAATTGTTGGTATATAGGAATGCTTGTGATTTTTGCACATCGATTTTGTATCCTGAGACTTTGTTGAAGTTGCTTATCAGCTTAAAGAGTTTTGGGGCTGAGATGATGGGGTTTTCTAAATATGGAATCATGTCATCTGCAAAACAAGACAATTTGACTTCCTCTCTATTTGAATATGCTTTATTTCTTCTCTTGCTTGATTGCCCTGGCCAGAACTTCCAATACTATGTTAAATAGGAGTGGTGAGAGAAGCCATCCTTGCCTCGTGCCGGTTTTCAAAGGGAATGCATACAGCGTTTGCACATTCAGTAAGATTATGGGTTTGTCATAAATAGCTCTTATTATTTGGAAATATGTTCCATCAAAACCTAGTTTATTGAGTTTTTAACATGAAGGGATGTTGAACTTTATTGAAGGCCTTTTCTGCATCTATTGAGGAAATGATGTGGTTTTTGTCAATGGTTCTGTTCATGTGATGGATTACATTTATTGATTTGCATATATTGAACCAGCCTTGCATCCCAGGGATGAAGCCAACTTGATCATGATGCATAAGCTTTTTGATGTGCTGCTGGGTTTTGTTTGCCAGTATTTTATTGAGGATTTTCACATCAATGTTTATCAGGGATATTGGCCTGAAGTTTTCTTTTTTTATGGTGTCTCTGTCAGGTTTTGGTATTAGGATGATGCTGGCTTCATAAAACGAGTTAGGGAGGAGTCTCCCCTTTTCAGTTGTTTGGAATCGTTTCAGAAGAAATGGTACCAGCTTCTCTGTGTACCTCTGGTAGAATTCGGCTGTGAATCCATCTGGTCCTGGGCTTTTTGTGGTTGGTAGGCTATTAATTACTGCCTCAGTTTCAGAACTTGTTATTGGTCTATTCAGGGATTTGACTTCTTCCTGTTTTAGTCTTGGGAGGGTGTATGTATCCAGGAATTAATCTATTTCTTCTAGATTTTCTAGTTTATTTGCGTAGAGGTGTTTATAGTATTCTCTGATGGTAGTTTGTATTTCTGTGGGGTCAGTGGTGACATCCCCTTTATCATTTTTTATTGTGTCTGTTTGATTCTTCTCTTTTTTCTTCTTCATTAGTTTAACTAGTGGTCTATTTTGTTAATTTTTTCAAAAAAACAGCTCCTATATTCATTGATTTTTTGAAGGGTTTTTCCTGTCTCTCTTTTAGTTCTGCTCTGATCTTAGTTATTTCTTGTCTTCTGCTAGCTTTGGGGTTTGTTTGCTAATTTTTCTAGTTCTTTTAATTGTGATGTTAGGATGTTGATTTGAGATCTTTCCAGCTTTCTGATATGGGCACTTAGTGCTATAAATTTCCCTCTTAACACTGCTTTAGCTGTGTTCCAGGGATGCTGGTATGTTGTCTCTTTGTTCTTACCGGTTTCAAAGAACTTCTTGATTTCTGCCTTAATTTCATTATTTACCAAGGAGTCATTCAGGACCAGGTTGTTCAATTTCCATGTAGTTGTGTGGTTTTGAGTGAGTTCCTTAATCCTGAGTTCTAACTTGATTGCACTGTGGTCTGACAGACTGTTATGATTTCGGTTCTTTTGCACTTGCTGAGGAATGTTTTACTTCCAATTATGTGGTCAATTTTAGAATAAATACCATATGGCATTGAGAAGAATGTATATTGTGTTGATTTGAGGTGGAAAGTTCTGTAGATGTCTATTAGGTCCACTTAATCCAGAGCTGAGTTCAAGTCCTGAATATCCTTGTTAATTTTCTGTCTTGTTGATCTAATATTGACATTGGGGTGTTAAAGTCTCCCACTATTATTGTGTAGGAGTCTAAGTCTCTTTGTAGGTCTCTAAGCACTTGTTTTATAAATCTGAGTGCTCCTGATTTGGGTGCATATATGTTTAGGATAGTTAGCTCTTCTCATTGAACTGATCCCTTTAGCATTATGTAATGCCCTTCTTTGTCGTTTTAGATCTTTGTTGGCTTAAAATCTGTTTTATCAGAGACTAGGATTGCAACCCTGGCTTTTTTTTTTCTTTCTATTTGCTTGGTAAATTTTCCTCTATTCCTTTCTTTTGAGCCTATGTGTGTCTTTGCACTTGAGATGGGTCTCCTGAATACAGCACACCAATGGGCTTTGACTCTTTATCCAATTTGCTAGTGTGTGTCTTTTAATTGGGGCATTTAGCCCATTTACATTTAAGGTTAATATTGTTATGCATGTATTTCATCCTGTCATCATGATGCTAGCCGGTTATTTTGCACATTAGTTGATGCAGTTTCTTCATAGTGTCATTGGTCTTTATATTTTCATGTGTTTTTGCAGTGGCTGGTACCAGTTTTTCCTTTCCATATTTAGTGCTTCCTTCAGGGGCTCTTGCAAAGCAGGTCTGGTGGTGATGAAACCCCTTAGGATTTGCTTGTCTGGAAAGGATTTTATTTCTCTTTCACTTATGAAGCTTAGTTTGGCTGGATATGAAGTTCTGGGTTGAAAATTCTTTAAGAATTTTTTTTTTTCTTGAGATGGAATCTCGCTCTGTCACCCAGGCTGGAGTGCCGTGGCACAATCTTGGCTCACTGCAAGCTCCGCCTCCTGGGTTCACACCATTCTCCTGCCTCAGCACCCTGAGTAGCTGGGACTACAGGTGCCCACCACCACACCCAGCTAATTTTTTGTATTTTTAGTAGAGACGAGGTTTCACCGTGTTAGCCAGGATGGTCTCAATCTCCTGACCTTGTGATCCACCCACCTTGGCCTCCCAAAGTGCTTTAAGAATGTTGAATATTGGCCCCCACTCTCTTCTGGCTTGTGAGGTTTCTGCTGAGAGATCTGGTGTTAGTCTGATGGGCTTCCCTTTGTAGGTGACCTGACCTTTCTCTTTGGCTTCCCTTAATATTTTCTCCTGTGTTTCAACCTTGAAGAATCTGAAGATTATGTGTCTTGAGGTTGCTCTTTTCCAGGAGTATCTTAGTGGTGTTCTCTGTATTTCCTGAATTTGAATGTTGGCCTGTCTTGCTAGGTTGCGGAAGTTCTCCTGGATAACATCCTGAAGTATGTTTTCCAACTTGGTTCCATTCTCCCAGTCATTTTCAGGTACTCCAATCAATTGTAGGTTCGGTCTTTTTACATATTCCCATATTTCTCAGAGGTTTTGTTCATTCCTTTTCATTCTTTTTGCTCTAATCTTGTCTGCATGCCTTATTTCAGAGGTCTTCAAACTCTGATATCCTTTCTTCTGTTTGATCAGTTCAGCTACTGATACTTGTGTATGCTTCACAAAGTTCTCATGTTGTGTTTTTCAGCTACATCAGGTCATTTATGTTTCTCTTTACAAGGTTATTCTAGTTACAGCTCCTGTAACCTTTTATCAAGATTCTTAGCTTCTTTGCATTGGGTTAGAACATGCTGGTTGAGCTCAGTGGAGTTAGTTATTACCCACCTTCTGAAGCTTACTTCTGTCAATTCACCCATCTCATTCTACATCCAATTCTGTGCCCTTGCTGGAGAGGTGTTGCAATCATTTGGAAGAGAGGAGGCATTCTGGCATTTGGAATTTTCTGCATTTTTGTGCTGGTTTTTCCTCATCTTTGTGGATTTATCTACTTTTGATCTTTGAGGCTGATGACTTTTTGATGGTGTTTTTTGGGGGGGCGGGGGGGTATTTTTGTTGATGATGTTGTTGTTGCTTTCTGTTAGTTTTTTTTTTTTTTTCTAACAGTCAGGCCCCTCTTCTGCAGGTCTGCTGCAGTTTGCTCCATGCACCAACCTGCTCCATGGGGTATACATGGATTATTTTCCCAGTGCTGACACTGGTGTCCACAATACCACCTGTAAGTCAGCAGAGCAGAGCTCAGTAGGACAAACGTCAGCTCTCCTGCAGGACTGTCTACACCCAGAATAGAAACCACAGCCATTGCCATGCTGGTCCATTGCTCTGG
This sequence comes from Homo sapiens, assembly GCF_000001405.40. NCBI lineage: Eukaryota > Metazoa > Chordata > Mammalia > Primates > Hominidae > Homo > Homo sapiens. Next base: position 24,850,151 of record NC_000020.11, read on the forward strand.
CCAACTGAGCTTGCAGTTGTGCCATTCGCTGACTGGGCTCAGTGCCCCAACGTGCTCTCCCACACAGGAAGCTCTGGATCTTCAAAAATGGCTTGAAGAGAACTGAAAGGTGTTCTTCTGGGATGTCATTCAAGTCAAATGCATCAGCAGCCCAGAAGGCTCTCTTTCCTCACTACAGCCCCCAAGCTAATTACACGAGGTTTTTACAAGATGAACTATTGATTTACTGTCCACTGCCTCAAGCCAGTGTCTTGGAAATGAACACCAGAGCCTGAGAGCAGGAGGACTCATTCTATGAATATGTGCAGGTGAAACCCTGCCTTGCAGCTCATGGAAACTCTAATCTCCTACCGATTTCACGGCATGGAGCATCTCTTCCCCTTGGTTCAAACCCTGCAGGGACAACAGCTCTCCAGGGTATTCCCCAGCACCAAGCCCATGGCCACACCAGGAACTGCTCCAAACAGAGCTTCTTGCCATGGGGCAGGGGACCACAATCCTTCTCCCCCAGGCTAGGGTACCTCTGGTTTCTGCTCAGGGAGCTGCAGGGGAAGTCAGGCTACAGATTCCCCACTCAGAAGCTTCTCATCTGCTTTGTATTCATCTCTTCTAGTCAGTGATGTCTTAGGTGTGCTTAACATTCAGAGCAGAGCAGTTTTTAAAACCCACCTCTTCTATATGATAAAATTATTTTCAGTAATAAGCAACTACAAATTTACAAAAATAAAACCAGTGTAGTATTGGCACAGGTCATCACATATATCAATGGAACAAAATTTTCTGGAAATAGACTATGCATATATGATTAATTGATTTTTTTTTTTGAGACGGAGTTTCGCTCTTGTTGCCCAAGCTGGAGTGCAATGGCGTGATCTTGGCTCACTGCAATTTCCACCTCCTGGGTTCAAGCAATTCTCCTACCTCAGCCTCCTGAGTAACTGGGATTACAGGCATGTGTCACCATGCCTGGCTAAGTATTTGTGTATTTAGTAGAGACAGGGTTTCTCCATGGTGGTCAGGTTGGTCTCAAACTCCCAACCTCAGGTGGCCCCCCTGCCTCAGCCTCCCAAAGTGTTGGGATTACAGGAGTGAGCCACCACACCCAGCAATTAATTGATTTTTACAAATGTGCCAAGGTAATCCAATAGGGAAAAGATAGTCTCTTCAAATGGTGCTGGAACAAGTGAACAATCATATGCATAAAATAACTTCAACCCTTACCTTCCACCATATGCAAAAATTAACTCAAAATGAATCATAAACTAAATGCAGAAGCTGAAACTACAAAACTTCCAGAAGAAAACATGAGGAAAAAAATTTTGTGACATTGGTTTGAAAAGTAAGTTGTTGCTAGAATACCAAAAATGACTCATAAAAGAAGAAAATGATAAACTAGACTTGACGAAAATGAAAACCTTTTGTTTTACAAAGAGACACTATTAAGAAAATCAAAACCCACACACTGAGAGAAAATATTTACTGATTAAGGCCTGCATACCTGATAAAGGAATTGTATCTGAATGTATATAAAGAAATCTCAAAACTCAATAATAAGAAAACAAACAGTCTAACTTAAAAAGATGGGAAAAGATTTGAGGAGACACTCCATTTAGAAGAGCTATGGGTGGTCAGAGGCTCTGCATCACTAGGCAAGAGGGAAATGCAAATGAGCCCTCACCTCACCTCACCTCACACTAAAATGATTAAAATTAAGAGTACAGACAGCGAGCTGGGGGCAGTGGCTTACACCTGTAATCCCAACACTTTGGGAGACTGAGGCAGGATGATTGCTTGAGCGCAGAAGTTCAAGACCAGCCTAGGAAACACAGCAAGACCTCATCTCTAACAAAATTTTAAAAATTTTAAAAAAGTAGCCAGGTATGGTAGCGAATGATTTTAGTCTCAACTACTCAGGAGGCTGAAGTGAGAGGGTAGCTTAAGCCTGAGAGGTTGAGGCTGCAGTGAGCTAGGATTGCACCACAGCATTCCAGCCTGGATGACAAAGAGAGACCCCATATCATATATATATATATATATATATATGGCTATATATGTGGCTATATATTTGTGGCTATATATATATATAGATAGATAATCTAAACAGAAGAATACAGATAATGACAAGTGATGGTGAGGTATGAAGTGAATGGAACTTTCATACTTGGCTGGTGGGAATGTAAGTAGTACCACATTTTGAAAAAGAGTTTGGCAGTTTCTAATAAAGTTAAGTATATGTAATTGCTCAATGGGTTCTTCCAGCCCATTACACAGACAAAATCAATTTGCTGAGACCATGCCATTGCAGTAAATAAAAAGTTTAATTAACACCAGGCCAGCCATGCAGGATAACTCAAGTTATCACTCAATCAGTCTCCTAGAAGGCTCAGAGGTTACGGTTTTTCAAGGACGGTTCGGTGGGCCAGGGTCTAAGGAATGGGTGCTGCTGCCTGGCTGGGGATAAAATCATACGGGTGTGGAAAACAGTTCTTGTGCACTGAGTCCACCTCTTTGGGGGGGGCATGGGACCATTGAGTCACAAGCCTCAAGTCTAGGTAGCATCACTAGTTATCAGAAATGCAGAAGTCTGGGGGAAAAAAATCTCAAAAGGCCAATCTTGGGTTCTACAATAAGAATGTCATCTACAGGAGTAATTGGAGAAGTCACACTTCTTGTGACTTCTGGAACAATGGCTAGTATTGGTTAACTACACCTGCATCTTAGTAGAATTCAGCCCCTCTCAAAATCCTAAGCTTGTGGCCTTTCATTAGTTTTTACAAAGGTGTCTTAGTTTTGGGGAAGAGCTATTATCATCCTTGCTTTAAGGTTAAACTATAAACTAAATTTCTCCCAAAGTTAGCTTGGCCTATGCCAAGCAATGACCAAAGACAGCTTGGAGTTAGAAGCAAGATGGAGTCAACTCTGTTAGATTTCTCTCACTGTCATAATTTTGCAAAGGCGGTTTCACATATATTTACCATACAACACCATAGTCAAACTCTTAGGTTCTAACCCAAGAGAAATCATCAAATTGTTCACGTAAAAGGGTGAGTTTTAATCTGCAAATTATACCTCAATAAACTTAACTTTAAAAGTAAACAGTCATGTGATAATCATTAATAATCATTATTTTCTTGGTTTGTTTAGATTTAAAGTGATTAACAATTTTAATGGAAGCAGAAATTTCTGCTAATGTTATTAATCAAATTCAGCAAAGTATTTCCTGCGAGAAAACAAAAGAACTTTTGCCTGAGGAATGCAAGTCCTTTTAAATTGTCAGATCCAGAGAGAGTTAAATGAGACAGCAATCGCATCCTACCCAACCTTGAGCTATGTGAACATCTCCTGAAACCACTTCCTAATGACACAAGTAGCTGTAAATTAACTGAATAATGCCACACCAGACACTATTACCCGCACCCTACATACAGCTTAACAATGTACGGCCCATCACTAATCAATGTTATTTCTGTAAACCAGTGAGAATCCCTGACAAACAACTTTGTATCAGCCACCTCCCTGTCCCTTGCTACTTTTTTTGCCTTTAAAAATCTGCTTGTAACAGGTTACTTGAGGCTGAGTCTTTCAGGTAGCTCTCCTCACCTTGACTCAAGTAAATTCTTTAAATTATATTTTGTGTTTCAGTCTCCTCCTTTTAGCTTTACATAAGAACCAAAATTTGCTCTTACAAAAAAAAAAAAGGAAAAGAAAACCTCAAAAGTCATTCTCTATTTCACTGTTTTAAATTTTAATCATAAATTAAAACTGAATGGTCACACAGAATGATAGAATTAATAACTCAAGTTCTCTTCATTGCCTTTACAGATACATTGCAATCATGTTTTATTTAGAATTGAAACCACCTCTGCAAAGATTATGACAGTGACAGAAATCTAGCATGGCCAACTCCATCTTGCTTCTAGCCTCACAGGCGGGCTGTCTTCACTCATTCCTGGGTATGGGCCAAGATAACCATGAGAGGAATTTGGTTTATGGTTTAACTTGGAGGCAAGGATAAAAGTCCCTCCCCAAAACTAACTCCCTCCTGGCTCAGGGACTGAAACTACTAAAAGGCAATGAGATTAGCATTACAGGAGAGGGCTGAATTCTGCTAAGATATCAGCATAGTTCCTATAATACCTTACTGCTCAGGAGTCATGTGGCCAGAGGTCACAAGATTTGTGATTTCCCCAATTGCTCCTATAGGTAACATTACTTATTGTAAAACCTAAGATTGGCCTTTTGATATGCTTTTCAGATATTTGCATTCTGGCCACTAACTGATCCCATCTGAACTCATGACTCAACTGGTCCTGTGGCCCCACCCAGAGGCAGACTCAGTGCATGAGGACCATTTTCCACATCCCTATTAATTAATCCCCAGCTAGTCAGCAGTACTCATTCCCTAGTCCCCTACTTACCAAGTTATCCATAAAAACCCTAGCCTCTGAGTTCTCAGGGAGTCTGATTCAAGTGATGACTCCAGTCCTCCCTCTCAGAGGCCCTGCATCAACTAAACTCTTTCTCTACTGCAATACCATGGCCTCAGTGAATTGGTTTTGTCTGTGCTGTAGCCAGGAAGAACACATTGGGTGATTACAGAACCAACAGTGTAAACACAGGAATGTGGAGGACCATGGGGTTTGAAGCCATCAACTGCAAAGACACACCTGAGTCAAGCTCAAATAATCCTGCATGGCTGTGGATGGACACTCAAAACAAAATCAGATGGCTAAATCTAGGTGTGCCGGGGCTGCCTCTGTAGGTGAGAGTTCGCCGATTAACTGTTCTGTAGAAAATACTTTTTTAAAAGATAATACATGTCTGTTAATTTGAAGCTTATATATAATATACAAACTGACAACCAAAATGAGTGATTGCAGCATAAGTCTCAAACCACTAAGGCTTTTTGAGCCAGCTGGAGGATGTGCCCAGGAGAAAGTCAAGTCACGGAGGCATCTGTGGCTGTTTTATCCAAAGAAGTTCTTAGAGGGGTTCTTATATAGACATTTTCCTTAAAAAGGAGGGGGACAGCAATGAGAGAAATGATTACATAATTGTGAGATTTGAGTTAATGCCAAGTAAATCTAAATTTTACATAAGATAAGGTGAACATTTGAAGAAAAAGGGAATGGAGCAAGCAGAGATCTTGGGGAGGGGTGAAGGAATGATGAGCTTAATCTCATGCTTTGTCTTTGCTCTGTACCTGGGAAGATCAGCTAGCAGTCTTTCGAAAGGCCTAATTTCTCTTTAACTCTTAGGGAAGAAAACCTAATGGCTGTTCACAAGGGAGGGGTCAGTGAGGTTATGTCTGATCTCCCATCTCATCATGGCCGTGAATTCAGCTTCCAAGGTTCCCCTGGTGTTCCATTGGCCAAGAGGGGATCCATTCAGTCAGCTGAGGGAGCTTGGAATTTCTTTATTTCTCAATACACATTATATATATATATATTCAACAATAATCAAAGCAATTGTTTAGAGCTTAGACCAACAAGAGTTTTTTTTCAGGAAGCAATATTTTATCACTGACACTGTTTAGTATTGCCAGTGCACAGTCATAACAACAAGCAGAGAGATGTCAGTTTTATTATCGTTGTAAAATTCTCTACAGGCAAGGCCTTCTCTGCCTGCACTGGAGGTCCCTCCTTGGGGCACCTGTGTCAGTTTCACTGTGACCTAGAGCATGGGCACTGACTTTCCCCCCTGTCAAGACCCCAAGCCCCAGCTTGTTGGATGCTCCCTACTTCTGCCAAGAACCCTCCCCTCTTCCCAGTGCTGATGCCCCCATCTTTCTTTGCACCACTTGTTCAGTGAATGTAGCAAGACCAAGTCACAGAGCCCTCAACATCCTTCTGTGGTAACCTGTCAATGAGAGATAAAACACAGACATGTCCTTTGGTTACTCCTGTAACAGATCTCTCTGATGAAAGGATTTCAGAAGCCAACAGAGCTCCAGTGGGTGGTCCGCTTATGTGGGGGTTCCTCACAGCCTCTCAGTGCCACAAACACCCATATGTGCATCCACTCTGTAAAACTGACTGGGTGGCTTTCACCTATTAGCTAAGAAGTCACAAGACAGGCAGTCAGAAAGCTGGCCTGGTCACTGTGCCCCCTGAATAAGACACAGAGCCTTTGGACAAATCACATCCCATCTCTGGGTCTCAGTTTCCTCATCTGTAAAATCAGAGAACCAGACCAGGAGGTCTTTAAGACACTTCCATGCCCCAGGGTTAAATGTCTTGCCATATCTGTTACACTGAGTTACCTAAGCCAAAACCACTAAGTGAAAATGGGGGAAATTGCCCTGTAGCTAACTTATCTGCTCATTATCTCAAATGATTGTTTTTACTCAACTGACTGAAGGGACTTGCTGTCTGGTGTTTTTAAATCATGACAATTTTAGGCATAATGAAATTACCTTCGCAAAATTTTGACAGTGAGAGAAATCTGACATAGTTGACTCCATCTTGCTTCTAACTCCAAGCTGTCCTTGGTCATTCCTTGGCATAAGCCAAGCTAAGTTTAGAAGGAATTTAGTTTATAGTTTAACTTTAAAACAAGGATGATAAGAGTCCTTCCCAAAACTAAACCACCTTTGTAAAACTAATGAAAGGCCACAGTTAGGGTTATAAGAGGGATTAAGATATAGATGTAGTTAACGAATACCAGCCATTGTTCTGAAGGTCACAAGATTTGCAACTTAACCAATTGCTGCTGCAGATGACATCACTACTATAGAACTTAAGATTGGTCTTTTGAGATAATTTTCAGATTTTTACATTCTGGCAACTGACTGACCCCACCCAGAGGTGGACTCGACTCATGACCCAATCAGTCCTGTGGTCCCCATCCAGACGCAGATTCCATGAAGGAGGACCATTTTCCACACCCCTATGATTGCATCCCAGCCAATCAGCAGCACCCATTCCCTAGCCCTCCGCCCACCAAACCATCCTTGAAAACCGTGACCTCTGAGCCTTCAGAGAGACTGAGTGAAACCTTCACCTTCCATATGGCTGACCTGGCGTTCATTAAACTCTTCTTTTCTTCAATGCCCTGGTCTCAGTGAGCTTATTTGGTTTGTGCTGTGGCAGGAAGCACCTGTTGGGTGATTACAGTAACACATGAAAGAGGAGAGCCCAGCCTTTGAAGGAGGAGATGTTTGAGATAGTTATGCTAATGGGTCAAAAATTAAAGAAAATGAGCTTAAAGGACAGGGCAGCCCTGGAGCACCATCCCCCGGCTCTCTGAGCCACCTCCTCTATATCTGCTCCCTTCCTAAATCTGGTCTTTGAACACCTGCAGGGCAAGTGCCACCCTCCGTGGCCTCCTGAGCTCTATGAAGACCTCCCCAGAGTCCATCCCTGCCTGCTGCTTGGGGCCAGACGTCCCTAAAGAGCCCACCGCCCAGCGCTCAGGGCTGTGAAGATGGTGGCCGAGGAGGGGCCATCCCATCCTGAGGAGTGGGAGTGAGTGGGTGTCATCTTCAGGCTTGTTGCAGGTAGGGGGCTGCCATTATCACACCCTCACCTTCAGACGGAGGATAAAAGACACGCTCCCACCACAAGGGGCGAGGGAGGCCCTGCAGCCCTGGGCGCTGAATCCCTTGTCCATATTCCAGGGCACAAAGCAGGATGAGATGAGGGATGCTGCAGAGGTGCTGAGGTCCCAGGAAAGAAAGCGGAGAGGCAGACAGGGGTACCCCTCACACTTCCTTCTGTCTGGGTGCGGCCTGAACTCCACATCTCACCCTCCCAAGGACTCAGAGGGCAGAAGATACATGGTTTGTGCCCGTTTACAGCTTTTCAACCTGCTAATCCTCCATTGGGAAATATTACTTGTCCACAGAAAGTTGTCTTGCCTCTTGCGAATGTGAAAGACGAGCCATGTCAACTCTGGCACCATCATGCCACTGCAGGTCCCTGCACTGCTCCCTCCTCCCAAGCCCTCAGGGCCCGCTAAGTGCACACACGGTGCCTGCTCCCCATGCCACGTGGTGCTGCCCACCAACCCAGCCCCGTGCCCACATGCAGTTCCTCTATGATTGACCTACCCATTTTTGAAAACCTGATGTTTAAGAAATGTGAAATTAAAGATTTCTAACCACTTACACAATTGTCCATTCTTTCACAAATAACAAAGAGATGACCTTGCGATTTGGGTTTCCACAGTGCCCCACAAAGAGGGGGGACTTTCCCGTTCCTCCACACTCTCGTCCTGAAAGAAATGGGCAGCCCATGGCCTTCCAACTTCCAAATCCGTCAAATGAAGGGAAGAGGTGTGTCCGGAATTGGTTCCTTCAGGTGGGTTCTTGATCTGGCTGACTTCAAGAATGAAGCCGCAGACCCTCGCAGTGTTACAGTTCCTAAAGATGGTGTGTCTGGAGTTTGTTCCTTCAGATGTTCAGGTGTGTCCAGAGTTTCTTCCTTCCGGTGGGTTCGTGGTCTTGCTGACTTCAGGAGTGAAGCCGCAGACCTTCGCAGTGAGTGTTATAGCTCTTAAAAGTGGAGCATCCAAAGTTGTTTGTTCCTTCCGGTGGGTTCGTGGTCTCACTGACTTAAGGAATGAAGCCACAAACCCCGGTGCAGTGAGTGTTATAGCTCATAAAGGTAGTAGGGACCCAAAGAGGCAGCAGCAGCAGCAAGATTTACTGTGAAGAGTGAAAGAACAAAGCCTCCTCAGCATGGAAGGGGACCCGAGTGGGTTACCACTGCTGGCTCGGGTGGCCTGCTTTTATTCCCTTATTTGGCTCTGCCCACATCCTGCTGACTGGTCCATTTTACAGAGTGCTGATTGGTACGTTTACAATCCTTTAGCTAGATATAGAGCGCTGATTGGTGCATTTACAATCCTTTAGCTAGATACAAAAGTTCTCCAAGTCCCTACCCTATCCAGAAGGCCAGCTGGCTTCACCTCTCAGAGGGACCAAAATCACGAGTTAGATTGGGTGCATGGAGGCCAGCTGGCAGTGCACCAACCACAGGACCTCTGCCTGCACACTTTCTAGGGGCTGTCAGGATGACAGGAAGGCCCTGGTGCCAGCATCCTGGTGCCCAAAGGAGAGCACTGGGAGGTCCTCAGATACCTAAAGGCGGGTTCACAGGGGTACAGACCACCCCCAAAGGAAAATCCCCAGCGTCCAGTCCCTGCACCCCTGAGGGAAGCCGCCCCCAGGTACTGTTCTAGTCAACTTTGATCAGCAGCCTACAGGCGGACCCTCGCAGGACCAACCACACGGGAGGGGCACAGGCGGACCCTTGCGGGACCCACCAGGCAGGAGGGGCACAGGGCTGGGAGGGAAGGCGCATCTATTGACAGCAAATCAGAGAGGCCCTGGTGGGCTAGCATCGGGCCAAAAATCACCTGATGTGAGGTCCTGCATTTGACCTCAAACATTTATTATCCAGAAATGATATAGAAGAGACTCAAATTACCAGCAGTTCCTGTGGAACTGCAGAACATTTTTAACTCCTCAGAAGCCTCCATATGAACCAACACTAACTTGGCTATTAGAACTGTTAGTGTATGAGCTGGGGCATCTGCAGAGGCTCCAAGGAGTTCTGTGGCTGCCGCCAGTCACCTCCCTGTCTCTGCCTCCATCACCCTCACATCGCTAGTATCCACTCCGTCTTCGTCTTGCAGTTCATACCTGAGCTTCAGACATGTCTCATCTACCCGCGAGGCCTTTCTGCCTGAGCATCTCACAGACACCTAAAAGTGAACACAGCACCCACTGTCCACCTGCCACAATCACGCCATAACCGTTCCTGTCAAGCCTGCAGCCCAATTCCCACGGCTCCAGGTGGCCCCAGCACCACCACAGCCACCAGCGTAGATGCCTGAGTGTTGTCTCGAATCCATCCCCGTTCCTCTTCCTCACCCTCTGCCAACACCACTTACCATAGGGCATCCTCTGCTGACCAGTGACTGCCTGCCTTGGCTCTGGCTACCAGCATCTCTTGCCATCAGCACCCCCTGCCTGGGCCACAGCAACAGCCTCCCATTTGGTCTCTTTTCTTCATTTCACTTCCTCTGGTCCATTCACCGAAGAGCAAGCAGAATTATTTTTCAAAATGCAATTCCAATTGTTATCACACCTCTTCTCCACATTCCTCATCTCCTGCAGAGTAAAACCCAAACCCTGCAGCAACGCTTCTGAGGGCCCTCGTGACCCAGCTCCTGCACTCTCTCCCAACCTGCCTGCCACTCCCAGTCTATGTAGGACCCCCTCCCCCTTGCTGTACATTCGTCCCTACCACGCTGTCAGTAGGCGCTGTCAGTAGGCACTCCCATTTCAGCCCACCCCAGCTCCTTGGTAAGTCTCCACCGCTCCTAGCAAATGTCAATTCTGTGACGAGCTCCCCACTCCAAAAGCAATCTTCTCCTCTCTGCTTGAATGTTCTCCAGTGATGGCACTCATCACACTGTATATGAATTTCTGCTTACGTGTCAGTCTCAGACACAAGACTGAGCAACTTGAGGGCAAGACCATGTCTTGTTTCTGTAACCCCAGCAACAGGCTCAGAGTCTTCAAATGCTTATACAGAAAAGTTAGTTTGTTTGTTTGTTAATGCCTAAATAAATGGGTGGATAGATGGAGGGAGGTTTGGGTGGATGGAGGTTTCGGTGGAGAGAGCTAAGGGAGGGAGTTTTGGGTGGAAGCAGGTTTGCAGGGAGGGAACTGTGGGTGGGTGGGTGGATGGATGGATGGATGGATGGATGGATGGATGGATGGATGGGTGGGTGGATGGGTGGATGGATGAGTGAGTGGGGTCTACCCTCCATTCCTTTGTATACTACATTGCCCCCTCCTGCTGCACTAGCTAAGTCTCCATCAGGCATCTTCTCCTGGTGGCTTTTACAGCAGCAGGTGCTGTCCTTCCAAAGCCAGCCCAGGGCCCACCAGTGTGCGAACATGTATATGGCAGGCATCTCTAATAAGACCCAAAAGGCAGAGGGAGCTTTGGGGCATAGCAGGGTGCTGCCTCTTGAGCTGCTTATGGGAGCTGTGACCCTAGCTGCTGGAAGGAGAAGGGGGCCTTTCCAGATGGGTGTGAGAGCCACAGATGAGTTCCTAAAGGAAGTCCTCAGGACCAGAGGAAAGTCATTGCATCACTGTCTCCAGTTGGAAATTATCCCTTGGAGGAAATGAGATAGAGGGAATGACACCCAGAAGAGGAGAGGCAAAGCAACTTCCCTGAACTTTTCATAGCCTGCAACTGCCAAGCAACCAGTGACTCTGGAAGCCATGCTGAATAATGAGTAGGGAGCAGTGACTGTTTGCAGATCCATTACATTGAAAAATGGAAGGGAATTTTATTGACTACTAATTAAAATCTTATCCCCTTTCAGAGCATCTGGCAATACAGCAAAAGCACTCATTACGTGTACAGGACTCAAAATATATGGGCAATCAGTGTATTTTTATCCTTTGAGAAACATTCAAAGGACTTAATGCCCAGATCTTGAGAAGGGTCCAGTGATTGGAAAACATTCTAGTGGTGTTTAAATGCCAACATCCAGAACGCCTTTAAAGGTCTGCACTTTTGTTGGTTGTCATTTCATGCAGTGCTATTTACTTATCTCTCATGACTTAAAAGCAAGAGCTACTTGAATTCTGGTTGAAGCTTTATTACATCAGCTATCAAGAGATATTTTTATGTTAAGGCCCTTTGTTTTGTTGTCTGTTATCTTGGCAAATCAGAGAGGCAATAAGATGCCAGCAGGATAGATCTAAAGGTGAAATATTTTCTAAGGAACCATTGTAATATTGTAAGTCAAGCTTCCATCTAATTTAATACGTGGTCAGGTTTCTATTGGCCTTGGTTTAATAGTCACTCAAAGTGAAGGAAAATGGATAGAAAGAACAGACAAAGAGAGAAGAAAGAAATAGCTGCCATTAGGGTACTAATATGTGGCCATTTTACAGACATAGAAACCAAGATTGAGAGAAATTTTTAAAGGGTAGCCCAGGGTCACACAGCTGTTGAGTTGTAAGGCCAGAATGTGAGGCTGGACTTACCATATGTCTGAAGTGGGTGAGGAGGAAGATTTGCAAGGAGAAAGCAATTGCAAAGCCCCCGCAGGGCAGCGTGGGCCCTGGGATCTGGCTGAGGCAGAAGGGGTTGTGGGGGCAAGGAGCTTGTCTAACACCAGAACCTGTCAGGGAACAAGGCCAGAGCCTCGGCTGTACAGCAGGGGGAACTGACACAGTTCTGATGCTGAAAGGAGACCTTGGAGTTTTGAAAGAGAAAGACCTCTCTGCTGAGAAGACAACACCTCTGTGGGCTGGGGCTGGAAGTCCCATTGCCTCTGTGGTGGAAAAGTACAAACTGAAAATCCAGGTTAAGGTAGACCTAGATCCGCAGTCTCCAGGCACCTGACAGAAGCAAACTTATATCCTGCCTGGAGGTATTTTCAACACAAACCACAAAGAATCCCCGCAGATAAACTTGAAATGCTGGCATCCCAGGTGATACTGGCACTGCTGGTCAAAGACCACACCAACAGGCACAGCTGACATCACCTCCGAGAGCCTGCTGTGTGCCATACATCATGTTGAATGATTAACAAGTGGGCACTCACTTAGCCGGTCCTTATCAGAACTTCAAAGCAGATAATACCGTTCCCACCAGGAGATGCTGCCTTAGAGAAGGCAGCGCGGTTTGCCATAGCAGGATAAACACAGGCCCTGGAGCCAGAGACCCCAGGGGCACATGCAGGCTACTCAGCAGGCAGAGGGTGCTACACGCCACTCTCTCCAGGCTCTCAAGTGGGCATCTGGCATGGTCATCAGCAAATGTCTAGGGAATGAAATTAGCCAAATAATTAATGCAAGAATAACATATAACAGACACATCTGAAATATAAGGCTACAGAAGAGTTGAAACTAAAATAATAAGAAAAACCTATTGTGGCAATGCTAACATCAGACAAAAAGCAGTAATACAGATAAGGGGCATTCTAGAATGACAGAAGGTGACAACCAAACAGAAATGCAATGTTCTAAACTATTGGCATGAAATAACATGCATCCTAAGCAAAACCTTGCAGAACCAAAAGGAGCAGTAGACAAGTCCACGACCATAGGGGTAGATTCAAACCTCTCTCTATATATAACTGACAGAACATGAAGGGAAAAAATCAGCAGAGATCTAGGAGAAACAACACAATGACCCAATTTGACCTGAATCCCAACAACCGCAGAGTGTGCATTGCTTCCGAGAGTACTTGGAGCATTCGCAACACTCAACAAAGTTCAAAGGACCAGTCATATGGGGAACATACACCATGTAACTAAGCTAGAAATCATTTTAAAATAACTAGAAAATCCCCATATGTTTGGATATTATGCAATACACTTCTAAATAACATGAGTCAATACATCTTTTCAGCCAAATTTCTCTTGCAAGCATTTGCACTAACCTCAACTCTCATGTTTAAGAAATTCCATTTCCCCACATCCCTGTCACTGCTTGATATGGTTTGGCTCAGTGACCCCAACAAAATGTCATCTCAAATTGTAATGCCTGCTTGTTGATGGAGGGACCTGCTGTTCTGGTGATAGTGAGTGAGTTCTCACAAGATCTGATGGTTTAAAAGTGCAGGACTTCTCTCTCTCTCTCGCCATCTTGTGAAGAAAGTGCCTGCTTCCCCTTCGCCTTCAACCATGACTAAGTTTTCTGAGGCTTCCCCAGCCATGCAGAGCTGTGAGTCAATTAAACTTCTTTTCTTTATAAATTATCCAGTCTCAGGTATTCTTTATAGCAGTGTGAAAATGGTCTAGTACAGGAAAATGTTACCAAAAGTGGGGCACTACTATACAGATAACCTGAAAATGTGGAAGCAATCTTAGAACTGGATAATGGGCAGAGGTTGGAATAGTTTGGAGGGCTCAGAAGAATACAGAATGATATGGGAAAATTTGGAACTTTCTAGAGACTTGTTTTGACCAAACTGTTGATAGTGATATGGACAATGAAATCCAGGCTGAGGTGGTCACAGGTGGAGATGAGAAACTTATTGGAAACTGGAGCAAGGGTCACTTTTTCTATGCTTTAGTAAAGAGACTGGCAGCATTTTGCCCCTACCCTAGAGATCTGTGGAACTTTGAACTTGAGAGAGAAGATTTAGGGTACATGGCAGAAAACATTTCTAAGCAGCAAAGCATTCAAGAAGTGACCTGGCTGATTCTGAAAGCATTTAGTCATACGCATTCACACAAAGATGGTTTGAAATTGGAACTTATGGTTAAAAGAGAAGCAGAACATAAAGGTTTAGAAAATTTGCAGCCTGACCATGTGGTAGAAAAAAAAAGAAAATCATTTTCTGGGGAGAAATTCAAGCTGGCTGCAGAAATTTGCATAAGTAACAAGGACTTGAATGTTAATAGCCAAGACAATGGGGAAAATGTCTCCAGGGCATTTCAGAGTTCTTCATAGCAGCCCCTCCCATCACAGGCCTGGAGGCCTAGGAAGAAAACATGGTTTGTGGACAGGCCCAGGGCCCTGCTAATCTGTGCAGCCTTAGGACATGGCACCCCAAGTCCCAGCTGCTCCAGCTCCAGCCATGGCTAAAAGGGGCCAAGGTACACATTGGGCCATGGCTTCCAAGGGTGCAAGCCCCAAGCCTTGGCTACTTCCACATGGTATTGGACCTGCAGGTGCACAGAAGACAAGAGTTGAGATTTGGAGTCTCCACCTATGTTTCAGAGGGTGTATGGAAATGCCTATATGTCCAGGCAGAAGTCTGCTGCAGGGGTGGAGCCCTCATGGAGACCCTCTGCTAGGGCAGTATGGAAGGGAAATGTGGGGTTGGAGCCCCCACAGGGAGTCCCCACTGGAGCACTGCCTAGTGGAACTGTGAGAAGAGATCTGATGGTTTTATAAGGGGCTCCCTCCTTCATTCACTCTTGGCTGCCACCATGTAAGATGTGCCTTTGCTTCTCCTTCACCTTCTGCCATGATTGTAAGTTTCCTGAGGCCTCCGCAGCCATTTGGAAATGTGAGTCAATTAAACTTCTTTTCTTTACAAATGATCCAGTCTTAGGCACATAGTTCTGGAGGCTGGGAAGTCCAAGAGCATGGCACTGGCATCTTGTGGGGATCTCCCTGCTACAGCTTCCCATGGAAGAGGGCATCACATGGAGACAGGACAAGAATGTGCCAGATGAGGTCTTCCTCTTCTTATAAAGCCACTGGTCCCATCATGGGGGCCCCACTGGGATGACCTTTTGTAACCCCAATCACCTCCCAAAGGCCCTACCTCCAATCAACATATGGATTTGGGGACTAAGTTTCCAACACCTGAAGTTTGGGGAACATATTCAAACCATAGCAGTCCCATATCCTGAAAGGCTCCTCCTGGCCCAAGTCTCAGGTGTGTGAGTAGAGCCAGCCCTGCAGGTGTGAGAAATTGTTTCCCTGACCCATAATATGGGAAACCCAGGTATGGATGCATGTGTCATGTCACATGAGCTCTGCAGGGCCAGGTGTGGGAGACAGTTTTGCTGTGGTGTGTGAGGGCATGTGACATCTCCACAGTGGGACAACCAGATATGGAGCCACAGATGTTCATGTCTCTGGCTCAGCTCCTGCCCTCAGGAAACACAGAGTGGGAAGAGAGACAAAAATCACACAGGAAAGGTGATAACAAGGTAGAATACAGGTGTCCTTAAAGTGTAGGCACAGAGAAGGCTCTAGGGTCATTCACAGGAGCAGTTCCTCCCTCTAAAAGAATCAAGGGCATCTGGCAGGGAAGCTGAGCCTCGAAAGGGGTTGGTCAGGAACATGGGGATAGAAGGGAGTGGAAAGTGTGGATGGAGGGAGCATGTGTGCATAGGTGTACAGGTGGGCACACATTAGCATAAGTGCTGGTTATCTCCTGCTACAAAACAGATTACCCAAACCTAGTGGCTTAGCACTCCAAGCATGTATTATCTCACACAACATCTGAGGGCAGGGATTGGGAGTGGCTCAGTTGGGTGTGGAGTTTCTGACTCAGGGTCTCTCACAGGCTGGTGGTCAAGGTGCAGCTGGGACTGTGGTCATGGAGGCGTGACTGAGCAGGAGAACCCACATCCATGGTGGCTCACTCACAGAGCTGTAGACAGATAGTCTCAGTGCCTTGCCTCCTGTACCTCTCTGTACAGCTGGTGGATCAGATGGGAACTGATCAGCACATGCTGCAAGGAAGCCTCCTGACACAGGAAAGAACCCTGGAAAGGAAGAAAGGGAGTTGTAGTCACTCCCACTCAGGGCCAGAAGTGGTGACAGCTCCCACCAGCCACACCAGGCACTGAGAAGAGTCCTCGAAGAATCTGGCCCCATTTGTGGGAACATCAGCCCTCAACTAAAGGCCTTTCTTGCTTGTTCCACTAATAATGTTTAAAAGTCAGACCAAAATGGATCCAACTGTTTCCAAATAACTTCATTGCATCCCAGAACAAAGCTCAAAAATATTTTAGAAATACAAAAGTGCCCAGCACCCAACAAGGTAAAATTCACAATCTATGACAGCCAATCAAAAATTACCAAGCGCATAAAGAAATAGGAAAATATGACCTATAACAAACATCAAAAACTACAAAATACTTAGTGATAAATCTGGGGAAAAAAAGGTGATGATGACCCATTGATCCTCCTCCCAGGTGTCCTGAGGAAACACACAGGAATGTTCTTCAGGTGTCGTGATAGCATTCAAGACAACCCACATGCCACCATCAGAAGGAGGGAGTAACTGAATGTCAAAGGCACATAAAAAGACTAACAGCTGACTGGGCACAGTGGCTTATGCCTGTAATCCCAGCACTTTGGGAGGCCAGGGCAGGTGAATCACCTGGGCTCAGGAGTTCAAGACCACTCAAGGCAACATGGTGAAACCCCGTCTCTACTAAAAATAGAAAAAAATTAACCAGGTGTGGTGGTGTGCCCCTGTAGTCCCAGCTACTTGGGAGGCTGAGGCAAGAGAATCGCTTGAGCCCCAGAGGCGAAGGTTGCAGTGAGCCGAGATTGCGCCACTGCACTCCAGCTTGGGCTACAGATTGAGACTCCATCTCAAAAAAAAAAAAAAAAAAAACACTAACAGCTGCACAAAGCAATGCCAGAGGCCCAGGAAGGACCGTGTGAATCTGAAAAGCATCAGGCTGAGAGCAGAGGTAAGAAATAGGAGATGGATAGTGCACTTGCATTCATTGAAAACACACAGATAGACCTTCACATCTCACAGAGTTTCAGAGTGGAAGTGTGTGGGGCAGGCTGAGGATGGTGACATGGGAGGAGCGGAGCTGGGGGCAGACAGAGTCCATGGAGCAACGACGCAGAGGCACTGCCAGCTCTGCAATGCCCTGCAGGCTCCACACCCCCGGGACCCCTCTTCACACACACCAGGTCACTGCTGATCCATCTTGAGGGTCCTCTGACCCTCAAGGGATGAGAAGATGGAAAGAGATACTGACAGGTGAGTTTATAAATGTGTTTTGGTCACAATAGCTAAATTTTGAATAACGCAGAATTATTGACACATAACAGACATCGGACTCTCTGTGCCTCCCAGGAGGAGACAAATGTCATTCTTTATCAGCTCTGTCCTGTGCATGCGCACGCCACACCTGCCTGCAGTAAAAGCATCCAGAAGAGTTTGAGGCTGTCCGTCTCCCACACTTCTTCCTACCACAAGCATTGCTGGGCACTTCCTGTGCGCCCGGCACCCCTTAGAGATCCATCCCTGGCCTCCCAACGCCTTCAGTCTGGCTACAGAGAATAGCTCAGGGTCTGATGAGGGCTATAAGGGATCCACCATGGAAGCCCCAGGGGAAGACTCCCCTCTCACACACTCCTCCATGTAGCTAGTTTTGAGCCCACTTATGTCAGATGCTGAGCTTGACGCCTACTCGGTGAAGAACAGGATGACCTAGACATGCTTTATGTCTGGTAGCCTGTGAAGGATGCTTTGGACAACACTGTAGATTGAGCCATAGTCTGCAAAAAACAGTCAGCTGAGCTCCAAGGTGTCCCCTGGGCCATGGGCAGATTAGCACTGCCTGGGAGTGTCTGCCCCAGAACCCATGGACACAGAGACACCACCCAACTCAGGCCGCTCCTGCTGGTACCCTATTTGCCAGCCTGCCCACGCCAGTGTCATTCATGGAGTCTCTCCCTGCGTCATCAAGTCCTCCCAGTGCCAGAGCCAGGTCTGTCCAGAGCAGGAGGTGGATCAGCTACCTCTGCCCACCAGGCAGGAGTTAGAGGATAGACCTGGAGTGGGAGTTTCAGCTACCCCAAAACTCAGCCACTTAAATTAACGGTCACTTTGTTTGCTAGGATTCTGCAAGCAGGGCTGGGCTCAGCTGGGGACATCTCCTGCTGGCCTAGCCAGCGGTCAGGCACATGCTGCGTGGAGCTGAAGGGTCAGTGGGGCCGGGCTCAGCTGGGAGGCTGGGGCAGCTGCACCTCACTCTCTCCACAAGTCTCGGGGCTCAGCACATTTTGCGGCAGCTCAGGCTCCCCCAGTGCAAAAGCAAAAGCTTAGGCCTCCTCGAGCTTAGGCCTGGAACTGGCACAGTTCCCTGTCACTCCCTCCTGCTTCATTGGTTACAGTGAGTCACATGACGGGGGACCCCGAAGCATAGATACCAGGAGGCTTGCTCACCAGTGACCTCAAAGTGACCGACTCCAGCAGAATGTGCCCCTAAACTTGGAGCATCCCTGCTCCCTCCCACCTTCCCCTGCTCCCCAACTGTGGCTGCATCCTGGTCCTCCAGCAGAATCCCATTCCCCTTTGGGCAGAACCTCTGACCTAAATTTCAGGCCACTCCCTGACGGCCCATCAGGTCTTGCCCACCCTCTCCTCCCAAAGGGATGGTGGCTGTGGCCAGACTGAGTCTCAGAGCGGCTTGGTTCCTACCAGCCTGAAAATGCCTGAGTCTCACTGCTGCTAAACCCCTATTCTCCTCGTGCCCACACACCCCAATCACCCACACAGAGGAGGAAGTGCTGATGGGATTGGCCAGGGCCAGGCATTCATGAGGCCCATGTTACTAGTGGGCAGGACTCCCATGCCTTCAAATTCACCATCCTCGCCTGACTCTAAGGCTCCACTTCTGCTTCTTGGTCATCGCATCTTCTCCCAACCCACCCACCAAGCTGAGCAAACCTGTCCTGAGATTCACATTGGGTTTGAGGTAGATACCTGCTTCGGCCCTCCAGTGTCAGCTACATTTCCAACCCATCCTCCTCCAGTGGCCCTGCATGAGGAAACAGTGGGGGTGCCTGCATCCCTTTATCACAGCCATGCCCTGAAGAACCTCTCCCAGTAGAAAGGCACTTGACATTTAATACTCAGAGTTCACAGAAAGGACATATCTCTCAGCTGATTTTTAAATGCAATCATGCTCTGCATGACGACCTTTTGTTCAACAACAGACCACATATAGGATGGTGGCCCCATAGATTATAATATCATATTTCTACTATACCTTTTCTATGTTCAGATATGTATAGATACACAAATACTGACCATTATGTTATAGTTACCCACAGTAGTCAGTACAGGGACATGTTGTACAGATTTGCAGCGTGGGAACAATAGGCCATACCATACAGCCTAGGTGTGCAGTAGGGTCTGCCATCCGGGTTTGTGTAAGTACACTTCCATGTTCATACGATAACAAAATCACATAAGGACACATTTCTCAGAACGTATCTGTCATTGAGCAATTTATGTCTGTACTTTTTTTCTGAAACAATTTTTATTAAGACATAATTCACATACTATGGAATTCACCCTTTCAAAATATAAAATTCAGTGGGTCTTCTTAGTATATTTACAAGGTTGTACAACTATCTAATTCGAGAACACTTTCATCAAAGAAATCCCATCCTCATTAGCAGTCACTCTCCACCTCTCTGTCCCCAGCCCTGGTGACCAGCAATCCACTGTCTGTATCCATGGATTTGCATATCAGAGGAATTCTACAATACGCAGCCTTTTGCGTCAGGCTTATTTCTCTTAGCATCAAGAATTATTCATGCTGGTGCATAAGTTAGTACTTTGTTCCATTTTATGGCTGGATATTTCCTCCTATGGCTATTCCACATGCTGTTGACCTATTCATCAGATGAACATCTGAGTCTGAGCTGTCCCCACCTCTTAGATATTATGAACAATGCTGCTATGAACGTTCATGTACAAGGTTTTGTGCAAATGCACATTTTCAATTCTCTTAGATGTATATGTAGGAGTGGACTGCTGGATGGGCTTAACTTCTTGGGGAACTGCCAAACTCTTTTCCAAAGTGGCTGCACCACTCTCATTCCCAGCAGCAGTGGCCAAGGGCCCTGACTGACCCACATCCTCAGCAACACTTGTTACCATCCATCTTTTATATCGTAGCTCTCCTAGCAGGCCTCAGCGGATTTACAGGGGAACATTTCATTTTTACGTTCCAAAAATTTCAGTACACAAGTTTTAACAAAATGATGGCAAAAAAAGTCTCAAGCCACTTTCCAAGTACAATTAGTAGAATGTGTGAATCACATGTGATGTTTACAACTACATGACTTCTCTACTCCACAAGCTGTTCTCCAATGCAGCCCTAACACTGCTCCACTGAGAAGGCCCTCCTCCCTGGACCTACCGACCAACAGACAGAGGTGACGTGATGTGACTTTGAGACACGTCCTAAGGCAAGGCAGCTCCACCTGTTCTCTGCAGCCCTCACTCCTGGAGCCCTGGCCATGTCAGAAGTCCCGCTGTGATGAGCTGCCACACGCAGAGCCCCTGAGAGGGCGCTGGGGGATGACACGGCCCCCCGCTGCCAGACTTGGGCTTTCCCAGCTGAGGCCCCAACACTGTGGAGCAAAGTCCAGCTGGCCCCTGTATCCTCCCCAGCCCAGACTCACAGAAACTATGAGCACAACAAAATGGCCACCCTGGGCCCCCTGCTGTAGGGTCAGCCTTCACACAGTGACAGTACTGCAGCTGCGGTGGCGATTGCCCTGAACAGGGCTGGTCCAAGGGCAGTGCAGTCACCCCTTGTGGTCCTTGCACAGCTGTGCTGAAGTCATGCACCGCTGACCATGCAGGGACAGGCTGAGCATGGGTCATCACAGCCCCACAGATTCTCCCTCACCAGGAGGCACGATCTCATGTTTCTGTTATGTTTGGGGGACTTGTTCAGGGATCTTAATTATAAATAAGCACTTTATCGTGTTTTAGATACATTTTGGGGACTTGCATGGAGGGTTTAGGGCAACAAGCAATGCATTATCATTTTTCCCATTTAAAGTAATGGGAGCAGGCTCCCGGTTTGTGCTGTCAGACAGGAAGTCTCATTTTAGCAGCAGATTGTCAGCATCAAGCAAGCCATGCTTGGACTGGCCTCTGCCCAACCTGTGTGGGTGACGCCCTCAGGACCCCACATGGAGGCGCACTGTTGGCATCAGGCTGTACTCAGCCCAGGATCTTATGCCCTCTGACCCCATCAGACAACATCAAAAATCCCCTCGAGGTACCACCCTTCTGCTGGAGGGAGCCCCTGCTCCTGCCCCAGGCACAGGGTGCTTTGAGAATCTGCCGGCTAAGCCTGCACATCCTGCAGCCACGGGCATGCCCCAGGCCAGTTCCTCCTGCTTCCACCTTCCTCCCTGCCCCTCCTGGAGCCCGGGCTCCCCAGCTGCCCCTCAAGACCCAAGTATCCATGAGGAGACGCCAGAGGGAAGGGAGTGTGGCTGGATGTGCAGCGAGGGTGGGAAGACCAGAGGGTGTCAGTGGCTCCTAACTCCCACTCATTGCCTTTCCTTGCCAAGTCCTCCTTCCAGAGCCTCCTGCTGTGCGCAGAAGGAGAAGAAGGGAGGGACAGGAGAGGAGCTGGGAGGTGGGATGGGGGAGGCACAGCGAGGCTCTGAGATATTTCTCAGGGGAGCAAGTGCAGCCCTAAGCAAGGCGGGCCATTCTGGGCTGGGGTTTTATCTGCTGCACTGGAATCAATGAGATAAACGGGAGGCCTTTCACTAGGAGCCTTGGCACACAGCAGCGTCAGGGTTCCTCTCATGATGCAGCAGGGGAGCAGAGTGGGGCTCTCCATCAGCCCCTGCAACTAGGGGCTCTCTTTGATACTTAGAGAAGAGAGAGCAGAACCAGGCTGAGCCCCAGGTAAGCCCACTCTACCCTGAAACACACACACATGCACTCCCACAGTGGCCCTGGAGACCACCAACACATTCGTCACCCGGTCACTCACCTACAGCCCTCATTCCTCCAGCAGGACACAGCAGTCAGGCATCAAGGCCATCTGAGGTCAGGAGAGGCAGCTCATGTTAGAAGGAAAGGGAGGTGGCCCCACATTAGGCATGGGCTGTCTGGGGCCAGGACACTCAGTGGGAAGCAAAGCTGTGATCCCTCTCCCTGACATGCCCAGGCGGCAGTGGGGCTAGGGCCCTCAGGCCTGCAGGTGGAGTTGGCTCCCTATGGTCTGGAAACATAATCGCTTTATCCCCATAGTGACTACCAGCAGCATCCCCAGGGGAAGGGGGAGGGTGGCAACCAGCCCCCACCATGGGGACCAGGAGGAGGAGAGGCTTCTGCTGCCGCCTGGCTGCCCTCCAGCTTGGCCCCTGCACCCTGTGAGGAGGGATGGGGGTTCCCGACTTCATTTCCTCTCCTGCTTCTCACTCTTTAGAGCTGGTGAGCAGCTGGCTGGGGGCCAGGGCGCTCAGGCACCGAGGTCGGGCTGCCCAGGTGGTGCAGGTCCCCGGGGTCTGAACCTGCTGGGAGGTGGCAGGGGAGGTGGTGCATGGGGACAAGCCTCAGCAGAGCCTGTGTTCAGCACACAGGCTTCCTCCCTCGAAGTGGGGTAACGGCAGCAGCTTCCAAGGGAGGCCAAGCACCCCAGCTCCCGTGCTGGGGACTGTGTGTAAAACCACCCAGGCTGGAGGCGCTGCTGCTTCTGTGCAACGCCTGTGCAACACAAGGACAGTGCTTGTGGGCGAGGGCCGTGTCCAGGGAGTGGAGCGGCTGTCCTCGCTGCCCCCACTGACTGACACACGACAGATGAAACAAAAACAGCGCTCACTGGAGTGTGCTGGGTGGGTCACCCTTGAGTGAGGCAAAGCAGACACACAGAGATGGTGACCTGATCACTGGGGTTGCAGGGAGAGCCTCGGCCCCCAGACTCAGGGACCAGACAGCTCCACCGGCCGGGCACGTGAACCCCGCAGGCTGCGGGGAAGGAGGCCAGCCTCCGTGGGGGTGCTTCTCGTGGGGTCAGACTGCCGCGTCTTCTCTGGTGTCCTCTGGAGGGAGGCAGCACAGGACGGAGCAGCTGAACAGGAAGGAAGCACGCAGGGAGACAGGGACTGCCGGGGCCGCTGTCATCGCTGGGTGTCCTGATCCTACTTCCTCCTGACACCCCTGCCCCTGTCTGGTCATGGCAGGAAGGCCTCGTCCAAGGGAGCACATCCCCGACCACAGGGGTACTGAGGCCACCTCGCCCTCTGCCCAATGACTTCAGCACGCTAGCTCCATCAGAAGGTCTCTGTTGGAGGAGAGGATGCCCAACTGCTTAGGGCTCCAAATGAGAAAGGAAACATTGCTGTAGGAGGCCACCACCACCAATCATTTCCTTTCCAAAGGAAGCCAAAAACACACACAAAGCCACGGCCTCCTCATGACCACTGTGTCTGGCACCACCTTGGACCCTAACGTCTGTCTGGGGCCCTGTCCCATGCCGCACCCTGGGTCAGCTCCCACCACTCAAATCTTCACCCCACACCATGTGCCCTCACCCCAGGAGGGATTACACAAGGGAGGGCAGAGGGTGGAGAACAGTTACACACCCCCAATTCCTGAGCCAAGGACTGCCCAGACAGGGGTTCACATGGCCACTCAGAGACTTTGTCCTCACTCCTGCCCAGGATGCCATGGGGAAGAGCAAGATAGCATCGAAGCCTTCATGAGTGGGGGTTCCCGAATGTCTGCCCAGGCCTTTGAGAAGGACCCTACACCTGACTGTGAGAATGCGGCACGAGAACTGTTTCCTTTTGTGTTCTCAAATGAAGGGCTCGGGTGAAAGCTTTCTGTCCGATATCCGCCTGTTAGAGTTCTAAACCTCTTGCTTTCTACCTGATAAAATTGGTTTATGTATACGTTTGGGGCCTGGCAGGGAGAAAGGAGAATGTCCTGCTATCTGGGCACAAGGCCCCCAGAGCACCCTCTAGACTCCCCGCTGCAGCCCCACCCCGAAGGCCCCACAGAGAACAAAGCAAGCCTGGGTCTCCAATTCAAGATCAGTGTGGGGTCTCATCCACTGCTCTTGCATCTGGTGCCACCCCTGCACCCCCTGTTCTTCCTTCTTCCTGCTCACGCTGGGCCTCAATACCGTCAGCCTCCTGGAAGCCCCCAGACACAGGTGGAGGCCTCCCATTCAGACGTGGCAGGCCTTCTCCAGCAACCTGTGCTTCAGATGCCTTTTCAGGGACAGGCCACTGGCATCATTTGTGCTGGAATGTAAATGACTGACTGGCTCCCTGACGCGTGGCTGCTTTCTAAGAGGAGGGCACTCCTGTCTGTGGCTCAGCATGTACTTGCCTCTCTTCCCTCCCAGGCCAGCAAATGAATTCTACAGGGAATGAACCTCTTGCCACAAAAAGAACTGGAAGCAGGTGGTCAGCAAGCCAGCACGAGATTACAATCAATTTCTGGAAGGCAGAAGCAGATGGAAACGTGTTGGTGATGAAACAGGGCGGGAGCTGCATCCCAAAATACAGGCAGGTGGGCAAGTCTTCCTGGAAGGACCCAGAGAGGCCTGGGCTCAACCACAGGGAGGGGACATTTGGGAAGCATCGTTGGGAAAGAGCAGCAGGACACACCAAGGAAGGGGGACCCACCTCCTGCCCCTTAAGCAGGAAAGTCAAGGAGACTGGCCTGTCCCATCAGGTCCCAACAGACAGCATGTTCCTTCCTGCTCAGAGCAGCTCCTGGACCTGGGGCAACCAAAAGCAAAGTGAGACCTTCCCAAGTCCAGGCGAGGACTCTCCCTCACCTGGCTCTCCCTCCCTGTGACTGCTGACCAGCAAAATGGGTTATGCCAGAAAGAGCCCAACCCAGCCAGGACCTCAGAGCTCAGGCCTCCTGCTTCGCCTGCCCAGGAGGGACCAGCCAGCCCAGCCCAACCTTCAGCTGCCCTGTGTCCAGGGCGTGCCTGGCATGTGCCCAGAACACGACTGATGCTGTGGGAGACAAAGAGCACCCCACCCGTAAGGGGTCCCAGCACTCACGGTATGATGCAAGCAAATAAAGTCAACGGATGACAGAGCACCCTGCAGGAACATAAGCTTCCCACGTCCTCAGCTCTTCCTCCTCTATCCCCACAGACACACACACCTGGGGCCTGGAGATCCCAGTGAGGAGAAATGCCTCAGGTGGCAATTTATACACCCCAGCCTGATTCAGAGCTGGATCCATTTAATCCTCATTCCAACTCTATGCAGTAGGGATCATCACCCTCCTTTTACAGAAATGGGAACCAAGGCACACAGCTAAGTAAAGGGGCCGGGACTCGAACCCAGGGGTCTGCCCTGAGAGGGAGCACTTACCCTGCTCAGTACTGCCTGGCAACAGCACACTGTTCATGCTTTAGTTATTTCTTAAATGTATACACAGTAAAAGTCATTGTTTGGGGTTACAGTTCTAAGGGTTTTGACAACTGTATGCAGTCACACAACCACCACCACAATCAAGATTCATAATGGTCTCATTACCGCAAAACAATCCTTATGCCGTCCCTCTGTGGTCAGCCTCACACCCACCCCAGCCCCTGGCTGCTGCTGTTCTGTTCTGTGTCCAAATATCAACAACACATTTGTTTGGTTGTTTTGTTGTTTGTTTTTTGAGACAGGGTCTTGCTCTGTTACCCAGGCTAGAGTGTAGTGGCGTGATCTTGACTCACTGCAGCCTCAACCTCCCAGGCTCAAATGATCCTCCTACCTCAGCCTCCTGAGTAGCTGGGACTACAGGTGCATGCCACTATCCCTGGCTAATTTTTTTTCTAATTTTTGTAGAGACAGAATCTCACTTTGTTGCCCAGGCTGCTCTCGAAATCCTGGTCTCAAGTGATCCTCCCACCTCAGCCTCCCAAAGTATTGGGATTACAGGTATAAGCAACCACACCCCACCAACAGCACATTTTTAAAGACAAGTCTGTTGGTATACAGGACTTCATCCCTCTCCCAAAGCCATGCCCCTTAGAATCCAGGGACAATGTGAATTAAGACCAAAAACATGTGAGTGACCAAAACTTAGAAACATTTATGACATGTCTCCCACATAACTGGAGTCAAAAGTTACCCGGCCAAGCCTGGATTGAATAGAAAAGCTTCACAAAGATTCAATAAGCCCCAAATCATATGACTTCCTGAGTCTTCTCATTCCTAGTTGTAAAAGTTAACAGTAACCACAACCTGACATGGTAGTCACATGTAAAATAATGAAGTTGTGCCCTACCTCACACCACGTACAAAAAATTAACTCAAAGTGGGTCAAAGACCTAAACATAAGAGGGAAAACTATATAGCTCATAGAGGAAAACAGGTAAAGGTTCATGACATTGGACTCAGCAATGATTTCTTGGATATGACAACAAAAGTGCAAGCAACAAAAGGAAAATGCACAACTTGGACTTCATGAGAATTAAAACCTTTTGTGCAACAAAGGTACTATCGACAAAGTAAAAGGGCAACCCATGGAATGGGAGAAAATATTTGCAAATCACTTATCTGGTAGGGGATTAATATCCAGAATTTATAAAGAACTCCTGAGACTCAATAACAATAAAACAAACAATCCCATTTTTAAATGGGCAAAGGACTTAATAGACATTTCTTCAAAGAAGACATAAACATGGCCACTAATTGCATGAGGCCAGGTGTGGTGGCTCATGCTTGTAATCCTGTCATTGTGGGAAGTCAAGGTGGGCAGATCACTTGAGGCCAGGAGTTCGAGACCAGCTTGGGCAATATAGTGAGACCCCCATCTCTACTAAAAATTTTTAAAATTTTTTAAATAAGTGCATGAAAAGATGCTCAACATGACAGATCATTAGGGAAATGCAAATCAAAACCACAATGAGATACTACCTCACACCAATTAGGATGGTCAAAATACAGAGAAAGAGAGAGAATAACAAATATCAGTGAGAACGTGGGGAAATTGGAACGCTTGTGCATTGCTGGTGGGAATATAAAATGGTGCAGCTGCTGGGAAAAATAGTATGGTGGCTCCTCAAAAACCTAAACATAGAATTACCTTACGGCCCAGCAATTTCATATCTGGATATACAGTCAAAATAATTGAAAGCAAGGTTTTGAAGAGATATTTGTATACCTATGTTCATAGCAGCATTATTCACAATAGCCAAAAGATGAAAACAACTCAAGTGCCCATCGACAGATGAGTGGATAAACAAAGCACGGTGTACACACACAATGGAATGTTATTTAGCCTTAAAAAGGAATGAAGGTGCAATACATCCTACAATGTGGATAAACCTCAAAAGCGTTATGCTAAATGGAATAAGCCAGACATAAAATGATAAATAATGTATGATTACACTTACATGATATACCTAGAATAGGCAAATTCAGAGAGACAGAAAGTAGAATAGTGGATACCAGTGGCTGGAGGGAGGAAGTGTGGGCACTTACTGGTTAATGGTTACAGAGTTTCTATTTGGAGTGATGAAAGAGTTTTGGAAATGAATAGCAGTAACCACAACACTGTGAATGTAATTAATGCCACTGAATTATATACTTAAAAATGGTTAAAATGGCAAATTTTATGTTATGTGTATTTTACCAAATTTTTAAATTAATAATACACCAAAAGCCATTGAATGTATACTTTGAGTGAATTGTATAATATATGAACTATATCTCAATAAAACTATTTAAAAAGAGAAAAAATCTTAGTAGTGGCCACCACCTGGCACAAGGCACTGGGGAAGGCTTGTGCCCTTGGCCTTTGGTGCTGGGACAGTTAGTATTTTGTGGTCATTAGCATCTGCCTGTAAGTCACAAGGCACACCAGAAACTTCAAAATTTCAATTCTTCTGTGCCAGATTAAAAAAAAAAAAAAAAAAAAAACGGATAGTTTCCACCTTTCCTGGCCACAGCCCCATTTTTTTTATTATACTTTAAGTTTTAGGGTACATGTCACAATGTGCAGGTTAGTTACATATGTATACATGTGCCATGTTGGTGTGCTGTACCCATTAACTCGTCATTTAACATTAGGTATATCTCCTAATGCTATCCCTCCCCACTCCTCCCACCCCACAACAGGTCCCAGCCTGTGATGTTCCCCTTCCTGTGTCCATGTGTTCTCATTGATCATTAAAAAGTCAGGAAACAACAGGTGCTGGAGAGGATGTGGAGAAATAGGAACACTTTTACACTGTTGGTGGGGCTGTAAACTAGTTCAACCATTGTGGAAGTCAGTGTGGCGATTCCTCAGGGATCTTGAACTAGAAATACCATTTGACCTAGCAATCCCATTACTGGGTATATACCCAAAGGATTATAAATCATGCTGCTATAAAGACATATGCACACGTATGTTTATTGCAGCACTATTCACAGGCCTATTTACAAGAACTTAGCTGAGCACCAGGCCGGAGACTTGTTTGCACAGCAATGACCTGGGGACCCAAGGACTGCCATGGACCTGCCGGGAGCTGCGAAGCCCGCACATGGGACACACTAGGAAAGGTGGCTGGTCTTAAGTTCTCTACCCTGCTCCTCACCAGCTCTATTTCATGTTAGACCTCATAAAAGTGGTTAGCATTATAATTGAAAGAACACGTGCAAACTATTGGCTTCATTATGTTGTTATCAATCTCCTGGAGGCATTACATATGACTTATTGATTATTTAAAGAGGAAGAACACCTCATTTCTTTATATGCACATTCTCTTCTGGACATTAGCAGCACTGCATATGCACAGATGTCAAATCGAGTGAGAAATTCAGACTGGAGAGAATAGGCTAGGATCCATTGTGGGCTCTTCATCAGGAGAGTTGCTGGAGGGAAGCAGAAATTGGGGATTACTCTGATAGCCCTATGCAGTGCTGGACAAGACAGACTGGCCTAGACCTCACCAACTAGAGTCTGATATGACAAATTGTCATTACCACGTGCAGGACTCTTGTCCACAGTGGGCCCTGGAGCTACCAGGACAGGCCTCACAAAACTGCAGCAATGAGAACCATTAACTGGACTGGTTCTCCATGCCAGACACAGCTGCCTCTGGCCATGCCTGAGAAAACTGAGCCTTCGTGAGACTGAGAATCCCTAAGCCACACAGAGTGGAAGCAGCAAAGCCAAGTGCCTAGACAAAGCCACCTCCTTCCCTGAGCCCCACACCCTGATTCCTCAGCAATGGCCACTGGGCTCAAACAACTCCAAATAAAGTGAGAAGGAGGCAGCACAGAGGGCCTGGGGTACGGAGCACCTGGATCAGAGCTAAAGCTCAGCAACATCTGCCGACATTATTCTCAACTGCATACAAGTCACGAGACTATTCACAGGGTCCACTGACTGGCACTATGGTCATCGGAACACTAATTCAATCCACTGCACCACCTTACTCTGAGTAGCAAGATTACACATCCAGAACCTTGCCATGCACTTTGTGGTTGCCCCACTTAAGAGGCAGGGGACATTTCCCTGCCCCTGGCCTCTGGGTTTGGCCAATAGGATAGAAAAGGGCAGAAGTAATGGTGCCCCGACCCCAAGAAAAGCCCTGGAGGCCTTGTGTTCTTCCACTTGCCTTGTCGTGCTTCTCCCAGGACCACGTGCACACTCCCAGGCCTGCCTGCTGGAGCACTGGAAACAGAGGGAGCACAGCCCCTGGCCTCCATCAGCAACTCCCAGCCAGCTGGCCCAGCCGCTGGGCCTCAGCACCCTTGGTTACACAGCAAGAACTGGTTGGCTCGATGGTCATTTCTTCTTGCAAGGTGAGCAGTGTGGGCATCACTCTCCCACCCTGCTGAGGAGGCTGGGGTGCAGGGGTGCCCGAGATCATCTCAGTTGTATGTGATGATGCTGTAAGTTAAACACAGGTTGTCTGGGTCCCAGGCAAAGCACTCTGCTGTCTTCTTGCCACCCTTCCTGGAACAGAGCCAAGGTTCCTGAAATTACCTTTAACTGGATAGCTGTTTTCCACTGAAGCTTTCTGCTTCTGCTTCTGTTTCTGTTTCTTGGGCTCGGTGCATCAAGTTTCTTGGTTTCCATTAAAAGCCAACACCATGACGAGAAAAAAGAAAAGCTCTGGAAATGGCACAGGGCCTTTCTTTAAGGGATGTGGTTGTCAGCTCCGTGCATGAGACTGGTGTGTGATTGGACTCTCTGTTGGCAGCCTTCATGGGAATGTGCCAACTTGTGGTCTCCAACTTCCCAGCCAAGCCTTGTTCACAAATGTGTGAAAAATAAAGCTACCCTTTTTCAAGTTTTAACAGCAACTGTAAACTCATTCCAAGTCTCATGGTTAAGAGGTATGGGACATCTTGTTTTTCAGCCTGCTTCAGCTTAGGGGCACAGTCCTTGGTCATTTGTATTTATACATGATAGGTCTAACTTCTATATTACTAACATAATTAAATAGCATCATCTACCTTCACTCCTGGAAAACTGAGGAATTTTTAGGAGCCCAGTTCACTGCATAAATCAGGTCTTGAAACATGGACCAGTGCTCCCTACAGACAGTTACCAGCCTACTACATTTCTAAGACACTAGTGTGGCAAATAAAGTTAGCTGACAGGCATTTCTCCTTTTTCTGGCCAGCAAACCTCACTGGTGTTCACACAACTACAGCCTAACTCCAAGGGGGTGAGGGTGCATCATAAATTGGGCCAAGCCAGTCTAAGAAGACTAATTCCTTTTGAAGTGACTTGTTCATATGTGGACATACAACCCAGTACTGGCCAATGAGACATTAGGAGAAATCTTCTGCGGACTTTGAGGAAGACATTTTTCCTCTATGATAAAAAGAAAGGAGAAGCCAAGATGCATCTCTTTCTCTCTCTCTCACTCCCTCCCTTTTCACCCCCTCTCTTCTCAGGCAATCGATTTGCTGCTTGCCTGTGATCTTGTCTCTGAACATTATACATGGGGGAGATAGTGTGGGAAAACAGAACCTGGAGCTGAGGCAGCTGTCTTGTGAACACGATGCAGCAAGCCCAAAGACAAAAGTCCAACAGACCCAGGGTGGCAGACAGAAAAGATGGACAGACCCTGGGCCCTGGATGACAGCAATGAGCCACTGATTCAGCCCTGGCACCAGCTCCCTCTCTACTTGTAATGTGAAATAATTCTGTGACTTTTTCTGTTAAGTCTGGATGCTCAATTCCTTGCAATTGAAAGCAACAAACACACAGATGCAGCAACTTGTTTTATGAGGCCATGATAACGTTACTTCCCAAACCTGAAAAGGACACTTTGAGAATGGAACATTAGATGTCATTCTTTCTCATGAACATAAATGCAAATATCTTAAAGAAAATATTAGCAAATCAAATTCAACAGTATATTTGAATGGTAATAGAATGTTCAAGTTGGGCTTATTCCAGAAATGCAAGCTTGACCTATCATTTGTATTTCACCACATTAACATAATAAAGGAGAAAACCTATGGCCATTTCAATAAGTGCAGACAAGCATTTGATAAAACACCCACACATAGGTGGGGACAGGAGGGGCTACAATGGGACTGATCTGGATGATGGTCATATAAGTGTGTTCACTGTAAAAATTCCTGAAGTTGTAACTAATGAACTGGACATTTTTCCATATGTATGTTACAGTCCATTTGAAAAGCTTACTTAAGAATGATGGCTCAAATTTTCTCATAACAATTAAAATTAAATTGAATTAAAAGTTAAAATCTTTTCAAATAAAAAGCACCAGGCCCAGATGGCTTTACAGGCAATTTCCAGTCAGGTGACATATTGAACAAAAGTTCTCTGCAATTGCACAACTTCTCCAGAGCATGTAAGCACTTGAGTTACAAGGATGGTAAAACAAACCTAAATGACTCCTAATGCAAGATCACTCAAACCTAATGACTTCTAATGCAAGATCACTTAAAAATATAAATTTGAAATCCTACACAAACCTAATGACCAAACCTAAATGACTTCTAATGCAGGATCACTCAAAACTATAAATCTGAAATCCTACACAAATTTTAGGAATTTGAATGTAGTAATTAAAAACTGATGGCATGGCAAAGTAAGGTTTATCTCAAAAATGCAATGTTGGTTTAAAATTGTTGAAGGTAGTTTACCACATAATGGATAAAAGAAAAAGTCAAGACTATCAATAGATGCAAAAAAAAAGGCATTTGATAAAATTCAATAGCTCATGAATTAAAAACTCTTAGCAAACATTCTGGGAAGATAGCAGAATAGAAAGCAAATCTGTCTCTCCACCAAGATGACAATTGCACTGGTGGAATCTCTCTGACGTAGCTATTTTGGAACTCTAGAGTCTATTTAAGACGGTAACTTCATGGAAAATGTTAGGGCATTCAATTGCAGTTAACTACAGTCAATTCTAGCTCTTAGCTACCCTTAGTACCAGCTACACAGCCCCAGCCCCCAGCCCTGTGGCAGGCAGCTGTGCACATGTTCCTGGAGCACACAACTAGTGGATTCCAGAGTGGACAAAAAGATCATGTCCTCCATATATCTAAGATTGGTGCTCTGATTGCTGCTCCTGATCACAGAGATGCAGAGAGACAGAGGTAGTGGCCATTGTGGCACTCCCAGGCCCTCACCACATTATTGTATGCCCCTCTCCTTTGGCCAAAGTGACATCCAGGGCATTTAAAGGGCTAGCGCCCTTCCCACCATACCCTTTGTTTTATTTTTCTTCCCTTCTTGGGAGCTAGGCATTGAAGACTAAGTCACTCAAAAGCAACCACTTTTAAGTGGGAAACAGACCCAAGGGGTCTGTTTAAGTGGGAAATAGACCCAAGGTTTAAGTGGGAAACAGACCCAAGGTTTAAGTGGGAAACAGACCCAAGGTTTAAGTGGGAAATAGACCCAACCACTTTTAAGGGGAAACAGACCCAAGGAAAGGCAGAGACTCAGAAAAGACGTGAGAAGATCTTGAGTTTACACTTTAGGTTGATCCTTGGCACAGAGATGCCTTATAGCAATCAAAAAATAATAACATGATATAAGAGACTAACACATAAAAAAAACAGCAAGCCCTAGGGAAGTGAAAATATCTGATTTTCAGAATTATCATATTATTAGACTCAAAGTTCTAGTTTTCAACAAAAAATTACAAGGCATACAAAGAAATAAGAAGTTATGGCCCATTCAAAAGAAAAATAATCAGCAAAAACTGTCCCTACAAAAGACCTGATGGCAGATGTACTGGATAAACATTTTAAAACACCTGTCTTAAAGATGCTCAAAGAACTACAGGAATACGTGGAGGAAGTTAAGAAAGCAATTTATGAACAAAATGGAAATATCAACAAAGAGATAGAAAATCTAAAACAAAACTCTGGAGCTGAAGAGTATAGTAACTGAAATAAAATTTGGTAGAGGATTCAAAAGCAAATTTGAGTGAGCAAAAGAAAGAATCAGCAAACTTGAAGATAGGAGAATGGAAATTATCAAGTCTGAGGAACAGAAAGAAAAAGGATTGAGAAAAAGTAAACAGAACCAAAAGGACCTGCGCCAAGAAGACCAACATACCCATTGTGGAAATCCCAGAAGGAGAAGAGCAAAAAAGAGGCAGAATGAATGTTTGAATAAATAATAATCAAAAAAACTTCCCAAATTTGATGAAATACATGAATATAGACATCCAAGAAGCTCAATGAATTTCAAGTATGATTAATTCAAAGAAACCCACACTAACACACTTTACAATTAAACTGTCAAAAGCCAAAGACAAAAAGAGAGTTTTGAAAGCAACAGAAGATATGCAATTTGGCACACACAAAGGATCCTCAATAACATTATTAGCAGATTGCTCATCAGAAACTTTGGAAGCCAGAAGGCAGTGGGCTGATATATTCAAAGTGTTAAAAGAAAATAGCCTGTAAACCAATAATCCTATACCCAGGAAAACTGTCCTATAAAAGTGAGGGAGAAAATTAAGACATTCTCAGATAAACAAATGCTAAGGAAGTCTGTTACTTCTAGACACTCCCTGTAAGAAATGCTGAAGGGAATCCTGCATGTTGAAATGGAAGAACACTAGACAGTAATTTGAAGGCACATGAAGAAATTAAAATTTTAGTAAAGGAAAATACACAGGAAATTATAAAAGCTAGTATTGTTGAAACAATAATGTGTAACTTCACTTTTCTTTCATGATATAAGAGACTAACACATTTTAAAAAAAGACTAAAAGTTAGTATTATTGTAACTTTAGTTTATAACTCCACATTTGTTTTCCACTTTTTAAGAGACCAATGCATTAAAAAATTATTAGTTTATGTTTTGGACATGCAACGTATAAACATGTAATTCTGTGATATCAACAAATGAAGGGATGAGGGCAGAGCTCTTAAAGGAAGAGAATTTTTCTATGTTGTTAACGTTTAAGCTGTTATAAATTTAAATTAGAATATTATAACTTTAGGACGTTGCATGTAATCCCTATAGCAACAACAAAAGACATAACTAAAGAATACACACAAGTGGAAATGAGAAGGGACTTTAAATGTTTTACTACAAAAATATTGACTAAACATGACAGAATACACTAATGGAGGAAATGAGGGACACAAATGCAATAAGGCACACAGAAAGTAAATAGCCAAATGGCAGAAGTAAGTCTTTGTTTTAGTCCATTTGTGCTGCTATAACAGAATACCACACAGTAGGTAATTTACCAATATAAACTTATTTTCTCAAAGTTCTGGAGGCTGGGAAGTCAAAGTCCAAAGCACCTTTTTTGTATTATCACATGACAAAAGGCAGAAGGGCAAAAGACACAAGGGCATCAAACTCAACCATTTAAAAGGGCATTAATCCCACCCACAATAAAAGAGCCTTCATGACCTAATCACCTCTCAGAGGCCCCACTCCTTAGCACTGTTGCTATGGCAATTAAATTTTAACATGAGTTTTGCAGGGGACTAATATTCAAACCATAGCACCTTGTTATTACTAATTAAGTGTAAAAGGGCTTAAGCTTTCCAACCAAAAGACAGGGATTTGCAGAATGGATTTTTAAAATCATGATCCAAATGCATGCTGTCTATGAGAAACTTACTTTAGATCCAAAGAGGTTGAAAGTGAAAGAATGAAAAAAGATATTTCATGTAAATAGTGACCAAAAGAGAGCAATCATGGCTATACTAATATGAGACAAAATAGACTTTAAACTTCAAAAGATTGCAAGAGACATAAAGGATATTATATATTAATAAAAGCTTCACTTCACAAGAAAATATAACACTCTTCAAAAAGTGTTATATATTTTGAATTGAAGCTCTTGTGAAAAGCTTCAATTCGCAAGAAAATATAAACATTTATACATCTAACAACAGACCATCAAAATATATAAAGCAAAACTTGATAGAATTGAAAGTAAAAACAGGCAGTCCTACAATAAAATTTGGAGACATCAATACCCTACTCTCAATAATAGACAAAATAACTAGACAGAAGATAAGTAAGAAAACAGAAGATTTGAACAATACCTACTAGATCTAACAAACGTCTAAAGAACAGTCTACCCAGCAACAACAGAATACATAGTCTTCTCAAGTGCACTTGAGAAGTTTCCAGGATAGGCCATATGTTAGGCAACAAATTAAATTTCAATAGGTTTCAAAAGATATGTATCACATGAATTATCTTCTCCAAGCATGACAGTATATAATTACAAACCAATAACAGGGAAAACTGAAAAATTTGCAAAGCTTTAGAAATTAAACAACACACTCTTAATCAATGGATCAAAGAAGAATTCCAAAAGAAAATTAGAAAATACTTACAGACAAATGAAAATAAAAATACAACATACCAAAATTTATGGGAGACAGTGAAAGCAGTTCTAAGGGAGAAATGTATAGCTATCAATGCTTACATTAAAAAAAAAAAAAGACAGATCTCTCAAATCAACAACTTAACTTTATATCTTAGGAACAAACTAAACCCAAAACTAACAGAAGAAATGATAAAGACTAGAGACAAGTTAAATAGAGAATATAAAAATAAGAGAAAATTAACAAAACCAAAATTTGTTTTTTCAAATCTTTAGCTAGATGGACTAAGCAAAAAGAGAAGACTCAAGTTACTAAAATCAGAAATGAAAGTGGGGACATCACCATCAATTCTACAGCAATAAAAAGGATTATAAGATAGTACCAAGAGCAACTACACTCCAACAAATTAGATAACTTAGATGAAATGGGAAAATGTCTATAAATACAAAATCTACCAAGATTAAACCACAAAAAAATAGAAAATCTGAATAGATCTGTAACTACTAAGGAAATTGAATCACTAATCAAAAATCTCCTGACAAAGAAAAGCCCTGTAGCTGATTGGTTTCACTACTGAATTCTACAAAACATTTAAAGAAGAACTAACACCACTCCTCAAACTTTTCAAAAAAGATTGAAAAGGAAGAGACACTGCCTAATTCATTCTATGAAGCTAGTATTCCCTGATACTAAAGTCAGGTAAAGATATTATGAACAAAACATCCTTTCATGATAAAAGCACTGCAAAAGTAGTAATAGAAGGAAACTACCTCAAGATAATAAAAACCATATATTAACACCCTACAGCAAACACCATACTCAATGGTGAAAGACTGAAAGCTTTTCCGCTAAGATTGGGAACAAAGCAAGGATCCCTGCCATCAAAACTTCTATATAACACTGTACTAGAAGTCTTGCCAGAACAATTAAGCATGAAAAAATAATGAAAGGAATTTAAATAAGAAAGAAAGAAGTAAAATTGTCTTTGCTCATAGATAATATTATCTCATATGTAGAAAACCCTGAGGATTTCACCAAAACACTGCTAGAACTAAGAAACAAATTCAGTGAAGCAGCAGCGAAGTCCACACACAAAAGTCAATATTTGCATTTCTATATACTAACAATGGAAAAAATCCATAAAGGAAATTAAGATAACGACTCCATTTGCAATACTTAGGAATTAACCTAACCAAGGAAATAAAAGTTTTGTACAATAAAAACTATAAAATATTTCTGAAAAAACATCAAATAAGGCATAAATAAATGGAAGACACTCCTGATTATAGATTGGGATACCTAATATTGCTGAAATGTCAATATTAGGCAAAGAAAATCTACATATTTAATGCAGTCCCTATCAAAATTTCAATGATGTGTTTTAGAGAAATTTTTAAAAACCCATTCTGAAATTTATACTGAATATCATGAAACCCTAAATTGTCAAGAAAATTCTGAAGTTGGAGAATCAAATTATATCTATCTGATAAGGAATTGTTATCCAGAATACATAGAGAATTCCTAAAACTCAATGACAAAAAACAAACAACCCAATTTAAAAATGGGCAGACAGACATCTAGACCAATGAAATAGACTAGGCAGGCCAAAAATAAACCCTCACAATAATGTCCAAATAATTCTCAACAAAGGTGCCAAGACCATTCAGTAGAAAAAGATCTCTTTTCAACAAATGGGCTGAGCAAACTGGATTTCCACATGCAAAATGATAAAGTTAGACTCTTACCTAATACCATATACAAAGATTAACTCAACAGGGATCAAAGATCTAAATGTAAGAGGTAAAACTATGAAACTCTTACAAGAAAAATAGGGGGAATCTTCATGAAAGTGGATTTGGCAGTGTTTTCTTAGATATGACACCAAAGGTGCAGGCAACAAAAGAAAAAAAAGTAGACAAATTAGACTTTATTTTGTAAAAATTTAAAAATTTTGTGCATTAAAAGACACTATCAACAAAGTAAGAGGGCAATCCATAGAATGGGAGAAATTATTTGCAAATTATATCTATCTGATAAGGGATTGTTATCCAGAATACATAGAGAATTCCTAAAACTCAATGACGAAAAACAAACAACCCAATTTAAAAATGGGCAAAGAACTTTAATAGACATTTATCTAAAGAAGATGTAAAAATGATCAATAAGCAGACGGAAAGATGTTCAATATCACTATTAGGGAAATACAAATCAAAACTCTAATGAGCTACCACCTCACATCTATTAGGGTGGCTATTATCAAAAGAAAACAGAAAATAAGATGAATTGGTGAAGACGTGAAGCAATTGAAACCCTTGTACACTGTTGATAGGAATATAAAATGGTGCAGACACTGTGGAAAACAATATGGCGGTTCCTCAAAAAATTGAGCATAGAATTACCACATGATGCAGCAATTTTACTTCAGGTCATGTAGTCAAAAGAAAGCAGAGCCTCAAAAAGATATGTGTACACCCATTCACAATAGCTAAAACATGGAAGAAATCCAAGTGTCCATCAATGGATGAAAGAATAAGTGAAATTTGGTGCACACAGAAAATGAAATTTGGTGCATACAGAAAGTGAAATTTGGTGCATACAGAGAATCTATATGGAATCTCACCTCTGAAAAGGAAAGAAATTCTGACACACACTACAACATACACAAACCTTGAGGAGCTTATACTAAATGAAATAAGCCAACCCCAAAAAGACAAATATCATAGGACTCCCTTATATGAGGCACTTATAGTAGTCCAAATCATAGAGACAGTAAGTTGGAATGGTGTTGCCAGGGGCTGGGGGGAGGGTAGAATGAGGAGTTAGTGTTTAATGGGCATAGAGCTTCCGTTTTGCAAAATAAAGAGTTCTGGAGATGGATGGTGGTGGTGGTTGCACAATGATATGAATGTACCTAATACCACTGAACTCTACACTTAAAAATGGTTAAGGCCAGGCATGGTGGCTCACACCTGTAATGCCAGCATTTTGAGAGACCGAGGCAGATAGACCACTTGAGGCCAGGATCTCGAGACCAGCTTGGACAACATGGTGAAACCCTGTCTCTACTAAAAATACAAAAATTAGCCTGGCATGGTGGCAGGCGCCTGTAATCCCAGCTACTCGGGTGGCTGAGGCACAAGAGTCACTTGAGCCCAGGAGGCAGAGGTTGCAGTGAGCCGAGACCACCCCACTGCACTCCAGCCTGGGTGACAGAGTGAGACTCAGGCTCAAAAAAAAAAAAAAAAAAAAAGATGGTTAAAATGGAAATCTTATGTTTCTTATGTTATGTGTGTTTTATCACAATAAAAAAACTGGAAAAATATCTTTGATAAAAACGTTTGTTAAGTCTTAGCACATTAGGAGTACAAAGACATTTGCCCAACCTAACAAGTTGAGCAAAAAGACTCGAGCAAACCTCATACACAATGCACAAAGTTGAAAAGCAGACCCCTTTAAAATCAGAACATAACAAGGACATCTGTGTTCACAACTTCTATTCAACATCCACTGGAGGTGCTTAGCCAGCAAAAGAAGACAAGTAAAATTCTTTTTTAAGCATGTAAGAATTGGAAAGGAGGAAACAAATGTGCCAATTACAATTGATTTGGCTGTCTACATAGAAAACCCAAGGAAAAAGAAGTGACAGGCAAATTATTAGAATTCAAATTTAGCAAGAGCCCTAGATAATGAAATCATATTCAAAACTCAACTGTATTTCTATAGACCAGAAAAACATAGAAAATTTGAAAAATAACAGTTACAGTGGTTTACTTTTTAATTAAATCAATTTTAAAAGTGCATAAAAATAAGTCTAACAAAAGATACATGAGACTTTATGGGGGGGAAATGCATAAGATTGATTGAGAGACATTTTAAAAGATCTAAATATTTTAAAATACATTTTATTGTGTATATTCGAGATTTACAATATGATGTTTTAGGATATGTATGGATAGGAAAATGGTTAAATGAAAAGCTATGGATAGGAGGACTTGATATCACAATGTTAGTCCTTCACAACCATCAGTGGATTTAATGTAATCCCATCAAAATCTTCATAAGATTTTTTTTTGGAAATTGACACGTTGGTTCTAAAATGCACGTGGAGAGTCAAAGGCCTTAGCAAAGCCCACACCTACCTGAGGAGGGAAAGTCCAGGGGAAGACTTGCCCTACTTGAGACTTGCCCTACAACTCAATATAAAACCAAATAATTCACACTGAGATAAAGAGTGGGCAAGAACAGAACAGAATGCAGAGTCCAGAAACAGACCCCGAGTGCACGCAACCTAGTGTAAGGCAAAGGCAGAGCTTCAGACCAGTGGAGAGGGACATGCATGAGTGCCGTGGAAGAGAGTGAAAATGGGTCGCCAGCTCTGCCATACACACAACCGATTCCGGCTGGATGGAGACTAAATGCACATGTAGCACCATGAAGACTTTAGGAGCTAACACAAGAAAATATCGTCAGGACTCTATAGAAGAAAACGGTTCATTCAACAAGACATGAGATTCGATACTGGTACATTTGCTTTTGTTATTTAAAAATGTTCAACAGATGCCAGTCTACAGAGATTGGAAAGATAAGTCAAACACTAGGAGAATATTTGCAAGGTATGTTTCTTAAAAGAGATTTTGAAGCCACAATATATGCAGATCTCTTTAAAAATATAAAAATTACAAACAATCTAATGGGAAAACACATAGATTTGCATTTCACTGAAGACAAACCCCAAATGGTCAGTAAACAGATGAAAAGGTGCTTAACTTCATTTCTAATCAGAGAATTCAAAATATAACCGTAAAGAATTACAACTTCACAGCAACCAGACTGGGGAAGAAATGAAAACTTTAAATCTGAAAATTTAAGACTGGGCCAGAATGTGGAGCTAGGGGAACTCTTGCTCATAGGAAAAGTAA
The DNA here is from genome assembly GCF_000001405.40 of Homo sapiens. Lineage (NCBI taxonomy): Eukaryota > Metazoa > Chordata > Mammalia > Primates > Hominidae > Homo > Homo sapiens. The sequence continues at coordinate 24,891,078 of NC_000020.11, forward strand.
CTGGTACACCCAACAAGAAAACCATTTGCCCTCAGCTAGAAAGGCTGCAAGAGACCATTTCCTGCAACTGGAAATTCTGTTTCCCAACAATGCCCTAGAGAACCTTCTAAAAAGTGCATTGCTTATGGCCACATATACATGCAATAATAATACTAAAACATGGATAGAAAAGCTGAATATCCGCTTCCGAATAGTTGGAGGGAGGGGACTGTAGTTAAGGATGTGCAGAAATGGCTTTCAACTGTGCCAATAATGTTTGTTTCTTTAAAAAATAAGTTAATCTGAAGCAAAGAGGATAAATCATGAACACTGGTTGAATCTGAGTGACAGGTGTACAGTGATAGGACCGTGACGCTTTTCTGTAAGTTTGAAATATTTCATAATTTTAAAGTCAGTATCAGTTTTAAAGAGCAAGAACCTCGGTTAGCTTTGTAGTCCTGGTGGAGTGGCTGGTCTCTCTTCTATGGAGCCAGAATCTGCCCTGAAATTTATGAACAAGGAGGAAAAATATCCCAAAAAGAAGGTGCTGGGTTAGGACCTAGGCAAAGGGGGAGTGTGGAACTTTACAGTGGTTTAGCAGGAGGGAGGCCACTACAGCGTTCGGGAGTCTAAGGGTGCGCTTGTGAAATCTGCCCGCAGTGTTAAGGGGAGTCAGGTGCACTCTTAATCCGATTACACATGATCAGCCTCTGCGGGGAGGTGGAGATGGAGGCCCTCGCCAGCCACACCCTCTGAGCTGCCTGCCTTTCCCCAGGATCCCGAGATGACTGGCACCCACCATTCTCTTCCCAGCATCCCTGGAGCTTCCAGGCAGCCGGTACTCGGGATGGGGTGAGAAGCAAGGCACCGGGAAGGGCCCGCATACAGCCGCAGCAGCAGCAACAACCGCGCAGCCTTCGGGGAATGCCTCCTGGGGGTCAGAAGCCTGAGGGCTCCTGTCCTTGGTGATCCAGCTTCCTTCCAAAGGGCCCCGAGGTTCTCGAGACTCAAGGACCCGGACGGGAGCCCCTCCCAGCCTTTGCGATTGTGGCGGCCACAGCTTCCCCTGTGGAGGTGGTCCTCACAGGGGTAGATGGGCCTGAGACGTGCACAGAATCCGCTCCCAGGAGGGCAAAGGCCAGCGGGACCCCAGATGCCGCCCTTCTGTTGTCCTCTCACAACAGGAACATCGTGGCTCGAAATCTGGCCCTGGGTGTAAACCACTCCAGCAGGCTCGGGGTGTAGACTGATCTCAGCCGCCCACCCTTGCTGCACGGACACCCCCAGCCCCGCAGATGCCCTGCAACAGACGGAAACGTCCTAACAATTCCAAATGTCTCACGTCTCTGGGAGTGCCCACAACGAACATCCATTCCCTGCATGCCTTTGGCCAACCCTAATGGCTACAGGTGCCCGGTCCAGCTATGTCAATGAGGACACACTGGGGTCACCTCCTCTCCTTGAAGAAATACCTTTCTTTCCAACAGCCAGGGCCCCCTGTCTCCGGCCACAGGGGCTGTCTTCTGCCCTTTTGGACAGGTGCAGCTTCTCTTTTCTACCCTCACTAGGCTCTCACCCGCCGGCAGGCTGTGCTGAGAGGTTCATTGAGCCAACAGGGGCTAATCTCCCGGATGCCTCCCACTCCCTGGGGCCTGAGCAGCATCTGTGTGAGGAGACGGGCTGGCTGGTGGAGAGCAAGGGACCGCAAGGGAGGGGGTGAGCAGGGTCTTGAGCGTGGGCTTGAGCGAGCTGCAGGCTTGGCAGGGGTTTAGAGGCGAGGGCAGTGGCCCCAACCTGTGCCAAACTCTGGCCCATTCATGGGAGGTCTCACGAGGTCTGGGTAGGTGGTAGGGCTCTCTCGGGGTCCTGACTCAGTTAGGACTTGGCCCATTTGGGGAGCAAAACACCTCAAGCAGTCATTTGGTCACAATACCAAATTTTATGACCGAGTGGCATGAGAAGCAGAGTCCCCCAGACTCGGGCATCCCGGCGTGGGGTCCTCGCCTGGGGCCACCTGATGAGTGCTCGGGATGAGGTCAGACTCGGGCATCCCAGGGTGGGGTCCTCGCCTGGGGCCACCTGATGAGTGCTTGGCGTGAGGTCCAGATTGGAGGACCCTGGCCAAGGCCCTGCCCCCATGTGGGGGGATGGACATCCAAGGTGGGGCTGGAAATGGGGGAGTGACATGTAGGAGGGAGAGGAGGTGGAGGTGGGCGAGAAATGGGGGAGGACCCAGCAAGGCACAGGAACTGGATGGCATCTTATAGCATGGAAGATCACGGCATTTCCTCCACTGTGTGGCAGCTCCCCTACATCCAAAGACCTCGTATGGGTTCCACTGCTGGCGAAAGCCAAGTAAACTCTCAGACCAACCTTCCAGTAGATAAAAACTCTAGGCAGAACACAAAGTCAACCACCTGCAGGTCTGAGGAGCCCCCGGGACAGGCAGATGCCAGTCAGGCACTGACGTGTAGAGGAAAGGGGACCTGAGGGAGTTTCTGATGCCCACATTCCGCCCTGTGGTGTCCCCCACCAGCACCTGAAGCAGCTGGAAGTCTAGGAGCAAATGCGCAGAAAAGGAGAGGACAACATGGGGCTGCCACAGCCTTTCCGAGAGCAGGCAGGTGGAGCCCCAAGTCCCGCACAGCCTGCCTGACCCCGCTGAGCTTGAATCCCAAGCATCTGACTGGGCTCCCACGAACCCCCTGTGGATTTTGCACAAGCCCCTGAACTCTCCCAGCGGCAGCACACCCAGAGCTGTCAAGAATGCAGACTCCCAGGCCCTGCCCTAGCTAAACTGAATCAGAGTCTCTGTGTGGGGCCCAGGACTTTTTTTAAACAAGATCCGCACCTGACTCACATGCATGCCAAAGTTTGAGAAGCAAGCCAAAGGTTCTCTCTATCTCTGAAGTAATAGGTTTGGGGTCTTCAGTCTTCAGTTAGGGGATGGGAGTGTGAGGCTGCAGGGCCAGTGACCTGGGCCACATTGGAGCTCTGCAATCTGGGTACAATGCTGGGCTTACTCACCAAACCCAAATTCAGCTGCAGTTTGCTTGGAAGGCAGAATTAGGACCCCTCACTGCAGTGAGAATGAATCGAGGTCACGCATGGAAGCAGCTTGCTCATAGCGAATGCTCTTGGTGCTTCATAACTGCTAGCTGTGGTCGTGGCAGTAAGGGCCAAGGTGTGCTCATGGCTGCAGAGCAAAGGGCAGGGAGACTATCTCCCTCTTCTCAGGTTCCGCAGGATCCTACGGATGCGGTAAAGTTACTGGAAGACCACTCCAAGCTCAGGGTGTACTGGACACTCCCCCTGCAGGGCTCCCTGTAATGGGAGTTGTTACATGGATGATTTCCACCCCCGTGAAGCAAACTGCAGGACGAAAAAATGCTGAGAATGGTCCATTTTTCCCACCCTCTGTTCCTTACTAAATGCAGAGTCCAGTGGTGTCCAGATACATGGGGCCCTGTTCCTGTCCTCTTCCCACATCCCAAATCCACCCAGGCTCTAGAGCTGCCTCAGGGATGGGGCAGTGAGCATGGGGTGCAGATCAGCCTTCAGTGGACATGACCAAGAAGAGGCAACTCAGCCCAGCCCACATCAACAGCTGAAGAAAGTGTGGCACAGTAGAGACAGGCCCCGGCTCTAGACCCAGACGTCTGGGATTCAGATCCTGCCTTGCAGCTTCTCACTGCTGACCTTGGGCAGTTATGTGACCATTTTGTGCCGTGGTGTCCTCAGTCATGAAATTGAGAGAATGACAGTTTATCATTACATTATGCCTCATAGGATAGAAGTGGCGTGAGGATTGATAGGAGCTTAGGAAGCTCAGGAGGGGGCCTGCACATATTAATGCTCAATAGATGCTGCTTGTCATGACCCCATTTGGGATCCATAAAAACACAAAATCCAAGCAAGTATGTTCTCACAGCTGAGAGGGGAGGGACTTGTGTGGAAGTCGATCATACAAATCAGGTCATTTTTGTCATACCCAACTAAAACAGAGTTGAGAGGCCAGGGGAGAAAACCACTCAAGGCACAAGACATTGCTCAAAAATGTAATTCTCTGCAAGCCTGGCTGCTGAGACTGCCTGCTATTGCCTGAAACCAGTTTTATCTGTGGCTACTGAAACAAGCTGCTACAACTCTAAGACTAATTTTACCCACCAAGGTCACTCACCAGTCAGAGCCTGCCAGCTCCCATAACCTTAAAAGTGACAATGAGCATCCTGGACAAACAATACATCCTTTCTTTGTGTAAAACTGCAACCTCCTCTTTGTCCTTTGGATATAGTGAAGACCACTCAATCTGTGAGAACACCCCTGAATACTATGTTCTCAATTGCTATAAAGAACTACTAGACTGGGTAATTTATAAAGAAAAGAGGTTGAATTCGCTCACGGTTCCACAACCTGTACAGGAAGTATGGCTGGGGAGGCCTCACGAAACGTACAATCATGGCAGAAGGCAAAGGGGAAGCAGGCATGTCCTACATGGCTGGAGCAGGAAGAAGAGAGAGCAGGAGGAGGTGCTATGAACTTTTAACAACTAGATCTCATGATAACTCACTCACTATCACAAGAACGGCAAGGGGAAGTCCACCGCATGATCCAGTCACCACCCACCAGGCCCCTCCTCCAACACTGGGGATCCCAATTTGACATGAGATTTGGACGGGGACACAAATCCAAACTACATCAGCCTCAAACTACTATTATTGCATCCCAAATAAAACAGTAAATTTAGAGATTTCTCTCCACATTTTTTATTTGACTTCAACACTTGGAACCATTGTTCTTCACTCAATACTACTGAGCCTTTTGCTGGGAGGGCACGAAGACCTGGGCCAGCCCTCAAGAGCCACCAATGGTACCCTGTCTGTCATGCCACCTGCGTCCTATGGGAAGGGAGACTGCAGGACTGAGTCAAGGACCACGCAGCCCTAGGGAGGGCTACTTCCAAGGAGTCTCATCAGCGGGGTGGGAAGAGAGTGCTGGTCCCCTCATTTAAGAGAGACATTGACTAACTGGCCAGGAATGCCTTCCCAAAACCAGGATGAGGGTGCTGCAATCAAATTTGTTTCCGATTCAGGGAAAGCAGGGCCCTCCAACCATGAAATGGGCTGGCCACCAAATGCAGTCACGCAAACACTGGAAATTTTATGGAAGAGCCATCCCGGGATCCCCTTACACACAGCTTACACATGGAGATTGTGGGATTCCAGTCACAAACTTGTGACTCATGTGGGAGGCTTGTATGTTCCCTGCATATGTCCTGTGGCCATGGGAAGCTAGACCCATCTCTACAAGTGCTCTGAGGTCAATAGCATCCACGCAGCCCCTTTCGCAGCTCTAACCTGCTGTGGTGCAGACTGCGTGTGTGTATCGTGTTTTTGCATGTCAGCATTAAGACATGCACAGCTGCCACTTGATGTGTGACCCTTGTCTGGAGGCAGATTCAATCAAAACAGTTGTGAGAAGTTCCCATCTTCCTGGTGGGGGGAATGAGACAGTGTTAGGAATGGGCCATGACAGAGCAGGGAGGTTATGTTCTTGTAGAAAGTCCTCACCAGGCAGGGATGTGTAATAAAGTATCTTCTAGTGAAATGACATGATGTGTGGGATTTGCTTCAAAACATTCCAACAAGAAAAAATGGGTAGTTTCTGTCTTGGGGCTGGGAGGCATAGATAACAGAGGCCTGGCAACACCTGCCAAGGGCAGAAGCCATGATGTGAACACGGGGACTCATTATACTGTTCTTCTACTACTGTATATGCTGGACATTTTATAATAAAGAGTTAAATCATTTTGATCACTGTTTTTAAGGCTTGTCTGTGTGTAAAAACACACACAAACACATACACACATAGTTTTTCCTCTGCGTTCTGTATGGCAGAACCACCTGACAGCAACAACTCAAGCTCATCCTAAGAATGACCCTAGGGTCTAAGAAGGATGTGGGCTGGGTCCCGAGCTAGGGAATCAGGAGTGGCCAACCTGGAGGCTCACACCTTATCTGCAAAGGACTTTTGCAGATAAGACCCCTGACTCATTCCTTGGAAATCAGAACATGCAAGGAAGCAAGGCCCTTTGTTTTGGGTTAAATGGAGGTTGCCAGGTGGAGGGTGCTAAGTGAAAATGCTAGAGAACTGCATGCTTTTTGTGAACGGCAGCAGTTTTCCTGTCCAGCCAACCACTCCTGGATTGCCCGTTATGTAAGTCCTTGATAAACCCTACATCTCGTTCCACAGCTATGGGTCTCTTCTTCAGCCTCTCAGTCACATTGGTGTCAACAGGATCCAGCAGGACATTTTTACACGGCAATAAACACAAAATGCTTCCATGACCAAATATGGGGGAGCCTCCCCACACACTAAGCAAGCGATTCTGCAGCAGACACCAGCGGGGTGTCCTCTAATTCGATTCATTTCCAACCCTGTCTACCTGGAGACAGAGCCAAATCACACAGCTCAGTTCCCAAGGGTGCTCCCCCACCCCATCTTGTGAGGCCAGTGTGAGCCCCAGGTTATGACCTGTGCTTCTGATGGACTGGCTATAAATCAGGGGTTCCCATGACCCCTTGCTTGGGTTCAGCTAATTTGCTAGAGTGGCTCACAGAACTCAGAGAAACACATTTACTGGTTTATTATAAAGGATATTACAAAGGATATAGATGAAGAGATGTGTAAGGCTAGGTATGAAGAAGGGACACGGAGCTTCCACACCTTCCTGGGCACCACCCTCCAGGAACCTCCATGCATTCTGCTATCTGGAAGCTCCAGGAACCCAGTCCTTCTGGGGTTTGTGGAGGCTTCACTGTGTAGGCATAATCGACTAAACCACTGGCCATTGGTGATCAACTCGACCCCCAGCCTCTCTCCCCTCCCCAGAGGTCAGGGGTTTAGGCTGAAAACCTTAACCCTCAAACCTGCCTTGGTGTTTAAGATGACCAGCCCCACCCTGAAACTACCCAGGGCACCCAGCCACCAGCTATCGCATTAGGATATAAAAGACATTCTTTGTGCTAGAGATTCCGCAGGTTTTAGGAGTTGTGTGTTAGGAAATGGGTCAAAGACCAAATACAGATCTCAGGTATCAGAGTGAGTAACCATCTCCAGCAGCCCAGCCAGGCTCGGGAGTGTGGATGTGCACTGGCCTCCTCCACCTGCACCCAGGGACCTCACAATGCGGCTGGAATTGGCATGGGTGGAAGTACCTATGCCTGAAAACCAATAAGGGCCTCTCTCTCACTTTCTTTTTCTTCATATAACCAGTAGAGAAAGAAAAACAAACAAACAAACAACCCTTATTATCTGAGGAATGCAAAGCTCCTTTAAATTATCAGGCTCAGAACAGCTTTGGAATGAAACAGCAGTCAGTGCTGCATTCGCCCCTGAAGCTAAATCATCACCTCCTGAAGGCAGCTGCCACATGGGCTCTGGACTGATGTCATGCAACCATCAAACACCAAGGGCTGATGCCATCACTCACACCCTGCAGCTTGACAGCAGGAGCCACTCTGTAACCGATGTAGGATTTTTCTTCTCAGTCACTTTGCAAGCCAGGGACCCCCAGCCAGTGATGCCCCACTCGGGCCTCACTCAGCCATGCTGGCATGCCCCAGCTCACCTGTGTTATAGCTTGTACCTACATTCAGTGGTTCCCAAGCTCTTGTACCATACCCAGAGAGAAAGAGGATACACTGGACATTGAAGGGTGAGGAAGGCAGAGAAGATTTTTATCGAGCAATGAAAACAGCTTTCAGCAGAGAGGGGACCTGGGGCCTCTTATGGACTCAGAATGGGGAGTGCATGCTGATTGTGAGCATGCAAAAAAGGTTAAAGGGAGGACACCACTCAAAGGTGGCCACAACAGTGTAGAAAACCAATTAGGAAAGGGTAGATATTTGTAAAATAGGTGAAGGCTGGGGACCAATCAGAGGAAATCACACCAAACAGGAAGACAAGTTCTCAATCTGATCCAGTGATTTAACTTGTAGCTTGGCTTTCAGGGTTTGGATTGGAGGTGGGGCTTCACCGGGACCTGCCTCTATCTGCCTGGGCATTTGGCTGCCTCCTGCCTCTATCATTTCACCCCTCTGAAGAGGTACATCTAACTGCCATAAGAATAGGGACGATGACTGATCTTAACTGCTTCCTGCCAACAAGGGGCACTGTTTTGGGAAGACAACAGTGAGATTCTTATTGCACAGATGCAATAACCATATTGCCATAACTTAAGAATACTCACAAATAGTTTCCAAATTCTAGAGAAACCAGGCAGAGCAAAATAAATATGCACCAAATTTTGTTCACAGGGGAATATCTTACTTGATTCAAAGGTAGGCATGACAGTGTAGAAAAACAATTAGGAAAGGGTAGGTATATATAAAATAGGTGAAGGCTGGGGACCAATCAGAGGAAATCACACCAAAACAGGAGGACACATTCTCAATCCGGTCTGAGGATTTAACTGTAGCTTGGCTGTCAGGCTTTAAACTGCCTTCAGCTTGGAGGTGGGGTTTCACCAGGACCCATCCCATCTACCTGGGCATTTGGCTGCCTCCCGTTGCTATCATAATCAAAGCTCTTCCTGTGAAACACAGAGCACTCCTGTCAAACACTTTTATATCTGCACACTCATTTTCCCCTGTTTACCTTAAGAACCTGCTTATAACAAAAGCTGAACAGGAGCACTTCCCAAGGCAACTTGGAAATGTGTCCCAGGCAACTGGCCTCACTTTGGCTCAAGTAAACTCTTTAAATTACATTTTATGTCTCAGCCTCTTCCTTTTAGGTCAACACAGTTGATTACTATTTCCCAAAACCCCTCTGAACAGAGCCTTCTAACTCCTGCTCTGGCTGATGCATGCACCTCTAGACACACAGATTGGATCCTGTCCTCCAACTCCCAGTGGCTTCTCACAGGCAGCTGGCCTCACTGCAGTGGATATGCATGCTCCCCCTGGGGAAATCCCCTGGGATTTCCACCTCCAAGCATCTCTCCCACACCGCCCCTCACCTGGAGGGCCCTCTACACCCCTGCAGGCCCATGCTGCCGACCTTCAGGCCCAGGCTAAAGGGCACTTCCATGGAGCTTGTTACCTGCTGCGGGACACAAGTTCTCTCATGCCCCACTAACCTCTGCTTCCAACTGCCCATAGCACACATTACCTGTGCATTCCAGGAGGCCTGGGCTCCTACCAGTGGGATGGAGCAGGGACCCCTCACATGGGCCTGCTGGACCACCCCACACAAGGAAATAAAGGAAAATCTTGAGTTATTTCGAGGGTCTAATGAGGCTGGACCTGCAGTCAGACAGCTTGGAGTTGGTGGGGGTCGGGGGGTTCCGCTTTCCTCCCCTGATGCTGGGCGCCTCTGTGACTGTCCCAGCAGCTAGGCTGGCCACACATGTGGGTCACAGCTGAGACAGCCTACAGGCAAACTCACAGAAGACACCTCTATCTTCCTGTGGAATTCTCTCAGGGACACTCTCCCACCTAGAGGGCTGATTGATTTGTGAGTATGCTTAAAAAGGTCTAACTGCAAGGAGGAGCCAAGATGGCCAAATACGAACAGCTCCAGTCTACAGCTCCCAGCGTGAGCGATGCAGAAGATGGTGATTTCTGCATTTCCATCTGAGGTACCAGGTTCATCTCACTAGGGAGTGCCAGACAGTGGGCGCAGGTCAGTGGGTGTGTGCACCGTGCACGAGCCGAAGCAGGGCGAGGCATTGCCTCACTCGGGAAGTGCAAGGGGTCAGGGAGTTCCCTTTCTGAGTCTAAGAAAGTGGTGACAGACGGCACCTGGAAAATCAGGTCACTCCCACCCGAATACTGCGCTTTTCTGACGGGCTTGAAAAACGGTGCACCAGGAGATTATATCCCGCACCTGGCTTGGAGGGTCCTACGCCCACGGAGTCTCACTGATTGCTAGCACAGCAGTCTGAGATCAAACTGCAAGGCAGCAGCGAGGCTGGGGGAGGGGCGCCCGCCATTGCCCAGGCTTGCTTAGGTAAACAAAGCAACCAGGAAGCTCAAACTGGGTGGAGCCCACCACAGCTCAAGGAGGCCTGCCTGCCTCTGTAGGCTCCACCTCTGGGGGCAGGGCACAGACAAACAAAAAGACAGCAGTAACCTCTGCAGTCTTAAATTTCGCTGTCTGACAGCTTTGAAGAGAGCAGTGGTTGTCCCAGCACGCAGCTGGAGATATGAGAATGGGCAGACTGCCTCCTCAAGTGTGTCCCTGACCCCTGACCCCCAAGCAGCCTAACTGGGAGGCAACCCCCAGCAGGGGCACACTGACACCTCACATGGCAGGGTATTCCAACAGACCTGCAGCTGAGGGTCCTGTCTGTTAGAAGGAAAACTAACAAACAGAAAGGACATCCACACCAAAAACCCATCTCTACATCACCATCATCAAAGACCAAAAGTAGATAAAACCACAAAGATGGGGAAAAAACAGAGCAGAAAAACTGGAAACTCTAAAAAGCAGAGCGCCTCTCCTCCTCCAAAGGAATGCAGTTTCTCACCAGCAATGGAACAAAGCTGGATGGAGAATGACTTTGACGAGCTGAGAGAAGAAGTCTTCAGACGATCAAATTACGGGAGGACATTCAAACCAAGGGCAAAGAAGTTGAAAACTTTGAAAAAAATTTAGAAGAATGTATAACTAGAATAACCAATACAGAGAAGTGCTTAAAGGAGCTGATGGAGTTGAAAACCAAGGCTCGAGAACTACGTGAAGAATGCAGAAGCCTCAGGAGCCGATGCGATCAACTGGAAAAAAGGGTATCAGCGATGGAAGATGAAATGAATGAAATGAAGCGAGAAGGGAAGTTTAGAGAAAAAAGAATAAAAAGAAATGAGCAAAGCCTCCAAGAAATATGGGACTATGTGAAAAGACCAAATCTACGTCTGATTGGGGTACCTGAAAGCGATGGGGAGAATGGAACCAAGTTGGAAAACACTCTCCAGGATATTATCCAGGAGAACTTCCCCAATCTAGCAAGGCAGGCCAACGTTCAGATTCAGGAAATACAGAGAACGCCACAAAGATACTCCTCGAGAAGAGCAACTCCAAGACACATAATTGTTAGATTCACCAAAGTTGAAATGAAGGAAAAAATATTAAGGGCAGCCAGAGAGAAACGTCAGGTTACCCTCAAAGGGAAGCCCATCGGACTAACAGCGGATCTCTCGGCAGAAACCCTACAAGCCAGAAGAGAGTGGGGGCCAATATTCAACATTCTTAAAGAAAAGAATTTTCAATCCAGAATTTCATATCCAGCCAAACTAAGCTTCATAAGCGAAGGAGAAATAAAATACTTTACAGATAAGCAAATGCTGAGAGATTTTGTCACCACCAGGCCTGCCCTAAAAGAGCTCCTGAAGGAAGCACTAAACATGGAAAGGAACAACCAGTACCAGCCGCTGCAAAATCATGCCAAAATGTAAAGACCATCCGGACTAGGAAGAAACTGCATCAACTAACGAGCAAAATAACCAGCTAACATCATAATGACAGGATCAAATTCACACATAACAATATTAACTTTAAATGTAAATGGACTAAATGCTCCAATTAAAAGACACAGACTGGCAAATTGGATAAAGAGTCAAGACCCATCACTGTGCTGTATTCAGGAAACCCATCTCGCGTGCAGAGACACACATAGGCTCAAAATAAAGGGATGGAGGAAGATCTACCAAGCAAATGGAAAACAAAAAAAGGCAGGGGTTGCAATCCTAGTCTCTGATAAAACAGACTTTAAACCAACACAGATCAAAAGAGACAAAGAAGGCCATTACATAATGGTAAAGGAATCAATTCAACAAGAAGAGCTAACTATCCTAAATATATATGCATCCAATACAGGAGCACCAAGATTCATAAAGCAAGTCCTGAGTGACCTACAAAGAGATTTAGACTCCCACACATTAAAAATGGGAGACTTTAACACCCCACTGTCAACATTAGACAGATCAACAAGACAGAAAGTTAACAAGGATACCCAGGAATTGAACTCAGCTTTGCACCAAGTGGACCTAATAGACATCTACAGAACTCTCCACCCCAAATCAACAGAACATATATTTTTTTCAGCACCACACCACACCTATTCCAAAATTGACCACATCCTTGGAAGTAAAGCACTCCTCAGCAAATGTAAAAGAACAGAAATTATAACAAACTTTCTCTCAGACCACAGTGCAATCAAACTAGAACTCAGGATTAAGAATCTCACTCAAAACCGCTCAACTACATGGAAACTGAACAACCTGCTCCTGAATGACTACTGGATACATAACGAAATGAAGGCAGAAATAAAGATGTTCTTTGAAACCAATGAAAACAAAGACACAATATACCAGAATCTCTGGGACGCATTCAATGCAGTGGGTAGAGGGAAATTTATAACACTAAATGCCCACAAGAGAATGCAGGAAAGATCCAAAATTGACACCCTAACATCACAATTAAAAGAACTAGCAAAGCAAGAGCAAACACATTCAAAAGCTAGCAGAAGGCAAGAAATAACTAAAATCAGAGCAGAACTGAAGGAAATAGAGACACAAAAAACCCTTCAAAAAATTAATGAATCTAGGAGCTGGTTTTTTGAAAGGATCAACAAAATTGATAGACTGCTAGCAAGACTAATAAAGAAAAAAAGAGAGAAGAATCAAATAGATGCAATAAAAAATGATAAAGGGGATATCACCACCAATCCCACAGAAATACAAACTACCATCAGAGAATACTACAAACACCTCTACGCAAATAAACTAGAAAATGTAGAAGAAATGGATAAATTCCTCAACACATACACTCTCCCAAGACTAAACCAGGAAGAAGTTGAATCTCTGAATAGACCAGTAACAGGATCTGAAATTGTGGCAATAATCAATAGCTTACCAACCAAAAAGAGTCCAGGACCAGATGGATTCACAGCCGAATTCTACCAGAGGTACAAGGAGGAACTGGTACCGTTCCTTCTGAAAATATTCCAATCAATAGAAAAAGAGGGAATCCTCCCTAACTCTTTTTATGATGCCAGCATCATTCTGACACCAAAGCCGGGCAGAGACACAACCAAAAAAGATAATTTTAGACCAATATCCTTGATGAACATTGATGCAAAAATCCTCAATAAAATACTGGCAAAACGAATCCAGCAGCACATCAAAAAGCTTATCCACCATGATCAAGTGGGCTTCATCCCTGGGATGCAAGGCTGCTTCAATATACGCAAATCAATAAATGTAACCCAGCATATAAACAGAGCCAAAGACAAAAACTACATGATTATCTCAATAGATGCAGAAAAGGCCTTTGACAAAATTCAACAACTCTTCATTCTAAAAACTCTCAATAAATTAGGTATTGATGGGACATATTTCAAAATAAAAAGAGCTATCTATGACAAACCCACAGCCAATATCATACTGAATGGGCAAAAACTGGAAGCATTCCCTTTGAAAACTGGCACAAGAGAGGGATGCCCTCTCTCACCACTCCTATTCAACATAGTGTTGGAAGTTCTGGCCAGGGCAATTAGGCAGGAGAAGGAAATAAAGGGTATTCAATTAGGAAAAGAGGAAGTCAAATTGTCCCTGTTTGCAGACGACATGATTCTTTATCTAGAAAACCCCATTGTCTCAGCCGAAAATCTCCTTAAGCTGATAAGCAACTTCAGCAAAGTCTCAGGATACAAAATCAATGTGCAAAAATCACAAGCATTATTATACACCAATAACAGACAAACAGAGAGCCAAATCATGAGTGAACTCCCATTCACAATTGCTTCAAAGAGAATAAAATACCTAGGAATCCAATTTACAAGAGATGTGAAGGACCTCTTCAAGGAGAACTACAAACCACTGCTCAAGGAAATAAAAGAGGATACAAACAAATGGAAGAACATTCTATGCTCATGGGTACGAAGAATCAATATCATGAAAATGGCCATACTGCCCAAGGTAATTTACAGATTCAATGCCATCCCCATCAAGATACCAAAGCCTTTCTTCACAGAATTGGAAAAAACGACTTTAAAGTTCATATGGAACCAAAAAAGAGCCTGCATCGCCAAGTCAATCCTAAGCCAAAAGAACAAAGCTGGAGGCATCACACTACCTGACTTCAAACTATGCTACAAGGCTACAGTAACCAAAACAGCATGGTACTGGTACCAAAACAGAGATATAGATCAATGGAACAGAACAGAGCCCTCAGAAATAATGCCGCATATCTACAACTATCTGATCTTTGACAAACCTGAGAAAAACAAGCAATGGGGAAACGATTCCCTATTTAATAAATGGTTTTGGGAAAACTGGCTAGCCATATGTAGAAAGCTGAAACTGGATCCCTTCCTTACACCTTATACAAAAATCAGTTCAAGATGGATTGAAGACTTAAACGTTAGACCTAAAACCATAAAAACCCTAGAAGAAAACCTAGGCTTTACCATTCAGGACATAGGCATGGGCAAGGACTTCATGTCTAAAACACCAAAAGCAATGGCAACAAAAGACAAAATTGACAAATGGGATCTAATTAAACTAAAGAGCTTCTGCACAGCAAAAGAAACTACCATCAGAGTGAATAGGCAACCTACAAAATGGGAGAAAATTTTCGCAACCTACTCATCTGACAAAGGTCTAATATCCAGAATCTACAATGAACTCAAACAAATTTACAAGAAAAAAACAAACAACCCCATCAAAAAGTGGGCGAAGGACATGAACAGACCCTTCTCAAAAGAAGACATTTATGCAGCCAAAAAACACCTGAAAAAATGCTCATCATCACTGGCCATCAGAGAAATGCAAATCAAAACCACAATGAGATACCATCTCACACCAGTTACAATGGCAATCATTAAAAAGTCAGGAAACAACAGGTGCTGGAGAGGATGTGGAGAAATAGGAACACTTTTACACTGTTGGTGGGACTGTAAACTAGTTCAACCATTGTGGAAGTCAGTGTGGCAATTCCTCAGGGATCTAGAACTGGAAGTACCATTTGACCCAGCCATCCCATTACTGGGTATATACCCAAAGGACTATAAATCATGCTGCTATAAAGACACATGCACACGTATGTTTATTGTGGCATTATTCACAATAGCAAAGACTTGGAACCAACCCAAATGTCCAACAATGATAGACTGGATTAAGAAAATGTGGCACATATACACCATGGAATACTATGCAGCCATAAAAAAGGATGAGTTCATGTCCTTTGTAGGGACATGGATGAAATTGGAAGTCATCATTCTCAGTAAACTATCGCAAGAACAAAAAAACAAACACTGCGAATTCTCACTCATAGGTGGGAATTGAACAATGAAATCACATGGACACAGGAAGGGGAATACCACACTCTGGGGACTGTTGTGGGATGGGGGGAGGGGGGAGGGACAGCATTGGGAGATATACCTAATGCTAGATGACGAGTTGGTGGGTGCAGCGCATCAGCATGGCACATGTATACATATGTAACTAACCTGCACAATGTGCACATGTACCCTAAAACTTTAATAAAAAAAAAATAATTAAAAAAAAGGTCTAACTGCATCTCAGTCAAAAGTAGATGAAGTTGTAGAAAGTAGAAAGCACACATCAAAATTCTGCTCATGAAAAGACTATATTTAGAGAAAAAAAGACAAACCACAGACTGGGGAAAATTTTTATGATGTGTATATCTGATAAGGGACCAATATCTAGCATATATAAAGAAACACAAATCAATAAAAAGACAAACAATCCAATTTTAAAATGGGTAAAAAAACATGAAAATATGTTTTACAAAATAAAGTATATTGATGTCCAATAAGCACATGAAAGTATGCTCAGCATCATTTGTTATCAGGGAAATGCAAATTAAAACCACAATGAGATGCTGTTCCACATCCACCAAAGTGGCTAAAATTAAAGACAGATAGCATCAAGTGCTGATGAGGAAGTGGAGCAACAGGAACTCTCTCATTCATTGCTGGTGAGAATACAAAATGGTGTAGCCACTTTAGAAAATGGTCCGGCAGTTTCTTATAAAACTAAACACACACCTACCCAATGACTCAACAATTCCCCCAAAAGAGAAATGAAAATATATGTCCACACAGTTTATTGTGCAATGGCAGATATGGCAGCATTCTTCATAATAGCCAAACACTAGATAAAAGATAACATACATCAACAAGTTAACAGATAAAATGTGGTCTGTTTATAAAATGTAATACTACTGGTCAATAAAAATGAGTGAATGACTAACACACACAGCATGTTCAACCTCAAAAAACATTACATTACACAAATGAAGTGTGATACAGCAGAGAGTGAACTATACGATTCCACTTACACAGAGTAAGAACAAGCGAGGCTGACCTAGGTGATGGAATTGGAATAACAGTTGCCTAGGAAGCAGGGTGGACTGACTGCTGGGGGCACCAGGGAGATTCTGTGTGACAGATTCACTAATTCAATTGGGATGTGGGTTACCCAAGTGTATATATGTATCAAAGCTCATGGAATCTCAGATCTTATGTTTCACTGTAGATAAATATTACCTCAATCAAAACAAATTTGCCAGCTGTTCTGGTTTGAATGGGTGTCCCAAAAGTTCAACTGTTGGCTTCTCAAAAGAAGACATACATGCAGCCAACCAACACATGATAAAAAAGCTCAACATCACTGATTGTTAGAGAAATGCAAATCAAAACTACAATGAGATACCATCTCATACCAGTCAGAATGGCTACTATTAAGTCAAAAAACCACAGATGCTGGCAAGGTTGTGGAGAAAAAGGAATGTTTTTACACTGTTGGTGGGAGTGTAAATTAGTTCAGCCATTGTGAAAGACAGTGTGGTGATTCCTCAAAGACCTAGAGAGCAGAAATATCATTTGACCCAGCAATCCCATTATTAGTTATATATCCAAAGGAATGTAAATCATTCTGTTATTAAGGCACATGCATGCATATGTTCATTGCAGCACTATTCACAATAGCAAAGACATGGAATCAACCTAAATGCCCATCAATGATAGACTGGATAAAGAAAATGTGGTATATATGCACTATAGACTATTATGCAGCCGTAAAAAGGGATGAGATCATGTCCTTTGCAGGAACATGGATGGAGTTGGAGGCCATCGTCCCCAGCATACTAATGCAGGAACAGAAAACCAAATACTGCATGTTCTCACTTATAAGTGGGGGCTGACCAATGAGAACACATGGACACATAGGGGAAAAAACACACACTGGGCCCTGTTGGAGGGGTGGGAGGTGGGAGGAGGGAGAGCCTCAGGAATAATAGCTAATGGATGCTGGGCTTAATGCCTAGGTGATGGGATGATCTGTGCAGCAAATCACCGTGACACGTGCTTACCTATGTAACAAACCTGGACATCCTGCACATGTACTCCTGAACCTAAAATAAAAGTTGGAAATAAATTAAAAAGAAATTGAAACAGAAATTCATTGAATTTAAATAAAATTTAAAATTCAGTAACTTAAGAAATGTGTTGGAACTTGGTTCCCAAAGCAATAGTGCTGAGAGGTAGAACCTTGGGAGGTGACTGAGTTCCAAGGGTCCTGCTCTCAGGAATAGACTAATCCACTCCTTGATTGATTAATGGATTAATAGGTTATTGAGGGAGTGGGTTAGTCATCACCAGGGTGGGTTCTCTAGAAAAACTGATTTGGCTCTCAGTGCATCCCTGTGATGCACTGTGATGCTCCTCCGGCCCTGTGATGCTGTCTGCTCATGCCAGAAGCTACTGCCATGCCCTTGGACTTCCCAGCCTCCAAAACCATTAGCTAAATAAATTTCTTTTTTTATACAAATTACCCAGTCTCTGGTGTCCAGTTATAGCTACAGAAAACAGACTAAGACACCAGCCTCAAAGATCAACATTGGATTTATTTGGATTTGGTGTCACAGGGAATTCAAGGCAGGCTGAGGCACCTCCACCCAACAGAACTCAACCCCTCAGCCATGAAAGACCTCAGTCTTGTGCCTCAGGGCAGTGACTACCTGCCAGGGACCTCCTGGCTCCAGGGTGCTGGAGTTTATGACCTGGGTTTGGGGAATGATGTGTACAAATGTGTATTTCAAATGAAATTCTCATTATTTCTTCCCATTTTCTCCACGGCCTCCTCCTCAGACCGCCGTCCATGCTCTGACCTTTCCCCACATCACCTCACCTCTGACATCTTTGTCTTTATTGGGCTTCCCCAAAGCATACTGGGAGAAAGGGCTTGCTGTGGGCAGTTTACTGGGAGGACTACTCCAGGCAACAGGACAAGGGTGGGTGGCAAGGCCCGGAAAGGGGCTCACTATTGCCCACAGCTCAGCCACTGTCTCACCCATCCCGCTGGGAGTTCTGACACTGTGGAAGGTGCCCCTCGGGGGCCCCCCATAGGCAGGCAGTGTTCACCCACTGACCCTGTCCCTCCCTGGTTGGGGCTGGCTGCCTCCCAGCCCTCCTGGTTCTGTGGGCGGGGATGCAATGGGCAGGTAACCCCAGGAGGAGCCACACACTGCTGACATCCGATCCCCTTGACAGCCCCGAGACACAAAATGGAAAAGCTTAATTCCTGCTCCTTCCCCAGGGGGGCTGGCCAGCTGTGGACCCCAGCCCAGTAAACTTCAGGGGTCAGCAGTGATGTGCCCACATGGGGCCTGGGGTGAGCCCCTTGCCTCACTTCTGTAGGGCAACATCCCTGATCCGCACCCCACCACTTACAAGCGATGGTCTGGACCCGAGCATGAGTCTTCACAGGCCACGTCTATGCATGCCTTTGATGGCCAAGGTCTTGTTTCCAAGTTCAGCCCTTTTGTTTCTGATGCAGTAAGTTCTCACTGCAACCTTGGGTGCCCCCCCGTAGAAAAGTGACCATCATCATTTCTGATGGAGAGGAATTGCCCTCTAGCCAGAACACATAAAGCAACTTAATCCACCCCATGGCAGAGCATAGCACCAGCCTCCGTCCTGGCAGCCCAGGAGCATCGAAGTAAATTGGACACCAGGGGAGGCTGTGGGCTGCAGAAGGTAATAAAACATATTGACACCGGCAAGAGTTAATTAAAGATTTTATAAGAGTTCACTCAAGGAAGGCCTTTGAGTTCAAGCCAAACCCCAAAGCATGGAGAAATTAATGAAATCCACACTCATCCCTGCCTGGACATCTTCATCAGTAACAATAAGCACCTACAATTATCACAGGTTCACTCTTTCCTTAATTACTTAATTTGCAAGAGCAGAGGGTGAAATTCAGCATTCCCCAGCCTGCATAAAGAGGTAAAAGTACTGTCCAGGCACGCATTTGTCTTTTAATACAACATTTTAGCTTTGGACAGTGAGGAAATAAATTGGGCAAAGATGGGTTGCTGGGTGCCAGGGTTCATCCAGTTCTAATGGTGACACCACTCTCTGGGGACTTGGCCAGGACCCCAGCCCCAGGTGCTCAGCAGAGCTAGTGACACGTGGGAATGGAGAGAGTCACAGAGGGTACTCTATGGCCTGGCCAGCCCCTGAGAAGACCCCACCTGAGAGGGAGCCATGCACCAAATGCAAGCAACCTGCTCCAGGGAGGCACCTGCCCCTGGCTGGCAGCCAGAGTGCCTGAGGCCACCTGCAGAGGGGCTGGTATGGCTGCCTCGAGAGTAAGACAGGCATCCTCAGGCAGGACGCCCAGGACTCTGGCTACCACTCTAGACCTTCTGGCTTTTTTAGGGACAATTGATTCCCCAGGAAACTGTGTAAGCTTAGACCAGCAATTCTCCAGGTGGGGCCCTGGGTGGGCAGCACCAGCCTCCCCTGGGAGCTGGTGAGAGAAGCTGGAGAGTCCCCTGCATAAGAAGACCTGGGCATGG
This sequence comes from Homo sapiens, assembly GCF_000001405.40. Lineage (NCBI taxonomy): Eukaryota > Metazoa > Chordata > Mammalia > Primates > Hominidae > Homo > Homo sapiens. Next base: position 24,910,947 of record NC_000020.11, read on the forward strand.
GCCCAGCCCTGTGCTCTCCATCTCTTGAACAGAGATCAAGCAGGCATTGGGACGGGGGGGTCCTGGGAATTTAACATTCACTGTAGTGCAGTTTACTTTGAAAAGTGCCAAAACAATAATCAAATTCATGCATGGATAAATGGATAGATACAGGATAAATGAAGAAAGAGTTCACTGTGAAATCTAGCGTGTGGGCATGTGAGTGTTCACTGAACAATTCATCCAGCTTTCCTGGAAAAGTTTAAAAACCTTTATAATAAAATGTTGCAGGAAGAAATCAAATGAAGAACTGAGTGAGATCCCTTCCAATCCCGGATCGCGGTTCTCCCACATCAGGTGGTAACTGACACCAACACCAACCACATGGAATAATCTGCAAATCTAAGCCAGCTGAACACACCTAGGGCAGAGCCCCCTGGAGACTAACCACGGTCACCAAGGATGGGTCAAGGGCGAGAGAAGAGGGGAAATCAACCCTAAACTCATCCACACAAAGGGGGGTTTGCTCAATAAAGACCAATGCAGAAATTGCAACCTGGAAATTTACACAAGAGCTACAGAAGTTAATGATAGAACAAAAGCCGGTGAAATACATTTATCCTCAGTTCCATGTCAGCACTGGGCAGATGAGTGACACCCGGGAGCTACAGATGCCTGCGGGGAAGATCCACGGGAGCTTAATTACACAGTCATAATGGGTCATCAGAGCAGAAGGGGATTGAGGCAGAAACGCCATCTCCATAAATTTACATCAGCACTCATGCTGGGAGAAACAGGAGGGAGGTCCTGGAGAGAAAGTGAGTGAGGCGGGGCAGGAGCCTCAGCTGGGTAGCCTGCCTGTGAACCCCGTGGAGACACCATGCACAAGGTTCTACCTGGGTGCATGGGAGCCTGTGAAATGCTCATTCCTGGGCTCCACACTCTGATCTACAGAATGAAACCAGAAATAAAATTCTGAGTCCCCTAACCGACTGCTGGACCCCTCCTCTCAGCCAAGGACATTCCAACATAAACCTGAACATCTAATTCTGGCCATGATGGGAAGGTGGGGGCCGGACAGACCTCATTATTTCCTCCTCTCATTTGAATCCAGGCACAGCTGACCAGCATTGACATCAAAATAGGGCAAGACCCTGTAGCAATGAGACACCAAATTCCAACCTAACTCTAGTATAGCCCCACATGACAGGCAGCAGGCCCTGAAAGAAACCGAAGTATTTTACACTAAAATATCTTTTTTTGACATGTTTTGAAATGTCCCTGCAAAGCTGTCTCTTGTGGGGAGAATCCACATTCTGTAGAGAATCCCCTTCCTTTCCAGGTCTCTTCCATGATCCAGGAGAGAATTAACTAAGGGCCTGGCACCCGTTCAGGTCTGATAAGAGCTCTGAAGCCGCTACCTGGAGGCTTCATCTGCGTGATAAATCCTGCTCTCCACAATCCCCCATCTTAACCCATACATTCCCTTCTATTGATTCCAGGTCTTTGGATAATAACTCTTTCAGCCAGTTGCCGATCCACCTATGACCTGGAAGCCTCCTCCTCTTTGAGTTGCCCTGCCTTTCTGGACTGAACCAATGTACACCTTCCATGTATTGATTGATGTCTTATGTCTCCCTAAAACTCAAAAACAAGCTGCAGCCCGATCACCCTGGGGATCTCCTGGGGCTGTGTCATGGGCCCTTGGTCCTTATATGTGGCACAGAATAAATTTATTCAAATATTTTATGGAGTTTTTCATGGAGAAGAATGAGGGGTCCTTGAGGAACATTGGCTGCGTGTTCCCAGGTTTGCTGGCTGTTCTGATGAGCAGCACTGGAAGAGCCAGAAAGCCCCAGGGACCCCACCCACACCCCAGTGCCTCTCTGGGCTCCAACCCGCTGACCCAGGGGCCACCGCCAGCACCATCTCTGCCTGCTCTTGCATGCGGGAGGCACAGTCCAGGGCTGCTGCCCTCCACCTTGAGCTTAGCAGCCACCTCCCCTCCTGTGGCCAGCATGAGGCTCCCAGGGAGCCTGAGCCCCAGTGTCCATGGCCACAGCTGCCTTAGCCCTCCCTGTTCAGATGGCTCATGACCCTGCCCGGCCCATAGCCTGCCCTCCCGCCATGTGCCCTGGCACAGAAACAGACAAAGACCATCCAAAGGAGCCTAGGGGCTCAAGGCATGCAGCAGTGGGAGGCAGCACCACCAGGCGGGACCTGCATGCAGGCAGGGGTGGGAAAGCCTCATAGAGGAAAGAGGGGGCTTCAGAGGTGCCCCAGTGAGGGTGGCTATTGGGCAAGCAGGAAGGGCTGCTAGAAGTGGGGTAGCCCCTGTGACTGGTCAGCGGAGCATGTCTGGCTTTCTTCTCTGGCTGATCCTCAGTTGAAGAAGGATGAGGGAAACTGGCAGTTACTGGCCAAGCCTGTGGGCAGTAGTGGTCTGGCTTCCTGGGCTGGTGCTACAGGCTACGGGTCCGAGTTCTCCCGTCCTGCGTGCTCTGGCGGTCACCTATTAGTATATTTCATCTCTCTCTGGGGTGCCCGCCCAGAGGCACTGCCTGTGCTGCAACCTGTGTCTCAGGGTCTGTTCTGGGGGACTTAGCACAAGATCCTCCCTGGGGAATGAGGATGAAGGCTACCTGGGGAATGAGGATGAAGGCTACCTGGGGAATGACGATGAAGGCTACCTGGGGAATGAGGATGAAGGCTACCTGGGGAATGAGGATGAAGGCTACCTGGGGAATGAAGATGAAGGCTACCTGGGGAATGACGATGAAGGCTACCTGGGAATGAGGATGAAGGCTACCTGGGAATGAGGATGAAGGCTACCTGGGGAATGAGGATGAAGGCTACCTGGCTGTAACTGGTCTGAGCTGCAGGGCACGCCCCGGAGCCCTTACCAGCCCCCTACTGTGGCAGGCCAGGTCCCACTAACACAGGCCTCCATAACAACTGTTTCAGCTCTGACTGAGTGGTTAAGTTAAATACTAAAAGCCGAGAGAGCCAGTCCCCTTATACAGAGGCTGGAATGTAACAAAAGCCCACCAAGAGTTTTGCCTAGGCCTTTCCTGGGCCTTGAAGCATGACAAAATAACAAAAGAATTCTTAACAGAATCTATTTAGGATTAAACAAGTTTTACTGGGGGTTCTGAAGAAACTCCCCAGTCCTCCACAAACAAGTTTACTGGGGTCTGAAAGAACTCCCCAAACCTCCATGATTTAGCAGGAGACAAGATAAGGGTAATCACCCCAGCACCTGGACCCAGCTAGATTTAGTCAATTTACTGAGGCTACAAAGGAAGGTCTTCAGGACTCAGACCTCAGTTATAGATTAGAAGAAGTTAATCACTTATGTCTTTAGATGATTGCACACTTACACATAGACATATAGCTTAGAAGGTGTATAAGCTCTGGAAAACTTTGTAATTTTGAGTTGGTCTGGTGATATTTTCCAGGCCTTCTCCCTATACCCGGTTACAGAAATAAAAACTTTCTTCCTCCCCAGTTCATCTGCATCTTGTTAATGGGCTGCCAGAAATAGCAGCCCAACCCTCAGTTAGGTCTGGGAACACTACCCCCCAACACACACACACACACAAAGGGCCAGACGGGTCCGGCCGGAGCTCCCCGGCAGCACAGGGGGCTGCTTCTTCCTCCTTCCTGATAAGCCCTGCAGCCCCCAGCGATGCCCCTCCTAACCCTGGAACCTGTGACTGTGTGCCTTGAGACAGGAGATTGGCTTGGATCATCCAGGTGGAGCCTAAATCTTATCATGTGAGTTCTCAAAAGTGAGGAACCTTTCCCAGCTTTGGTCAGAAAGACATGAAGAGGGTAGAGGGTCAGAGAGCTGCCTCCCTCAGCCATTGCCAGCCCCCAGGGTTCCCCTGAGGCCCCAGTGCCAGCAGCTCCCTGCCCTGCACCTTCCCCTCCCATCCTCAGGCCTCAGCTCCCTGCCCTGCTCCTTCCCCACCCGTCCTCAGGCCTCAGCTCCCTGCCCTGCGCCTCCCCTGTCCTCAGGTCTCGGCCTCTCCCAAGGCTTTCCCAGATTTCCAGGTCCCGTCCTTGGGGGAGAGGCTACTAGTTCTAGGCTATGAAACCATCTGAGGGCTGTAGCTGGAGGTGCTCTCAGCAGGGCAGGGTGGGGTCGTCTTAGGGTGGACACGGAGTCCAGATCCACAGACAGCCCTCGGTTCTCTCAGTGCCAGGAAACAGGTCACATGTCCATCTGCAGGGTGAGCCACTGGACATGTGGCCCTGCTGATGACTGCAGAACCAACTTCTTCCCTTGGAGCAAACCGTTCTGGGGTCAGGAAACTCCAAGAAGTGACCAGAGACCCATGGGGGACCACATGATGTCTGATGGGCAGCAGAACCCCCCAGACCCTGCTCCAGCCACAGTGAGCTGCCTCAGTGCCCTAACAAGGAGCACCCCATGCCACAGGCCACACCTCTGCTCACGCTGTCCCTCTGCTTTCACCCCTCTTTCCCTTCCAAGAAAACTCTTACACCAGCATCACAATCCAACTTAAATACCCCTTCTACGGAGACTGTGTGTCCCACTTGTTACATGTGAGCACCCAGTGGTCAAAGGAGAAGGCGCTCTGAGCAGGAGCCTGGGAGACGCGGGTGGTGGGAACCCGGGCTGCGATGGGCCTGCACAGATGTCCTGCCATGAGCCACAGCAGCCCTTACAAAGGGCGTGACTTTGTGGTAAGTGGCTCTTTTCTGCCAAGGGCAACTCCAGAGAGGCAGCTGGGGGGTGAGCATCTGAGTCCTGCTGTGGGGCCTGAGTGGTGCACCGAGTCCACCAAGCAGCCTCAGGTCAAGTGAGCAACTCCATCCCCAGCTCCCTGCAGATTCTGCAGACAGGTTCATCCCTGTCTAAGCGATGTCTGTCCTCCCCTCCAGGGGTGAGCCTTTTGGATCCAGCCTGGGCCTCAGTCAACACTTAGGCAGGCACCGAGAGCTCTGCAGACAGATCTGCTATCTCCCGACTCCCACCTGGAGTTCAAGGGAGAAACCACTGCAGCCTTCAAAACCCCCAGTAGGAGCTTAATGCCAGCAGCCAGCCCTGATAAACTCTCCAATGAGCCCACTGGCCAGGGCCAGAATGCAGACCCCACACTGCTGAGTGTGACATCAGGGCCCCTGAGAGCGCTTCGTGCGTGCAAGCCATGAGGGGCCAAGGCGCAAAGGGCAATAGGAGTGCTGTCCTGCCGATACCAGGTGCTTCCCTTGCTGGTGACCAAGCCCGAACCCACAGGCTGGCCATGGTGGTCAGGCTGGCCCCCCAGGGCTCCAAGCTGTGAGCTCCCCAACTCCACAAGACAGAAGCCCACATAAAGAGCCAGCCACTTCAACCTTCTATAAAGTTCTCCAGGCTACCGAAAGGTAGGCTGACAGATTTCACAGATAAAGACACAGGATGCTCAGTTAAATTTGAATTTCAGATCATGAATGATTTTTAGTATAAGCGCATCCTATGCAATATATAGGACATATTTATGCTAAATATTTTTGTGTTGTTTATCTGAAATTCAAACTTAGTCTTTCTACTGGCCACTGTAGGTAGCAGGGAAGCCACACAAGACCTGAAAGTCATCCCTGGGTGAACACCACAGTGCTGGGCACAGCAAGGCAGGTTCATCTGCCTCCAAGGACCAACCCCACCTTTGCCTGCTCAGAACTGACCATGCATAACCCCTGTCATCAGCTCTAACCTTCAATCCTGTCTTCCATCACCTGGGAAAGGCTCTCAGTTCTTCCAGTAAATATCATTTCCAGGCTCTCCAACCCTCCCCCGTTCCTGATGATCTGGCCACTGGCAACTTGCACCCCTGATACTGACCCAGCCACAGAGCTGCTTCTCATCTGTGTCAGTTACAGTCCCTCCATGCTGAAAGCAAAACCGGAAAACTCAACTGGAATCATCTTAAACAGTAAGGGGATTTATGGGAACTCCTACCTGGAAAATCTAGTGGTAAGTGAGTTTCAGGGTGGGCTCGATCTAGGGGTTTGTCATGACTGAGTCTCTACAATTCTCCCCCTTCCAGCTTCTCCTGAGCCTGGCTGCCCCTGTGTACCAAAAAGGCTGTCAGCAGCTTAGGGGCTACACACAGCTTCATACATATCCATGGGAGGGAAAGTGGGACAGAGAGAGGGGTAGATACTTTTCTCCCACAATGATAGAACATAAGTCTTTCACAAGACGCTGACTGAGCCACCTTCCATCCCTGCCCACCTCTAAAGCAACTGAACCAAAGTGGGCCAAGAAGAATCGCTGCATGAGCTGGAATGGGCCGGCCCCTCCTGCACCGGGCACTGCAGGACCACAGTCTCCACTGCCCCAGCTGTGCCCAGCATTGCGGGAAGCAGGCGGCCCCTGCGCAGGTTCATGAAGCTCACTTACTGCTAGATTCTCCAGGTAGGAGTTTCAGAAATCCCTTTACTGTTTAAAACCATTCCAGTTGGGTTCTCCAGTTTTGGTTGGCTTTGTTTTTCAGCATGGAGGAGCTGCAGCTGACACAGGTGAGCAGCAGCTCTGTGGCTGGGTCAGTATCAGGGGTGAGAGTTGCCAGTGGCCAGCAAGTGGGGAATGGTGAGGGCTAGAGAGGCTGGAAATGGCATTTCTCCGAAGAACCGAGAGCCCTCCTGGGAGGCTTAGACTTTAATTCTCTCTGGACACACTTGAGCAGATGACGTTCCAAAGGTGCCACACCAGTACGTCCCTCCCATCTGCTTTCTGGTGATAGGACCTGACACTGTCCCACCAAGAGGTGGGGTCTGCTTGGTTTCCCATCTCTTGAATCTGAGCGGGTCTGCAATTCTGGCAAAAGTGATACTAGGTGACTTTCGAGGCTAAGTCATAAAAAAGGATGACTTCCACTTGCTGCTCCAGGGAACTCTCATGCTCAGAGCCCGGCCACCAGGCTGTGAGGAAGCCCAGGTGGCCACCAGGCAGGCCACGTGGAGGCGTTCCCACCCCAGCCCACCGAGATCCAGCCAGCAGCCAGCGCCACTCCAGATATGTGAAGGAAGAGCCTTCCATGATGCCAGGCCCCACCCTCGGATCCCCCAGCTAGCATCCCAGACCTGGTGGCCACAGGCCCCCACCACGTGGTCCCGATCCCTGGCCTCAGAAGGTCTGAGAATGATGGAAGGGATGGTGGCTCCAGGACTAAGCTTTGCAGTGACCCGTGCAGCTAAGTTAAGTGGAACCCTCCAACCCCCAAACGCCGAGATTCTCCACGCCAGAGGCCCGGTGGGTGGGTGAGGGGCCTGCCAAGCCTGGGAGATTTATTTGCAGGATTTTCCCCACGGACTCATAACTGAAATCGCAGAAGGCCTTGCGGTTTAGAGGCCCTGTCTCATGCCCCAAATTGCATTTTCCCGGAAAGGGCTCAGGGCGACTGAGGTCCCCACCGCCGCTGCGGAGCAGGCTAGGGACTGGGGCAGGTCCCGGCACAGGGGAGGGGGGCGGGGGCGCTGCCAAGGTCTCACAGCTGAAGAGGGAAGCCAGCCGGGGCCTACGGAAAGCTGGAAAATGCGCTCAGGCCGGGCCGTGCTCATGGCTGGGATCACAGCGCCACCCTGTGGCCGACGCTCTCCTTCGGCTCGCAACAGTCTGGAGAAATTGAATTGCATTCTTCATGGAGAAACACAGACCGAAAAAGATCTTCCAGCCCAGCAGCAAGAAAACCACCACTGACTTTTAGAAGTCGAGTGCAAACAGAACAGAAAGGTAGTGAACGCCACCTCCCCCTGACTCCTCTCTTTCTCTGGAAATCTGCCCCAGGAGGTTTTGTGTTTCTTTCATACATTGTTTTTGCACAGAAAAAGTCTCTCTCATGCACACATGAGACTCCTGAGACCACCTCACTCCTGCCCTGCACACTTTGTGCACACTCCTGGATCAGCGATGCCCTTCTGTCTCCTGGCACACGCAGGCCACAGCCAGAGGCCACCCCCACCCCACTGGCAAGTTGGCGTCTGCAGGCAGAGTTCACGGGTCACTCAATCCCAGGCCTGGGCCCAGCAGGGGCCTGAGTGGTCCTTGCCCACAAGGCGGACAGCCTTGAGGACCCAGGAGCCAGGACCATGCTGCCGGGGCCTGATCCCCAGCCTTGCGTAACTTCTGGCAACTTCTTGCTCTCTGCATGCCCGTTTCCTTGTCTGTAAAATGATAGGATTCAATGAAGACACAGCTGGTTCAAGAGATCTGTTGTACAACGTGGTGACTCTAGTTAGTGACAGTGTACACCTGCTTGAACATTGCTACATAGGATCTTAAGTGTTCTTATGGAATGAGACCACCACTTCTCCTGTTGTCCTTCCCAGCTTCCCCACCTCCCCTTTTCCCTAGTTTATAAGACAGTAGAAAAGGGAGAAAGCAAAAAGTTGGAAAGAAACAGAAGTAAGATAAATAGCTAGACGACCTTGGCGCCGCCACCTGGCCCTGGTGGTTAAAACAATAATAATAATATTAACCCCTGACCAAAACTACTGGTGTTATCTGTAAATTCCAGACATTGTATGAGAAAGCACTGCAAAACTTTTTGTTCTGTTAGCTGATGTATGTAGCCCCTAGTCACGTTCCTCACACTTACTTGATCTATCATGACCCTTTCACGTGGACCCCTTAGAGTTGTAAGCCCTTAAAAGGGCTAGGAATTTCTTTTTCGGGGAGCTCAGCTCTTAAGACTTGAGTCTGCCGATGCTACCAGCCGAATAAAAACCTCTTCCTTCTCTTCCTTCTTTAATCCGGGTCTGAGGAGTTTTGTCTGCGGCTCATCCTGCTACATTTCTTGGTTCCCTGACCGGGAAGCGAGGTGATTACTGGATGGTCGAGTCAGCCCCTTAGGCAGCTTAGGCCTGCCCTGTGGAGCATCCCTGCGGGGGACTCCGGCCAGCTCGAGCGACGTGGATCCTGAGAGCGTTCCCGGGTAGGCACTTGCCCCTGTGGAACGCCTCATCAGAGCAGTGTATGGCAGGCCCCCATGGAGGATCAACGCAGTGGCTGAACACCAGGAAGGAACTGGCACTTTAAGTCTGGACATCTGAAACTTGGTAAGACTGGTCTTTGGAACTTGCCCCACTCCATTTGAGTGGAAGCGTGGCCTGATCACCCATGGTGTGCCTGTACTGGCATTTTGGTTTTTGTTTTTGACTTGACTTGAATTGCTTGATACTTTGGTTTTGGTTTTGACCTGGCTTGGATTTCTGGATGCTCTGATTTTGGTTTTGATTCTGTTTGGTGTAAACTGAAAAAGTGTGTTTGTGCCCTTTTAACCCGTTCTTTGTTCTGTGGTGTGCGTGGTATGAGCTTGGTGTTTTGTCTCGAGGAAACATGGGTCAGACACAAAGTAAGCTCACTCCACTAGGAACTATGTTGAAAAATTTTAAGAAGGGATTTAATGGACACTATGGGGTTACTATGACATCAGAGAAACTTAGAACTTTGTGTGAAATAGATTGGCCAACATTAGAAGTAGGTTGGCCATCAGAAGGAAGCCTGGACAGATCCCTTGTTTCTAAGGTATGGCACATGGTAACTGGTAAGTCAGGACACTCAGACCAGTTCCCGTACATAGACACTTGGTTACAGCTGGTGCTAGACCCCCCACAGTGGCTAAAAGGGCAGGCAGCAGCAGTGCTAGTAGCAAAGGGACAGATAGCCAAGGAAGGATCCCGCTCCACCTGCCAAGGGAAATCAACTCCCGAAGTTCTGTTCAACCCAACATCAGAAGATCCATTGCAGGAGATGGCACCAGTGATCCCAGTGGTGCCCTCCCCTTACCAGAGAAAGAGGCTCCCCACTCTTGAGCCCACAGTGCTTGCACCTCCACAAAACAAACATATCCTTAGGCCACCCAGAGTAAACAAGAGAGGAGTTGAAGCCTCCGGAGAAACTCCTCCCTTGGCAGCTCATTTAAGACCCAAAACTGGGATACAAATGCTCCTGAGAGAGCAGCAGTATACTGGGATAGATGAGGATGGTCATGTTGTGGAGAGGCATGTTTTTGCATACCAGCCCTTCACCTCTGCCGACCTTCTCAACTGGAAAAACAATACCCCGTCCTATACTGAAAAGCCACAAGCTCTAACTGATTTGCTCCAAACTATTATCCAGACCCATAACCCCACTTGGGCTGATTGCCACCAGCTGCTCATGTTCCTCTTTAACACAGATGTAAGGTGGAGAGTGCTCCAAGCAGCAACTAAGTGGCTAGAGGAACGTGCACTGGCTGATTACCAAAATCCCCAAGAGTATGTAAGGACCCAGTTACCAGGAACCGAACCCCAGTGGGACCCAAATGAAAGAGAGGATATGCAAAGGCTAAACTGATACAGGGAAGCTCTCTTGGAAGGATTAAAGAGGGGATCCCAGAAGGCCACAAATGTTAACAAGGTCTCTGAGGTCATTCAGGGAAAAGAAGAAAGTCCAGCACAATTCTACGAGAGATTGTGTGAGGCCTATCGTATGCATACTCCCTTTGATCCTGATAGCCCTGAAAATCAGTGCATGATTAACATGGCTTTAGTTAGTCAAAGCACTGAAGACATTAGAAGAAAACTGCAGAAACAGGATGGGTTTGCAAGGATGAATACATCACAGTTATTAGAAGTAGCTAACCAGGTGTTTGTAAACAGGGATGCAGTAAGCTGTAAGGAAAATTGCAAAGAGAATGAACGTCAGGCCCGGCGAAACACCGACCTGTTTGTTAGCTGCAGCAATCAGAGGGGTACCCCCAAAGAGGCAAGGGAAGGGGAGCCCTGGGAAAGAAACTCAGCCTTGAGAAACAGCTCCAGTCTACAGCTCCCAGCGTGAGCGATGCAGAAGATGGGTGATTTCTGCATTTCCATCTGAGGTACCGGGTTCATCTCACTAGGGAGTGCCAGACAGTGGGAGCAGGACAGTGGGTGCAGCACACTCTGCGAGAGCCAAAGCAAGGTGAGGCACTGCCTCACTCGGGAAGTGCAAGGGGTCAGGGAGTTCCCTTTCCTAGTCAGAGAAAGGGGTGACAGACGGCACCTGGAAAATCGGGTCACTCCCACCCTAATACTGCACTTTTCCAACAGGCTTAAAAAAATGGCACACCAGGAGATTATATCCCGCACATGGCTCGGAGGGTCCTATGCCTGCGGAGTCTCACTGATTGCTAGCACAGCAGTCTGAGATCAAACTGCAAGGTGGTAGCAAGGCTGGGGGAGGGGCGCTTGCCATTGCCCAGGCTTGATTAGGTAAACAAAGCAGCTGGGAAGCTCGAACTGGGTGGAGCCCAACACAGCTCAAGGAGGCCTTCCTGCCTCTGTAGGCTCCACCTCTGGGGGGCAGGGCACAGACATACAAAAAGACAGCAGTAATCTCTGCAGACTTAAATGTCCCTGTCTGACAGCTTTGAAGAGAGCAGTGGTTCTCCCAGCATGAAGCTGGAGATATGAGAACGGGCAGACTGCCTCCTCAAGTGGGTCCCTGACCCCCGACCCCCAAGCAGCCTAACTGGGAAGCACCCCCCAGTAGGGGCAGACTGACACCTCACACGGCCGGGTACTCCTCTGAGACAAAACTTCCAGAGGAACGATCAGGCAGCAGCATTTGCAGTTCACCAATATCCGCTGTTCTACAGCCACCACTGTTCTGCAGCCACCGCTGCTGATACCCAGGCAAACAGGGTCTGGAGTGGAACTCTAGCAAACTCTAGCAGACCTGCAGCTGAGGGTCCTGTCTGTTAGAAGGAAAACTAACAAACAGAAAGGACATCCACACCAAAAACCCATCTGTACATCACCATCATCAAAGACAAAAGTAGATAAAACCACAAAGATGGGGAAAAAACAGAGCAGAAAAACTGGAAACTCTAAAAAGCAGAGCGCCTCTCCTCCTCCAAAGGAACACAGCTCCTCACCAGCAATGGAACAAAGCTGGATGGAGAATGACTTTGACGAGATGAGAGAAGAAGGCTTCAGACGATCAAACTACTCTGACCTACAGGAGGAAATTCAAACCAATGGCAAAGAAGTTAAAAACTTTGAAAAAAAATAGACGAATGGATATCTAGAATAACCAATGCAGAGAAGTCCTTAAAGGAGCTGATGGAGCTGAAAGCAAAGGCTCGAGAACTACATGAAGAATGCAGAAGCCTCAGGAGCTGATGGAATCAACTGGAAGAAAGGGTATCAGTGATGGAAGATGAAATGAATGAAATGAAGTGAGAAGGAAAGTTTAGAGAAAAAAGAATAAAAAGAAACAAACAACACCTCCAAGAAATATGGGACTATGTGAAAAGACCAAATCTACGTCTGATTGCTGTACCTGAAAGTGACGGGGAGAATGAAAACAAGTTGGAAAACACTCTCCAGGATATTATCCAGGAGAACTTCCCCAGTCTAGCAAGGCAGGCCAACATTCAGATTCAGGAAATACAGAGAATGCCACAAAGATACTCCTCAAGAAGAGCAACTCCAAGACACATAATTGTCAGATTCACCAAAGTTGAAATGAAGGAAAAAATGTTAAGGGCAGCCAGAGAGAAAGGTCGGGTTACCCAAAAAGGGAAGCCCATGAGACTAACAGTGGATCTCTTGGCAGAAACTCTACAAGCCAGAAGAGAGTGGGGGCCAATATTCAACGTTCTTAAGGAAAAGAATTTTTAACCCAGAATTTTATATCCAGCCAAACTAAGCTTCGTAAGTGAAGGAGAAATAAAATCCTTTACAGAAAAGCAAATGTTGAGAGATTTTGTCACCACCAGGCCTGCCCTAAAAGAGCTCCTGAAGGAAGCACTAAACATGGAAAGGAACAACCGGTACCAGCCACTGCAAAAACATGCCAAAATATAAAGACCATCAAGGCTAGGAAGAAACCGCATCAACTAACAAGCAAAATAACCAGCTAACATCATAATGACAGGATCAAATTCACACATAACAATACTAACTTTAAATGTAAATGGGCTAAATGTTCCAATTAAAAGACACAGACTGGCAAATTGGATAAAGAGTCAAGACCCATCAGTGTGCTGTATTCAGGAAACCCATCTCATGTGCAGAGACACACATAGGCTCAAAATAAAGGGATGGAAGAAGATCTACCAAGTAAATGGAAAACAAAAAAAGGCAGGGGTTGCAATCCTAGTCTCTGATAAAACAGACTTTAAACCAACAAAGATCAAAAGAGACAAAGGAGGCCATTACATAATGGTAAAGGGATCAATTCAACAAGAAGAGCTAACTATCCTAAATATATATGCACTCAATACAGGAGCACCCAGATTCATAAAGCAAGTTCTAAGTGACCTACAAAGAGACTTAGACTCCCACACAATAATAATGGGAGACTTTAACACCCCATTGTCAACATTAGACAGATCAACAAGACAGAAAGTTAACAAGGATACCCAGGAATTGAACTCAGCTCTGCACCAAGCAGACCTAATAGACATCTACAGAACTCTCCACCCCAAATCAACAGAATATACATTTTTTTCAGCACCACACCACACCTATTCCAAAATTGACCACATACTTGGAAGTAAAGCACTCCTCAGCAAATGTAAAAGAACAGAAATTATAACAAACTGTCTCTCAGACCACAGTGCAATCAAGCTAGAACTCAGGATTAAGAAACTCACTCAAAACTGCTCAACTACATGGAAACTGAACAACCTGCTCCTGAATGACTACTGGGTACATAACAAAATGAAGGCAGAAATAAAGATGTTCTTTGAAACCAACGAGAACAAAGACACAACATACCAGAATCTCTGGGACACATTCAAAGCAGTGTGTAGAGGGAAATTTATAGCACTAAATGCCCACAAGAGAAAGCAGGAAAGATCCAAAATTGACACCCTTACATCACAATTAAAAGAACTAGCAAAGCAAGAGCAAACACATTCAAAAGCTAGCAGAAGGCAAGAAATAACTAAAATCAGAGCAGAACTGAAAGAAATAGAGACACAAAAAACCCTTCAAAAAATTAATGAATCCAGGAGTTGGTTTTTTGAAAAGATCAACAAAATTGATTGACCGCTAGCAAGACTAATAAAGAAGAAAAGAGAGAAGAAGAAGAAGAAAAAAAAGAAGAAAAGAGAAGAATCAAATAGACGCAATAAAAAGTGATAAAGGGGATATCACCACTGATCCCACAGAAATACAAACTACCATCAGAGAACACTACAAACACCTCTATGCAAATAAACTAGAAAATGTAGAAGAAATGGATAAATTCCTTGACACTTACACCCTCCCAAGACTAAACCAGGAGGAAGTTGAATCTCTGAATAGACCAATAACAGGCTCTGAAATTGTGGCAATAATCAATAGCTTACCAACCAAAAACAGTCCAGGACCAGATGGATTCACAGCCAAATTCTACCAGAGGTACAAGGAGGAGCTGGTACCATTCCCCCTGAAAATATTCCAATCAATAGAAAAAGAGGGAATCCTCCCTAACTCATTTTATGAGGCCAACATCATCCTGATACCAAAGCCTGGCAGAGACACAACCAAAAAAGAGAATTTTAGACCAATATCCTTGATGAACATTGATGCAAAAGCCCTCAATAAAATACTGGCAAACAGAATCCAGCAGCACATCAAAAAGCTTATCCACCATGATCAAGTGGGCTTCATCCCTGGGATGCAAGTCTGGTTCAACATATGCAAATCAATAAATGTAATCCAGCATATAAACAGAACCAAAGATAAAAACCACATGATTATCTCAACAGATGCAGAAAAGGCCTTTGACAAAATTCAACAACCTTCATGCTAAAAACTCTCAATACATTAGGTATTGATGGGACATATCTCAAAATAATAAGAGCTATCTATGACAAACCCACAGCCAATATCATACTGAATGGGCAAAAACTGGAAGCATTCCCTTTGAAAACTGGCACAAGAGAGGGATGCCCTCTCTCACCACTCCTATTCAACATAGTGTTGGAAGTTCTGGCCAGGGCAATTAAGCAGGAGAGGGAAATAAAGGGTATTCAATTAGGAAAAGAGGAAGTCAAATTGTCCCTGTTTGCAGATGACGTGACTGTATATCTAGAAAACCCCATTGTCTCAGACCAAAATCTCCTTAAGCTGATAAGCAACTTCAGCAAAGTCTCAGGATACAAAATCAATGTGCAAAAATCACAAACATTCTTATACACCAATAACAGACAAAAAGAGAGCCAAATCATGAGTGAACTCCCATTCACAATTGCTTCAAAGAGAATAAAATACCTAGGAATCCAACTTACAAGAGATGTGAAGGACCTCTTCAAGGAGAACTACAAACCACTCCTCAAGGAAATAAAAGAGGATACAAACAAATGGAAGAACATTCCATGCTCATGGGTAGGAAGAATGAATATCGTGAAAATGGCCATACTGCCCAAGGAAATTTATAGATTCAATGCCATCCCCATGAAGCTAGCAATGACTTTCTTCACAGAATTGGAAAAAATTACTTTAGAGTTCATATTGAACCAGAAAAGAGCCCACATCACCAAGTCAATCCTAAGCCAAAAGAACAAAGCTGGAGGCATCACGCTACCTGACTTCAAACTATACTACGAGGCTACAGTAACCAAAACAGCATGGTACTGGTACCAAAACAGAGATATAGATCAATGGAACAGAACGGAGCCCTCAGAAATAATGCCGCATATCTACAACCATCTGATCTTTGACAAACCTGAGAAAAACAAGCAATGGGGAAACGATTCCCTATTTAATAAATGGTGCTGGGAAAACTGGCTAGCCATATGTAGAAGGCTGAAACTGGATCCCTTCCTTACATCTTATACAAAAATTAATTCAAGATGGATTAAAGACTTAAATTTTAGACCAAAAACCATAAAAACCCTAGAAGAAAACCTGGGCAATACCATTCAGGACATAGGCATGGGCAAGGACTTCATGTCTAAAACACCAAAAGCCATGGCAACAGAAGCCAAAATTGACAAATGGGATGTAATTAAACTAAAGAGCTTCTGGACAGCAAAAGAAACTACCATCAGAGTGAAAAGGCAACCTACAAAATGGGAGAAAATTTTCACAACCTACTCATCTGACAAAGGGCTAATATCCAGAATCTACAATGAACTCAAACAAATTTACAGGAAAAAAACAAACAACCCCATCAAAAAGTGGGCAAAGGATATGAACAGACACTTCTCAAAAGAAGACATTTATGCAGCCAAAAAACACGTGGAAAAAACGCTCATCATCACTGGCCATCAGAGAAATGCAAATCAAATCCACAATGAGATACCATCTCACACCAGTTAGAATGGCAATCATTAAAAAGTCAGGAAACAATAGGTGCTGGAGAGGATGTGGAGAAATAGGAACACTTTTACACTGTTGGTGGGACTGTAAACTAGTTCAACCATTGTGGATATCAGTGTGGCGATTCCTCAGGGATCTAGAACTAGAAATACCATTTGACCCAGCCATGCCATTACTAGGTATATACCCAAAGGATTATAAATCATGCTGCTATAAAGACACATGCACACGTATGTTTATTGCGGCACTATTCACAATAGCAAAGACTTGGAACCAACCCAAATGTCCAACAATGATAGACTGGATTAAGAAAATGTGGCACATATACACCATGGAATACTATGCAGCCATAAAAAATGATGAGCTCATGTCCTTTGTAGGGACATGGATGAAACTGGAAACCATCATTCTCAGCAAACTATCACAAGGACAAAAAAAACAAACATCTCATGTTCTCACTCATAGGTGGGAATTGAACAATGAGAACACATGGACACAGGAAGGGGAACATCACACTCCGGGGACTGTTGTGGGGTGGGGGGAGGGGGGAGGGATAGTATTAGGAGATATGCCTAATGCTAAATGATGAGTTAATGGGTGCAGCACACCAACATGCCACATGTATACATATGTAACAAACCTGCACATTGTGCACATGTACCCTAAAACTTAAAGTATAATAATAATAAAATAAAATAAAAAGTTATTTTCAGTAATTAAAAAAAAAAAAAAGAAACTCAGCCTGGCTATCAGAGCTTGCAGTGTAACCAGTGTGCTTATTGTAAAGAAATAGGACATTGGAAGAACAAATGCCCTCAGCTAAAAGGAAAACAAGGTGACTCAGAGCAGCAGGCCCCAGACAAGGAGGATGGGGCCCTGCTCAACCTGGCAGAAGGGTTACTGGAATGAGGGGGACTGGGCTCAAGGGCCCCCAAAAAGCCTGTGGTCAGGATGAAAGTTGGGGGTAAAGACATTGATTTTCTTTTAGATACCGGTGCTGAACATTCTGTAGTAACCACCCCGGTCGCCCCCTTATCCAAAAAGACTCAACATAATTGGAGCCATGGGGGTTTCAGCAAAGCAAGCTTTCTGCTTGCCCCGGACTTGTACTGCAGGAGGACATAAAGTGATTCATCAGTTTTTGTACATGCCTGACTGTCCCTTGCCCTTGTTGGGAAGGGACTTGCTTAGCAAGCTGAGAGCCACTGTCTCTTTTACAGAGCATGGCTCTTTGCTGCTAAAGTTACCCAGAACGGGAGTTATTATGACCCTTACGGTCCCCCGAGAGGAGGAATGGAGACTTTTCTTAATGAGCCAGGCCAAGTGGTGGCCAAGAGTGTGGGCAGAAGACAACCCTCCAGGGTTGGCAGTCAACCAAGCCCCCGTACTTATAGAAGTTAAGCCTGGGGCCCAGCCAGTTAGGCAAAAACAGTACCCGGTCCCCAGAGAAGCTCTTGAAGGTATCCAGGTCCATCAAGCGCCTAAGAACCTTTGGAATTATGGCTCCTTGTCAATCTCCATGGAACACTCCCCTCCTGCCTGTTCCCAAGCCTGGGACCAAGGACTAAAGGCCGGTACAGGATTTGCACTTGGTTAATCAAGCTACAGTGACTTTACATCTAACAGTACCTAACCCGTACACATTGTTGGGGTTGCTGCCAGCTGAGGACAGCTGGCTCACCTGCTTGGACCTTTCTTTAGCATCAGATTAGCCCCTGAGAGCCAGAAACTGTTTGCCTTTCAGTGGGAAGATCCAGAGTCAGGTGTTACTACTCAGTACACTTGGACCCAGCTTCCCCGAGGGTTCAAGAACTCCCCCACCATCTTGGGGGAGGAGACCTCCAGAAGTTTCCCACCAGAGACCTAGGCTGCATGTTGCTCCAGTACATTGATGACTTTCTGCTGGGACACCCCACGGCAGTCGGGTGGGCCAAGGGAACAGATGCCCTACTCTGGCACCTGGAGGACTGTGGGTATAAAGTGTCCAAGAAAAAAGCTCAGATCTGCCGACAGCAGGTACGTTACTTGGGATTTACTATCTGACAGGGGGAGCGCAGCCTGGGATCAGAAAGAAAGCAGGTCATTTGCAATCTACCAGAGCCTAAGACCAGAAGGCAGGTGAGAGAATTCTTAGGAGCTGTGGGGTTTTGCAGACTGTGGATCCCAAACTTTGCAGTATTAGCCAAGCCTTTGTATGAGGTCACAAAGTGGGGGGAACAGGAACTTTTTGAATGGGAATCCCGACAACAACAAGCCTTTCATAAGTTAAAGGAAAAACTTATGTCAGCCCCAGCCCTGGGGCTACCCGATCTGACAAAGCCTTTTACATTGTATGTGTCAGAGAGAGAAAAGATGGCAGTTGGAGTTTTAACCCAAACTGTGGGGCCCTGGCCGAGGCCGGTGGCCTACCTCTCTAAACAACTACATGGGGTTTCTAAAGAATGGCCCCCATGTTTGAGGGCCTTGGCAGCAACTGCCCTGCTAGTACAAGAAGCAGATAAGCTGACTCTTGGGCAAAACCTGAACATAAAGGCTCCCCATGCTGTGGTGACATTAATGAATACTAAAGGACATCATTGGCTAACGAATGTTAGACTCACCAAGTACCAAAGTTTGCTCTGTGAAAATCCCTGTATAACCATTAAAGTTTGTAACACCCTGAACCCTGCTACCTTGATCCCAGTATCAGAGAGCCCTGTCAAGCATGACTGTGTAGAAGTGTTGGACTCAGTCTACTCTAGCAGATCTGACCTCTGAGACCGGCCTTGGGCATCAGTAGACTGGGAACTATACGTGGATGGGAGCAGCTTCATCAACCCACAAGGAGAGAGATGTGCAGGGTATGCTATGGTAACCCTGGACACTGTTATTGAAGACAGATCATTGCCCCAGGGCACTTCAGCCTAGAGAGCTGAACTCATTGCTTTAATTTGGGCCCTAGAACTCAGTGAAGGTAAGACTGTAAACATTTACACTGACTCTCGGTATGCCTTTTTAACCCTTCAAGTGCATGGAGCGTTATATAAAGAAAAGGGCCTATTGAACTCTGGGGGAAAGGACATAAAATATCAACAAGAAATTTTGCAATTATTAGAAGCAGCATGGAAACCCCACAAGGTGGCAGTTATGCATTGCAGAGGACACCAGCGAGCTTCCATCTTGGTGGGTTTGGGGAATTCCTGCGCTGACTCAGAGGCTCGAAAAGCAGCATCTGCCCCCTTCCAGGCATCAGTCACAGACCCCCTGCTCCCTCAAGCACTTGATCTTGTAGCTACTTATTCGGGAGAATAGCTCTGCCACAGCTGCTAGGAGCCGCAATTGTACTGGTTTTGCATGAAACCACCCATCTAGGTCAGGAGTCACTTGAAAAGTTGTTAGGCCGGTATTTCTACATCTCATATTTGTCAACCCTTGCCAAAACAGTGACGCAGCAGTGTGTTACCTGCCGACAGCATAATGTGAGGCAAGGTCTAGCTGTTCCCCCCCGGCATACAAGCTTATAGAGCAGCCTCCTTTGAAGATCTCCAGGTGGACTTCACAGAGATGCCAAAGTGTGGAGGTAACAAGTATTTACTAGTTCTTTTGTGTACCTACTGTGGGTGGGTGGAGGCTTATCCAACACTAACTGAGAAAGCTCGTGAAGTAACCTGTGTGCTTCTTCGAGATCTTATTCCTAGATTTGGACTGCCCTTACGGATCAGCTCAGATAATGGGCTAACGTTTGTGGCTGACTTGGTACAGAAGATAGCAAAGGTATTGGGGATCATTTGGAAACTGCATGCCGCCTACCGGCCTCAGAGTTCCAGAAAGGCAGAGCAGATGAATCAGACTATCAAAAATAGTTTAGGGAAAGTATGTCAGGAAACAGGATTAAAATGGATACATGCTCTCTATAGTATTATTTAAAATTAGATGTACCCCTTCTAAAAGAACAGGATATTCCCCTTAGGAAATATTATATCATGGGACCCTTCCCATATTGCAGGGACTTCCAGGCACTTCCTGAGAGTTAGGTGAAATTGAGTTACAGCGACAGCTACAGGCTTTAGGAAAAATTACACAAACAATCTCAGCCTGGGTAAATGAGAGACCCTGTTAGCTTATTCTCCCCAGTTCACCTTTTCTCCCCAGGTGTTCGAGTGTGGATCAAGGACTGGAACGTAGCCTCTTTGTGCCCATGGTGGAAAGGACCCCAGACTGTCGTCCTGATCACTCCCACTGCTGTGAACGTAGAGAGAATCCTAGCCTGGATCCATCACAACCGTGTAAAACCTGCAGCGCCTGAATCCTGGGAGGCAAGACCAAGTCTGGACAACCCCTGCAGAGTGACCCTGAAGAAGATGACAAGCCCTGCTCCAGTCACACCCAGAAGCTGACTGGTCCACGCACAGCCGAAGCATGAGGAAGCTCATTGTGGGCTTCATTTTTCTTAAATTTTGGACTTACAGTAAGGGCTTCAACTGTTCTTACTCAAACTGGGGACTATTCCCAGTGTATTCATCAGGTCAGTGAGGTAGGACAGCAAATGAAAACAATCTTTCTGTTCTATAGTTATTATCAATGTATGGGAACGTTAAAAGAGACTTGTTTGTATAATGCCACTCAGTACAAGGTATGTAGCCCAGGAAATGACTGACCTGATGTGTGTTATAACCCATCTGAGCCCCCTACAACCACCAGTTTTGAAATAAGATTAAGAACTGGCCTTTTCCTAGGTGATACAAGTGAAATAATAACTAGAACAGAAGAAAAAGGAATCCCCAAACAAGTAACTTTAAGATTTGACGCTTGTGCAGCCATTAATAGTAACAAGCTAGGAACAGGATGTGGTTCTCTTAACTGGGAAAGGAGCTACAGAGTAGAAAATAAATATGTTTGTCATGAGTCAGGGGTTTGTGAAAATTGTGCCTTTTGGCCATGTGTTATTTAGGCTACTTGGAAAAAGAACAAAAAGGACTTGGTTCATCTTCAGAAAGGGGAAGCCAACCCCTCCTGTGCTGCCAGTCACTGTAACCCACTAGAACTAATAATTACCAATCCCCTAGATCCCCATTGGAAAAAGGGAGAATGTGTAACCCTGGGGATCAAAGGGACAGGGTTAAACCCCCAAGTTGCCATTTTAGTTCAAGGGGAGGTCCACAAGCACTCTCCCAAACCAGTGTTTCAAACCTTTTATGAGGAGTTAAATCTGCCAGCACCAGAACTTCTGAAAAAGATAAAAAATTTGTTTCTCCAATTAGCAGAAAATGTAGCTCATTCCCTTAATGTTACTTCTTGTTATATATGCGGGGGAACCACTATCAGAGACCGATGGCCTTGGGAAGCCTGAGAGTTGGTGCCCACTGATCCAGCTCCTGATATAATGGGGGCTTGTCCAGGATCTCATCAGGACTGGATGGCTCTCGCTGGACTATACTGGATATGTGGGCAGAGAGCCTACATTCAGTTACCTAATGAATGGGCAGACAGTTGTGTTATTGGCACTATTAAGCCATCCTTTTTCTTATTACCGATAAAAACTACTGGTACTATCTGTAAATTCCAGACATTGTATGAGAAAGCACTGTAAAACTTTTTGTTCTGTTAGCTGATATATGTAGCCTCCAGTCACATTCCTCATGCTTACTTGATCTATCATGACCCTTTCACGTGGACCCCTTAGAGTTGTAAGCCCTTAAAAGGGCTAGGAATTTCTTTTTGGGGGAGCTTGGCTCTTAAGACATGAGTCTGCCAATGCTACCGGCCAAATAAAAACCTCTTCCTTCTTTAATCCAGTGTCTCAAGAGTTTTGTCTGCAGCTCATCCTGCTACATTCTCTTCATCAATAAGGATGTATGGTAGTGTAGATGTTCATTGGCTTGATTTAGCCATTCCACAGTGCAGACAGACATACTTGCAAAACTTCATGCTATACACCATATGTGTTCAATATGTATTTGTCAATTAAAATAAATTTTGTTAAAGAGAAAAGGGAAGAAAGTCATACAGTGTTAAGGAGGTGCCTGGTGCCTCGTAGTACTATAAACACCTTCCTCTCATCATTATTATTTCTAGCATTGTAATTAATGATATTATGTTACCCTGTGGCCCCCTGGTGCCCTTGGTGGAGGCTGTAGTTTTGGAGGCCACAAGTCAACTCAGGTCCCTGCCCTTCTCACAGGGTGGCACGGCAGGGCCACTGGGACAGGACAGCCCCACCATGAGCACTGCATGATTCCATCAACCCACACCCACATGGCACAAATGCCTCCCTGCAGGAGCCCGGCCCTCCCAGCCTCTCCTGGGAGCCCAGTCCCAGCACTCTGGGTCAACCACGACCTCCCTCCCAGTGGGGGCTCTGATGGCCACACCCTGCTGTCCCTGCAGCCCTGCAGCTGGGTGTGGTGAGGACTGCATGCTGAGGTCCATGCTGATGTCAGCACCAGCTGCAAGGACAGAGGGTCCCCTTCCCAGAACTGAGCACACTTGCTTCAGATGACCGCTCGCAAGGACCCCAACTCACAACCCACCAAGCCGTGTTCTGGCCCCCACACTCATCCTTGCCTCTGCAGAAACAACAGACACTCAGGGAGTCACAGGTCAGACCTGCAGGCCTTCCCTTCAGAAAAGGGGTAGCCTCCAGCGGTGCCCTAGGCTTGCAGTTCCAGAATGTTCTCAAGTCACCAGATGGATGCATTTGCAAGCAGACAGCTATGCAGATGGTCAGACCATGGCCTGAGCTGTCAGAAAGGGCAGGGAGTAAATGAGCCTCACTGCCCTGAACCTCAGTTTTCTCATGTGTAAAGTGGGGACACTCACATGCACCTGAAAGGGTCATGATGAAATGAATGGAACCAATGTGAGAACGCACACAGGAGGCCATCAGTACATGTCAACTACTCTGAGGATCTCCATCCACTCAGCCACCTCCACGTTTGCTGCCTCCAGCTGCAGCTCTTGGGGTGGCTCTGGGTGTCAGTATAGGTGAGTCGACCCTGGGAACGCAGGTGCAGGGCCACACAGCCGGCTGCTTTGACATGTCTTTCAGGAAACATGGCTTTTCACAATCAAGACTATAACAGCTGCTGCTTTTTGAGTGCTGTGTGGGGACTGCTCTAAGTGCCCCAGGGCACTGTCTCATTTACCCTCACAGGGCTTCCAGCATTGGCCATTTCACCCCCATATGTCTTCAGATGAGATGGAGGCCAAGGCTGGCTTCACAGGTGCGGCACTCCCCACAGCCCCACAGAACCTGGCTGGGGCCCTTCGTGCAGGGCAGAGTCCGAGGTTCAGAAGGCCTGTGTGCCACCTGCAGTCACAGAGGCAGCTGAGCTGGGGCCAAACTCAGGGTCCCCGACAACCAGGCCCATGCCCACCCAACAGGCCTGACTGCCCTCAGCCTCTAGCACCCCCAGCCAGGGTCAACAGCATGGGACCCGCCCTGACAGGAATCCTGTCTTGACTAGGCCCAGGAATGCTGTGTCACATCAGGCCTTCCTTCCCATGCACCCTCAAAACCCCACGGTGGGCAGCTGCAGGACAGATCCGCAACTCCCTTCAGAGTTCTAGGCATTGCCCTGTTCTTCATTTCTGTGGCTCCCCACCTGTCCCATGCAAAGGCCCTCAAACCCAAGCCCCAGATGGCACCAGAGATGCTCTGAGCAGAGGCAGTTCCATCTGCCTTTGTAAGTGAATATGAGCATCTGCACACTATACATGCTTCTAAAGGCTCTGAGAAGTCCTGCATCAAGAGACTGCTTGGTTTTCTTTACCTCCACATTCCTCATGTGTTTTTGTGCAAGAGAACGTATGGGTACACACACCTGACATCTGAGAGTTTGGAAGCCCCATTCCTGCTATAAGGATAACAGAAAACCACCTAGCTGTCAGGGAGCTCAAACTGAGCCATGCCCCATCACTCCTCTCCACCTCACACGAAGCCTAAGAGATGAACAGTCAAACCTCTCCTTTATCCCTTCTTTTGTTTGGGTTTGTTTTGTAACAGACAGGGAAACTAGAGTATGGGGAAGTCCAGCGAGCCCCCTGCATCCCACAGCCGGCACCCAGGAGACCCCTGAGGCCTCCCAGGAACATGTCATTCCATGGGTCAAGGAGGGTGGCAGGGTTCCCAGTGCAGAGAAGGGCTGGGCACCACTTCTCCTTCCTGAACTTTCTGAAGGCCAGAAGGACACCACCATGGCTGGGCATGTGGCATAGGGATCAGTGCCTGGGAGAAGGGGCCCCACTGGCCCCACAGCCCTTGGAGGTTGCAGAGGGATTATAATGATTCTCATTGTCATCATTATCAGTATCATATGGATCTCGATGCTTTTTAAATATCTGTGTATTTTAATCCCCTGTAGTTATTATTCTTATTGATGCTAACTTGTCCCTTCCCTGGGCTGGTGGGAGCCTCTTCAGCTTGGCTCCCATGCCTTTGACATGGCCCTGACAGGCTTTGAGGGTTTCCCTGCTCTCTGGAAGGGGAGATGTTTCTGGCTTATCTTGTACATTTCCTGCCCTGGCCTGGAATCAGCCATTTCTCCAACAGCCTTAGTCCTTAGTGAGAAACCACTTTTGGGGTGCTCACTGCCACCTGGTTGGTCACTTTTTGTGGCCTCTTCAGTGCAGAGTTAGCGAGGGTTTGTAGTAAACTTTAGTAAGTGTGGCAACAGGCTCTGTGGTGGCTCCATGGTCCCAGCCCTGTGCTGTCCCTCCCCTTCAGTGTGGGTGGGACCTGTGACTCACTTCCAGCCACTGGAATATGGCAAAAGTGATGGGAGGTCACATCCATGTTAATGGCATGTGAGACTGTAACCCATTTTTCCAAGATGCAATCTCTCCTGTGCCAGCTTTCAGGAAGCCAGTGGCACTGTCAGGAAGGCCCACATGGCTAGGAGCTCAAGGCGGCCTCCAGCCAACAGCCAGTAAGGAGGTGAAACTGACTATCTCAAGGAACTGACAGCTGAAAGCCCTTCACCTGAGAAGCAGCCCCTTCCACAGTTGAGCCTCTGATGAGACTGCAGCCCCTGCCCGCCCTACATTGCAGCCCCAGTCACATTGCCCTGCTCCAGCTCTGGCCAGCTTGGTGAGACTCAGAGCACCCATCTCAGCCAGGCCAGACTCCAGGCCCACAGAAACCATGAGACAGAAGAGTATGTTGTTTGAGCTGTGAAGTTCGTTGTCATTGCTGCAGTAGATGACTAATACCAATAACAGCCCACTTCATTAGATTCTCCTTACAGGTTGCAGAATTGATCCACAATCATAGTAACAAGGCAAGTGACCCTGAAGGCAGGGCCTATCCAGGGCATCTACACAGCAATGCCATCTGTACTGAGATGGGACCTATCTAGTAAAATACAATGGGATTGAACTCTGTGCTGAGCTGTAGGAGATGGGGTACAGGACAGTGGGGGAAACCCAGCAGCCAGCTTCCCAGGGGTCCAGGCCACCCACACTCCACCTCCCTCTTCTTCACCCCAAGGCCAGGCAGGGAAGGGCTCCCAGGAGACACACAGGGGAGGAGAACAGAAGACAGCCTGTGACTGTTGGAATCCCTCCAATTACACAGACAGTCCTTCCTGCCCACCTGAGTGAGAGCAAGGAGGCTCCCTGCAGCATGGGCCAGCCTTAGAAGTCCTGGCTCCACAGAGCCTGGGGGCTTCACAGCCAGTGAAAGATGCATCAGTGGGCGTGGCACACCCATGGGGGAGAAGCACATGCCTGTAGCCTTGGCTTTGCTGTGCCCACGTCTATAGGCCACCCCTTGTCCCTCCCACATTCACTCACAGCCCTCGGGACAACAGATCTTGTGCAGGAGCCCTGCCTTATGACCAGGGAATGGGCAAAGTTGAGTTCTCTGCAAGGTTAGATGACTGGCCAAGGTCAGCACTGGGCACACCATGGAGGCCAGAGGACATCATGCGTTACAGGAAGGAGAGGATGGGGAGCAACAACACAGGTTAAATCAAAGCTTCTCAAACCTTGGAGGCCAAAACTTCTCCTGGAGGGTTTGTGACGACAGACCCTGGGCCCCACCCTTGGGGAGTCGAATCCAGCAGGTCTGGGATAGGGCTGAGAATGTGCATTTCCACCAGGTTCCCAGGGACGCTGGTTCTGCTGGCCCAGGGGCCACATTTTAAGTAGCAAGGGGCTAAAGGATGGGTGAGTGAATGAATGGATGAATGAAGAAATGAAGGACTGACACTCAGCACGGAGCCCATCACCCCTGCAGCAGGTCAGTGGTGCCTTGGATGAGAAATAGTGCACTTAACACATACAACCACACATGGACACAGAGAGATACACGCAGACATGCACACATCCACACATGTGCAGTTTCACACACATGTTCACTCACATGCAGAGACATATATACAGAGCCTTTCAGCCAGACTCACAGAACACAGACACATATAAACACAAACACACAGACATGAAGACACAGACACACAAACAATATGCACTTGCACACATTGAGACAGAGGCACAGACACAAGTGCACTTGTGTCACTTGTTTCTAGTCAGGGCTCTCCCGAGATTGAGCATTCAGCCAGCTTGGCTTTGGTGGGTGGAAGTCCACATTGCTGAGCCCATGCACAACCTCCATCCCTGCCACCATGGCCACCTTGTTCATGAGCCTATTGGTGATGGCAGGGGGTGCTGGGGAAAGAGGCTGACTGGCATCCACAGACTGGGTCATCCTATCCAGTTGATTATTAAAATCCTCCTGTGCTGAGGTCATCCTTTGATGAGCATTCACATAAAACACAAATATCATCATGCTTTTTGTTGCCCACTCAGAGGAATCTGTCCACATGCCTCTTCCCCAATTTCCTTCTAACTAATTTTCCAATTATGCTCCGTCCAAGTCCCTGACCATCAGTCAAGCCATTAGCTACAGCCCATGAATATATATATTATCACACATCTGGCCATTTCTCCTTCCAAGCAGAGTTCTTGTCTGGAGTTCTGCCCACAGGGAGGATTTCCCTTTACCACTGTCCTTCCGGGATGTCCCAGAAAGGGGTTGTGGTGCTGCAGCCTCCACTTTCAGGTGGTGCCTGCCTATCATGCAGAACCATCTGTAAACCAGGCTAGAGTCTTCTCTTTCTCTTCTCTTTCCTTGATTGTAGGGAATTCCCCATGAGGCCATTAGTGTGTCTGGAAGAGGGAAGGCAGCTTAACAGGAATGGGAACCTTGGGCATCTGGTCCACTGCTTCATGTAACTTACTTGTGTCTTCAGAGCCTGCTGAGGCCTGATCTTGTATAGACCACTTCCATTGGTGATGGAGTGCAGCTGTGCATGCCTAAGTTTATGGCTTTCGGGGTCAGATAACACCCAGTTCATGATAGACAGCTCAGGGCGCATGGTGACTTGGTGGTCCATGGTTAATTAAGTGTTCAGCCTGTACTAAGGCCCAGTGGCAGGCCAAGAGCTGCTCCTCAAAGTGAGAGCAGTCTTCTGAGGAAGATGGCAGGACTTCACTCCAAAATCCTAACGGCCCGCACTGTGATTCACATAGAGGGGCCTGCTAAAGGCTCCACACAGTATCTCCATCTGCCACTGACACCTCAAGCAGCATAGGATCTGCTGGGTCGCATGGCCCACCTGGCAGAGCAGCTTGTGCAGCAGCTGGACCTGTTTCAGAGCCTTGTCTTGTTCTGGGCCCCACTCAAAACTAGCAGCTCTTTTAGTTGCTTGGTACCTGGGCTGGAGTAGCAGCCCAAGTAATGAATACGTTGCCCCCCAAATCCAAAGAGGCCCACTAGGCATTGTGCTTCATTTTTGGTTGTAGGAGATGCCAGAAGAAACAACTTATCCTTAGAAGGGCTTAGAAGGGCTTAATCTTAGAAAGGTTGCTAGGGCCCTAGAAATTTCACTAAGGTAGGAGACCCTGAGTTTTTTGTTGGATTTATTTCCTAGCTCTGACACACAAATGTCTTATTAGTAAGTCTAGAGTATCTGCTCCTTCTTGTACGCTCACTGGCTCTGATCAGCATCATGGCATCAATGTAATCGACCAGTGTGACATCTTGTGGCAGGAAACAGCAATCAGGATCCCTGAGAATGAAAGTGTGGGAGGGGGCTGGAGTACTGATACATCCTGAGGCAGGATAGTGCAGATGGACTGCTGGCCTTTCCAGCTGAAAACAAACTGCTTCGGGTGGTCTTTATTAGCAGGGACAGAGGAAAAAATAACATTTGCCGGATCAATGGCTGTATACCAGGTACCAGGAGATGTGTTGATTTGCTCAAGCAATGAAACCACATCTGGCACAGAAGCCTGTGATTGTAGTTACCACCCAGTTAAGCCTATGCTTAATTGTCATTCTCCAAGATCCATCTCTCTCCTGCACAGGCCAACAGGAGAGATGAATGGGAATGCAATGGGAATTGCCACCTCTGCATCCTTCAAATCTTTGATGGCAGCAGTAATCTCTGCCATTCCTCCAGTAATGTGGTATTGCTTTCTGTTTACTACTGGTGGGGGGTGGTTAGAGAAGGCACTAGTGGCTTCCACATGGTCTTTCTCATCATAATAGCCCTCACTATGTAGGTTAGGGAACCAATGTGGGGATTCTGCCATGTGCTGAACATGTCTTCAATTATGCATTCCAGAACTGGGGAAATAGCCATAGCATGGGCTCTGGGGCCATTGGACCCACTGTGAGATGGACCTGAGCTAAAACTCCACTGATCTCCTAACCTCCATAAGCCCCTATTCTGACTGGAGGGCCACAGTGACATATCAGGTCTCCTGGAATTAGTATCAGTTCAGAATCCGTATCCCGTAGTCTCAGAAAGGTCTGATTATTTCCTTTTTCCCAATGCACAGTAACCCTGGTAAAAAAAAAAAAAAAGCTGTAGATCCCTTTCGAGAAGGCTGGGAGAAATATTGACAGTATAAATGTTTGGGACTGTACTGGGGTTCTTTCTCAAAGGAAAGTGACGTCCCCTTCATTCAAGGGATTCTGGGTCTGTAAACTGGCTCAAGTCTTTGAATTGATTGAGGGAGTGTGACTCCCTGTTTTTATGATTCAGGTTCGAATTTTGTTCACTTGACCTAGAACTTTTCTGCTTATTCAGATCAACGAGGAATTTAATGGGTATCCTATCCATTTCACTTCTAGGAACACCATGATCAACTAGCTGATGTCATGGGTATATGGGAGTCAGACTACTTGATTGCTGCCTTGACCATGCCGTCCATCAGTATAACCATTCTCACCTTGTCTTTGGTGGTGCCAAGAATGCTGCCTCTTGGTCTCTGTCACCCCAGGATGCAAATACTCCCACTGCGTTTAGGTTTCCCAACTGAGTGGCTGCCATTTTGGCCCAAAGAGAAGAGTGACCACAGAGGTCTTCAAAGATGCTGGGGTTCCCCCTCACAAATCTATTTCTCAAAGGAGTTGTAAAAGGGGAGTCTTTTGGGCCTTCCCAGTGGGGGAGTAGCCCTTAAATAACAAATTCACTCTAACACTCCAATCTCCTAAAGCCTTTCAATCCTTTTCTCTACATTAAACCAAAGCAGGCCAGGCATTTTCAATTCACTTACTATGCGTCATCATTTGATCCATGTTTCAGCCAACCAACGAGCCAAACGGCTAAAGCCCTTTCTAACTCTCTGAGCTGCAACATTAAATGCAGAATTTTTGCTTAGTGAGCCTATGTCAATAAATTCAACTTGATCCAACTTTATGTTTCTTCCACCATTATATTATACAAAACCCTCAATATCTATTTTCACACATGTCCCCTAGATTTCTATTCACATAGATTAGAAAACCTGAGTAGCTCTTTAAGAGTTTAGCACATCTCCTCATGGGTCATACCCTGTACCTCACCTTGAGGGACCTGATGGGACTTGAGCCTAGGTATAGGCCTAGAAGCAAAGGGGGTGGGTCCTGAGAAGAATCAGTATTGTCTTCCTTCCAGGACAATTGTCATTACAGTTTCCTCAGGAAATGCAGAGTTAACTCCTGAGAGAGCGGGATGCACCTTTCACTGAAAATGGAAAGGCCTCTCCACTGGCAAAGAAGACCCATTAGAATTTAGGGGCTCAATGTCTCCAGTTTCATCAGAATCTTCCCACATGTCCCCATTCTAACTTATAGGATCTCATTTTTTCCCAGTCAATGCCCTCACTTTAACAGTCAACCTCAGCAAGGCTGAGAGTTCAACTTACATTCAGCCAATGGAAAGATGAGATTCTATGTTTGATTTTCAGCAATCTCAGCCTTGTGGCTTCAGGGAATACCAAGCAGCTTTCAGGTCATGTATGCAACACTATTGAGCTGGGAATTCAAATCCTTGAGTTCATCTTTTACTTTCACCACTTTGTCCAGTGACATTAGGAACAACCAGCCAACCCCATTATATTTGTTAGATTTACAAAAACGTTTGGAAGTATTATATGCATGGTCACCCAGAACTTGTTTCTTACAACTGATTGATTAGCAGAACCCAAAGAAGATATTTTTCATATTGTTATTGCCAGATCACACCAGCTCTGGCACACACACAGACTACCAATGCTCTCTTTACTACTGGAAATACAGTCACTAACAGTCTTTAAATCTAATCATATCAGAGAGCCAATTCCAGAAATTCCAGAACAAATGCAGAAAACTTATCCTTAAAATTTTATTCCTTTACAACCCCACTCCTGACAAAATCTGTATTAACCAGGGTTCTCCAGAGAAACAGAATCAATAGAAGTATAGAAAGACAGAGATAGAGACATATAAAAACATACATACATTTATTATAAAGAATTGGTTCACACAATTGTGGAGGCTCAGAAGTCCAGACCTAGGATAGCTGGATGGTATAAGTTCCAGTATAAGTCTGAAGCCCTGAGAACCAGGAGAGCCAATGGTGTAAGTTCCTCCACAAATCCAAAAATCAGGAGAGTCAATGGTGCAAGTTCCAGTCCAAGTCCAAAGGCAGGAGAAGACTGATGTCCCAGCTCAAAGAAAGGCAGAAAGAGAGAATTCTTTCTTACTCAGCCTCTTATTCTATTTAGGCCTTTAATGGATAGATGAGGCCCACTCACACTGGGGAGGGCAGTCTGTGTCACTGAGTCCACCAATTCCAATGGTGATCCCATCCAGAAATGCCCCCCAGACAAACCAGAAATATTTAACCAAATATATGGCCACCCTATGGTTCAATTTGACACATAAAATCAACCATCACAGCAAACATACACAGACTTACACACATGCATATAAGCACATATACATTCAGAAAATATTTACACACATTCACACTAGACAAAGACAGACTTCTGGACACACATGCATACAGACACAGAGACACAAACACATTTACACACATCTACACACATATCATGTACACACGCACACATTTCCCCAGAACCCATGACCATGTTACTGTAACAGTAGCCGCTCACTACTGTGGCATTTTATGACTTAACTGGGGCCACCATGTGCCTTTGTTTGCCTGGCAGGCCTCGGCATGGCAAGGCCAGAGAGTGTGAGCGACCATCACCCACATTCACAGATGGGAGGGCCTAGGCTGAGTGAAGCTGTAAGGACCGAGCCAAGTCCCACATCCACTCTGAGCTTCGTCCAGTGAGTCTGAAAGTGAGAAAAGCACATGACACTACCAGCAGCAGCAAGCAGTGACAACAATCTGCCCTCCCGGCTCCCTGGAGGGTAAAATCTGTTTCCCTGCCTGTGTTTGGTCATGGGCAAAGTCACCAATGCTGAGGCCCCTGAGGTCTTGCCTCTCCCTCTGCAGGAGTGAATCCCAGATGGGACACATGAAATCAGGGCACAGAGGCCTGGAGAAGAGTCCTCGCCCACAGCCCTGGTGCACAGTGGCCAAAAGCCAGAGGATTTGAGTTTCAGGACCAGCAGAGCAGGACAGGCAGAGCAATGGGGGACAGTCGCAGCAGCTGCTTTTTCCTGAATGCCACCTTCTACCATGTGCTAAATTCCTTTTCCTGGTAACAATCCTCACAACAAATCTCCAAGTAGGCAAAGACCTGAGAGGCCCTGAGAGATTATGTGGCTTGTTCAGTCCTGCAAACCCAGATCTCCCTGCCTGAAATCTGGTATGACCCAGCAGGACCCACCTGGGGCACAGCTTCCCTGGGATGGTGTTAAAATGAAGGTTCTGACTCTGACTCTGATGGCCGGTCAAGCAGCTCCTCCCGCCATGACCTTCAAGGCCCAGGTGTCTCCCTCTCCTTCCCACTGCCTACACCGCCCAGTTCAGAAGAGGGTACAGGAACTCGCCTGAGGCTGAAGCCATAACTGCCAGCTCTATTCCAAGCCCTGAGCATTTACACTGAGGAAGTCTGCAAATCCTCACCACAGCTTCTAGGGGGAAACTGAGGTTGGGAGGGACTCTTCCTTGGCTAAGGTCACCGAGGTGTTGGGAGGCAGAACAAGGGTTTTGATGCAGGCCACCTGGCTCCAGGGCCCCACCCCAACCATGGGCTGAACATGGAAATGAATGCTTAGGCCAGGAAACCAGAACCTCTGGGTTCTTTCCTCCTGGGCTGCATACTGTTCTTTCCCCTCTTTTATAGAATTTGAGCCAAAGATGGAAAGTGATCAATTGCTTCATCAGCAAACCCTGCTCATCTGTTTTCCAGGTGCAGAAATCACCAAAGGCAGGGGGAGGACACGTGCTGAGATGTTCATCCTCGGAAGCTGCAGTCAGGACCTACCTTCCCATGGAGTTGCCACAGCCAGATGCCCACTCACCCCATAGGGAGAGAGAGCCTCCTGCCTGGGGCCACTTGGAACACCAGAAGTTTGGGCAGGAGGGGTATACGGTTTGGAGAAGAAAATCAAGTGATTTCTCAAAACTGGTTATTCTAGTTAGCAATTCATCTAACTTTTTTTTTTTTTTGACCTGATGTTGTTGAAAAACACAGCATGAGAACTTTGTGAAGCATACACAAGTATCATAGCCAAATCAATCAAGTGGAAGAAAGGATATCAGAAATTGAGGATCAACTTAATGAAATAAAGCAAGAAGACAAGATGAGAGCAAAAGGAATGAAAAGGAATAAACAAAGCCTCCAAGAAATATGGGACTATGTGAAAAGACCAAATCTACATTTGATTGGTGTACCTGAAAGTGACAGGGAGAATGGAACCAAGCTGGAAAACACTCTTCAGGATATTATCCAGGATAACTGCCCCAACCTAGCAAGACAGGCCAACATTCAAATTCAGGAAATATAGACAACACCACAAAGATACTCCTTGAGAACAGCAGCCCCAAGACACATAATCATCAGATTCACCAAGCTTGAAATGAAGGAAAAATGTTAAGGGCAGCCAGAGAGAAAGGTTGGGTTACCCACAAAGGAAAACCCATCAGACTAACAGCAGATCTCTCTGCAGAAACCC
Organism: Homo sapiens; assembly: GCF_000001405.40. Lineage (NCBI taxonomy): Eukaryota > Metazoa > Chordata > Mammalia > Primates > Hominidae > Homo > Homo sapiens. Next base: position 24,944,596 of record NC_000020.11, read on the forward strand.
TACAAGCCAGAAGACAGTGGGGGCCAATATTCAACATTCTTAAAGAAAAGAATTTTCAACCCAGAATTGCATATCCAGCCAAACTAAGCTTCATAAGTGAAGGAGAAATAAAATCCTTTACAGACAAGCAAATGCTGGGAGATTTTGTCACCACCAGGCCTGCCTTACAAGAGCTCCTGAAGGAAGCACTAAACATGGAAAGGAACAGCTGGTACCAGCCACTGCAAAAACATATCAAATTGTAAAGACCATTGACACGATGAAGAAACTGCATCAACTCATGGGCAAAATAACCAGCTAGCATCATAATGACAAGATCAAAATCATAATAATAATATTAACCATAAATGTAAATGGGCTAAATGCCCCAATTAAAAGACACAGACTGGCAAATTGAATGGAGTCAAGACTCATTGGTGTGCTGTGTTCAGGAGACCCATCTCACATGCGAAGACACAAATAGGCTCAAAATAAATACATGGAGGAATATTTACCAAGCAAATGGAAACCAAAAACAAAGCAAGGGTTGCAATCCTAGTCTCTGATAAAACAGACTTCAAACCAACAAAGATCAAAAACGACAAAGAAGGGTATTACATAATGGTAAAGGTATTAATTCAACAAGAAGAACTAACTATCCTAAATATACATGCACCCAATACAGAAGCACCTACATTCATAAAGCAAGTTCTTAGAGACCTACAAAGAGACCTACACTCCCACACAATAATAATGGGAGATTTTAACACCCTGTCAATATTATAACAATGAGACAGAAAATTAATAAGGATATTCAGGATTTGAACTAAGCTCTGGACCATGCAGACCTAATAGACATCTACAGAACTCTCCACCCCAAATCAACAGAATATACATTCTTCTCAGCATCTCATTGCACTTATTCTAAAATTGACCACATAATTGGAAGTAAAACACTCCTCAGCAAATACTAAAGAATGGAAGTCATAACAAACAGTCTCTCAGACCACAGTGCAATCAAATTAGAACTCAGGATTAAGAAACTCACTCAAACCTGAACAACTACATGGAAACTGAACAACCTGCTCCTGAATGACTACTGCGTACATAATGAAATTAAGGCAGAAATAAAGATGTTCTCTGAAACCAATCAGAACAAAGACACAATGTACCAGAATCTCTAGGACACATTTATAGCAGTGTGTAGAGGGAAATTTATAGCACTAAATGCCCACAAGAGAAAGCAGGAAAGATCTAAAATTGACACCCTAACATCACAAGTAAAAGAACTAAAGAAGCATGAGCAAACAAATTCAAAAGCTAGCAGAAGACAAGAAATAACTAAGATCAGAGCAGAACTGAAAGTGATAGAGACATGAAAAACCTTTCAAAAAATCAATGAATCAAGGAGCTGGTGTTTTGAAGAGATCAACAAAATAGATAGACCACTAGCAAGACTAATAAAGAAGAAAAGAGAGAAGAATCAAATAGATGCAATAAAAAATGATAAAGGGGATATCACCAGTGATCCCATAGAAATACAAACTACCATCAGAGAATACTGTAAATGCCTCTAAACTAATAAACTAGAAAATCTAGAAGAAATGGGTAAATTCCTGGACACACACACCCTCCCAAGTCTAAACCAGGAAGAAGTCGAATCCCTGAATCGATCAATAACAAGTTCTGAAATTGAGGCAGTAATTAATAGCCTACCAACCAAAAAAAAGTCCAGGACCAGATGGATTCACAGCTGAATTCTACCAGAGGTACAAAGAGGCGCTGCTACCATTCCTTCTGAAACTATTCCAAACAAGAGAAAAAGAGGGAATCCTCCCTAACTCATTTTATGAGGCCAGCATCATCCTAATACCAAAACCTGGCAGAAACACAACAAAAAGAAAATTTCAGGCCAATATCCCTGATGTCCCATCAATGTGAAAATCCTCAATAAAATATGGCAAACTGAATCCAGCAGCACATCAAAACTTATCCACCATGATCAAGTCAGCTTCATACCTGGAATGCAAGGCTGGTTCAACATATGCAAATCAATAAACGTAATCCAGCATATAAACAGAACCAATGAGAAAAACCACATGATTATCTTAATAGATGCAGAAAAGGCCTTCAACAAAATTCAACACCCCTTCATGCTAAAAACTCTGAATAAAGTAGGTTTTGATGAACTGTATCTTAAAATAATAAGAGCTATTTATGACAAACCCACAGCCAATATCATACTGAATGGACAAAAACTTGAAGCATTCCCTTTGAAAACTGGCACAAGACTAGGATGCCCTCTCTCACCACTCCTATTCAACATAGTGTTGGAAGTTCTGGCCAGGGCAATTAGGCAGGAGAAGGAAATAAAGAGTATTCAAATAGGAAAAGAGGGAGTCAAATTGTCTCTGTTTGCAGATGACATGACTGTATATTTAGAAAACCCCATCATCTCAGCCCAAAATCTCCACAAGCTGATAAGCAACTTCAGCAAAGTCTCAGGATACAAAATCAATGTGCAAAAATCACAAACATTCCTATACACCAATAATAGACAAACAGAGAGTGAAATTATAAGTGAACTCCCATTCACAATTGCTACAAAGAGAATAAAATACCTAGGAATACAACTTACAAGGGATGTGAAGGACCTCTTCAAGGAGAACTACAAACCACTGTTCAAGGAAATAAGAGAGGATACAAATAAATGGAAAAACATTCCATGCTCATGGATAGGAAGAATCAATGTTGTGAAAATGGCCATACTGCCCAAAGTAATTTATAGATTCAGTGATATCCCCCATCAAGCTATCATTGACTTTCTTCACAGAATTGGAAAAAACTACTTTAAAGTTCATAGGGAACCAAAAAAGAGCCTGCATAGCCAAGACAATCCTAAGCAAAAAGAACAAAGCTGGAGGCATCATGCTATCTGACTTCAAACCATACTACAAGCCTACAGTAACCAAAACAGCATGGTACTGGTACCAAAACAGATATATAGACCAATGGAACAGAACAGAAGCCCAGAAATAACACCACACATCAACAACCACCTGATCTTTGACAAACCTGACTAAAACAACCAATGGGGAAAGGATTCCCTATTTAATAAATGGTGTTGGGAAAACTGGCTAGCCATTTGCAGAAAACTGAAACTGGACCCCTTCCTTACACCTTATACAAAAATTAACTCAACATGGATTAAGGACTTAAGACCTAAAACCATAAAAACCCTAGAAGAAAACCTAGGCAGTACCATTCAGGACATAGGCATGGGCAAAGACTTCATGACTAAAACACCAAAAGGAATAGCAACAAAAGCCAAAATTGATAAATGGGACCTAATTAAACTAATGAACTTCCACACAGCAAAAGAAACTGTCATCAGAGTGAACAGGCAACCTACAGAATGGGAGAAAATTTTTGCAATATATCCATTTGACAAAGAGCTAATGTCGAGAATCTACAAGGAACTTAAACAATTGACAAGAAAAAAACAACCCCATCAAAAATTGGGTGAAGGATATGAACAGACACTAAAAAGAAGACATTTATGCAGCCAAGAAACATATGAAAAAACGCTCATCATCACTGGTCATTAGAGAAATGCAAATCAAAACCACAATGAGGTACCATCTCATGCCAGTTAGAATGGTGATCGTTAAAAAGTCAGGAAGCAACAGATGCTGGAGAGGATGTGGAGAAATAGGAACGCTTTTACACTGTTGGTGGGAGTGTAAATTAGTTCAACCATTGTGGAAGACAGTGTGGTGATTCCTCAAGGATCTAGAACCAGAAATACCATTTGACCCAGCAATTTCATTACTGGGTATATACTCAAAAATCATTCTACTATAAAGACACATGCACACGTATGTTTACTGCAGCACTAGTCACAATAGCAAAGACTTGGAACCAACCCAAATGCCCATCAATGGTAGACTGGATAAAGAAAATGTGGCACATATACACCATGGAATACTATGCAGCCATAAAAAAGATGAGTTCATGTCCTTTGCAGGGACATGGATGAAGCTGGAAACCATCATTCTCAGCAAACTAACACAAGAACAGAAAACCAAACACCGCATGTTCTCATTCATAGGTGGGAGTTGAACAATGAGAACACATGGACACAGGGAGGGGAACATCACACACCAAGGACTATCTGGGGATCCGGGGCCAGGGGAGGGATAGCATTTGGAGAAATACCTAATGTAGATGATGGGTTGATGGGTGCAGCAAACCACCATGGCACGTGTATACCTATGTAACAAACCTGCATGTTCTGCACATGTACCCCAGAACTTAAGTAATTAAAAGAAAAAGGAAAATCAAGTGATTTTGCTTTTGAAAATTCCTGCTAATGTTTTTCATGCAACATCTCTTTCGTGTGTGGCTCAGGGGTAGAACATTGCATCAGGATTTGCTCATGGGTCTCATGTCTCTTCCTCCTCCCCCAGCAAATGACGGCTGCTCGGAAACTTTTATAAAGGAAGCGGTTGCTTTGTGGCTGATAGATCTGAAGGTGAAGAGCTTCTGGCCAAAATGATTCAGCAGCAAAACACTCCCCTCCCCAGCACCACGCAGGCAGCCCCCTAGCCCCGCCCCTGCCCCATCCCACAGTGGTTTGCAGGGTGGGGTTCCATGCTGTGGCCCTGGCACCTGCCCCTGGGCTGGGACAGCCCACTGTTCCATGCTGCCCAAGAAGGCTCAGCACAGGCACAAACCATTGCCCGGCACTGGCCCGTGCTGCCTGAGAAGGATTGGCACGGGCACAGACCACTGCCCCCACCTGCCCTGCGCCATCTACCCAAGAAGGCTCGGCACGGGCACCAACCACTGCCTCCAACTGCCCCATGCTGCCTGAGAAGGCACTGCACGGCCACCCCCAACTGCCCCGCACTGTCCCTACCCGGGCAGCCATGCGAGCGGCTGGAACTCTGCTGGCCTTCTGCTGCCTGGTCTTGAGCACCACTGGGGGCCCTTCCCCAGGTAAGTGGCGTTCTCCCCTGTCCGCTCCCCGGGGGTCTCTCCCTGAGATTGGCCACTGGTGCCTTGGGTCTTCCCCAGGGCACTTTCCTAGCTTGGAGCCCCCACAGGACCATGCGGTGGTGAGAGGTGCTGGGAGTGGTGAGAGGGGCAAGGGGCTCCATCTGGCTGCAGCTACCTTTGGGGGTAGCAGGCTACAGGGATGAAGGGTTTGGGGGCTGCCCCAGAAGGCTAGGGGCAAGGGAAGCATCTTCTATTCTCTGGCTCTTCACAGAGGTCTGAGAAAGGTCTAAGTAAGGCAGGTCTCCCGCAGCTCCTCTGCGGGACGGAGGCGACAGGGCAGCCACATGCCTGTGGTTAGCCGCTTCTATCTGATGGCTTGTCATTCCTTCCTGCTGGCTGTTGTCCTGTGACTTGGCTCCAGGGACCCTAACGATCAGACTCTTTCACCCTTCCTGAAATCCACTCCCTGAGGGTCAGCACTCAGGGGGAGGGGGGACAGGGAGGAAAGAGCCACTGCCTGTGCACTGGGAAACTGAGACACAGCCAGGCTAGGTGATTTGCCCAAGTCACACAGCCAGGGACAACCTGCTCTCCCCCAAAGGGAACTGGGCCATGGCCTCCCTGGCACAGGAATCAGACCAGGATACTGATGGGGACTTGGGAGGCCCCCACCTCATTTAACCAACCAGGAAGCTGGCACCAGAGGGCTGAGGTGACCCGCTCAAGTCATATGACCCCCACCCAGCAGACAGGGACAGAAGGGGGCTGGAGCCTGGCCAAAGGGGCCCAGGTGGGGGCTGTGCAGCAGGACCACTGACAAGAGGATGGCTCCAGAGCACCCAAGGGGTTCTTGGAGGGTTCTCACCTCCTCCTGGTGAGTCAGGATACTGAGGACTCAGTGATGCTGGGGGACACTGTGTCGAGCTCCCAGGCCTGGCCTAGGGCGGACGCTGCGACTGAGCAGCCAAGGGGACACGGCAGGCTGGAGGAGGGGCCGGGGGCAGCTTCTGCTCTCACTGATGGGAACATGCCACCGCCACCAGCTCTGGGTAGTGCTCAGCGAACATGGAGCTGACCCATGGCTGGCAGAAGGCTGGGGACAGCATACCCGGCCCTGCCTCCCAGCTTGGGAGCCTTCTTAGCTCACGCAAGGAGCCCTCCACCTGCTTCCCAGCCTCACAGGGGCCTCTCCTCCTGGCCCTGTCCTGATGCAGTGCTGCCTGCCTGCTGCCATTCTGTGCCCTGCCCCTTCGTGTCTCCAAGGTCCAAGGGGGAAGCAGGGAAGAGAGGCAAGTTCACTCCAGAGAAGTGGCTCGTTCTCACACCTCAGAAAAGGCTCTCCTGGAGGGGACATGGAGCCAGCTGTCCTAGCGTGTCCTGGGATCTAATTAAACCTACTGACTGCTGAGGGGTTTCAGAGCTCTGCTCATCTCACGGAGCAGGCTAGGGACTATAACAGGGTGGCGTGGGAGCCGATGTGCTGGGCAGCTGGCAACGTCATTTTCCTGGGTGGTGTTCCCGGCCCCTCGCTGGTATGTAATGCTGCACCAAGCCTTTCCCTCCATTCTCAGCAGACCTGCTGTCAGCCACCAAACCCCAGAGAGAAGCTCCAGAGCCCACGTTCACACACACAGAGCGGGCCCTCAGCCTCAGTCCTACCATCCATGAAATGGGAAGATAACTGCACCCCGTCTCCGGCCCTGGGGAGGCTGAACAGAGGTGGCTCGGGGAAGGCACAGGCATGGAGGCACATGGGGCATGGGGTGCTCTCCGCCAGCCTCAGCCCCCTGCTCTGTCTAGTGCAGGCCCTTCTGCCACTGTGCTGGTGACAGCCCCCAGCACCCTGCCCAGGCGCTGTGATCATTTCTGGTGCTTCCAGCAAGGGCCTTCAGTCTTCGGCTGTATAGGGAGGGTGCTGGGAGGCCCCCAGTCTAGCAGCAAAAAAGAGATGGGAACCTGGGCCCCAGACACAAGCATGCGTCCTGCCCCCACTCCACAACTCCTACAGCCCCTCCGCTGCCTCCTCTGAGAATAAATTACAGAGCCTTCCTCATGACTGAGGGGGGTAGGGGGCGGGGAAGCAACAGGGACCCCAAGGGTGGTGCCGTCTGAGCATCTGGCCTCTCTCCACACCCATGCACTGAACTGCACAGACCATAGCGCTGAGCCCCTCAGGGCACCTCTCCTCCCTGAGGCTTTCAGAACCTAGGAAATTGCCACACTGGCTTCCGCCACCCTTTTGAAAAGGGCTGTTTCTTTCTCAATCTGATGGGCATCTCTTCTGGGAAGCTCTGCCAGGTGCCATGTCATCCTCTGCCCCCTCCACTCTAGCTGCAACGGCCCATCTGCCTGGACAGGGGCCCTGGGGTCAGGGAGCCATTTCAGCTTCCCTCTGCAAGGTGATGTCAGTCCTTACTTCCCAGTAGCAGAGAGACCACTTGCAGCCCGGGGACCTCCTGCCTCCTGGGGAGCACTGGGAGCTGCCGCAGGCTGAGCCACCGTCTACGTGGCAAGATTTGTTTTTCCCAATGGGGGCATTCATTTGCCCTGAGACCCCTGCTGTGGCCATGTGCATTTTGATATATTGATAATGATTACAGTTTTGCACATCATTTATTGACAAGTGCTTCGTGTATGTTGCCTCATATATTCTCACTGTCGTCAGCATCCTCATTTTACAGGTGAGGACACGGAGGCTCAGAGAGGTTAGGCAGCTTGCCTGAGATCATACAGCCAGTGAGAAGCAGAGCTGGAATTCAAACTCCGGGTGTGTCCCAGTGGGTTAAGGTCGGGACTGATCTGGTAGAGCTCAGTGTCCTGTCTGTGCCAGGGGCATGTGTGTGCCCTCAAAAGATAGACTCCGCCATTAGCCATCAGGCAGAGACCCAAGAGCACAGCGGGCAGGTGTGGCCCCAAGGACCCAGGCTCTCTGAATTTTGATGGTGTCATGTGAGAGGGCTTGGGGTGAAGCGTCTCCAGGTGGGCAGAGTGAACACCAGCACCTCTAAGCTGGACTTGCACCCCCCCAACACCCCAGTGCTCAGGCACAGCCATGCAGACCTTATGCTCTGGGTGATGGGGGCCGATGGGGCCCCTCTCAAAGGGTCTCCCCACCCAGCTCAGTACTGGCCCATGGAAAGGGCACCCCCTGAGGTGACACAGGGAGGGACACCAGCAGGGACCATCTGCGTCCAGCTCTCGGCACCCAGGTCCCCATCTCAGGGATGGTTTCACAAGCAGGGGCTTCCCAACCTCCCGGCCACACCTAGAACACTCCTGAAAGAGGGAGGAGGTGGGCAATGCCAGCCCCCGCTGTGCCCACCCATTTTCCTACTAAAGGCAGGTGGGAAGGGTCTGCCTGGTGCCACCACAGCGATCCCTGCCCATGTTTTCTCTCCTCAGGTTGGCTTAGTGCCAGCTCTGCCACTGGGCCTATGCTCTGAGGACAGGAACGTACCCTGCCCAGGGCATGCCCAGCAGCTGTCAGAAACTGCAGCTCCCTGCTGCCTTGGGCAGAGGCCCTGGCAACTCCCCTGGCCTGGCAGCTTCACATCTGCACCCCATTGCACACTGGTCCTCGGGCACCCGGACAGGACTTTGCCCCATGCACACAGCCAGTAGATGCTCAGAAACACGGGGCTGCAGCAGAAAAGCAGGGTGATCGCAGGATCACCAGACAAGGAGATGGAGGAAACTCAAATCCATCTCCCCGAGGAGGCTGGGGCCCGGGTTTTTAAGGGTTCTGGAGCTCGATAGCTGGAAGGGGCAGCGTGATGTCACAGCACAGGGAGAGGAAGAAGCTGTATTTTCGTGATGATCCTGTTCCTCCGTGGGGGGTTTCCAAACTGGTTGCTGGAATTGGGATCTGAAAAACATCTTGGGCCAGCAGCAGCCTGATTCAAGCTTAATTATGAGTATCTTTCTGTCCAGAACCTGGCATGCAATTCTTGTCAACCTTAGGGGACAGTTTCATTTGCCTTCCTGTGACCATGTGTCCTGGGGCCTGCTCAGCACCTGGTATCATCAGGCCCTGCCCGCCCCTGCCTCACCTCCAGCTTCTACGTCTGGAAGCTCCCTACCTGTCTCAGGCATGGCCCACCTCCCCTCCCACCCCGCATTAGAAGCAGTGGTGGGCTGGGGTCAGGCTGCCCCGGCAGGCTCCTGGTGCGAGCCTCGCACATGGCAGGTCCCCCATTCCCCTCGAGCAGGCCTGGCCTGCCCCAGGCATTGTTTCTATACAGACGGATTTTATGTGCCTTTTGTTTCTTCTCACAAGCCTGACGGTCCGTGGGTTCTTTCCGTTGACGTCATCGCGGCCATCACCACCATCACCCTCTGCACCCAGCAGCAGCCTCCAGCGGGGTCTCCCCAACTCTTCCCAGCACGTAGCTCCCTCCTCCCCTAGGCCAGTTCAGCCACCTTGCAGCTGCTCCCCCATCCCCTGCCCCTCTGCTCACCCATTTTACCCTCAGGTTGGTGTCCTCTCCTGTGCCCCAGGCCTGCTCTGCCTCCCCACCACTGTGGGCGGGGCCTGTCTTAGAGTCCACCCTGCATCTCCCCTAGCACCTGCCAAACAGTCCGTCTTGAATGAGGAAAAAGTGAGAGTGGTGTTTCGAATTAGTCACACCTGGGTTTAGCCCCCCACCCTGCACTCCAAGCTCTTGGTCTCCTCGCCTGCAGAATGGGCACACATGAGAAGAAACAGCATCGCAGGGCCCTCCAGACAGAGCAGGCAGAGGAGGAGAGCACCCATTCTCCCGCTCCCTGCCTTCAGTTGCACGGAGCAAACCCAGAGCCCCCTCCCTGGGGGGTCCTCTTCACAGTTCCTTGACTCCATCGGAGGCTCTCAAAGAGCTGCATTCGCTCACCACCTGCTGGACTGCTTGTTTTCTTCCCTGAAGATGAGTGGCCTCTTTGGGGTGTTAATTCTTAATGATCAACATTTCCTTGTTAATTTCTCTAAACAAATCATCCTAAAAATAGGTTTGACTTTTAAACAATTTTAAATTAAAAACTGAGCTTTTAATATCTGTTTAGACAACTGTAAGACAGTGAAAGGTTTATTGACTTGAAGCCTACATTTTAGGAAACATGTAGTTAAATAAAAAATACCAATTTCAGTATTTTTCATAACCTTTTTGTAACTTTACCACAATCTTTTAGGAACTAACGTCATGAGCTTGGAAGGGAAATTTATTTGAAGTTCAGCGTAAACTGAGTTTCACTTCATTTTTAAAATTCTGTTAATCTCAAGCAAAAGTAAATACATTTTATTTTTTAAAAAAGTTAATAGTGGTTAGCTTTAAGATATTAAAAATAATTATTTTTTGTTATGCTCCTCTGTATTTTTCAAATTTCTACCAAAAATAGGTAAGTTTATAGTCAGAAAAAGCCATAAAATGTAGTTTTTACAAAGAAAACAATGGACAGCCATATTAATGTAATGTGAGGAAAGAAAGCAAAACAACAACAACAACAACAAAAAAAAACGCTAATCTGACAGCAAAAATACACTGAACACATGCTACCCCTTCCATACACGTGTCTCTTTCTCTGCTGTTCAGATGACAGTGATGAGCTGAAACCAAGCTGGTTTCCAGAACAGTTTTTTGTTTTAACTAAAAGCCACATTCAACTTCCTGTCATCAACAAGCACAAGGACCAGAAGGAGCTGCCTTTGGCTCTGGGGACCCCTCCTTCCTGATGGTAACACTGCAGGTCCCAAGGGACCCCTCACTGCCAACACCAGTGTCAGAGTCACCTGAGAGCCTGGGGAAATGCAGGTTCCAGGACCTCCCCTAGATGGCCAAGCTCAGCCCCTGGTGCTCAGGAACAGAGCGGTTTCTATTCCATCTTCAGAGGCCTAAAGTCTTTTTTTTTTTTTTTTTTTCTGAGACGGAGTCTCGCTCTGTTGCCCAGGCTGGAGTGCAGTGGCGCGATCTCGGCTCACTGCAAGCTCCGCCTCCCGGGTTCACGCCATTCTCCTGCCTCATCCTCCCGAGTACCTGGGACTACAGGTGCCCGCCACCATGTCCAGCTAATTTTTTGTATTTTTAGTAGAGACCAGGTTTCACCGTGTTTGCCAGGATGGCCTCGATCTCCTGACCTCGTGATCTGCCCGCCTCGGCCTCCCAAAGTGCTGGGATTACAGACGTGAGCCACCTAAAGTCTTCTTAAGCAAAGGCTGCAGCAGTTTCAGGGGGGATGTGTGTGACACTAATTAGTGTGAAGGACAGTCCCAGGGCATGCCAGCGCAGGACACAGCTATCCACCAGCACACAGGACCAGCACGTGGCCAGCATTCTCTATGGGGTGGGGCACCAGCACTGCGCTGCTTTTTTGGGATGGAAGGCCAGGCTCCCTGGGCTGCTAAAGCACAAGGCAGGCACAGTCATCCAAAGCCCAGCCATGAAGCTCACCTTCTGGCCCAGAACCAACCACGGGACAGCCATTTGCCAGGTGGCCTCCCTTCACAATGGAGACTCTTTACCGGGATGGGGCGACAATCCCAAGGCCACAGAACTTCCAGTCCCATGCTTCTCTGCCCACTCCCGGCGCTGCACCACCCAGCCTGGGGGTGCCACGTGGTGACCAGAAACCTCGTCATCCTGTCTACCCTTGGTGGGGTCTGGTGTGCACCCACAGACATCCAGGACCCAGGAAAGGCCTCTTGCAGACCTCACACAGCAGTGGGAATGGCCTCCTCTGGGGCCCTCGCTCTGAGTTGACACTGACGTCCTGGCAAGGCCTCCCTGCAGTGCCCAGCTATGAAGCCTGTCCCCTCCCATTCCCCAATCACCCTGCCCTCAACACCCTGGGGCCCAGCTTTCCATCCAGTCCATAGCAGGCACAAAGACGCACGTCCTGCAGCCTCAGGCACAGATACTAGGGGACATGACTGTGGGGGAGGCCCCCGATGCTGCTTCCCCATCTTTTATCCAAATATAGCCCTCCTTGGTACAGGAAGGGCAGGCCTCCCCGACCCCAACGAAGCTTGGGGACACAGTGCACTGTCACTCATAGGAGTGAAAAAGACTGTCCCTGGAAAGTCAGGAGGCAGCGCAGGGGTACCAAGTGCTGCAGGCTGCCAGGAGGGGTGCCCTCCTGGGGGCTGGGCCTGAGACTGAGAGCCAGGCGGGCAAAAGGTCTTGAGACGAGGACGGCGCCATCTCCTTCCGGTGGGAGGCACTACCTCCATCTACCGCCCAGAGGGCCAGGCTGGGGTTGACTTTCCCTACATCCTAAGGCTACATCCCGTACTGAGGATCTCACCTGTGGGACATGTTCCGCTTTTAACACTTACGTTGGAAATAACCCTGGGTTCTGAAAGTGGGGGACAGGTTCATTGCACCCCCTGGCACCTGGTCCTCAGCTCTGAAAATGGAGCAATAAATGCACTGCAGGGGTGTCGGGGGGGACAGGTGAGGGGGCAGGTGAGGGGGGCAGGTGAGGGGAGCAGGTGAGAGGGGGCAGGTGAGGGAGAACAGGTGAGGGGGCAGGTGAGGGGGGCAGGTTAGGGGTGGGTAGGGTGGGGGCAGGTAAGCAGGGACAGGTGACAGGGGTAGGTAAGAGGGGGAGCAGGTGAGGGGTGGGTAGGGCCAGGACACACACGCCAGCAGAGAACTGAGCATCACAGAGGCATGAGGCGTGACACCTGGACTGAAGGCCCCACTAACATCAGTGTTCTTGTCTGGCTCTTTGTCTCTTTCAGATACTTGTTCCCAGGACCTTAACTCACGTGTGAAGCCAGGATTTCCTAAAACAATAAAGACCAATGACCCAGGAGTCCTCCAAGCAGCCAGATACAGTGTTGAAAAGTTCAACAACTGCACGAACGACATGTTCTTGTTCAAGGAGTCCCGCATCACAAGGGCCCTAGTTCAGGTAACGGTCTGGGTTCTGGTCACATATCACGGACACCCCTAGGAAGCCGAGCTGCTACAACGCGACACCTAGGAGAGCAGGGCGGATATAATGTGAAGTCCCTGCTGAGTGCAGAGCTCTGAGCAGAAAGCAGATGCACAAGGGGTGGGAGTGGACAGCAGCAGCTGAGGCCAGCATCCCCCAGGGCCAAGCGCAAAGGTTACACAAAGCACACGGCTCCTGGGTGGTTACCAGGCCCCTGGCCCAGAGCCTACTAGGCATGGGGTAAGGAGGTGCCAGGGCCCTAATGGGGCTCCTGAGGCAGGCGCCAAGGCTGATGGGGGAGAAAGCCGCTGTCCGAGGAGCTGCCCCTGCTGGGACCAGGGTCCTCACCCGGCCTCACCCCTCACGTGCCCTGCAGCCCAGAGGTGTCTTTGCCACTTTCCCCCTGGAGTGCTCACTCACATCCCAGAGTCCAAGAGCTCTGCCCAAGCCACTGCCCTTTCCCTGACTCATTCCTACTGCGCCCGCTCAGCACCCTCCCTCCTAGAGGACCCTTGTCTGTGTCCTGAGAACACCCACTTGCTAATGTGGGATGCAGGCTGTGGATGACACCCACCACCGTGTGCTGGTGCCTGTAAGGGGCAGAAGCAGCCCTGTCCAAGGCAGTCTTCACAGTGTTCATGGTTATGCTGGGTCACAGGGAGGGGTGATTTTTATAACCTAATTATTTTTGACAATTGCAAACTTGTGAAGGACAGCATGTTTTCATATGAGAATCGTGGGTGTGTAGCCAGGGTCCTCGCTCTGCAGCCTGGCCTCAGGGACAGGGGATCTTCCCTGGGTGATGCAGGCCCTCCCTCCTTCTCCGGGTAGGCCAGTGGGATGCCCTGGTTCTGAGTCCTTGGGGTTCTCTGGGAGGGGACTTGGAGGTTGTCTCTCTCTAGCTTGGTGATATTGGGGACAACGTAATTCCCCTAAAGCTGAGACTAAAACCTGAGGAATTTTTCTTCAACTCCTCTAAGACCACAAATGAGAATGAACAAGGCGGCTGCCATATCCAAGTGGAGAAGGGCTGTCCAGAAACTCAAAACTCCCGACCCCAGGAATGGAGAGGGGAAGCCCGCAGACCCCAGGCCTGACACAGAGGCCACAAGAAACAGCCATCATGGGGCTGGAGTGAGGGCTGCAGGGCGGGCCCAGCAGGGCATGCAGGAGACCTAGTGTGACGTCCCTCCTGAGTGCAGAGCTCTGGCCAGAAAGGAGACATCTGTCTCAGGAAGGGGCACAAACCCAGCACGGGGCAGGGAGGGGAGTGGGAGGGGTCTGCAGGCTCTGCCGTAAGCCCGAAGCATTGCCCCAAGATGCTGGCCCACTTCCCTTCTCCTCGGTGGGCACCTGCACCACTGTCTTGAGGCCCTGCTTCCTAGTGGAGAAGCCTGCCCTCCCTCCCCTGTGCCCAGTAACCCAGTCCCTTTGCTCCCTCCAGATAGTGAAAGGCCTGAAATATATGCTGGAGGTGGAAATTGGCAGAACTACCTGCAAGAAAAACCAGCACCTGCGTCTGGATGACTGTGACTTCCAAACCAACCACACCTTGAAGCAGGTAAAGCAGCAGGCCCTTCTCTCAGATGTGCCCTCTCTTCCCCAGCCCACTCCCTCCCAGGACTGTGAAAAACACCGTCACCACGTCTCTAACGCAGCGCCCCAAACCTCACCCCTGAGGAAGCCAGGCCTCCCAGACTCCCGCACGACTGAGGATCCGGGAGAACAGGAGGTAGAGCCTGTGCCAGGAGCTCCTCAGATGACATCCTCCCGTCCCAGAGGCGGAGACACAGCTCTGGAAGAGCGTCCTGGGGTGCGAGTGGAGAGGGTTAGAGTAAGAAAAGCTTTCAAACAATCCAGAAATTATATATGTATCATATACATACATATGATATGTATCATATGTATATCATATATAGCATATCTCTGCAGAGAGAGCAAGAGAACGGGAACACAGCAACATTTAGCAATTACAGAGGTGAAAAGCACATTTTCTTAAATCGTTCTTTCAAGTTTTCTGTAGGTTTGAAATTTTTCAAAATGAAAAATAGGGGCAGGAGAAGAGCTCCTCCATGAGGACCACCCCTCCACGGGCAGAGGGCTCCCCGCAGGGAAAGTCTAAGCTCTCAGGTGTGCCCTTCTCTGTTTCAGACTCTGAGCTGCTACTCTGAAGTCTGGGTCGTGCCCTGGCTCCAGCACTTCGAGGTGCCTGTTCTCCGTTGTCACTGACCCCCGCCTCTTCAGCAAGACCACAGCCATGACAAACACCAGGATGCATGCTCCTTGTCCCCTCCCACCCGCCTCATGACCCAGCCTCACAGACCCTCTCAGGCCTCTGACGAGTGAGCGGGTGAAGTGCCACTGGGTCACCGCAGGGCAGCTGGAATGGCAGCATGGTAGCACCTCCTAACAGATTAAATAGATCACATTTGCTTCTAAAATTAACTCCTGTTTCTGAGGCTTCCCACCTAGATTCCGGGTCTGGGTGCAGGGGACTGAGTCAATGGAGGGAGTTGTGAAACTAAGGGATGATCCCCTGTGGCTACAGGCCCCCAGGAGAGCAGGGGTACAGCTCTGGGTCTGAATAATCAGCAGAGATGTGGGTGGGGACACTGTTGGCCACTGGGCGCCTTGGCCGGTTGTGATGAACACAACTGGGAATCAAGATGAACAGCCAGCAGCAGCCATGCCGGCCCTTTTACGGGAGAGTCGGGAGGTGAGGCAAGCCTTACCAGGGATCTCCCTTACCAAGGGGTCTGACAAGTTGAAGTTACTTCCTCTGGGGGGCTGGCCAGCCTGAGCTGCTAGCTATAACCCCCCGAAGGCCAAAGCCCCAGAACAGGTGAGCTGTCCGCACCAGGAGGAGCAGGGCCACAACTGTGCCTCCCTGAGTTTCAGGCCTCCCAGGGACTTGCCCTGCTGCCTGAGTGGGGGCAGAGCAGCAGACCGCTCCCCAGAGCCCTCCAGAGAGGACGCCCCACTGAAGATGACTCTGTTGGGGGTGCACGAGGAGGGAGAGGCCACCGAGGGCTGGAGGGCACCAGGATTGGAAGAAGACTGGAAGAAGTGCCAGACTGGGCTACCTTGAGCCCTGGGCGCCCCAGAGGACTCTGCTGTGCAGCCAAGGCTCGAGTCAGTGCCCTGCCATGATCCACAGGCTGCAGGGGCCACTGCCCAGTCAGGCACTGTCACCCTTGCTCCCAGCTTCACCTGCGCTTTCTCCAGTCACATCCCTGGGAGGCTGGCTCGGCTGTGCCAGCTGTGACTCTGGCAGTCACTAACCTAACCCCTTGGAGCCTCAGTTCCCATTGGTGCAATGAGGCCATGTCTTCTGGAATCATTAAGAGTCAGCGTATGTGAACAACTTTCAGAACTACAGGCCACTCTGCAAGTGTAGTAAGCTGATGATAAAAATCTCAAACTGATATCTCTGTCCTATGAAACGTAATAGCTGAATCTTGATGGAGTTTCTGTAAGGGATAACAGAGGCACATAATGAGTCACCTGATTAAGAGCATGTTAGTAATTCAGGTTAGAACGAATCCCTTTTATGTTTACAGCAAAAGCTATCACATATTTAAACCTAATAAGAAGACTCTATTTCACACCTCACCATGTCAAATTACCAGATAAAACACAGGAAATGACACTTGGAGACAGAAAATCAACAGCTAAGTCAACATCAAGACTCCATTGCTAAAAACTGTGAAAACCAGTTTGCCAGCTTCTCTATATTTGTGAAAATTAAGCACTGAAAGCAAAGCTCTCTGTTCTCAATTTAAAAAGGGAATCTACCTATAAGCCCAGCACATTTAAATTGTTTGTATGACAGAATGATTAGGTATTATTTTCTTTGTATACTTGACATACAAGGCACATCATTTATTACTAAAAGTATTTCTAATGACCACTAATTTTCTTTCCTATAGAGTCACACAAAAAACTTTGAGTTGTTTATCTGACACAATGTGGGTCACACCAATTAGACAGAAGCCAATCTTTGCCTCTGTCCTACTGGTGCTGCCTCCAGGAGCCAGCCTTGAGAAGCGGGGACACTCCCGACTCTCTACCCCCAACACGGGGCCTGACCAGCCCTGGGGGAATTAACCATCAGACTCCCAACTCTCTTCCCCCAATATGGGGCCTGACCAGCACTGGCGGAATTAACCATCAGACTCCCAACTCTCTTCCCCCAATATGGGGCCTGGCCAGCGCTGGAGGAATTGACCATCAGAATCCCAACTCTCTTCCCACAACACGGGGCCTGACCAGCGCTGGGAGAAATTAACCATCAGACCCCCGACTCTCTTCCCAACACGGGGCTTGGCCAGAGCTGGGGGAATTAACTATTGGACTCCCAACTCTCTTCCCCTAACATGAGGCCTGGCCAGCGCTGGGAGAATTAAACATCAGACTCCCGATTCTCTTCCCCTAACATGGGGCCTGACCAGCACTGGGGGAATTAACCAACAGACTCCCGACTCTCTTCCCCTAACATGAGGCCTGGCCAGAGCTGGGGGAATTAACTGTCAGACCCCCGACTCTCTTCTCCCGACACAGGGCATGACCAGCGCCGGGGGGAATTAACCATCAGACTCCCGACTCTCTTCCCAACATGGGGCTTGGCCAGAGCTGGGGGAATTTACTATCGGACTCCCGACTCTCTTCCCCTAACATGAGGCCTGGCCAGCGCTGGGAGAATTAAACATCAGACTCCCAACTCTCTTCCCCCAACATGGGGCCTGACTAGCACTGGGGGAATTAACCATCAGACTCCCGACTCTCTTCCCCCAACAAGGGGCCTGACCAGAGCTGGGGGAATCAACTACCAGACTTCCGACTCTCTTCCCCCAACATGGGGCCTGACCAGCACTGGGGGAATTAACCATCAGACTCCCAACTCTCTTCCCCCAACAGGGCCTGGCCACCACTCAGGGGAAAGGAGGACACAGGAGTCCAAGGCCAGCCAGTGCACACAGATGGTCCCAATGTTACCACAGCTATCAGTTCTCTGAATTTTTGTATCATTACATATTTATCTGATTTTTTTCTGACTTTGATATCTATTTAAAATACTGTCTGTGAAGTTATTCCAAACATCTTTGGAGACACAATCTCTTGTTACTCTCACAAATACCCAGGAAAGAAAGGAACAGATGTCAGCCCCATTTCGTAGGCTGGAAAACAGGAGGGAAGTGTAATATCAACTTACGCCAGAGGGAGTCGGCATCAAGAGCAGATGGTCTAAGGTCGCCTGCTCCTTGCCTGAAGACGGCTGCCTGAGAGAAGTCCCACAGCTTCCCTCCTGAGCTAGTCGGATGGACTGTTTGGCCTTAAAACATCATCCTCACCAAGACAATCCTTACATTGACACCTGATGGAATTAAATTTCAGTACTGTTAATTAAAGTAGAGAAGAAACTCCCAGGCCACACCATCAAAAAAGGTTAATCAGCAGAAGTCGATTTATCGTTATTTATTATCAAAATCATGACCAGTGTGTAGACATACTTGTGAAAATATACAGCAACTTGGGGCTTATAACACATGAGCAAAGATGACATTAACACGTGCACTGTTCACATCTTGGGGTCTAGAGGTCAAGAACAAAGATCACAGACAAGACGTTACTAAACGGACCCCTGCAGTAGGTCCCGAATTGCAGAATCATCCAATTCCAGCATGGTCAGCACGGAGATATTCACAGAAAGAAACCCAGCAAAGTCCTCTCTGAGCCGCTAGAGTCAACAAGCTTTTCATACACACTATGGAGAGCCCACGCCCCACATAACCCTTGAGAACACAGTTCCATGTCTTGGCTAACACGGCTCTCACCGCTGGCCTCAACACCCCTGGGCCATGCTCCCTCTGCTCTTCCATCCCCACCACAACGAAGAAAGGTATGACCGCACGTTATATATAGTAAAGAAGAACTTTGAGGCCGCAGGACAGGGCCGCAGCAGCAAGCTCTCTGGGTAGTGCCTTACTGCTCCACCCACCTGAGCCCTGTTCCAAGTGCAAGGAGCTTCCCAAATCCTAGAGAATGACTGTACTTAGAAAGTTTTGTTTTGTTTAAGAGAAAATGGCTTTACATGAATTTATGTTCCTCATGGCAGATATGTTACACTTCCCTCTAAACAGAAAGACAAGCCCAGGTGGGGCCCGGGCATCCTCGAGGAATGAAGCAGCCATTCCCACCACCTCTCAGGGACTAACAGGTGCATGTGGACACTTGAACCACGACTGTGTCCACAGCTCCTCCTGGACCAGGCCTGGTGCCTGAGTGTGAAGACTCCTGGCCTGCGTGGCAGGGGCAGCTATCTGGGAGGGCTAAACAGCCTGGAGGCTGAGTCTGCAGAGGAAGGGGGACCTGAAAGAGCCCAGGTACAGGTGCCCATCGTGTTCGTGCACCTCGCTGATGTAGGTGGCCACCAGCCCATCGGGATCATGCAGGCTTCTCCGGAAGGCACCGCTGTCGCTGAGTTCTAGGACGAGGCTGTACCGCGGCACAAACTTCATCACCGTCTCTTGACTAAAGAGCTAGAGGGAAGCACAGTGCAGGGAAAGTTCACCAGCTGGCCAAGAACACTGTGCGCAGATCAACCGTGCCGCCCCCACCATCCAGGAACGGTCTGACTCCTTCCCATGACAGGGCAGCCCCACAGGGCAGTGCCCCACAGGACAGCTAATCCAGCTCCCACTCCCAGCCCAGGGGCCCCAAAGCAGGCCCCACCCCACCCCTGTCCCTGTGAAGATCAGGCCAAAGAGGCTCCCCAGCACAAGGACAGCAACGCAAGCACATCTCTGGATGGCCTGGCTGAACTGAGAGAGACATATCACATCCGACGTGGTCACAGCACTGCAGCCAAGGCTCAGAATGACCTCCACTCACCAGATCACAACCAGCGCAGCTTCCCTGGAATACACAAGTCTTCTGTTTAGATTTAAAACATTTCAAATAGGCAAGGTGCAAATGATGGAGATTTGAGAGCAGCTCACATTCAAAAAAAGCAAGCAGGTCCACAGACCACACAACATGGCTTCCAAAACAAAAAGCAAAATCCCACTGCTTTCCTCAAAGCGGGGCGTGCAGATCCTGAGGGACGCCTACAGGGACGGAGGCAAAAGAGCTTAGACCTGGACTCTGTGGTCACACGGGACTGTTGAAGAGTATTAAGCAGAGAACAGATGGCGAGAGGCGTGATTTCTGGCAGAGCAGAAGGACACCTGGTCGGAAATTATGACAAAGCACTCCACTGCCTAAGACCAAGGAATGGAAATTAACAGACAGATTTCTAGCTTTTAATACAAGGGAAAATACCCAAACAAGTGTCCAACGAATAATGTCTCCCAGTCACTGGAAATGTTCAAGCAGACAGACAAGCTGACTAGACTCTAGGTTCAACAGCGATAGATCAACTGCATTACAGCTCAAAAAATTCCCAAGGCTTCCCACTACCTAGGAAATGCCATCTCCTGCTGTTCGGCCGTGGATCCTTCCCACTCTCCTCTCTTCTCTCTTCCCCCTAAGAGATCTCATCCTCTCTCACTATTACAACTAGTCACTTTCCCAGAAAGCTCTCAAATCGCCATCTCCAACACCAGTGCTAAGTTTCTCACTGTCTGGGACCCATGTCTGCCTGGCCTTTCTAATAGCACTTCAAATTCAACAGCCTCCCCAGCTCTGGAGACAGGGCCAGGACCCCAGCCTTCCCTTGATCCCAGTCTCTCTGTGCCCTACAAGCCCAGCTGCCAGTCTTGCCATCTGTTGTGTGTGTCCCTGGCCTGGGCCCTGCCCTGCCGCCTCTCCCCAGTCACTGAGACAGCTTCCACACAGGCTCCCACAGCCAGCTGAGCCCTGCTGCAAGCTGTTCTCCTTGCAGTAGCTGCAGTTCTCTTTAAAAACATTCTTTGTACTACATCACTCCCCTCCTAAACAACTCCATCAGGAGCATGGGGCTGAGCAGGGTACATGTGTGCAGGGGATGGCAGACCATGGTGACCCAGACAAGCCCACTCCGCTTGGGTGAGGAGGTGTCCCTGCAGGGGAGTGGCCTGGCACGGGCTGTCAGGGCCCACACGGGGTGAGGAGGTGTCCCCACAGTGAGGCCCAGATCAGGCTGTGAGAGCCCATGCAAGTGAGGAGGTGTACACCCAGGGACAGCCCGGTGCAGGGATCACAGCCCTTGAGGCGAAAGGCAGCCTCCAGCACATGGTCAGGGAGGAAGGGGACAGCCCAGCATGGGGTGCTACAGCCCTGGATGGGGCCATGTGACAGGGCACAGCAACCACAGATTGGTCACATGCACAGAAAATGGTTGAACAGGTAAACCTAGGGAGGACAATGGGATCCAGGTTTCTCACTGTTGGAGAGGTACAAATAGGGGGAAAAATAAGGGGAGAAAACTTGGATCAGTCCTGTGGTGTTGTCATGGTTTTCAATTTACAGATGACAGATGCAGGCATAAGCGTGAGTGGTGTGTGTGTGTGATGTCTACGCGTGCAGGTATATGTGAGTATGCATCGTGTGCTTGTACTCCCAGCGTTGTCCCTTAGGGACCTGGGAGCAGCGACACCCAAAGCAGCGAGTACACTCAGCACCCAGATCTCCTCCACAAGGAACCAGGGCTCCTGGGAGAAATGGCCGATTGCAGAGCTGAAGCAGGGACAATACAAGAGGAAACTGGAACGACTTATGTGCTGGAAAGTGAGGAGCTAGCCCAAGACAAGAGGACATGCCCAAAGGCCCAGAAGCCACACTGAAGGGGCTCCTCCTGGCCACAGATGGGTAATTTGAGCATCAAAATCAATGATGACTGTAACATAATCACCATTAAGAACATGGGAAACCATAAGATGGCACTGGTGATTACTTACAAAAACCACCTCTCTGCGAGCAACTCAGTAATTAGACATGAAAGAACCACGTCCAGGTGGAGACACCTGGCATTCCCTGCCTGAATCAGGTGGCCAAAGTTGCCACCACCCCAACAGAGCAAACTGGTATCGCGCCCTCATGACAGCCGCGCCAAGATGAGCACAGCTTCACTGCTGCGCCACTGCTGCCAACGATGCGAGAGCAGAATCTAAATATGAAAAACAAACCCTACTGGAGGGACATTCTGGGACACAGCTGACCTGTACGCTTTCAAAGGATCAAGGCCAAAAATTCAAAAAAAGACAGGAGCTGAATATCCCCCAGACTGAAGGAGATTAAACAGCTGACAACTAAACACCACTCCTGATCCTGGGTTGAATCATTTGTTATAAAGGACAACACCGGGACAACTGGCAAAATCTGAATGGGGCCTGCAGACCGGACAGTCACAGGGGAGCTGTGGGCATCTCCTGGTTTCACTCAGTGGTAATGAAGGAGAATGTGCCAAACACATGCTCAGGCATCTGCAGTGAGTGACAGGGCATTAGGCCAGCCGCTAACTCGGAAACAGTGCTGGGAAAAAAATCCCTTGTACCCTCCCTCTTTCCACAGCTTTGATACTGCCTCGAAATTAAAAAAAGAAAAAAATCAGGCCGGGCATGGTGGCTCACGCTTGTAATCCCAGAACTTTGGGAGGCTGAGACGGGTGGATTACTTGAGGTCAGGCGTTCGAGACCAGCCTGGCCAACATGGTGAAAACTCGTCTCTATTAAAAATACAAAAAATTAGCCAAGCGTGGTGGTACACACCTGTAGTCCCAGCTAGTCAGGAGGCTGAGGCAGGAGAATCACTTGAGCCCAGGAGGCAGAGGTTGCAGTGAGCCGAGATCACGCCACTGCACTCCATCCTGGGTGACAGGGCGAGGCTCCGTCTCAAAAACAAAAAACAAAAAAATCTTCAATGACTTGGATTACATTTTGAATAAAACTGAACCTTCTTTCCAAGTCCATGGGGCTGTGGTCCTCCCTCTCACCCCTCCTCACCCAGCTGCAGGAAGACTCCATGTTCCCTCATGCTTGCAGCCCCCTCCCTAACTGTGCCCTCAATCAACGGTACGTCCTCGCACCTACATGTGCCAGGCACTGTTGCAGGTGTGGAGGATGACAAATGAACTATGCATGAACTAAACAGAAAAACACCTGCTCTGATGGTATGCACATTCTATTCAGGGGAAGAGACACAACCACCACTCATACTACCCTACGCTAAGGGCACTATGTGCAGATTCTCACTAAATGTTCCCAGCACCTGATGAGGCACTATTATTCTTTCCACTTTACAGACAGAGCACCTGAGGCAGCGAGTCCAAGTCCCCGGCCCAGGATCCCACAGCTGGTCTGGCAGCCTCCAAAACCCCTGTGCTAGCCCACCTGCCATTTTGCCTCCCCCTAGGTCCCAGCAGGAACAGATGCTGTCTCTGGAGCCAATAAGGCAAAGAGAAGGACAGATTTCTCAACAGATTAGGACTTCCCACACAGCGACCCACAGAACTCACATCACTGAAGGCCGTGAGCCAGTCTAACTGAGAATGTGCACGCAGCCCCCAGGAGGGGTCCAGACACACAGCCCAGCAACAGGACTCAGCAACTGCTGCCTGTCAGCCCCAGGACCATAAGCTAGTATTTCCATATCGGTTCAAATATTCAGTATCAATTTAAAATACCTATTCAGCCTGTGACACGGAGCTTGCTGGAAAAGCAGATCTCTGTATTACACAAGTGCCCACATCAGCAAGTGACCCCTCCACAGTGTAAACGTGCTGAGTTATTATGTGGGGTGCTTCATGGAAGCCACTGGGAAAATGGCAAGATTTAAAGGCTGTGTTGAAGGGGCTGTTGTGTTGAAGGGGCCATGGCTGGCCATTGGTGGGGGTGGGTGACTTTTTTTTAAAAAGGGAAAGATTTGGGTGTGGTAAGAGGTCAAAGGGCAGAACTCCATAGAGAAGAGTGCCTGGCAGTGAGGCTGCAAGAAGGCAGCAGGGAGCAGGCGGGATGGCAGCTGTGGTGACTAGGTTACAGGGGTGGCCACACCTGCAGGGAGGGGAGGAAAGGGCACCTGCCGACTCTTTCCCTGAGGAGGCAGAGAGGGGGGTGGAGAGCACAGAAGGCCTGGCAAAGCCATGGCAGATGGAGGAGCAAGACTGACAGGCACGCAGATGCCCAGAGCCACGATGGTGAGGGTGGCAATCAAAACACCCAGAAACAGGGAACCAGAGACTGACAGGCAGGCAGATGCCCAAAGCCACGATGGTGAGGGTGACAATAAAAACACCCAGAAAAAGGAAAACCATAAGAACCAAAGGGTCCAAATGTTTAAATCTGCATTTCAGGATGAAGAATGAAATGTGTTTCTAAGTGTCATTCAGAGCCAA
The DNA here is from genome assembly GCF_000001405.40 of Homo sapiens. Lineage (NCBI taxonomy): Eukaryota > Metazoa > Chordata > Mammalia > Primates > Hominidae > Homo > Homo sapiens. The sequence goes on from NC_000020.11 coordinate 24,968,792, forward strand.
ATACTACAAGCAGAACTAGATTTTTAAGCTATAAGGGTCAAAAAAATATGATTCAATTCATTTCCATTTTCTTTCTTGGAATAACAGTTTTCACAGTTACCTTAAAAATCATCCTTTTAATCCAGGGTCTCTCAGATAAGAAATCCAGCATGGAAAACCCAGGGTTAGGGCGGATGGTCGACATGCCCACCCAGTACCCCCCAGAGCTGCTGGGCCGGATGTTGTCTGGAAATCCAGGCATGTTCTCCACAAACAGATCAGCCCCGCCCTTCATCAGGCCAGAAACGTAGACTCTGAAAAATTCACCCAAGCAGAGAGTGAACCATAGCCCCTCAATTTCAGAAAAAAAATTTTAGCCAAGCACCAAACTGGTCTTGGTCCAAATATATATATGGAAAGTGCTCTATGACCATCATGAACAAAGGCTCAGCTGCTGAGAAGAAACCTTTGTGCACAGGGCCCAGTATGAACAGAGGGGAAGTAGGTCAGGGGAGGACCAAGGCCCTGCCAGCAGGGGAATGGGGCCCGGGCTGCACCAGTCAGCCTTAAGACACTCTTCCGGACTGCGACTCGCAATGGGAGAAAGAAAGCGCACCCTTGAATTTTCTTTAACATGCCATGCAGAAGGTGCGCTGCTGCCTCTGATTTCTGTCGATCCCATTTCCATGCCCACCCCACCCCGGCCATGATGCGCTCTGGCCAGTAACTGATGGCTCAGCTAATCCCACACACACCTTCGTATCCTGGCCATGGTTGTTTCTGCCACCAGGACAAAGTCTTCTGCAGGAGACAGCTGGACTCCATTCGGGAACCGCAGCTGGTCCAATAAAACTTTTACTTCCCTGGTCACAGTATCATACTCCAGCAGGCTGTGGAACACCAAAAGCAGAGGGTTATGGGGGAGAATCCCTGGCTCCCACTCTGGGCCTTCAGGGTATGGGCCTGAAGAAGGTGACTCCGCCTCACCCCGGAGCAACAGGCCCTGGGTGCCCTGCTCAAACTTGATTCGAGGCTGGCCCCTGGGGGCCCTTCCCCATCCACAGCAGATCCAGTGTCCCCTCCAGGGAACCCCAAGGTCAGTTATCTTGCTCACCTGGGAGCTGGACAGGAATACCCCTCAGAGAGGCAACCCAAAGCCCAGGCCTGCCTCCGGGGTCTCTCTCGACTGCCTAGACTTGCACCCTCAGACGGACTGGCCTGTTTTATTTCCTCAGAGAAAACGAAAGCACCTTGTTCCATTTTGTGACATCCATCACCTGCCTCCAGAAGCCACTAAGGTCCTGTCCTAGAAGCTGAAATATGATGCTGGAAATACTCCCTTGGTCCCTAGAAGTAACAGGCTCTGCTGAAGCAACTGGCCTGGCTGGTGAACTCAACAAATGGGAGACCTGGAGCAAGGCCTCACCGCCCGTCATCTGTGCCCTCCATCACCAGAAGCAGGTAGTCTCGTCTTTGCCATTTGCTGCTAGAATCGGTGAAATAAATCTTCCTCCCATCCTGAGTGACTGTAAGATCATTCACAAAGGACATGTTCTTCCCCTCAATGGGTGTCTCGGAGGACAGCAGCAGTTTCACTTCACCTGAAGTTTAAAAAGAAAGAAAAAGATTGACTTGAACTAGGAACTTCTCAATAATTGCAAAATATTAACCAACCTAACTGATTTAAAAAGAAAAACTGAAACTTCTCCATGTCATTTGTCAGAAGATTTATTCCTTCTTATAGTAAAAACAGTATTAGGTGTTAAATGATTTTTTTAGACTAATTTCATTAAAGGCAGAATCTTTTCTATAAGGATGAGGAATTCCTTCTTTTACTAAGGCCAACTGACTTGATAACATCTACTGCAAGTGTTAGGCAGGCTTCAGTTCTATTTGTTAGTTCTATTTGAGAGAAATATGACATTCTACTCATCTCCTTTTAGAAAAGAAAAGTAGTAGTAAGTTTTGAAAAATAATAGAAAGAACATGGATTGAGTGCTAAGCACTCTCGAGGTGTGATCGCCTTTAAACCCTCGCAACAATCCCACAGGCAGGGCTACTATGACCCCAATTTGATGAGGAAGCTGGGCAGAGAGCAACTAAGGGACCTGCAGTCACAGCTGGTGGCCAGCAGAGTGGAATGCCCCCAAGCAGCTGGGCTGCAGGGCCTATGTTCGGGCCCCCACGCACAAGACAACGGACTCCTCCCCAGCAGGAACCTCCACTGAGACACACAGCACGTATTACAGCCTGATCAAGGGGACTCATGAGCAATCAGGGGAGAGAAGAGGAGGAACTACAGGAGAAAACAGAAAGGAAGAGACAAAGGGGAGGGCCACAGAGAAGAAAGAGAGAAAACAAATAGACAAGACGCAGAGAGACACACAGAAAAATCAAGACAGAAAGAGGTCTAACTTCCTCAAAATAAGTCCTTTTGAGACCCTGTGGCTAAAATATAAATACTAGGAGGAAATTAGGATACGGACCAAATGGAATCATGGGTAGGGAGTTTTCTGGTGTTTAAAACTAGCTGACTTTTGCAGGCAATGTTTTCAGTACTGTTCAGTGAATAAGAAATATCAGAGTCTTTAGTAGACTGTTGCTAACAAATCCTATTAAGTCTACACATACATATATTGTTTAAAAGATCTAAAATCTTCATAGAAGGAAACGAGATATTGTCACATACGTTTCCAGGGATTTACTTCAAATAGTCCCTTGTATGCATCGGCCACAAAGAGAGTCCCATTGGGCCCTGCACGGATACCCAGGGGTCTCCCACACACAGGCTCATCATCTCGGGTTTCTAGAAAAACAAACAGATGGGGATTGGTAGCTGGTCCCGGATTCTACATGTGCTGTTCTCAGTATCCAAGCATCTCATCCATCCCTTCCCATACATCATGCTGTACAGAACAAGACAAGACCATGGCATTAGAGCTACAACTGCCCTGCAGGTGCTCACTGCAGGTGCTTATTGCAAGGTGTTCATTGTGGGGTGCTCACTGCAGGGTGCTTACTGTAGGTGCTTACTGCAGGGTGTTCACTGTGGGGTGTTCACTGCAGGTGCTTATTGCAGGGTGCTCACTACAGTTGCTTATTGCAGGGTGTTCACTGTGAGGTGCTCACTGCAGGTGCTTATTGCAGGGTGTTCACTGTGGGGTACTCACTGCAGGTGCTTATTGCAGGGTGCTCACTGCAGGTGCTTACTGCAGGGTGTTCACTGTGGGGTGCTCACTACAGGTGCTTACTGCAGGGTGTTTGTGTAGAGTGCTCACTGCAGGTGCTTATTGTAGGGTGTTCACTGTGGGGTGCTCACTGCAGGTGGTTATTGCAGGGTGTTCACTGTGGGGTGCTCATTGCAGGTGCTTATTGCAAGGTGTTCACTGTGGGGTGCTCACTGCAGGTGCTTATTGCAGGGTGTTCACTGTGAGGTACTCACTGCAGGTGCTTACTGCAGGGTGTTCAAGTGGAGTGCTCACTGCAGGTGCTTATTGCAGGGTGTTATTGCAGGGTGTTCACTGTGGGGTGCTCACCACAGGGGCTTATTGCAAGATGTTCACTGTGGGGTGCTCACTGCAGGTGCTTATTGCAGGGTGTTCACTGTGAGGTACTCACTGCAGGTGCTTACTGCAGGGTGTTCAAGTGGAGTGCTCACTGCAGGCGCTTATTGCAGGGTGTTATTGCAGGGTGGTCACTGTGGGGTGCTCACCGCAGGGGCTTACTGCAGGGAGTTCACTGTGGGGTGTTCACTGCAGATGCTTATTGCAAGGTGTTCACTGTGGGGTCCTCACTGAAGGTGCTCACTACAGGTGCTTATTGCAGGGTGTTCACTGTGGGGTGCTCACTACAGGTGCTTATTGCAGGGTGCTCACTACAGGTGCTTTTGTGGGTCATTAACTGTAGGGTGCTCATTGCAAGTACCACTGCAGGTGTTCACTATAGGTGCTCACTGTAGGTGCTTACTGCAGGGTGTTCACTGTGGGGTGCTCACTGCAGGTGCTTACTGTAGGGTGCTCACCATGGGTGATCACTCCAGGTGCTATTGTAGGTGCTGACCATGGGTGCTCACTGCAAATGCTTATTGCAGGGTGTTCACTGTGGGATGCTCACTGCAGGGTGCTTACTGCCAAAATGGCACGGAAAAAGGCAGGTTAAAGAACTGATGTAGGGTATAATTCCATCATACGTGTGGGTGTGCATGTCCATGAACAAAAAGATGTCTGAAAAGTGAACCACTAAAATGTTCATAACAATTACATCTGAAAAGACTCAGGTGATTTTTATTTTCTCCTTTGTACCTTTGTGTTGTTTGTGTTTATGAAAATACATCACTTTAATAAAAACATTCCAGCTATTAAAAAATGATAACTATTAAGTCTATAGACTATCAGTTTTAAACAGTGAGTCTTCTACTCTAGTTTTCCAAAATTTGAATGACTTAAGGGTATTCTCACTTACAGGGCTGAAATTCCTGAGACCAAGGCAGAATAACACTTACACATCCAAGTAATGACAAGGCCACCTACTTTTCCACAGCAGCACTGTGATAACACCTATTAGCCTCTGAAGTACCGCAAAGGTAAACGGGGACCCCAATAAAATGGTGAGGGGCGAGGCCCATGCAGTACCAAGCAGGGGCCACAGCCACTACCCAGCTGCAAAATGGGGACTGTAGGTGACCATCAGGCACCGTGAGGCCCAAGGACCACCCGGCAAATGAAGAGCTCGTAGTGACGTCATGTTCCATCTACTAGATGGTCAGAGGTTCTTTTTCTCCCACAGGCATTCTAGGGAAAAGCAGTTCCACACAACGATCCAACATCTTTCTGAAAGACTGGAAGAGACACATCGAGGGATTATCACCAACTTACTGCAAGGGCCCGAACCAAACCGGGCAATGGTCTCTATTTCACCATTTTCAAGTTTTACGACCCGGCCATCTGCTGTCCCAGTAAACATCACATCTGTTTAAAAACACAAAAAGGAGGAAGAGCAATGTTAGCCTAAGAAATGTGACTAAGCCGCCTTCTCCTACAAGAGGGCTTGTTTACATGTTCCCCCTGCCCTATAGAGGAAATGCCAATTCTCAAGATGGAAGAGAAGCAATTTCTGGGAATATGAAAAATCCTTAAAACTTACAGTGATAAAACTGCGGGGGCCTAGGGAAGCAGCCTGTGGGCATGAACCTGACTCAAAAGCAAGGGTGCAGCAGATACCAGTCAGTGATGAGAACTGTGAGGATTTTCTCCAGTCCTGAAGCACTCAAGCTGACACTCAGCACTTAGGGGCATGAGTTCATATTCACCTCACATCAGTGTCTGCTGCTGATATTGATTATATCCAACTAAAGGAGAAGAACTGCCAGAAATCCTTTAGAAGAAAATTACAGCACATTAAGTGCTTACTTCAGCAGCACATATACTAAAATTAGAATGATACAGAGAAGACTACTAGCATGCCCCTTGAGCAATGATGATACACAAATTCATAAAACATTCCATAGTTTTCAAATGTATATTGCAAACTCAAGGGTAACCACTACAAAAAGTAAAAAAAAGAAGTATAACTGATATGCTAAGAAAGGAGAGAAAATGGAATCATATAAAATACTCAGTTTAAAACTACAAAAGACAAAAAGAGAGTAGAATGCAAAAATAGAAACAAAGAATAAGGGCAAAGAATAGAAAACAGTAACAAATACGGTAGATATTAATCCAATATATCAATAATCACTTTAAACATAAATGGTCTAAATATACCAACTGAAAGAGAGACATTGCCAGAATTATTCAAAAAACAAGACCCAACTCTATGTTGTGTACAAGAAACCCACTTTAAATATAAAGACATATATAGATTAAAAGTGAAGGGATGAAGAAAGTACATCATGTTAACACTAACCAAAAGCAACCCAGAATAGCTGTATTAAATTCAGACAGAGAACACTTCAGACCAAGGAAAGTTATCAGGGATAAAGAGGAGCATCACACAATGACAAAGGGGTCAATGCCTCAAAAAAACATAAGAACCTTTAATGTGTATATGCTTCACAATAGAGCACCAATATGTGAGGCAAAAACTGATGAAACTGCAAGGAGAAACAGAATCCACTATCACAGTTAGAGACTTCAACAATCTAAACAAGAATAATCACATGATCATATCAACAGATACAGAAAAAAACATCTAGTAACATCCAACACCCATTCATGATTAAAAACTCTCAGCAAGCTGGGAGTAGAGGGGAAACTTTCTTAACTTGATCAAGAATATCTATAAAAAAATCTACATATAACATCATACTTATGGATGACAAACTAGAAGCTTTCCTGCTAAGATCAAGAACAAGGCAAAGATGCCCCTATCACCACTCCTTTTCAGTATCATACTTGAAGACCTAGCTAATGCAGTAAGACATGAAAAGGAAACAAAAGGTATACAGATTGAGAAGAAAGAAATAAAACTTTCTTTGTTTGCAAGTGACATAATTGTCTAGATAGAAAATCTGAAAGAATCAACAACAACAAAAAACCCTCCTGGAACCAAGCAATTATAGCATGGTTGCAGGATATTGCAAGATATTGACTCACCTTCCTTTATACTAACAATGAACAAATGGAATTTGGAATTGAAAACACAATACTATGTACATTAGCATCCAAAAGATTGGCATACTTAGGTATAAATATAATATAATATACACGAGGTCTATATGAGGAAAACTAGAATATTCTGATGAAAGAAATCAAAGAACTAAATAAATGGAGAGATATTCCATGTTCATGGACAGGAATACTCAATATTGTCAAGATGTCAGTTTTTCCCAACCTTAATCTATAGATTCAATGCAATCCCAATCAAAATCCCAGCAAGTTATTTTGTAGATACAGACAAATGAATCCTAAAGTTCATATGGAGAGGGCGAAGACTCAAAATATCCAATACAATATTGAAGGAAAAGAATAAAGTCAGAGGACTGAAACTACTCAACTTCAAGATTCTCTATAAAGCTACAGTAATCAAGACAATGTGGTATTAGCAAAAGAATAGAAAAATAAATCAATAGAACAGATAAAATTTTTAGCCCAGAGACAGACCCACATAAATACAATCAACTGATCTTTTGACAAAGGAGTAAAGGCAATGCATAATGGAGAAAAGACAGTGTTTTCCACAAATGGTGCTGGAACAAATTTGTTTGCATCCACATGCAAACAAATAAATCTAGACACAAACCTTATACCCTTCACAAAAATGGAATTCAAAATGGATCATAGACCTAAATATAAAATACAAAACAAATTCCTAGAACATAGGAGAAAATCTAGGTATGATGATGAATTTTTAGATATAACACCTAGGGTATGATGATGAATTTTTAGATATAAAACCAAGGTGAGATACATGAAGAAATAATTAATAAGTGAAACTTCATTAAAATTAAAAACTCTTGCTCTACAGAAGATACTGTCAAAAGAATGAGAAGCCACAGACTGGAGAAAATATTGGCAAACAACATGTCTGATAAAGAACTATTATCCAAAATACACAAACAACTCTTAAAACTCAACAATAAGAAAATGAACAACCCAATTACAAAAATGGGCAAAAGGCCTGAACAGACACATCACCAAGAAGATATACAGATGGCAGGTAGGCATATGAAGATATTCCACATCAAATATCATCAGAGAAATGCAAATTAAAACAACGAGACACCACTATACACCTATTAAAAGGGCCAAAATCCAAAACACTGACACCACCAAATGCTGGCGAGGACATGGAGCATCAGGAACTCTCACTAATTGTTAATGGGAAGGCAAATGGTACAGCCACTTTGGAAACGCTTGGTGGTTTCTTACAAAACTTAACTCTTACCATACAATCCAGCAATTATGCTTTTCGGTATTTACCCAAATGAGCTGAAAACTTAGGTCCACACAAAAACCTGCCCACAGATGTTTATACCAGCCTTATTCATAACTGCCAAAACTTAGCAGCAACCAAGATGTACTTCAGTAGGTAACTAAACTGTGGCACATCCATACAATGGAATATTACTCAGTGCTAAAAAGAAATGAGCTATCAACCCATGGAAAGACATGGAGGAATTTTAAATAAATGCATACTACTAAGTGAAAGATGCCAATCTGAAAAGGCTACATACTGTATGAGTCCAGCTACATAACATTCTGGAAAAGGCAAAACTATGGAGATGGCAAAAAGATCAGTGGTTGCCATGGGTTAAAAGAAAAGGGTGGAATGAACAGGCAGAGCAAAGAGGATTTTCAGGGCAGTGAAAACACCCTGTAAGATACCATAACAGTGGATACATGGCATTTGTCCAAACCCATAGAATGTATAAAACCAAGAGTGAACCCTACCGTAAACTACAGACTCCGAGTACTATTGACGTATTGATGTGAGTACATCACTTGTAACAAACTTACCCTTGTGGTGGGGGATGTTGATCATGTGGGAGGCTGTGCATGGCATGTGTGCAGAAAAAGTATTTGACGAAATGCAACACCCAATCGTAATAAAAACTCTTTTTCAGAAAATCTCTGTACCTTCTGCTCAATTTTGCTGTGAACCTAAAACTGCTCTTAAAAATAAAGTCTACTTAAAAACAAATAAAATAAAGCCTGCTATAGTTGGTGGTTACTCTCTCCCAGCACTCCCCAGAGCTAGTACCTCCTTCCACTGTCAGCAACCTGCCAGCCAGCCCCCAGGACAGCTTCCAAATGAGGTGGCAGAGACAGCAGTGGCAGGTCCCTGCGGCTCACACCCACCAGAGAGGACCCCACTGTGCCTGGCCAAGAAATGTCACCAGCTCATCAAAGAAAGAGAAAAAGCTGGGACCTGGTGACAAAGTACAATGAGAAGTAACCCAGTGAAAAAGAAAAAGACAGGAAAGTGCTCTCTTTGGGAGGTAAGATCATTGGTTTGCACTTCAACTGCTGTTAAGTTTCAGTTTTAAAGAGCAAGATTTGATTTTTCACCAAAAAAAGCTAAAGCTTTTAAAATTTACACAAATAAATGCCAATGTCTTTTTAAGAGAAATACAAAGTTCTATCATGATATTTACTCTTCTTGAAACAATTTTGACTTTGACAGCCAAGAAAACAAACCAACTGCAGAAATGGACCAGTCCTTGGGGCCTGTGTCAAATAACAGGGCCCAGGCAAGAGAAGCTGGTCAAACGTCACTAGAAGAGAGGCCACTGACCGGCCTTGAGAGCACAACAGAAGCACCCTGTGTGCACATATCCACAGCCACCCACTGCCTGGAGAACAGTGTGCTTCAGAATAACAAGCGGCACTTCCAAAGAAGCTGCTCAGCAAGCCCATACCAGATTAAGTTTTAAACTATCTGTGACTATCTGTGCCTTCCCAATACTAAACTTAATTCTCATTTTAACAAACAGAAAATGCCTTGTTCAAGGTTGCTAGAGATGCAAGTATTAGAACCAGACCCAATTCTAGTTCTGAGGCATGGGCAAGTGTGATGCAGATGGTTACCCTTAAGTGTACCCATCAAGGTGAGATTTCAAACAGTCAGACAAAAACAGTGGAAATATTGAGAACCATTTGTCTTCATCACAGTGAAATCTATACAAAGCAAATGGAACTAAGAAATACTGTGCTGTCAAATAGCTATTTAACTTTGATAAATGAACTAAAAATCAGTATCTGTATTTGGCCTTTTTCCTTTCACAACACTTTGAGCACAACAAAGTGTTCCATAGAGATGAATTCAAAATCACCCAGTGCTAAAATGGCATGCAAACTGGGCAGATGAGACCAGCAGAAAGAGCCACTAGGGCCTCCCATGTGATGTCTGAGGGCCAAGTCCCACGTCCGCAGCTAAGAAGGATGTGCAGGGCCCCAGTCCAGGGGCAGCGTGCCACTGCAGCTGCTCCCACAGAACCCGCCCCCTCAGACAACAGACAGCCTGGAAGGCTCCCCCCCCACCCAAGCTTAGACTTACCCCCAATATGTGCTATGGACTCCGGTCCAACAAGTTGATTTTCAAACAGCCTTTCTGCCTGTCGCAGCTTCGTATTTGGATGCAGAACACCAAGCAAGAGCGGGGGTTCTTTGAAGCTGCAAAATAATGCAATTCCAGAGATCTGTCTATAAATACACATGTGAAGAAAATGTGTACCGAGCACCTGCTCTCAGTTCTTTGATAAAGATGGCACTTTCTAACAACATCCTCAGTTGCCAGAAATACAAGGGTTAAGAAAAAACTGTTCTAGGATATCAGAAAACATCATGGTACAAAAGAAATATAAAAATATAAATGTGCTAGTGCAAGACCTTCAGCAATCTTGTCACCTGAGAGCATCCTGAGGCCTGTGCCCACCCATCCTCCAGCCTCCCCAGCTCCCCACCCCCATCCAATGCCTCAGGGCAGCTGGACCTCCTCACCCCTGTGACTCACAGCCCTACAGCCACTGGAGTCTACCTAGGGTGGTGGGGGGCAGTGCCCACGTTTCACACCTGATGACCCGGCCTCGTATTTCACAGAGAAGATGGAAGGAGCAAGGGGAGACCTTCCTGGGACTGGAGCCACCGTCCCATGGTCCAGCACAGGGCACGCCACCTCCCGCTGATATTCTCGAGGCCCACCAGGCTCTTCCTGAAGCAGGAGCCTGAGCTGGGCCCTGGAGCCCTTCTACTCACAGACACGGCTCCAGAAACTCCTGCCTCTACTCGTCCTTCCCATCCACATGCCAGTATGTCACGCCTCCCAACCCACCATCAAGTTCTGCTGAGGCCACTTTGAAAAGACACCATTGAACCCGTCTCCCCATGTCCTCCTTACAACCCTGGCTGGGGCCACCATCCTCTCGCCTCGCCCCTGCTCCCTCCCTTGACCCCTGTAGTCTATTCTCAATCCAGCAGCCATGCCGGATCATGACCTTCCTCTATTCAGAGCCCCACAATGGCCCCCTCTCACCTAGAGCCAAGTCCTGGCAGCAGCCTCTGAGCACCGCAACCTGGCCACAGCACCTTCTTGCCCCCTCTCTCCCTTGTGCCTTCTGCATCCCTCACACCAGCCCCTCCCTGCTGGGTCCTAACCACACCAGCATCTCCCTATCCAGGGCCTTCACACCAGCTCTTTGCTCCACTTGGAACAGCAACCATCCCCCACCCAGGAGGCCCACTCTGACCACCCAACTAAATATCCGATACCTCCCCCGAACCCAGGCCCCTGCCCTACTCCATGCTCCTCATAGCACACACCAGCTTCTCATGCACTGTGTGATCTGCTTCTGTTATGTTTATGGTCTGTTTGTCCCCACTAGAACATACGCTCCATGAGATCAGGGATTTCTTTCTGTGTTTTTCTCTACTGTATTCCCAGCATCTGGCACCCAACATGGCACACAGAAGGCTCCCAACGAGCACTGCTGGAGGAAACCAAAGTAGAGAGGAATATCTTCCGATTATCCCCTGTCCCCTGCCTCCAGCAAGGCAGAGAATTCAAGAACAGGAAGGAGCTAAGCGTTGGGGAAAAGTTTATGACAACAGCAAAAAGAGCTTCTTTAAAGCTCTCTTCACAGCAAAAGAGGAAGGAAGGGAAACCCCACCTGGGGCAATTGGTGCCATGCTACGATGACAAGCAGAGCTGCCAGCTTCGCTCGGCCTCGGTCACCTCAACACGCCGGGCAGCATGGGGTCACCATAGTCAAGAGGCCATGCTCGGCCTCGGTCACCTCTACACGCTGGGCAGCGCGGGGCCACCATGGTCAAGAGGCTATGCCACGATGACAAAAGCAGACCTACCAGCTTCGCTTGGCCTCGGTCACCTCTACGCGCCGGGCAGTGCAGGGCCACCACAGTCAAGAGGCCATGCTACCATGACAAAAGCAGACCTACCAGCTTCGCTCAGCCTCTGTCACCTCTACACACTGGGCAGCGTGGCGTCACCATGGTCAAGAGGCCATGCCACAATGACAAAAGCAGACCTACCAGCTTCGCTCGGCCTCGGTCACTTCTACACACCGGGCAGTGTGGGGTCACCATGGTCAAGAGGCCATGCCACGATGACAAGCAGAGCTGCCAGCTTCGCTCGGCCTCCATCACCTCTACACGCCAGGCAGCGCAGGGCCACCATGGTCAAGAGGATCAGGCCAGCAGACGGGGCAGAAACGGCCACTCAGCTGATGGACGGGTGTTTGGGAGTCTACCCAGGATACTACATCACTCCCGTGAGAGCTTAGACCACACTTAGAAATCTCTAAAAAATCAGAGAACAGGCAGACCAGGAGTATGGAGGGACAAAGAGAAGGATGGTCGCTCTTCCAGTCTGGACTATTACACAGCTGGTTTCAGTACTTGAGAACAAAATCACCAGGAAGGCTGCAGGGCTTTGCCAAAAACCTGCCCTGCAAAGTCACTTTCCCTTCTTTCTGGGAAGATTAGAGGGCTGTCATAGACACAGCATATATGACATCCTGATTCCTATAGCATGTACAGAGTAGTTTTCAAGATCCCTGTGACAACGTGGGGAGATGTGAACAGAGTAACAGGGCATCTGTATGATCACGGATGGCTGGCACAAGTGAAGAAAGCCTGCACTAATGCAGTAATACTCAACTGCAGAGAAGTGACCCACTGTGACCCACAGACTGCACAAAGGTTTTCCTAAGCACTTCTGAGAACCAGCTCTCTGAGGTCCCCCACATCTCTCTCCCTAACACAGGAAGCCAGGGTGTGGGGCACTGCTCTCTCCCTCCCCAGCGGGTCTCCTGTTGGCCCTGCCTGAGTTTTATACAGTGCTTCTATTTGCTCTTGATGTCCCAGACCACCCATAAAGGTTGTTGCTATTTTTTAATATCTCTCAGTTTGACAGTTTCACCCGATAGTAAAATGTGTACTTCTAACAGTACTGCAACTTTCAACTCCCAGTAGAATTACTCTTTCTGTTGGTCTTTAAAATTATAGCAACCAAATCCATTCTCCAAAATGCTGCTCTATTTTTTTTTACCATAAATTTGACTTTAACTGATATTTTTTCAGTGACTAGAAACATTCATATCCTTCTATGAAAAATAAACTTTTTGTTCCCTTCTGGAGAGAAACCATGTCCTTCCACAGAGTGACTGTGGGCTGAGAGGGCTGCAGCTGAGTCAGCACCCGCTGGGATGGCGTGCATGGGGCATGGCCTGTGTTGTGGCCACGTTCTTGCATGAGACACACCAAGCTCTGTCATGTACCAGGCTTCTGCTTCTGCTCTGCATTTTGGGGCCTATCTTCCTGTTTTTGAGTGTGCCATGCCAAAAGCAGAGCCCAGGAGAGAGGCCCCTGTTGGCTGTGATTCCAATGCCATAAGCTGAGCCCAGGAGAGAGGTCCCTGTTGGCTGTGATGGTTCCACTGCCATTCTGAAAGCTGAGCCCAGGAGAGAGAGAGAGACCCGTTGGCTGTGACAGTTCCACTGCCATTCCAAAAGCTGAGCCCAGGAGAGAGGTCCCTGTTGGCTGTGATGGTTCCACTGCCATTCCGAAAGCTGAGCCCAGGAGAGAGGTCCCTGTTGGCTGTGATGGTTCCACTGCCATTCCGAAAGCTGAGCCCAGGAGAGAGGTCCCTGTTGGCTGCAGCGGTTCCACTGCTTCTCTTCCTTTCCTTCCTCATCAGGCTTTTCTACTCAACAGATAGAACTCACTTTGTACAAACAACTTCCAATCCCCAGTAGGCTCTGCTTCCTTTCAGTGTCTGGCCAGGGCCACATACCCCATTTCCCAATGCATTTCTTCACCACTCTTTCCACACATAAAATCATCTTTCCTGAGATCAAAGGTCTTCAATCACTGAGGCTCCAACCTCTCTCTCCAACTCAAAACTCAACCTCAGCCTCCTTTTCCAAGGCCAGCCCCCCAACCCAAGCTTCTAATCCCCAGCTGTGGACACAGTTCACTCCCCCACCTTAGCCAACTGGACTATCTAAGAAGGCCCAGGTCAGTTTCCCTTTGGCTAGAATGAGCCATCCTGCTCTGTAAAGAAGGGTTAGAAAGAGAGAAGCCCCTCCCTCAACACATCAGGGGACCCCCCCCCGCCACCCACCCCTGACGCCCCTCCTTTGGAGACAGGATGTCCTCAGGCCTGGCTCAGGCAGAAAAATCCATCTGAAGACCCACTGGCACACCAGGAATTACAGAGCTGACACTCTTGGAGCGGACTAGAGTCCCCAGTCCTTCACCCATTCTCAATCTTACATGAGCAAATTGTGTGTTTACAGCACCTTGTGCCTTTACTATTCTAAATCCAACAACAAAAAGTTCACTCAGCTACACATGTCAATCTAAGGTCAGAACCGTGTCCTCTACATTCTTAGTGAATCGGATCCAATATAAAGCCTTAATTTTTATGGATAAAACACTACATTATTCAGCTAGTATGTTATATTCACTCTTTAACTAGGTATAATTCTTGTCTGAAGTTTTTAAAGCCTTACCTGGACTAACTCATTTAAAATAAGCTTCAGATGGCTTCACCCCATCAGCAGTTGCAAGGGGAACCAGGAAATTACTGAACCAGACTGCACAACCCTCCTGCAACTATGTCAACATGGAAGTCATAGATCGTCACACTGATGAGAGCCTGGCTCTATCCCACTATAATTATAAACATGAATCTATTTCAGGGGGCTTTACATATACAATAGTTTTTTCAAATTATAATGGACTGCATTACTCATAGATCTCTATCGGTGAAAGGTAACTTAGGAAAAAAAGAACACTAATTATGGGTTTTGTAGAAAATCAGTTACTTACAAAATTTAAATGAGGTAACTGAAGCTCCATTTGTGTGTGTTTTTGCTACCTGAAATGAATTATAGTTGACTGTCTAATGATTATTAAGCTTCTCTAATTTTGAATTTTTGTTTTTGGTTGATGCAGTTTTTTTAAAACAATGACAGGGAAAATACCATGCATATTTCCTGAGTAACATCTAATTCAGCATAAAAACCCAGGTACTAAAGAAATCACAAAACTCTATTTCTCCTAACTTACCTTTCAGATCAGATTGATTTAATCACCCTCCTTTCCTTGGAAATTATTTCAGCCTATTACATTTTGTCAAGCAACCCCTCCTGAGGACTGCGGGGCAGCCTACCTGAGAGGCTGTGGATCTATAGGAGATTCCAGCAGCATCATGGCTCCAAGCAGGGGAACGGTGAGAGAAACAGCCAGCATCAAGAAGGTCACTCGGAAAACTCTGCCGCTAAAGGAGCTGCCAGAAATAAAAGATACAAAGGCAATCAGCTGAGTCTCAGACAGTGACAAGGTTGGCTGGTCCGAAAGCCCTCCCGGCAGGAGCAGGGACGCTCATCCAGTTTCCCCACTGCAAGCTGGCCGACCTCTGGCTTGTGATTAAACTCTAGCACTATTTGCTAGGATTGGCAAACACACTTTTGTTGTTGTTCTTTTTTTTTAATCTTCCAGCTTCCCCTGTGTGGGATACGTTGGATCAGTTACTTTCCAGATCTTGAATCCTCCAGGAGGGTTTTAAAGAAGGCAAACTCAAAGAACTGATGAACACAAAATGTAATGGGGAAAAAGAGTTCTAATGACATAAATGATACACACTCATCCACAGAAAAGGTGGGTAATTCTCAAAAGCTACGCATTCCCGGTGTATGGATTCAAAGCAGCAACACTCAGTACTATGCAGCCCTAAGATTCTCACAGATAGAAGAGACAGCTAAAGTCATGAAGGAAATGGAAGCAGAACAACTTCCTGAGGATCCAATTCCCCAATCACTTTTCCCAACCTACTTCTAAGAATTTAAAAGGAAATCCCAGATCTTCAACCTAATAGAAGAAGTCTGGCAGATACTGACAGTTATCCACACAGGATCTATAAAATTACAATTCAAAGTCATCACTCCTGAACCCTTGGGAAGATATGAAAGCTTCCCTGGGAATCCTGGGTGAAGTTTTTGGACAAATGACCAGTAGTGCCTTAAATATCTCTGAACCAATCTTCACATACAGTATCTCTCATCTGGCAAACAAGTGAAAGCATTTGGCCTCTTGCTACTAAATAAACCTCATAGGATCATTACTTGCTTACATGAATTGAACTCAAATTTACTAAATGCTTGGCATTAATATTAACTTAAACAAAATCATGAGTTCCTAAGGTAGAATTTTTTTCTTCCATGAAAAAAAGTGTTGACAAAGAAAAAAGTCAAGACTCACACTTAACAAAACAGACTTGATTTAAGGGGGCAGGGTTTGATTTTTGACAGAAGTGTAGTCTTCTGCCATTTAGACGTGTTAAACTCTGTTCTGGGTATGGTGTAGAAACATAAAGGCCAAGCCCTCTTTCCCAACAACCAGCCAGGGAACTGCAGGCCAGTTTCTCCACTCCAAAACCCACAGTTTCCCCCAGTGTGAAACGGGGTGTTGGGCAGGGTAACTTCCTGAACATGCATGATCCAGTCCTGAACATGCAAGATTTTTCACAAACGAATAAAGCAGAAAAGAAAAGAAATCCCTCTATTTCTACTGGGGTAGGTGGAAATAAAGACAAAGGAAAGACTAAGGGGAAGAAGAGGGAGCAGCTTTCACAAAGTGTCCCTTGCATTTTGGACAGCACCTCTGCAGAGTGGCTGGGTTCTGCCACCAACCTGAGTGGGCAGGAAACAGAGCCTCCCCAGAGCCTCCAGAAACACAGCCCTACTGACACCCTGATCTTAACACAGTGAGACCTGCCCAGGACTTCTGGCCTACAAAACTATTACATAATAAATCTGTGTTGTTCAGGACACTCATTGTGTGGTAATTTGTTAATGGCAGCCATAAAAATTAACAGTTTTCTAAGTAAATTAGTTTCCAGCACCCTGGAAGTGGGGTGTTGCTGTAACAGATATCTAAAAAAATGTGGAAGTAGCTTTGGAATAGAGCTGTGGGTGAAGGAAGGAAGAATTCTGAGGAGCAGCACAGAAAAAGCCTAGATTTCCTTGAACACATTAGTAAAACTACGGATGTTAAAAGACTCTACTTGTGAGGTCTCAGAAGGAAGAGGGGAGCATAGCAGGAAAAAAAACCATTGCCTGGGAGAACACCTAACTGGGCACGAACACTGCTGGCACTGCTGGGGAGGGTGCAGAAGGATGTCACGAGCATGGGATTGGAAACTGGAGCAAAGTGGATCCTGTAACACAGTGGTAGAAAGCTTGGCTGAATCGCGTCCTGCAGTTATGTGAAAAGCAGAGCTTCTAAACACTGAAACTGGACCCAGCTGAGGACATTTCCCAGCACAGTGTTGAAGGCAAGGCCCGGTTTCTCCTGCTGCTTCCTCCTCCAGAGCAGGACAGGCCCGAGGGCAGTGTTAACCACTGCCTTCTTCCTTTGCCATTTCCCTTTGCTGATGAGAATTCTGTGTCTATTTTTCTTCTAATAATCTTCCAAAAATGAATTTTGTCCCTAACTTCCTCCCCTTCACTCATAAGGGGTTCAGAGCTCACCCCGTACACCTGAGGCCAGGTAAAATGCCACATTGCCAGTCCTTACCCCTTTTATTAGGTGGGAAAGGAGGTGGTCCAGACCCTACAAACACAAACAAAATGCCACAGACACACCAGGGAGAGGCCAAGGGAGCCCAGCTCCTGGAAGAGGGCAGGTGAGAATGAAGGGGAAAGTCAGGTCAACCTCTCCCTCCCAGTCCTGTCTCCAAACCCCAGGACCAAATAATCTTCTTCTAATGTGACTGACTTATACCAGTCATGGGTATAAGCACCACAGGCATAAAAATGTCTACAAAGCACAGAACTACGACCTGACATGACGGCAGGCTCATGCAACCTGAGAGGTCTGCAGCAGGGAAAGGAGTAAGGGCCAGGAAAAGAGGAATGGCAAACAGTCCAAATGAGAGTATGCCAAGAAATGTGCTTTACGTGGGCAACCAGATGGAACCAGGTATCTCTCTCCTTCACAAATGAGGGAAGTGGGCAGGGAAAGGCTCAAGTGGCTTTCCCACAGCCAATGCAAGAGCTGGAAAAGCGCAACTGAGAGCCAGATGTGACTCTATGGCTGCGGTCACCATTAGAAGCGCTGCCTGCCAAGAGCAAGAGGAGGGAGTGGAGGATGCCCAGACCTAGAGCCCTCAGAGCGGGAGTTTGAAAGCTCTGTGAAAATTCATGGTGATCTGCCTATTCTAGGCATTTCATATAAGTGGAATCATACAACAAGTGACCTTTCATGACTAGCTTCTTTCATTCAGTGTGTTTTCTAGGCCCATCTAAGTTGCAGTATGTATCTGTACATGGTTCCTTTTACCAGTTGATTATGTATGTATCTACCACAACTTGCTGCCCACTCATCTGGTTTTTTGTTTTTTAAATATAAAGACACGGTCTCAGTATGTCAACCAGGCTGGAGTACAGTGGCATGATCATATCTCACTGTTATCTCAAATTCCTGGGCTCAAGTGATCCTCCTGTCTCAGCCTCCCAAAGTAGCTAGGACTACAGGTGTGCACCACCACACGTGGCTAATTGTTTTACTTTCTGTAGAGAAAACATCTTGCTACATTGTCCAGGCTGGTCTTGAACTTCTGGCCTCAAGCAGTCTTCCCACCTTAGCCTTCCAAAGTGCACCCTGAGATGAGCAGGCATGAGCAACCATGTCTAGCCCCACTCATCTGCTGAACATTTGTGTGGGAGGGGGAAATGGGAGTGATTACTTAATCAGTACAAGGTAAACACCTTGCTTTTATGGGGTGATGAAACAGTTTTGAAAGCAGAGAGAGTTGGTGGTTGCCCAACATTGTGAATACACTAAATATCACTGAACTGTGCACTTTAAAGTGGTTAATTGTATGTTATGCGAATTTCACCTCAACTAAAAAAAAAAGTTGACAGTGACAAGAATGTTCTAAACTTGGATTGCGGTAATTACTGCAAAACTGGCCATTATACTAAAAATCACTGATTTGAACATTTTAAGTAGGTTAATTTTATGGTATGTGAATTACATCTCAATAAAGATGTTAAAAAAAAACAAAAACAAAACAAAGTCAGTGACTCCACCATGCAAACTGCCACTCCAATGGCTAGGACACCCTTCAACCCAAGTGATTTTCTTTAAGTGACCTAAAGTCTTCCAACACAATAGAAATGAAGTACTTGTACAATAAAGCAGGGCTGGTTACAAGTAAATGACAGAAACGCTTCTGACAGTGTGAACCCCAAAGAGAGACAAAGCATATGGAAAGGTGGATGGTGAAGATGTGTGGCTGCCAGCCCTGAGAGCTGCCCTCACTGCACTCTGGTACTGAGTCCAACAGGGACTGCCTGCCTTAAAGGAAGCTGATGCCATCACCCACCCCACTCCCAGGAGAGAAGAGTCCCTCTAGGGAAGGTACATTGTGTTTTCACCTCATGACCTTCATTATAAACAGTAACAATCTTGCCAAAACGCTACTTTTTCCTTGCCTAACATCATTCTACCTAAGGCAGATTTTCCTCATCTGTCTTGACTCCAACATTGTGACCTCTACTTTACCACACTGCAGCTTATATTTTTAAAATCTTGATGTGGTAATCTGATTCAGAGCTGGTGGCACCCCATTTAAATACCTGGTTGCCCCTTCACACAATAGTTAGAGGCTCAATTATGTCCCAAACAAAAAGTCCAGCCAGGACTGAAAGCCACGGGGCTTACAGCCAGAAAGGAGGCCAAAAGTCCATTGACAAAGATTTGTGTCCCAATGCTGCGGGATCTACCATACCAGTAACACTCTCCTAAAGCTGGAGAAGAATTTAGAGGCCACTCAGTCTACTGTTCCCAAAGGCAGCCAACTCCTGGATGGGCTACATCAAGATGACCTGGGCCAGAGATTCTGCTTTGGTAGGTACAGGGTGGGCCTGCGAACTCTTTCATCGGTTGTTCCTCATGTGCAGCTGGACACCACTAACTCTATGCAGCTCCCTTCCCAGTCAGACTTCACCAACACCTCCTCAACCTCACCTGATCAGCATCCAGCCTCCACTGGAAAGTTCTGTGGTCACGTATTAGAAATACTAGCTTAAATTTAAACAAAACTCCTTGAGCTGCACTGTCCAATAGAACTTTCTGCAACGATGGAAATACAATAGCTACTAGCCATGTGTGGTTCCTGAGCACTTGAAATGGAGTTAGCTTGTTATATAAATGAGGTAAGCACAGCTCCTGGACCCCTGCTCTGGGTGCCACACTTATTTTAGCCCAAGGTCCATTAACTTTTCGGCAGGCCCTCATCAGTGTTGCTTCCTGTAAACTCACAGTTAACCACAATTCTTCTGTCTTTTCTCGGTGTCTGCCTCCCTCTTACTCTTTTTTTAACTTAAATAAAGAACACTGTATCGATCCCTATCCATTTTCACTGACAAAGCATTGCAGGTTCCCAACCTGTGCTGACACATCCAGGAACGCTGGCAACTTAGTTCCCAGGCGCAGTTTGAGAAATCAGTTTGTTTGCCCCAATCTCTCGGAAGAGCCTGGAGGGATGCCCATCTCCATGAGGACATCTGCACCCTGAAATTGCCTACACTCTCTGAAGGCAAGAGCACAACCACAGTGATGCAACAGGATTTGACAACTGCTGTTGGCTGGGCCATGATTTACACAATCTTCTGTAGATTCACCAGCCAATTTGGCAGATTTTGAAGGGTATCCTCTAACTCTGCACACAGGACATTAGGGCCTTGGGTCCTGAACTGAAGTCCCAACAAGCAGACTCCAAGAGATCAAAATTCACCTGTGATTGTTGTGGAAAACCTGATAGCCCCAAATCCATGGGGTACCAGCAACCTCATGTGTCAAGGTGATCCCTGGAACCTGAGAAAATCAGATAGCATCAACCCATCTTTTTTAGTGACAGCATCTTGAATTTGTTCATTTTTCACAATCCTTTAAACTGGGGCTCCTAGATTCATCAATTTATCCTTGAAAAAAATTAAGAAATCAAGAAACAAGTTTAAAAAGCCATCTGAAAATACACACCTGGGGCAAAGCTGAGACAAACACTCCAGCTGCCTTACTCCTCATGAATTCGTGAATGCCCAATCTGTTTCTCCATACTTCCTCCCTTACTCTTCAGTCTCCAAGAGGAAAAAGGAAAATGGACCTAGCAGACTTTTAATTAAACTAAAATCCTTCAGAAGTTTATTGAAAAAGGAGAATTATACAGAATTTAATGTATTGAAACATATTAAATCCTCAATGTATTTATTCTGCATCCCTAAACAGTCACATATGGACATTAAACAGTTCTCTTCCTAGATAGAACTGTGTTTCAAACAGAAAGGAATAGTTCCACAGAGTACAATTAAGTTTCTAAAGCATTTCGGGAAATCAATGTCAAATAATAATTATAAGCTTGCACCGGTATGTTAAAGTACTTAGCTCATCTATGTTCCACACTGAATAAAAGAATTTACCAACCAAATTCTCCATTATATTTCAAATACAGTAATTCAAGAGCTTTGGCATAAAGTCTTATTTCCAAAGCATAATTTTAAAAATACACTTCTCAGTCATTGTCCAGCTGCCAGTTCTATCCTTCTTCATTCATTTTCATTTCTCTTTTGACTCTATTCTCTGTAACTTCATATAAACCACCTCACACACATAGACCTCAATGATCTCATCAGCAAAACAAAGCAAACACCCACCTTTTGTGCCAAGAGTTGGGAGACCACCCAACGTATTACTAGGGGTCCCTACCACTGCTAAAATCTATGTCTTAGTTCTGTCAGTTTAGTAATATGTCTTTCAAGGCTTCCTTTATTCTATTTAGCACATCTAAAGTGCTAAAGTTTATTCTAATAGTTTCGTGTTTTTACTTCTGAATTTAGATTCCTTTACTTCGCCCACTATACACAGGCTTTCCTGGCTTATGTTGAACCCTCGACTTTTAAGGTAATCAAGAATACTATTACATGAACTACTAGAAATGACCACAAAATAAATGAAAAATATAGGAGAAATGCAGAAGAAAAATAAGAAAAACAGCTACCATGTTACAATAATAATTGCGGAAAGGAAGGGTGGTGACAAGACCTCACTTTGAAAGAGATCATTACAGATATACAGAAAAGGGATAAACAAACAAGAAGGACAAACACAGGGAAACAGGAACAATGTTCATGGACAGGGAAGTCAAGGAAATAAGTAAACATAAATGTAAAAGGCACACTGGAAAAGATCAGGCAGTAAAAGATGACTTTAGAATCAGATTTACTTACTCATTAAGGAAGAAATCCCCACAGAGAACCTGAAAAAAACAATTAAGTCTGCCTGCTTGCCCTGGGGCCAGAAGTGTGAGCCAGCCAACTTGAGAGTTGGGACTACCTAACCGGTGCCCTCAGGGGCTGTAGGCCCTGGTTTTCAACACACTGCACCTAATGACAAACTCAGGCCACTGCTCTTCCATTTCTCAGGTAAAAATGCCTTGTTTTCAAGATTTCTGTAGGAAAGTGTTGCCAATTCTTGCATGTCCATTCTAAATGGCTCCTCAATCATCAACAGATGATTAATTCACAATATTCACAGTAAGTAGGGTGATCAGATTGTCCCAGTTTGCCCAGGTTTAGCACTGAAAGTTCTACATCCTTGGAAACCCCAGTCCAGGGCAACGCAGGATGGTTGGTCAGGATATATGGGAGCATCTTCCCGATCTTTTCACTGGCCCAAGGAGTCAACTATCACCGCAAAGTCTTCTCTCTAAATTGCCTCTCTAGAGCCTAAATGCTCCTTCCTGCCATCGCTCTCCTTCAAATGTGTTCCTCTTATCATCAGTCAATAAACTCAGTCTACAGGGGCAAAAACTGCCTCTCATTCATATGTACCCCACCACCTCTTGGCACACTACTGATGAACAAATATTTCCAGTATTTCTATCAAATATAAGTCAATCAGTCCCACAACTTCAAGCTTGGTCTATGGGGCCTCTTGATTCTCCCTGAAACTTAAAAGTTATGAAATTCAGGACACAGAATTGAAAAGTGAATTTTAAGTATCTTATATTGAAATCTATGCTTACGAATCATGATTCAGTTTTTAGCTAACAAAACACAGCATTCTTATATTCTGAAAGATGGGAGAGGAGGCAAAGGGCAAAACCTGATATTTCTTAGGTGTCAACAACTACAGTTTCCTATGTTTCTCCATCCCTATCAGGAAAAACTGCCAGGCTGAATTCTCACAAAAATTGCCTACAATGTCACTACTGTTCTCCACTCTTTCCAAGAACCGCGGTGAGGACTGGTCACGCAGCGTGAGGGGGGCAGGTGCAGAAGAGCAAGTGTAGAAGCCATCTCTTCGCCGGATAACGAGGCAGGACCCCAGCATCTCGTGGGACCTCCTCCCTTCGGGAAATTGCGAGCGGGGAACCAGGAACACGCAGGGCCCCGGCCAAGTAGCTGTGCTCAGGGGGATCATTTAAGCCAAAGGAAGGACAGCGCGAGGGGAGCGAGGGAAAGGCGAGGAAGCAACCGCTATGCAGGGTGGGGCAGGAGTGAGGGAGGGAAGGCAAAGGAGCGGCGCGAGGCGGTCTCGGGTCCGGAGAGCCGAGGACAACGCGGCGACTGGGCGCAGGGTGCACCCGAACCTGAAAGACCTGGCAGGTACATCCGCCTTGTCGGAGCCTGCTTCCTCGGAAAAATGAGTTTTTCTTGGGGATGAAACGAGAGGACTCTGACAACGCGCTCGGCACCGCATCCCCAGGTTACTGTTACTGCCGTCGCCGCTGTCCAAGAGGGTCGCCCTCCACTCCTAGCGGCCCGGCTCCAGCGCCCAGTCTGGGAGTCCGCCCTACCTGCCGTCCTTAGCCTCCGGGGCCTGGCCATCATCGTCTGTGACGACCTGCGGCCGCAGGGGCCGGCGCTGTCGCAGCCCGTCCGCCTCGCTCATGGTACGGGCGCCAGCCTCACCCGCAGAAACCACCTCACACTGAGCGGCGCCGGCTCAGACTCCAGGCCCGCCCTCCCCCGTACGCGGAAATGACGTTGCGCCCAGGGACCATTCCGCAGCGTTCTCCCCGCCCCTTCCGGCCTCATGGGCGGGAGGTCCCCGGCGCGTCGTTGCTCGGCGCTCTGAGGCTAATTCTGACCGCCCGGAAGTGGGGCTCGGAACCCGCTCAGAGATAGCACCGGGAGCTGCCGGGGTCCCCGCCTGTCTCGGACTCCGGGGCCCAGAACGCGAGTGGTTCAACCTCGGGCTCGTCTAGCCCAGTGCCTGCGCATGCCGCCTTCGTCTCACGTTTCTGAGGACGGGGATGCTCATGACGCACTTGGGAATTGCTAGCACGAGATGTTGGCCACTTTTATCGTTGGAGAGGATAGCGCTGTTTATTCAGTGTCAGCGACCCTGCTCTTACAGGCAGCGTCAAAAATAATGCATTCACACCCTTGGAACGAAGTCACCTCTGCCTGAAAATTACATCCTTCCCCGACTCAGCCGGTTAAGGGGAAAACTTGGGCTAGAAAATGTTTCCCTCTGGTTAAGGCCAGATGTTGAGTATTAAATCTTTTTGTGACGATTACAACAGACATTTGATAAAGTTTATTAAGTTTTGATAAAGTTTATTAAGTTTTGATAAAGTTTATTAAGGATTACCCTTAAGTAAAGTCCAGGTAGAAGTAGAAATTATCACTAACAAAGTTTAAGAAAGCATAGAGAGGCATTGTTCTTTCAACAGTATTGCAGGAAACCAGAAATGTTCCCAGGTGCTGGGAGACGATGGTGGGCAAATCACAGACAAGGCCCCTCCTTATAGAAATTAAACTAGTGGGAAAGATGACTTTAATCAGATCATCATCATAAAATAGACGTAAAATTATCAAACGTAATAATTGCTTCAAAAGGGAAGAGCTGAATCTTGTGAGAGCATTTGAGATTCAAAGAGGAATCGAATCTGGAGGAAGTGACAGGCAGAAGAAATCAAAGCCCGTTACCAGTGGCACGAGGAATTATCTCTGGAAAAGCCATGTTCAAAATGCAGTGTTAAGAAATAATTTCCTCTTGGAGGCTTTTACCTTTTTAAATGCTAGATGGCACTAGAATTCCATGTGAATGCTTTTTATTTATTCATTCAAAGAGCGGAAGAACCAGCTTGAGGGAAGTGGAGAGCTGTGCAAATCCAGTTCTCCAGAGATCCCAGGTAATAATTCAGGCCTCGACAACATTTTACTTCATTCTGTGTCATTGAGAATAGCCAATACAGCTATTAAATCAGGGATAGTGTTAACAAAGTACTGTATGATCTCACGCCTTCCTGCCTGTCTGGACTATCCCTCTTGCTCCCCACCCCCCATTTCAGACATTCAGGATGGCTTAACATGTCTAATCTCATGCCTGGCTGCCTTTGTCCTTGAGGTTCCTTCTTCCTGTGATACACTCTCCTTCACCTCCACTTGGCCAATTATTTTTATCATTCAGGACCCACTTCAAGTATCCTTGCTGAAAATTCTTCTCCCAGTTTCCCAAGCAGAACATCTTCCTCTTTGTCTTCAAGGCACTTTAAACATGTCCCAGCCATAACATTGAACTCACTGCATTGGAGCTATTTGTGTTCCATGCCCAGTGTTAAAGCCCACGCACTGCAAACACCCAGGGACACATTCAGAAGAAAAATAATGGCAGTAAGTTGGGTTTACTGAACTTGCTGCAGCAAAGAAATGCACCAGAGGACCGGTGAGGTTCCTCAAAATGGGGGAGTCATGGGAGACTCCTTGTGGGGTTTGGGGGCTGGAGTTAGTCCATCGATAGTCTTGCCCAGGGTTGGTCAGAATCCGTTAACAACGGGAGTCACTGGAGGAACCGTGGCCTTAGCTCTGGGACATGTAAGTCCATTCGGAGTTATCAGGAGGTCAGCTCGTGGGCTTATCATGAAGCACGTAGGTAGTTGGTGTTACAGTGGTCTGAGCTAGATCATTTGTGCTGCATAGCACGGGTTCAGTACAGTTTTTCTGTTTTCAAGTCACGGTGAAGCACGCTTTGCTTGTTGTATTTGTTTCAGTTATCAGTTCTCCCACCCCACCTTCCAACCAGACCGACTTTGTTTCTCATCGTGCTGATGCCAGTTGTTGGCAGAGGAATGGGACCACTATGATTAATTTGATCAGGTTTCTCAGCACCACTGATATTTTGGGCCAGATAATTCTGTTAGGAGGCGGAGGGGGGCCTCTCCTGTGCGCTGGTGTTTCAGCAGCATCCCTGGGCTTCCCCCACTAGATGGCAGTAGCATCCCACCTAGTCGTGATGATAAAAAATGTTGCCAGACATTGACAGATAGCCCCTGGAGGACAAAACAGCCCTTGGTTGAGAAGCGCTGAGTGAGACCAACCAAAACCCACACCCAACCCTGGCACTGGGGATGAGGCTCACTTCCATCGGAACACTGGCCCACGTGGAGGGCATTTATCTCAACAAAAGCAGGCTCTGCCAGCATGGAAGAAGAAGCGCATGATGCTGGCAGGGAGCCCACAGTATGCCTCGCAGCTCAAACCAGAAGCAAACCCTACTTCTAGTCCAGTGCTTTTTCCCAGTCCCATGCTGTTTCAACTCCTTCCACAGAGATCTCCTGAAAGCCTGCCAGATGCCAAGTGCGGTGACAAAACAAGGGTGAAATACAGTGATCCAGCCTGCACAGGCGTTATCATCTTGGAGGGGAGAGAGGAAGCGTAACGAACGACACTATAAAGCACTGCTGCAGAAGAGCTGCAGGGTACCTTGGGGCTGCAAGGAGGAACAAGTGCTATTAGATGGGACTGACCAGAGATGTCTTCTTGGAGGAAGGGGCTTTGCACCAGGACTTAGATAAATAAGATTATAATGGCGGGGGGAGGGGGAGGTTGGGGGATAGAGAAGGACAAGAAACAGGCTAAGAGGGATGAGTGGGGTGCCCAGGGATTGTTAAACAAGGGGGTGATGATCAGGGATGGACATCAGGGTTACTGAGTGATCAGAAAGAATAGCCACAAATATATACGCCTGTTATGTACCCACAAAAACAAAAAATAAAAATAAATATTTTTAGCAAAGAAAGAATAGTCTGAAAAGGGCAAAGCAGAGCAGGAAGTAGCTGAACCCCTTCTTCCCCACAAGTCCAGGAAAGCACAGAAGGCGCTGCCAACTCGGAAAAGGGCTGCAAGGGAAGTTGTTCTGTCGTGGTGGGATGTCGTGGTGGGAAGCTCCAGTTTTAATTCAGGTGGGACAGTGGAGACAGTAAACTTAGGCAATGTACACTAGTTTGTTCACCGCAGGAAAAGCACCTTAGAGACCATGCAGCTACCAGAAACAGACATCCACCAAAGCTGGCGGAGAATGAGGGAGGGATGCATTGGAAGGATCTGGGGATACCTTATGGAACTCAGGCTCAGAAAGTACAGCCAGGCCTCACAGGGACTGGAACAAAGACCTGGGAACACAGGGGCAGAGTCACCCTCTGCCTCCTGGTGCCTCACACTGTCCTGTCTCTGCACCCCTCCGTGCTCACATGGCACGCCCTGCTGGGCTGGCCCTTTCTCTTTTGTTGCCCTCCCCTGGAGAGCTGGAAAAGATCAGTGTTACTCATCCAGCTGTCAAAGCTAATGCAGCCATAGGCAGTATTTTGGCACAAGATAAAAACAGAAATATAGTGACTATTTTGAACTTTAGGAAAGTTTTTGCATTTCTGATAAAAGGGACAAATGGGACTAGCACTGCCCCTTCTTCTCCTGCCTGGAACCCGAGAGTTAAGCATGGAGCAGCAGCATCTTAACACCACAGGAATACACCTTGATGTCTAAAAAACACACCCAGAACAGAAGAGCCTAGGTCCTTAATGGTGCCCCTGAGCTGTTCACCACAGCCAGCAACCACCTACCTCAGGGCTGCCTATCACATGAGAGAAACAGTCCTTTTATGCATTGAGGCAGCTCTCAGGGGAGCAATTTGCACTGCTCCTCAGGGCCAACAGGCTAGCATTGTCTACCTGGACATATCCATGGTGAAAAAGCATCGCCTAAGCCCAACTCTCCCTGGCTCTCCCATTTCAAGTATCCCACACCAACTAACTATGGTCTCCGTCTCCAAGTCTTGATTCCTGGACTGAGAATCTGATGTTCCCAACTTTGGTGAGGTTGATGATCCATGTTAGAGGATAAGACCCCGTGGCCCATTGACCATTCAACGGGAACAACACAGCAGCCTCCCTGTTGTAGGCAGAAGGGCAGGACAGGCTCACTGAATGCGTGGTCACCCCATGAGAAGCAGGGAGGAGCAGAGGTGAGCACTGAAGAGAGTCTGGCCAGGAAAATTGCCCTAATTGCCCACGTGGAGGATTCTTAAGGTCGACCTAGACTTGGCAGGAAAAGTGCTCAGGAGGAAAGACGTTCAGCAGTCACCTCCACCACAGGCATGTACATTCCTGATTGTCTGTTGTTGAAAAGTGAATGGCCAGCCCCTTTGTTCCCTTTGGAATCTTAACACTGACATTTCATGATTAGCACAGATCACTCATTAATCATGTTTTATTACATCCAGAAACCATCTCTTGAGAGTAACTACACTTGACCCTTGAACAACATGGGTTTGAACTACACAGGTGCACTCATGGGAGAATGTTTTTTCAATAAAAGTTACACCAGCCTCCCCTTCCACCTGCTCCACCTCTTCTGCCTCTGCCACCCCTGAGACAGCAACAACCCCTCCCCTCCCTCCTCCTCCCAGCCTACTCAATGTGAAGACAATGAAGATGAAGACCGTCATGATGATCCACTTCACCTTCATGAATAGTAAAAATATTTTCTCTTCCTTATGATTTTTAATGGCATTTTCTTTTCTCTAGCTTAGTTTACTGTAAGAATACAGTATATAATACTTAGGACATACAAAATATGTGTTAATTCAATGTTTACAGCTATCAGTAAGGCTTCCGGCCAACAGTAGGCTATTCATAGTTAAGTTTTGGGGGAGTCAAATGTTATATGTGGATTTTCAGCTGGACTGGGGGTTGGCACCCCCAACCTCCACTTTGTTCAAGGGTCAACTGTAATCATTTCCATTTTGATGATTCCTGTCCTGCTTTTTTTTCTGTTGAAAAAACTTATGCATATTTGTAAGAGTTCAATGTTTCTTTGGCTCTCAGTAATGAAGAGATGTGTTGTTTGGGTGAGGTAATGTCCTTCTTTAGGAAGGAATTGGCCCAATGTGTTTGTTCATGCAGAAGGCTGTGTGGCAAAAGTTTGGATCTACAGGAACAGAGAGACTAGAAAACCCAAGATTAACCAACTGATGGCTCTTGCCAGAGAAGTTCCACCCTGTTGCAAAAGAAGTTGGCAATGTTAGTTATCTCAAAAGGTTTCCAAACTCAGGTGCGTACTGGTAACGTCCTAGGGTATGGAACACCCAGCTCCCTTCCATCTACTAGTTCTGGGTTTGTTTAGGATAGGCTTCTTGCCCTCTAGCTTGTCACCTCCATAGCCAGGGGTGGCTCCCTGTGGTCCAGTTCCATGGGCACTAACCAACAACTTTTCTTGTATCTGGAATAAAGACTGGCACAGGTGGGAGCCTCAGTTTCACGATTAGCAACAGCCACTGGAACAGAACAAAGTGCAAACTCAGGCACCCACAAGTGGCAAGTTTGGGGGGTAATGGCATTCCTGTAGGATGGCTGATAGGGAGCAAGTTGACAGGGAGACCTCCACTCTCCCATGGCCTTAATAGAAGGAGAAGCAGCAGCTGGACAACTGAACAAAAGCATGACTCTTCTCCCCCAGACGGATAAACTGAGCCTATCTTCTCTGTTTCTTCCCTTTCTGCCCTCCAGAGAGCAGGGTGGGTGAGGACACCCTCATTTCCTCACTCTGATGCTTGTGAGCCAAGGCAGCAGGCAGGAGGATTTTCGTGTCCCACATAGTTCTTGCCTTCTTCATAGGTCTGCCCTGTGCCTTCATAGCAGTTTATTCCCCTCCCTCCACTGCAGAACTCCAGAGCCTGAGCCAGCGCCTCCATTCCCTGCCTTTCTCCACCAGGCCAAAGCTCTGTTCTTCCCACACATCAGCTAGGTCAGTGTGACGTCTGTTCACTCTTCATTCTACAGATACCACTGGGCACTTTCACATGCTGGGCACTGCTATAGGCACTGGGGATTTGGATTGGTGTTATTCGCCGTGTTTATCAGTATGTGACTGCAGACGCAAGCTCTGAACACTCTCGCTTTCACTTCAGTAAGTGTCACAGAGCTCCTAAGTCTTTATAGGGAAGCAAATCATTTATGAACTCACAGGAGGAAGGTCTCCTGAACTCAGTAACT
Source organism: Homo sapiens (assembly GCF_000001405.40). Taxonomy (NCBI): domain Eukaryota; kingdom Metazoa; phylum Chordata; class Mammalia; order Primates; family Hominidae; genus Homo; species Homo sapiens. The sequence goes on from NC_000020.11 coordinate 24,999,074, forward strand.
GACTTAAAGCATTTGCGTTTTCTCAGGGGCCAAGTTTCTCGCTCCACTCTTTGTTTACATGCACACACCAGAGAGGCAACCCTAAGGAGATGAACACCTTCTCCTTCCCTTCCCATGGCTCAGGTCCTGCTTCTCCAGTTTCCTTCCTCCGAGTGCCCTATGCCAGGAGGCCATGACAGTGTTGGGCTCCATAATGAGAGTGTGGGTACCTTCACAATGGCAGCAACTGGACTCAGAGGCATTCCATGGAAGGGAAAAGGAGCTGCGTATGCCAGGCAGCAGAGGCAAAGGCTTCAACCGGGCATCATGAATTGTGGCTGTGCTTTATAGTGTCACCCCAGAGGGGCTGAACTTTAAGACAGTGGCTCTCAACTTTGGCTGCATGTTGGAATCATCTGGAAAGATGCCTACGTGACACCCCAGAAATTCTGGTATCACTGGTCTGGGGTACTGCTTGTGCATTGGGAGTTTTAAAATACTTTTAAAAACTAAATTTGCAACAGATTAGCACTTTAAAAGCAAATAGGAAATAGAGAAATACGTAGAGCATTCCAATTTGGGGAACCTGAGTCCAGTGTCTCTGAGACTGGAGACCTTGGAGAATCACTGCCACCACCAATTTGTACTGGGGACCTGAGGGACTGCCCGCCTGCAGAAGACACCTGAGAGGCAGCTCTGGGCTGGGAGGGGCTGCAGGGATGCAGGTGAGACGCTGACGAAACACCCCTCTCCTCTGCTGGGCTGGGACTCTGCAAGGCTGTGATTTAGCCATGGGACACAGATTATGATCAGGAATGGGTGGGGGTGGCATCTGAAATGCTGATGTTTTGTATCATGACCTTGGAGGGGGTTACCTGGGTTTTGTTTTATATCAGCTTGTTTAGCTGCATATTTATGTACACTTTTCTATGTAAGTTTGTACACTTGTACACTTTTCTGTATAAGTTTGTTATATTCCATCCCCTCCCCAAAAGTCTAAAAAATAAAACAAAAACAAAAACACCTGTTGCCTAGCTTGAAAGTTCTCTCTATCCAGGTCCCTATCTTAAGTTGAAATAAAACTTAGGCTTAGTCAGTGATCTCCAAACACTGGTTGACTGGACCAGGGCCTGGCTGACTGTGCAAAACACCTGGGGAGTTGTTAGAATTTACAGATTTGAAGACCCCAGCCTCCTGAGAGTGGAAGGAGTTGAAACAGCATGGGACTGGGAAAAAGCACTGGACTAGAAGTAGGGTTTGCTTCTGGTTTGAGCTGTGAGGCACACTGTGGGCTGCCTGCCAGCATCATGTGCCTCTTCTGACATGCTGGCAGAACCTGTTTTTGTTGAGATAAACGTCCTCCACGTGGGCCAGTGTTCTAATGGAAGTGAGTGCCAGGGTTAGAGGTGGGTTCCGGTTGGTCTAACCCAGTGCTTCCCAACCAAGGGCCATTTTGTCCACCAGGGGACATTTGTCAATGTCTGGCAACAATTTTTATGATCATGACTAGGTAGGATGCTACTGGCATCTGTGGGGGGAAGGCCAGAGATGCTGCTAAACATCAGTGGAACATTATGCAATATTTTCCATTTAGATGATGACTAATTAGATAGACTCACACTCCCAAAGGGGACAACAATGAACAAAATATTTAAAGCATTTGCTTGAAGAAATCGGAGAGCCTGAAACTGGTGTGGAATTGCTGGACCAGGATCTGGGAACAACAGAGACCCAGGATGATGAGCCTGGTGTGTAACCACTTTTGTTTTTTTACACAAGGTCTTGCTCTGTTGCCCAGGCTGGAGTGCAGTGGCACAATCAGGGCTCACTGCAGCCTCAGCCTCCCAGGTTCAGATGATCCTTCTGCCTCAGCCCTCTGAGTAGCTGGGACTGCAGGCATGTGCCACCATGCCCAGCTAATTTTTTTTTTAATTTTAGTAGAGATGTTTAGTAGAGGTCTATGTTGCCCAGGCTGGTCTCGAACTCCTGAGCTCAACCAGTCCTCCTGCCTTGGCCTCCCAAAGTGCTGGAATTACAGGTATGAGCCACCGCACCTGGCCTTGTAGCCATTTTTCCCCTGGGTGTGTATGCAGCCTCCACAGGAGAAAGTTGAGATGCCAAGCCATATTTCTTTTTTTTCCTTTTCTTCTTTTTTTTTTTTATTATACTTTAAGTTCTAGGGTACATGTGCACAATGTGCAGGTTTGTTACATATGTATACATGTGCCATGTTGGTGTGCTGTACCCCTTAACTTGTCGTTTACATTAGGTATATCTCCTAATGCTATCCCTCCCCCCACCCCACAACAAGCCCCAGTGTGTGATGTTCCCCACCCTGTGTCCAAGTGTTCTCATTGTTCAATTCCCACCTATGAGTGAGAACATGCGGTCTTTGGTTTTCTGTCCTTGCGATAGTTTGCTCAGAATGATGGTTTCCAGTTTCATGCATGTCCCTACAAAGGACATGAACTCATCCTTTTTTATGGCTGCATAGTATTCCAAGGTGTATATGTGCCACATTTTCTTAATCGAGTCTATCATTGATGGACATTTGGGTTGGTTCCAAGTCTTTGCTATTGTGAATAGTGCCACAATAAACATACGTGTGCATGGGTCTTTATAGCAGCATTATTTATAATCCTTTGGGTATATGCCCAGTAATCAGATGTCTGGGTCAAATAGTATTTCTAGTTCTAGATCCTTGAGGAATCACCACACTGACTTCCACAATGGTTGAACTAGTTTACAGTCCAACCAACAGTGTAAAAGTGTTCCTATTTCTCCACATCCTCTCCAGCATCTGTTTTTTCCTGACTTTTTAATGATCGCCATTCTAACTGGTGTGAGTTGATATCTCATTGTGGTTTTGATTTGCATTTCTCTGATGACCAGTGATGATAAGCATTTGTTCACGCGTCTGTTGGCTGCATAAATATCTTCTTTTGAGAAGTGTCTGTTCATATCCTTCACCCACTTGTTGTTGGGGTTGTTTGATTTTTTTCTTGTAAATTTGTTTAAATTCTTTGTAGATTCTGGATATTAGCCCTTTGTCAGATGGGTAGATTGTAAAAATTTTCTCCCATTCTGTAGGTTGCCTGTTCATTCTGATGGTAGTTTCTTTTGCTGTGCAGAAGCTCTTTAGTTTAATTAGATCCCATTTGTCAATTTTGGCTTTTGTTGCCATTGCTTTTGGTGTTTTAGTCATGAAGTCTTTGCACATGCCTATGGGCTGAATGGTATTGCCTGGGTTTTCTTCTAGGGTTATTATGGTTTTAGGTCTAACATTTAAGTCTTTAATCCATCTTGAATTAATTTTTGTATAAGGTGTAAGGAAGGGATCCAGTTTCAGCTTTCTACATATGGCTAGCCAGTTTTCCCAGCACCATTTATTAAATAGGGACTCCTTTCCCCATTTCTTGTTTTTGCCAGGTTTGTCAAAGATCAGATAATTGTAGATGTGTGGTATTATTTCTGAGGGCTCTGTTCTGTTCCATTGGTCTATATCTCTGTTTTGGTACCAGTACTATGCTGTTTTGGTTACTGTAGCCTTGTAGTATAGTTTGAAGTCAGGTAGCGTGATGCCTCCAGCTTTGTGCCAAGCTGTATTTCTAACAGCTCTTTGTGAATGAGTGAGTTCAGGGACATATTTTATAAGATTCCTCCTGAGTCCTGAGATGCAGCCCGAGTTGTCTGTCACACCAGCTGACTCAGTCAAATACTTGTATTGGTTCTTGCTCCTTCCCTGTTCCATACCCCTCATTCCTCACATTTGTTCCTAGAATCACATCCGTAAGTAATGTACCTGCATGCAAGCCTTTATATCAGGCTCTGCTTTCCAGGCAACCCAGGCTAAGGCAGCAAGAGATACAGAAATTAGAATTGTGAGAAATTTCATCATATGGGAAGTTGGGGTCCTCAACAAAAGAAGAGAGAATAGGCAAAAATGATATTTAAAGAGATAATGGTTGAGATATTTCCAAAATGATACAGACATCAATACAGATCTAAGAAGTCCTGCAGAACCCAAGCAAGATTAAAAAAAAAAAGTCAACAAAAAATAAAACTGCAAAAACCAAAGACAAGGAGAAATATCAAGAGCAGCCAAAGGAAAAGTGGTAGATTAACTTTAAATGACCATTTGTTAGTTTGACAGCCAACTACTCAACAGAAACATGGGAAAACAGATACCAATGGAAATGAGATCGTTGTAGTGCTGAAAAAAATAATTAACAGGCTAGAGTTATACACCCAGTCAAAATATCCTTTAAGAGTGATCATGAAATAAATACTTCCAAGTAGACAAAAACTGAATGAATTTCTTATCAGCAGACCTTTATTAAAAGAAATGACAAAAGTCCTTTCAGGCAGAAGGTAAATTATTCCAAATGGAAGTTTGGAGGTATAGAAGAGATACCAAAAAATGATAAATATATGGGTAAATCTAAGTTAATATTGTCTATATAGAACAATAATAAGATGCATACAACTATAATAATACTACCTTGTAGAATTAAAATAGAGAGAAAACTAAAATGCATGATTTATAAGTTGGAAGAGAGGTTTATATGTTGTTAAAGTGTGTTCTTAAAGTCTTTGTATTGACTGGAAATAGGGTAAGGTACCAATTAATATTGAAGGCTGCAACTTATAATCTAGGGTAACAATTAAAATGGTAAGAGTTTATAACTTCAAGCTAATGGGGAGAGGGCAAAAATTAGAATAATAAAAAATGGTCACTCTAAAGGAAGGAAAAAAAAAGAGAACATAGAACAAACAGGGCAAATAAAAAGTACTGAGTTAGATGGTGGATTTAAACCCAAATATATAACTAGTTACGTTAAATGTAAGTAGATTAAATGTATCATTTAAATGGCAAAGATTTCCAGAGTGATTTAAAAAACCAAGGTGAAGCTACATGCTATTTAAAAGAGATACATCAAAAACATAAGGCTATAATAAGATTAAAGTTAAAGGAATGATCCACTGGACACCATGGTTTTCTCCTGTGGTCCCAGCTACTTGGGAGGCTGGGGTAGGAGGATTGCTTGAGCCCAGGAGTTCGAGACCAGCCTGGGGAACACAACAAGACCATGTCTCAAAAAAAAAGAAAGAAAAGAAAATTAAAGGGATGGAAAAACTATTCCATGCAAATATTAACAAAAAGAAAGCTGATGTGACTATACTAATATCAGACGAAATATATTTTACAGCCAAAAGAAAGCACATTTAGAGACTAAAGGGGGATGCCTCTTTTAGAGTCAATTCATCAGGAAGTTATAACAATTTTAAATAGCACCTAATACACAACAAATAGATAAATACATAAATAATTGTGCTAGATAAATATGCAAATAGATAAAGCTTCAAAATGTCCAAAGCAAAAACTGACAGAACTAGAGAAACTCACAGTGGAAGTGGGAACTTTTAACAAGTCTGTCTCAGTAAGTGATGAAACAACTGAGTAAAAGTGAGATGGGACATGGATTTGAACAACATGATCAGCAACTTGACCCAGTGGATACGTATACAATCTTCTACCCAATGATTACAGAATACTTCTTTTCCATCTTGAATGGGACCTTTCTAAAAATTGGCGATAGGTTGAGGCATGCAGCAGGCCTCAACAAACTTCAGAGCACAGAAGTCATGGGAGAGCATGCTCTCTGATCACAGTGCAAATAAGCTAAACACCAATAACAAAAACTATAAAATAACAAAAACTAAATGTTTAGAAATTTTAGAAATAGGCCAGGCGTGGTGGCTCACACCTGTAATCCCAACACTTTGGGAGGCCAAGGCGGGTGTATCACCTAAGGTCAGGAGTTTGAGACCAGCCTGGCCAACATGTTAAAACCTCGTCTCTACTAAAAATACAAAAATTAGCCAGGTGTGGTGGCGTGCACCTGTAGTCCCAGCTACTCGGGAGGCTGAGGCAGGAGAATTGCTTGACCTGGGGAGGTGGAGGTTGCAGTGAGCTGAGATGGTGCCACTACACTCCAAACTGGGTGACAGAGCAAGACTCCATCTCAAAAAAAAAAAAAAATTAGAAATATTTTTCCAAACAATCCATGATGCAAAGAAGTCATAATGTCAAGTAGAAAAGCCAGAACTGTACCCCCAAAAGAGCAGGTACCTCTGCAGACCTGGCCCTGGCACAGGATATCTGGGAGCAGGTTGGATAGCCAGTCTGTTTGCTCTGCAAAAATTTCTTTGTGGAATAGCAGAGGGGTGTTGCAGCGATGCCAAATAAACATAGAACAGGATCCTAGAAGCTGGAGAAGGAGGAACCCTTGGCCAGAAGCCCTGGAGCAGCTCTGTTTGTTAATTATTTCTGTAGTAACCAAGGGAACATTGGTGAGCACCCCACAGAGTAACCACAGGTCAGCATCAAAGTAAGCAAGTAGCTGGCTGGCAGTATTTCACAGCATCTTTGCTTTTCTTCCCAAATCTGCAGTTTGAGAGAGGCGGCTTGCCCTGGGAACTCTGCTGGTAGGGCATCATGCAGCATGGTCCAGAATCCCTTTCTTTTTTGTCACAACCTCTGTACAATATGAAGTAGGAAAGTTGTATTCGTTTGTATTCATTTGCTGCTGTAACTAAATATCATAGGCTGGGTGGCTTAAACCACAGAAATCTGTTTCTATGGAGGCCAGGAAGTATAAGATCGAGGGGCTGGCAGATGGGTGTCAGGAGCAGACCCAGACTGCTGAGATTCTGCCTCTGTGGCACTGATTCAGTGTGTCCTGATGAAGGACCAGCCCACCCTAGCGGAGGGATGACCCAGGGACCAGGCCATGCTCCTCATGCACGCTACTCAGAGCCAGGTTGTCCCTCGCTCTTGCCTGTGCTCTAGCCCAGTGCCGCCTGCGGCCTCCAAGTGATGGTGGTAGTGCGCCTATCTGACCTGCTGTGCATGGCCTCTGGGCACTTGAAATGCAGCAACTGCAGACTGGGAACCAAATTTCTATTCTGTTTAAGTTACAGTTAAGTGGCCACGTGTGGCTGATGCATCAGCGCAGTCAGCCATCCTTGGTAAGGCAGGTGAGCTCACCAAGGAGCAGTCAGGGCTGTGAGTGTGAACCCCCCAGGAGAAAAGGCCCCTTCCAATTTTGTCTGTAGGATTATATTCAGGAAAAAAAAAGAGTAGCATTACTGGACCCAAAAAAATCACCACAAAGAGAAAATGAACAAAATAAAGCTTTATTTGAACTCCCTCCCCTACAGATCATTCAGATGCCCGGGACCATGTCCAGGTTCCTCTCAGCAACATGGAAAGCTAAGCCATTTCACAAACGCACAACTGTAGCTACACTACAGCCCCCCATGCCCAGGGCACAGCTTTGTTGCTAAGCCTGTAACAAAAGACCACCACTCAGTATTTGTGTACCCTGCAGCCAACACCACCTCCTGGGCTTCACAGGTTCACTCACCCAAGAGGCCAGCACAACCACGACCGAGTGGGTACTCAGTGGCCCAGACACCCCCCGAACACTGGCACTGCCACAAGGCCCTGAAGGGTAGACTGTGGGGCAAAGAGGACAAACTCTCCCTCCCCTAAGGGACCCGGCTCACTGGGCCTCCTTCCCCTGCCAACCGCCAGCCCCTGCATGCCTAGCAGGGAGGTAAGCACCCACTGGCGTCGTGATTTCCATTATCTTGCTAATGTTGACAGCACCTAAGTCACATTAAAACAAAGAGAGACTGGATCCAGACCTCCAAGTCTCATCATTGGACCTCAGTGGTTCTCACCGCCCCAACCACAGAGTGAAGGTCAGGCAGCGTTTGCCAGGATTTGGCTCTGACCAAGTTAGTGCTCTAACAAGTCACCTGAGTTTCTAATAGCTTCCCTGAAGAACCCAACTATTTGGAGTATGTTGCCTCTCCTATCAAGAGGCATCTGGGGGCACAAAAATCTTTCTGGATCACAGCTTGAAGAAACAGAACATAACTGGAGTAGCTTCAGAACTAAGGCGGCCACATTCACCCCACCGCTTAGGAGTTAGCTCCATTATACACAACCAAGCACAGGAGAAACACTCACCAGGAAAAGATGCCGGAGGCTTGGAAGTTCTCAAGGGAACTGTTTAGACAGAGGTACAAACATCTCCAATTCAGACTTCCAAATACACTAACAATAATTAAAAATGTGGCCTCTGATCCTCATGTTTCCTCACCAGTAGAGGCAAAAAAGGAGATTTTCATAACTACATGTTAAAAAGAACATGTTCAAGTAAATCCACACACTACATGTGAGTGTTGCATGCTGTTCTTCCACAATATAAAAGTATAAAAATAAGATTTCTGACCTTTGTATCTAGACAGATCTGGAGAAAACACGGTTGCTACTAGCTAACTAGCTCTGTGTTATCTGAGCAGGCGCGCTATCCCAGGGCCTCACCTTCCTGTGCTGGCTCAAGAGGGCAGAGGAATGGAGATGGCAATGCCTTTTCATTCCAGGAAACCAAACTCAGATGGCAGAACCAGCCCTAGCCATGTCGCATAGCCTCTCCATGGGTGACACTCCTGGGACCTCCAATGGATGGGAGAAAGGGCTCTCAGCCCAGCTTCACGTGAGGGCGGTGTGGGTCATGTGTGGGGTGGGGGCTGCTTCTGGGACGTAGGAAGACGCCAACCTCAGGGGTACCTTCTGGGAAGGACAAGCCAGGGCTTGGGTGCCCGCCCATCCCAAGAGCCCCACAAGGTGCCAGCTCACTTAGCAGCAGCCTGCTTGTCCTTGCACTTCTGGTAGACACTCAGGATCTCTGCGATGATGCTGGGGTCCTCCAAGGTGGTAGTGTCTCCCAGCTCCTGGGCCTCACTAGTGATGATCTTCCTCAGGAGCCGCCGCATGACCTTCCCAGACCTGGTTTTTGGAAGACGTTTCACCACCTGGCAAGGAACAGGCACAGTGTTAGAGCGTGGATGGTGCCCAGCCTCTGTGCTAGCGTGGACTGCATTAAGATCAGAAGGGCTCTGCTCAGGGGGGATGCCCTCCCGGGGATCCACAGTGGATGTCTAAGCCTCCACCCCAGAGAACGGTGAGGCCCGAGGTCTTGGCTTTATCCTCCTACTGTCTGGACCTAAGCTGAAATCCACCCCGATGCTCTCCGCCAGGCAGGGTCCACCCAGGCCGGGTTCACCCCGTACTGCCGTCCGTCTGTCCTGCCACTGTGCCACGTGCAGGCACCCAGGTGGCAGCAGATCCAAGCACCCACTGGGTGCCTCATCTCCATTCTCTGGCCTGGGACTTGGCAGGTTTTGTCTTACATCAGAGGTGAGAACTACTTAAGAGAAAAATTTTGTCTTAGTGTTTGAAAAGCTAACATGGAGCATGCTCAAACAACTACAGCCCATTCACTGCAAATGGCAATGCATTAAGAGCTGTGTTTGGGATCTTTGACAGTCATTCTGTCTTTTGAAATAGTTCAGTTCACCTAGGGTGAGTCCGGGTCTCCTGAAATTCTGGTCACTGGGCCAAATGTGTCAACTCCTGTAATACCAAGTGGATCCTGGCCCTGCCGCCTCTGAGGGCCGCCAAACCCAGAGTCACAGCGCGCAATGTTCATAAAGGAGGGAATGAAAAGCCGGGGGTTGAAGAGGCAGCCCAATCCTCCCCTGATTCTGACCCCCTGGGTTGGGGGTCTGCGATCTCCTTCACTGCCACCAGGAAAAGTGCTCAAGAACCACACAGGGGCTGGAGAACCCTGGTACTGTCCCCATGTCTCTAATGAAAATCCCTAAGGTTCTTCACCAGCAGCCCCATTTCTGTGACTAGCCTGCACATGCCAACATACGAGAGCAGAAGCCTGCCTAGGTGACCTCCTGGACAGGTGAGCTGGCTGGGCGTGGAAGCCTGCCTAGGTGAACTCCTGGACAGGTGAGCTGGCTGAGTGTGGAAACCTGCCTAGGTGGCCTCCCAGACATGTGAGCTTACTGAGCATGTAGGCCTGCCTAGGCAACCTCCTGGACAGATGAGCCCACTGAGCATGGAAACCTGCCTAGGCGACCTCCTGGACAAGTAAGCTGGCTGAGCTCACTTCTCCCTCTATGACAACACAGAGACCCACCATCCTCACCACCAGCCAGGAAAACCAAACAGCTAGTGTCCGTTTTGATGCTAATTGGAAAAGAGTAATATGCTCCTAAAAGATCATTGTCACTTGACAATTGTGGGAAGAACAGCAGCACAGCCCCATCTTTGTGGGAGGCCCACTCACCAGGATCTCATCAGGCACAGCATATTTGGCGATCTTGGTGGCCACCATGGACTTGAGCTCCTGCACCACCACATCTGAGTCACCCGCACTATCTTTCACCACAATGAAGGCAAAGGCAGCTGAAAATAAAGCCAAGTTTGGGGATGTATTAAATACTAGACAAGGAGCCAACTCCCGAGGCAGGGTGCTATGCACAGACTGCCAGAAATCCGAAGGGCTTTTGAATCCTATGTTAGTGACATTGTAGCAGCTGGTTTCTTTAGTTGCAAACCCAAAGATGCACTTCAGTTTCATGAAAAGTGGCAGCGATTCTAACAGCTCCACAGATGTTCCAGGTGAGTGCACATGTGTGGCTGAGAGCTTGGCATCTCAGCTCTAATGCTGACTGGCTGCGTGTGACCTGGGACATGGGACCTCCCCTCTCTGTGTACACATCTGTGAAATAACCCATAATGTGGTTTGATGGAATGAGACTTCCATGAGAAGGTGCACAGATGCACAGCAAATGGGCACCACCAGCCTTTGGGGGTGTGTGTGCAACATGGTGCCATGGGCCAGGGTAGCTATTTCAGTTCAATTAAATCAGCAGCTCCCTGGCTGCATGAGCCACACTTCAAGTGCCATTCAGCACCATGAGCAGCCAGAGGCTGCCACCCTGGACAACACAGACAGCTGAGAGGCAGCTGAGAGTTCTGCTGGGCAGCACGGGCCAGCCCACATTATAGCATAAATACTAGCTTTCGTTTTTCAGTACCCTGGCATGTTCCAGGAAGAGTTCACACTGTGAAGAGGGATCTAATTTGATTGTTGTCCATATAAGGAGTTGCTCATCCCGGTGCCATCCCTGATAGCCTGCCCGTCCCCACTGGCCTGTGAGGTGCTCTGTCTCTCCCTCGAAGCTTCTATATATGTGTGGCTCTCCTACTGCTCATCTGCCCCAGCCCCATGCCACCTTCACCCATTCTTCCCTGGCATGTAGCACCTAACTGACTGTGTCGTTTCCTTGGTGATCATCTTTCTTGCTCTTTGTCTGTCTCTCTCCTCTACTCTTGACCCCTCTATGGGGTCAGAGACCTTCTCACTCACTGCTGTGTCCCCAGCATCTAGAACCATGCCTGGAACACAGGAGGTGCTCAACACATGGTTGTTAAGTGCATGAATGGATGATTGGTTTTCTGAACAAGCTATGATCTGTAAAGACCTACAGCCTTTGCCTGAAAGGCCTTCCTATATCCATGTGGCGAACTCCTATTCATCCCTCAAGACTCAGTTCAGCCACCTCCTGCTCTGTGAAGCCTTTCCTGACTCCACCCATGAATCTAGTTTATGGCACATGCTATGTGGGAACAGCTGTCAGTCCCCCTGCTGCCACCCCACTAGGCTGTTAGATCTTTGAGGGAAAGAACACCGTTTTTCTCATCTTGGTCGTTGATATGGGATCAGAAGTGGGCCTGGACTGTTGAGTTCTGAGGATGGAGCTGGAGGGAGGAAACCTTCCACATGGGTGGAGGAGCCAGTTAAGAGCCAGGACGAGGCAGGCAAGGCTCAGGACACTGGAGACAAGAGAGACAAGAGCCTGGCCAGCAGCACCAGAGGCTTGCTGGGTCTAGGTCCTAGACAAGGTCCAGGGGCTGCCCTTTTTCAGAGCTGCTGCAAAACAGAGAGAGTGGGGACAAATATACGATATTCACAGGCAGCTTTAGAGCCAACCAAGAGCTGTTCATCAGCTCTTCATAATTATAGAATGGATACTCAAATTCATTAGAAATCAGGAAAATGCACATCATCATACACATGATAGACAAATTATCCCCACACATCTGGCAGACATTAAGAAGCCTGGCAACACCAGACTTGCAATAGCTCCACACACGCAGAACGTGCCCTGGGCAGCAGCGTCCACAGCAGACCATGCCCCAACACCACCCCAACAGACCTAAGGCTAGGCCACCCTATGAAAGACAGTGATTGTGATGCCCAAACGTTTGTCTAAAGGTCACTTCCATTGTCCTTTCCTTGATCTTGCACTTGCTTTATGGAGTTCAATCCAGGGGCTGCTGAATCCCCAGACACAGTGGACCATGCCCGGACCCCTCTCAGTGGCCCCAGGGAGTACTGGCTCAGCCACTGGACTCAGACATAGATGGGGCTTTCAAATCCCAGGACACGTCAGTGCCCTGTGGACCCCCAGCCCAGAGATGTGAAATGCAGGAGTCCTCAGAGGAGGGGCCCAGGCTCCTGCCAGAGCGAGGTAACCTCAGGGGGGCACTAAGTTACCCTAGTCACACCTGAGAAACTGTCCTCGTCTCCGTCCTCTCTGACCCTCCTGATCACATCTGGACATGTCACCGGGCAGGGGTCCCTACCAGCTCTCTCCCACATCCCAGCCTTACCAGCATAGCCTTTCCATGGCAACTGAAAATGCTGTTTGTAAAGCACTGAAACAAATTCTCAATCTTGCAATGCGTCAATTTAAAGAGAGCATTTAAGTAAATAATGGAATAACGGCACATAGAAGTGCAGGGAGGAAGGTGACATCTGGGACACACTGTGACACAGGGTGGCCTCCCAGCGGGAGGGCAAGCCTGACCCCAAGCCACTGGGCAGGGCAGGAGAAGCCAGTCTGCCCAGCAGTGCCCTGGCATGGGGTCAGTGTGTGTCCAGGTCACGCCAGGCCAGGCAGTGTGCCTGGATGGACCTGGCATTGCAACACCTAGGTGCTCCCGCCCCTTCCCAGACCCAGCCACCAAGAAGCTGGCAGACTCGAAACAAAGCGTGGCCTTGGTAAAGGCCATTCTAGTCCCTCATTCTGCATTCCCCCAGCATGTCGCTGTGCAGTGGGAACCACAGGTCAGATTCGTCCAAAGAGTCCCAGCGCAGCACACAGCCTGCACACTCCAGAGCACACTCTGGCACACACGCGTGGCGGCTGCAGAGCTGGCTTGAGTGCTATGACCAAGCCCGTGAGGATACATGAGGCTGGACATTTTCTCATAAACTCTCTGTAATGGGGCTGGACGGTGTCCCCACCAGATACACCATGGACAGAAGGGGAAACCCCCCAAGCTTAGCCAAGCCCAACTGGGTCATGGCCACTGTGGATGTGTGTCCTGAAAGGACAGCAGAACCAGGGCATTTCAGAAACCCGACCGAACACGAGTGCTATTCAGCCTCCTCCCCTACAGTTTCCACTTGAGAGAGAAGAACACTGAGAGCTTGGCCCACAGTATCCCCTATCACTCCACTCTCCAGAGTCTGCTCCTCGTACAGAGGTGCCCATAATGGGTGTGGGGTCAGGAATCAGGGAGGAGCTCATCTCCAGGACACTCACCTTCTCCTTTGATGTCGTGGGGGTAGCCAATGACAGCACTTTCTGGTACTGCAGGGTGGTCGGCCTGTGTACAACAGAGAACAAAAGGGCAAAATGTGGCGGCCCCGGGTGCTAGAAGTGACTCGGGCCAGGGACTCCCACCCCAACTTGCAGGTCCACAGGGGCATCATGGAGGTGTAGGAGTGAAGGAGGAGGCCCAGCCTGTGCTCACGATGGCGTCCTCAATCTCTGCGGTCCCCAGCCGGTGGCCACTGATGTTGATGACATCATCCATCCGCCCTGTGATCTGGTAATAGCCGCCCTCAGTTCGGTAAGCCCCGTCTCCAGTGAAGTAATAGCCTGCACCACAGCAGGGAAATTCAGCACCAGGAACCCTGAGCCAGGACCCATGTCCCAACCTCAGTAAGCGTGAAGCTCTGCAGCCCAGCACGCGGCTGAAGTCTCGCCCATCGGCCCTCCTTGCAACTCCGATGCTTCCCTATGTTCTAGAGCATGGGCAGGTGGCTCCGAGATATCGAGACTTTGGGGAGCAGAAGGTATACAAGCAGCACATCCAAGATGCTTCTCCAAAACACTGAGTCTTGTTTACGACAAAAAGGGAAACTGGGAAAAAATAAAAGTAAACTGGAAGAAAACTCCCAGCCGTAGCTAACAGGATCCTACCATGGGCCTGGCTGCAGTGCAGGACTTCACACCCACACCTAAGTAGCCCCAAGAAAGTCCCCGAGTGGGGAATCACTCCCACTGTCAAGATAAGGAAAGCCAGGGAGGTACAGCAAAGGGAGAGGGGTGCGGAGTCAAACTCTGGCCTCGCGAGCACCTATTCCTGGCCACAGTGTTACGCTGCACTCAAATCCCATTAAAAATGTTTTCTGAGAATAAGATTCCAGCAGTCAGCTGAAAAGGAATGAGAGGGTCCCTGACAGCCTGCTCACCTGGGTAGGCCTTGAAGTAGGCGTCCACAAATCGCTGGTGGTCGCCATAGATGGTCCTGGCCATGCCCGGCCAGGCCTGGGAGATGCACAGGGCCCCGGAGACGTTGCTGCCCTCCACGACGCTGCCCTGTAGACCCCGGACATGCAAGTGAGACAGGGCAGGCTCTGGGTGAGAAGTGTGCCAAAAAATGACAAGCCCTGCCCTCAAGGGAGCTGTCCATAGCTCTCCCCTCTGCCCCTGAGGAGGGCCCCAAGCCACCTGTGTGGCCACTACCCAGTGCATGATACCAGCTGCAGTGAACGCTGCAAGGTCAGCAGCCTCCTGCCAGGTACAGACCTGGGCACACAGGAGAGAGCTGGGCTGGGCAGGCAGGGACAAGGGAGGGCAAGCACATGACCCCCATGTGGGGGAGGCCCATACACACCTTCTCATCCATGAGGACGGGGACGATGCCAAAGAAGGGCCTCATCGCCATGGCAGGGAGGATTTCCGCCCCTTCTTCCGAGGGCCGTGGTGCGATGCAGATGCCACCTGTTTCTGCAGGTATGACAAGAAAGAAATGCATAATCGGCCCCGGACCCAGGGATACGTGTATCCAGAGTGGGTGGTAGGTGGGACTGTCCCTGTTGTGGGCAAGGAAACGCCTCAGGGGCACAACGATCTTTGAGGCAAACCAGATGTGGGTCTGGTGCCCTCCACTGTGGATATGAGAGGCGGCCCCACAGTGGCCTCAGCCCCAGGAGCTCTGGCATCCCACAGCCAGGTGCAGGCCCCCTCGCCATGTCAGGCCCTTGCTTGAAGTGGGAAAGGGCAGAGCCCACCCACTTGCACATGAAGACGGAGAAAAAGAACTGCTTCTGGGCCAGCGCCCATTTGACATGAACCCAACAACGAAAAAAGATGCTCTCAAATCCTACCCTCACATTATTTCCAGCCTGTACCAGGGAAATGCCCCAGTGACTCAGCTAGAGAATCTCTGTCCCAGGTTTTCCTGAATGGATGGGACTGTCCCATGGGAACGCCTCATTTTCTGGCTTGAGGATGAGCCCTCAGATAGTTACATTCATTACATCTATGGTGGTCTCTCGCCCCAAGCCTCCTAATAAGTCAGATACCCAAGAGAAGGGGGGACAAATCCAAACAAAATGTCACAGGAAAAATTCCTTTTCCCACTAAAATTTAAATTTAGACTCATGCTCCCTTAGAAGATGGGGCCTGTCTCATCAGATGTTCCCCTGTTCAGAAAGGGGCACTAGGAAGGGACACGGCCCCTGAGCTCCTGCTGCACACCAGGCCTTGGGCAGCAAGCTGAGCTGTGTCACCTCAGTTCACCCTCACCCAGGCGTGTGGGGGGCGCCCCCACCTCACAAAGGAGGAAACCGAGCCTCAGAGAAGTTGTGACAAGAGGTCCCACAGGTGGGAAACAGCAGCCAGGCGACCTCTGAGTTCCCTCACTCTAGGCTCCAGGGTTTCCGCAGTCTCGGGCGTTGAAGCGTCTTCTATCGCACCTGCTGTTGAGAGCTTGGACCCCAGTCCCAGCCTCACACCTGACCCTGCAGACCCAGCACTTAGACCGGAACCTGTTCCCCAGGCCTCCTCACCTGTCTGCCACCAGGTGTCCACCAGCGTGCACCTGCTGTCCCCCACCACCCTGTGAAGCCACTCCCAGGCCTCACAGTTGATGGGCTCTCCCACTGAAACCACACAGAAAGAAAAAGATGTTAACAGGCTGCAAATAAACCTGAAACCAAAGGGAAGTTTTGTTTTTTGTTTTTTGTTTTTGTTTTTCTTTGAGACTGAGTCTCACTCTGTCTCCCAGGATGATCTTGGCTCATTGCAACCTCCACCTCCCAGGTTCAAGCGATTCTCCTGCTTCAGCCTCCTGAGTAGCTGGTATTACAGGCGCCTGCCACCACACCCGGCTAATTTTTTGTATTTTTAGTAGAGACGGGGTTTCACCATGTTGGCCAGGCTGGTCTCGAACTCCTGACCTCAGGTGATCCACCTGCCTTGGCCTCCCAAAGTGCTGGGGTTACAGGTGTGAGCTGCTGTGCCCAGCCAAATAAAGAGATTTTTAAGGAGAAAACAGCTCCGTGATTTTTATTTTTGAAGAACATACAAGGAGACCTGAAAATGCAGTGAGACATACCGTATTTATGGTCATCAAAGAAATGCACATGACCATGATGTGTTTTTACCATTAGATGATGGATATCAAAAAGCCAGTAAGAATGTGGGGAAAACAGGATTTCACAGACACCATTAGGAGGATAGTTTGGTTCAGCAATTTTGAGGAGCAATCTGGATGTTTCTCTTAACATTTAAAACTCCATACAACCAATACAACTACTCTGAGCAACTGCTTGGGGCAGAATCTACTACAGCTAAATACCTCAAAACATGACCCCTGACGTACACCCCACAGAAATGACTGCAGATGCCACCAGAAGTGGCTATGTAAAGGGTGTCCTCAGCAGCTCTGCTCATGTTAGAAACCACACACATCCCTCAGGAGTAGGTGGCTAAATACAATATGGCACGCTCCTGCAGAGGAACGCCACATTGCAAAGAAGATGGCGAACCTCCACGACCCACAGCGGCACTGGTGAGTCTGAAGCATGACGCTGGGCAAGGGAGGGGTGTGCTGTGTGATCCCACCCAGCTGAGGTTCAAGTGCAGCCGGATCTGTCCGTGGTGATGCAGGCCACACTGTGGTCATGGTTCGGGTAACTCTCGTAACTGGGAGGAGCCATAAGGGGGCCTCTGGGGACTAGGAATTTCTGTAGCACTTATACACGTAAACATCTCTCAAGTTGAACACTTAACATCTGTACCCTTTAGTACACATTATATCTCAATAGAAAGGAAGAAGATATGTGTACACCCTAGGATTCTCAGTGTCTACCTTATGACATTTCCACACCAGGCCAGCACTCAGCCAGAACTCACCAGGCTAGACGTGCTATCACTAAAACACTGAAATACTCTCGTGCTGGTGGTTGCCTCTTGCTCAGGACCACTCACAACCCACAGCCTGTCCCAGCAGTGGCCCCCGCATCCATGCTGCATGATCAGTGCTGGCCACATTGGCAGCTCAGTGTCTTGTGTGTCACACCTGCACTCAGAACATCCACAAGGGGCAGGGAGATGCCCCGCAGCGCTGGTGGACACGCTGGGAGACTGCGACAGCCTGCACCCAGCCACGGGGCTGTGACCACACAAGCCAGGGTAATCCCCACGGCAAAGCAGGTCCGTGTGGAAAAATGCAGATTCTACAATCTTAAAAGAAACATTACAGCATCATAGCACGGTGTGGTAACTTTGGTGTTAAAGAAAACGTCATTTAACAGAGCTGCATCCACTACAGGAACTTAACTGCAGAGACAGGGCCGAAGGCGCAGGAGCAACAACCCCTGGAGCAGAGGTCGAGGAAAACTTCAGCTTTTTTTTTTTTTCTTTTTTTTTGAGAGAGAGAGACAAGGATCTTGCTCTGTTGCCTGGACTGGAGTGCAGTGGCATGATCATGGCTCACTGCAACCTCGACTTCTGGGGCTCAAGGATCCTCCCATCTCAGCCTCCCAAGTAGCCGAGGGACTACAGGCACGTACCACCACGCCCAGCTCCTAAGGACATCAGCTTTAAGTACAATGCTCCAATTTCTTCTTTTCACAAGAGTGTATCCATGTATTACTTATGAAATTGAAAGTTTAAAAAAGCTTTGAGAAATACAAATCTAGGGGGAATGTCTTGAGTGAGTGGGATTCTGACGACTCAACGGATTAAATGTCATGAGGGCTGATCCCAGCTGCCTGGAATGGGTCTGGGCTGTGGAATTGCACCGACAGGTGTGCCAGCACAGCGCTGGCCCTGGCCAAGGTGTGGAACACACTGACTCCCAGCACTGCTCCGAGGTGCTGGGAGCCCCAGGTGCAAGACATCACAAGACGCCACGCTGCCTGCCAACACTGTATACCGAGAACAGAACAGCGAGGTGTGTGATTAGCACCTGGCCTCCCGCAGGGCTCTGCGGCTAGAACCGGTTATGCAACAGGAATAGGAATGTGCCTATCAACCAGCTAAATACACAAAACCCAGCTGAGCCTCTGCTGGGGGCTGGCCCCCTGGCTCAGAGGTGTTCCAAGTCTGTGGGGACCCCTAGGTGAGGCAGAGGCTGCTGGGATACACATCCCACTCTAATGCAGCTGCCAGAGCACACCCCTTCCTGAAATGCACTTAGGGCGGTACCCCTTGTCATTGGACCCCGTGAACCTTCCTTCAGGAGACAAATCCCATGAGTGTATCTGGAAAACCAAATCTTGCCCTTCAGCCCTGTCCCCACCTAATGCCTAGGGCCCACTCAGGTGGCCCTGCTGACAACACCTAGAGGATCTGGGCGAGTTTCTATGGCCCTGGCCACCCCGCTGTTTGTTCCCAGTCCACAAGCACTACATGGCCCAGGCAGTCAGAATCACACGGGCCTCTCAAGCCCAGCTCCAGCATGCCAAGAGAGACCACCCAAACTCACCACTTATTATGGTTTGAATGTTTGTCCCCTCCAAATCTCACGCTGAAATGTAATTGCCATTGTAACAGTATTAAGAGGTGGAACCTTTATGAGGTGATTATGCCAAGAGGTTTCCACCCTCATGAGTGGGATTGGTGCCATTATAAAAGGGTGAGTTCAACCTCCTCTTGCTCTCTCTTGCCTTCTCTTTGCCCTTCCACCATGGGACGATGCAGCAAGAAGGCCCTCACCAGATGCCAACACCTTGATGTGGACTTCCCAGCCTCCAGAAATGTGAACCAATAAATTTCTGTTCATTATAAATCACCCAGTTTCAGGGTATTCTATTACAGCAGCACAAAGCAAACTAAGATTCACCATCTAGAAAGGAACCCCATACTCTTTCTGAGAGGTGGAGGGGACAGTATGGCAAGGGACCTGTTGAGGGTACAGGGTGGGGGCACAGAGCCCATCAATCAGGTGGGGGGCAGAGTGAGTTTTACAGACTCTAGAACCAAGTGCTGCGTTCAACACAGGCTGCCCTACTTGCTGAGTGACCTCAGGCCGGTTCTCTGACCTCTCTGTGCCTCCTCTTCCTTCTCTGTAATGTGAAACAACATCTGCTGTTTGCTCAAAGGACTGATGTGAAGATAAAGGCATTTAATACATATTTGCTCTTATTAATAGTATTCAAACTCCTCCTGCTTTTTAATCTAGAAAGCTGGTTGAGAAACAGAAGGTTTTTACTGTTAATGGGGAAAATAAGGGAAAAGAGGAGGAGGAGTCATTGGATGCCTGCTATTCCTCAGGAGCTCTCTCCATTAATCATCTCCATGCTGAACATTATACTAAGGCTCACATCTGACCCTCTGTGGCATCCTCGCCACCCTGTAGGTAGGTCTCATCCCCATCTCACATTTGGGAACAAGTGGTGAGCTCTGCAGGGCACAGCCCCAGCTGCTGTGCCTCTCAGCCTGTGGCCCGGATGCCCGCATGGCCTCATGGTCACCCAGTAGTAGTGGAATCACATGTTCACTGGGAGGTACATGCTCCCTTCCCAAGGATGTATGTGGCAGAATGGGACACTCTTCCATGGTCACTGCCCTGCATGCTTCCCCAGTGAAAAGCCACCAAGCAGGTGGCTGACCACGCGTGACCACACGTCAAGGCAGACATGAAATGTGGCAGGGACAGGAGAGAGAACAGCAGTCACCAGCACCCAGTCCCTCCCAGCACCAGCCCGAAAGACAGACACTGCTGATACTGTCGAAACCATGCCACCATCACATTTCCAAAATGTTTCCATGTGATTTGGCAATATCCATCAACATTACCAATAGGCCTAAGCTTTGAACTGTCTGCCTGGAAATGTCTACAGTAACAGCAGGGCAAAAGTGCAGGATGGTATCCACTCCACAGACTTGGAGACAATCAAAAGGTCCAACTATGGGGCAGTGTTTAGCAAACTGTAGTTATACTATTATTACTATTATTTAGACGACTGAGTCTCACTCTGTCACCAGGCTGGAGCGCAGTGGTGCAATCCTAGTTCACTGCAGCCTGAAACTCCTGGGCTCAAGCAATCCTCCCACCTCAGCCTTTGCCACCACACCCAGCTAAGTTATACAGTTAAATCCCATGCAGCCACTAAAGAACTGACCTGACCCTTAACTTATTGAGTGGGTAAGTATTCCTAATGAAGATTAAGCTACAGAAATTGGGCACAGAAACAACGGCACAGAAAATGTCTGGAACGTTGTTCCCCAGACAGGTAACTGCTGCCAGCTCTGGGGAGGAGCTTACAGGTGGGAAGAGGTGCTGGTGCTTTCTACCAGATCCGGTCTGGCATTGCGTGAATTCACACATACAAAGCCGGGCAGCTTCATGACTGAAGTCCTGCTGAAGCCCGTATTGGCTCTGAGGGTCTAGGGCAAGCACAACCTCTCCTGCTGCAGGGCAGGCCGCTCACCTGACCCCAGGGTCCGCAGGGAGGAGCGATCATACTTCTTCACCCAGGCATCACCGTATTTCAGCAACAGCCGGACAGCCGTTGGGGCGCCATAGAACTGATTGATCTTCAACCTCTCTACTGTCTCCCAGTACCGACCTACAGAAAGGCCGAAATTCACTGTCAGCAGGAGAGCTGACATGGTTTACTTTAAACTCAGAGATCAGCCAAGACTTCCTGAGTGCTGGGCATGTGCAGACGCGCATATGTCCATATGAAAGGGATCCCCCCAACCCCCCACCCCCGCCAGTGAAAGATGGAAAGAAGCCCCATGGGACAGGTCCCCAATGGCCGCTCTCCTCCAAGCACTCCCCAGATCCATGGGCGGCACATTCAGGAACAGTCTTCACCAGGCTTAGGGTGATGGCCTAGTTCAAGGTGATACTACGTGGATTTAATAACCCATGGAGCATTAACACAGAGCTTTCACTCGATCACACTCACATGGGCTCTAAAGTGGTGACTGGTGCTTCCCCTGGTGACAGTACAGCTGCCACTGCGTGTGTCCCAGGGAGCAGGGCCATGTGCCCGGCATGCACACCCCTGGTTCCTGTAAACCCACTACCCACACCATCCCCTCCACATGGAACACTGAGCTTCTAAGGGCTGAAGTGGTGGCCTGAGACAGCACCTGGGCCATGGCCCTTAATCCCTGGTCTTGCCCCTACAACTTCTTCCTTGAGCACACCCAGCCCCCAAAGGCAGGGATGGAGCACTGGGAGGTGATAACACAGTCCATGCACAGTTGTCAGTGCCATGGAACACTGGAGCAGCAGCCTTTGGGCAGAGCCACCATGATCTGCTTACATTAAAGAAAATATTTGAAGACACTGTGCTGTGTGGGAGGACGATGCCCAAGGGAGCCAGTCATCACCTTGTCTTCAAAGTGATCTCAATTTAATGGAGATGGTTCTAGGCCATGCCTAACATGGTTTGAGGGACAGCCCTGAAGGCTCAGGGGCAGGGCTGGGGACACAGAAGTGGCGGGCAGCTGGCCCTGGCTTTGAGAAAGGGCTGGATCTGGGCAAGCAGCCTAGAGGTGAGAAGGATGCCAAAGCGATGGCCTGAGGCCGGCAGTTTAAGTCAGAGGGCAGGAGTGCAGGAGCAGGGGCCTTGAGATGTCCTCCAGCACCAAGTCAGACTCCCTGCTGCTGCCTGTCAGATCTTTCTGAAGACCTGGGGCCTGGCCCCACCGGGCATTTCGACAGCAGGACCTGGAGAGCCACACCCTCACCAGAACCCAGGCGTCCCCCTTCCATGAACCTCTCCACAAGCCTCGAGCCTCAGGCTCTCTCCCCTGACACCAGCATGGGGTCCCAAACAGGGTTCACCATCCTTACCAGCATTGGGATAAACTGGGGTGCTCTCAAAAAGGACGCTGGTGGCACCATTGCAGAGAGGCCCATACACCACGTAGCTGTGTCCTGTAATCCAACCGATGTCGGCCACACAGCCAAAGATGTCACCTGGCTGGTGGTCAAACACAAGCTGCAGAGACAGGAAAGGAGCATCAGGAGCTTGTCCCCCCACTCCACCATGTTCACACCAGGTCACTAGGAAATAGGCATGCATAGGCTGCAGTCCATAGCTGTGAGAGGCAGCTGGCTCCTCAAATGGCCTCCAGCAGCAGGACAGGTGGGCACACTGCAGAGTCCGTCTAGTTGTACGTTTAACACATGGACACCTTTTTGCATTACCTTATGCCACGATTTTTTAAACCCCTTAAGAACTACAAAAAATAAAAGCAAAAAAGGCCAAGAATGGCATCAAGCATCATCAGCTTCGAGGAGCATGAGAGGACAGACATCCGAATCCCCTTTATTCTTCCACAGCAACTGAGTGGAGCCTGATCCCATCTCAGGATCTAACTGCCCACGTGCAGGAAACACAGAGGCAGAGGGACAACAGGCACAACCCAGACCAAAGGACACCAGAGAAAAATGGCTGGATGTGACTATGGCCAAGTGTAAGGAAATGGGGGAGCATAGGCTTAAAAAGACTTAAAACACATATCAACAATATTTTAGGCCGGACACGGTGGCTCACACCTGTAATTCCAGCACTTGGAGAGGCCAAGGCGGGCAGATCACTTGAGGTCAGAAGTTCAAGACCAGCCTGACCAACATGGCAAAACCCTGTCTCTACTAAAAATACAAAAAAAAATTAGCAGGGTGTGGTGGCAGGTGCCTGTAATCCCAGCTACTCAGAAAGCTGAGACAGGAGAGTCACTTGAACCCAGGAGGCAAAGGTTGCAGTGATCTGAGATCACACCACTGCACTCTAACCTGGACAACAGAGTGAGACTCCATGAAAAAACAAAACAAAACAAAACAAAACAAAACAAAAGAAAAAACAATATTTTAATTGGCAACAGTAAGCTACAGTGCCCACGGATGCTCATATGGGTCACAAAACTATCAAAATAAAAACAGGGCAGGCGCACAAGACACATCAAGACATGCTGGACGGGGCTGTGGCCATATGGGCCTGGAAGGGGCTTCTGAGAAACCGGTGGCCTTCCACTTCTTGATCAAAGTGGCATTTGCCTTATAATAATTCATTAAGCCATGCATTTAATTTGGGTGGTTTTCTCTATCTGTTCTAAAAAGAGTTTTTAAAAATCTTTGGGCGAATGGCCCTTAGTGTCCTGCTGCCGCGTTACATGATCAGATTATCTGGGAGTTTCCAGACAGTGCAGTGGGGGCTTGAGGCAGCCAGGGCCCTGAGGAGCTGTAGGGTGGGAGGACTCGAGGGGGCCCTGCCCCGAATAGGCCAGGAAGAAACACTGACCTCTCACACCTACAGGCCTCGCTCTGCAGCAGGAGGACTTCCAGCCCTGCCCCTGCCTGGATCCCTGCCAAGGGCCCAGCACCGCCCGCACAGGCCTGTACCTTGTGAGTCAGGGCGGCATAGAGCAGGTAGCCTGCCTGGGTATGGACGATGCCCTTGGGCATTCCGGTGCTCCCTGAGGTGTACAGCATGAAGAGCATGTCCTCACTGCCCATGCTCTCTGGGGCGCAAACAGGGTCCTCCTTGGCCATTTCCTGGCAGGGAGAAGAAACAAACAGCCCACCGAGGGCACTCAGCCTCTCTGAGAGCAGCACTCCCCCTCCGCAGCAGGACTCCACACACAGGATTCAGAATTCACCTGCTCTGACCTGTCCAAGTTCAATTCCAAATGTGGAAAGGACACAAAACAAAAGCGTGGGTGCAAGCATTTGTGTTACAGTAAGTGTTCCAACATGCTTGTCGTATAGGAGTTTTATCTTCCCAGTCAGGACTCAAGCTCACCAAATACCACAGAGGAACCCTGGGCACCTCTAGGGAACCCAAATTGAGAACCACAACCCGAGAAGCCTCAGAGCCAGCTAACTTGATATGACCTCGCCTCAAACTGTGCAAAGCGAGGTAACCCACCTGCTCCAGCGGGACGTCCAGATCCCCCATGTGGACCTTGTTGTCTGTCCTGTGAGCCACCAGGACATGCTGCACGGTGGGGCAGTGCTTCACAGCCTCATCCACTATTTTCTTCAGCTCCACCACGCGCCCACCCCGGAGTCCTTGGTTGAAGGTGATAACCACCTTGCACTTGGCTAACAGAGACAACACAGACATTTCTGATCAGTCTCCTCCCGACTTTAACCCTCATAGCTCTGACTCACATAGGACATCCAGGCCTAGGAGTGTGAGAAACTCAGTCCAATCTTGAGTAAAAGACTCAATGGAAAAAGTGAGGGGCTGCCTGCTCTCCAGCCTTTGTGTGCCATGAAGAAGCACCAGGCCTTTGTCCAGTTCTGAGGCTGAGGGGAAGGAACCAGAGATAAATTACTTTGAAGCTCAGCTCTTCCTCCTTGAGTCAGCAGCATAAAGACAATTTCCCAACCAGACTTCCACCTTTCTCTCCTGTCTGCCCAGGAGCAAACCCCAGGAAAGAGGCCATCATGCCACCTGCAGCAATCAAGGTGACAGAGAAATACCGAGAGGCAGAGAACAAGAAAGCTGGACAACCAGAGGCCAAGCCCAAAGGTGTCCCATGTGGCCAGGCCCTGTCTAGAGTGACTTGTGTGGGCCAAGAGCCTTCACTGTCCAGAGATCAGAAACCACACCCCAGTGGATGACTGGGAGCTGCCTGCCCACCTTACCTTCAGGAGAAGGCCCTCCTGATCCCACACCTGCTCTTCAATGACCAATGTTGCTCAGCCAGGCCCAGGGGGAAGCCAGGAGGACCCTAGCTTCCATGGCTAACCTAGGGGTAGGCCCAGAGCAGAGAAGAGGGGTGCACGCACAGTGGGCCTCAAGACCCCAGGAAAAGGAGGTGTCCTCCACGCTGTGCCCCAGTGCGGGATGACCCAGAGGGATCACAGCTGCGGGGGGTTACTACACAGCCCCTCAGGAAGAGCCTGGGACAAATGCCCAGCTGTGACCCTGACTGGCAGGGCCTCACCCACATCCCTTGGGCCTTTCAGTCATTCTGCACCAAAGGCCTCTTGCAGAGCTATGGGCAGAAGTGCTGGGGAACCCTCGACCAATGGCTCTCCATAATTGGGGTACAAATCCTGCAACTCCCTACCCTTTGCATGGAGCCATTTGAGGCATGTGTGCCACATTCCCGTCCAGAGCCACCACTGCCCTACCACACTTCCAAGACAGACTCTGGCCTCAATGTCCCCTCTGGGAGAGTCCTACCTAAATAAATCTGAAAGCACTTTTGCACAACAGGCCCACCCTTTCTCCTCCTAAGAGCCCTGGAGATGTCATGGCCATGAGGGTTCCCTGAGAATTTTCCAGCACACACAGCACCATCCGGGGGTCAGAGAGATACCCTAGACCTGCCCAGATGCAGCCACCCCTGCATCTGGCACCAAGAGCCGTGGCTACACACACTCTTTGGCCTTCAAGCCTCAGCGATAGCTCACCTGGGGAAACCAAGTCAGTTGGGTGGAGCCTATCAGAGACTTTCCAGACCTACATCCCCAAGCAGGGGTTGGTCCAGGTAAGCCCCCTATGGGCGAGGAAGGGAGATGGACCAGCAGGAAGGAATGAACCTTTCTCAAGGGGACGGGAGACAAAGAAAGCTCATGGGGGTCAGAAGCTCTCACGATACAATGACCCCAGCCCATGCAACATGCTGAAATCACACTACACAGCAGGCAGTTCCTTCCCCACCTCCCAAGGCGCACACCTCACTCCTGACTCGCACCTGTCCAGGGCCTCCCTGCCCAGTAGGCTCTCCAGGAGGTCCTCTAGGAAGTACCCAGGAGCTTCTGAGCACCATGAGCATGTCTGGCCCACTGGCGCCCTCCAAGGCTGGGCCACAGCATGGGTGCTGGCAGGAACCACATGCCACTCTGGGAGGATTCAATTTTCTCTCCCTGGTTTTGAGCAGGTACCAGCATCTGCGTTCATTTTCTGCTGCTTCCATAACAAATGACCACAAACTTAGTGGCTCAGAACACTCATTTTTAGCTCAGAGTTCTGTCGTCTGGACAGGCTTGGTGGGGTTCTCTGTTAGAGTCTCACAAGGCCAAAGTCAAGGACAGGGCTGGCTCCTATGTGGTGGCTCTGGGGGAGTATCCACCTCCAGGCCATTTCAGTGGTTGGCAGAACTCAGTTCCACGCGACTGAGGGATTAAGGTCGCCTTTTCCTTGCTGACTGTCAGCCAGGGGTCATTCTCAGCGACTACAGCCACCACCTGCCCTGGTTCGTGGCCCTGTTTATCTTCAAAGCCAGCAACGGCGGGTAAAGTTGCTTTGAATCTCTCTGACCTCCCCTTCTGCTTCACTTCCTCTGCCTCTAGTTGGAGCAAGTTCTGTGCATTAAGGATGTGGGATTAGATGGAGCCCACCTGGATATCCTATTGCCTTATTCATATGTGCAAAGTCTTTCACCATGCAAGTGACATAGCACAGCTTCTGGGGGATTACAGTGTGGCCATCTGAGTGGGTCATTATTCTACCCCCACAGTCTCTCTCAAAGCCATTCTCCTGACCTCTACCCTCCCCTGCAACACTCTCCACTCCTCAAGCAGCCTAAAGCAAGAGGGAAGACAAATGAAGAGGGATGGTCCAACCCTGGAAGCCAGGCCAGGGGACTGAACTCTGGAACTGCACCTGCTGACTAAGGTGGCTGCCCAGACATGTGAGAGCCTAGCGGTCAGACTCACAATATACACCCACCTCCCAGTGGCCAACTGAAGATGGCTGCACATTCTTTCACCTGCTCTTATAGAGAAGCAGGATCCAGGTCTCCTCCCCTTGAATCTAGAATGGCCACGGACTGGTTCGGCCAATCTAGTAAGGCAAGAGTGATGCCAGGCCTGTGCCAGCCTGGACTGTAGGACACTGGCAGTTGCTATTTCCTTCCTCTTGGAGCCATGTGCTGCCATGTGACAAGCCTGACTGCTAAGGCTGCAAGGCTATGAGGAAGCCCAAGTCAGCCATGTGAAGAGGCCACGTGGAGAGAAAGACAGGCCCACCAGTCCCCAACCCTTCAAGTCAACCTGACTAATGTCCCAGATGTCATGGAGCAGAAAACAGCCATTCCCCTGTCCCCATCTGATTCCTGTCCCACAGACCCATGAAATAGAATACTAAAATTTATTGTTTTCAGTTTTATTAAACACTAAGTTTTGGAGTAGTTTGTGACACAGCAATAGAAAACCAAAACAGCCCCTCATTGACCCAACAGGACACAGATACCCATCTCAACAGAATCTTGTCCCCAGGAACCTGGTACCTGCAGAGCTGCACAAAAAGGCTGAAGGATATCAGGGCAGAGTCCTCTTCAGGACAGAGTCATGGCCCCTGCCCTCCCATGCTTGGTTGTTTAGGAATTCTGAGGTTCTGGGAGCTGCCCCAGCATCCAGCTACTAAATCCCCACATGATGAAGTCACCAAGAGTCAACTGCTATTGCTTGTTTCAAACAATCTCAACAGAAGCACTGGGTGACCATGGCCACACCAGCAAGAGAGAAAAGGGGCAGCTTAGCATAATGCTGAAAGCATCAACTATGGCAGCAGAATGTCTGTGTTCAACTCCTGGCTCTGTCACTTACTAGGTATGTGACCTTAGGTAAGTCACTTAAACTCTCTGTGTCTCAGTTTACCCATCTTCTTCCCTTTCTAAAGACCAGAACCAGATGACTTCACTGGTGAATTCTATGAAATATTTAAAGAATTAGCACCAATCCTTCTCAAACTCTTCCAAAAAATTGAAGAGGAGATACTTTCAAATTCATTTTATGAGGCCAGCATTACCCTGATACTAAAGCCAGACAAAGATTACTATAGAAAAGAAAACTACAGACAAATATCTCATATAAACAATGATACAAAACTCTTCCACAAAATGCTAGCAAACTGTATCCAGCAGCATATTAACAGAATATACTATGACCAATCAGGACTTACCCTAGGAAAGGAAGGGTGGTTCAACATGCAACAATTAATCACTGTAATACATCACACTACTACAATGAAGGAAAAAACACATCTCAATTGACGCAGAGCAAGCATTTGACAAAATCCAACACCCTTTGATGATCAAACACTTAAAACTAGGAATAGAAGGGAACTTAATGGATAAAGAGCATCTGAAAACCCACAGCTAACATCATATTAATGGTAAAAGACTGAAGCCTTCCCCCTAAGATCAGGAACAAAACAAGGATGCCCACTTTTCACCACTGCAATTCAACATTGTAAACAAAGTTGTTGCCAGAGTGATCAGGCAAAAAAAAAAAAAAAAAAGAAATAAAAGACATCCAAATTGGAAAAGAAGAAGTAAAACTATATTCAGAGATGATATGATCTACTATGTATAAATCCTAATGAATCCACAAAAAAACTATTTATTAGAGCTAATAAATCATTAAATTTGCAATATACAAGATCACTATGCAAAAATTGCTGTATCTCTACATATTAGCAATGAACAATCTGTAAAGGAAATTAGGAAAACAATTCCATTTATAAAAATTCATAAAAGAATAAGATACTTAGGAATAAATTTAGCCTAGGATATGCAAGACTTGTACACTGAATACCACAAAATATTGTTGAAAGAAATTTTAAAATACTTAAATAAATGGAAAGATATCCCATGTTTGTGGATTAATATTGTCAATATGGCAATACCTTCCAATTTTTCTACAGATTGAATGCAATCAAAATCCCAACATCTTTTTTTGCAGAAATGGAAAAGCTAATCCTAAAATTCCTATGAAAATACAAGAAAGCAAGAAGAGCCAAAACAATCTTGAAAAAAGAAGAACAAAGTTGGGAGACTCACGCTTCCTGGTTTTAAAACTTACAAAGCTACAGTGTCAAAACAGTTTGATACTGAGATAATAATAGATACATAGGTAATCATATGGATAAATGGAATAGGATAGAGAGCCCAGAAATAATCCCTCACATATATGGTCAAATTATTTTCAACAAGAGTACCAAGTCCATTTAACAGGGAAAAGAACAGCCTCTTTAGCAAATGGCGCTGGGACCACTGGATAGCCATAGGACAAAGAATGAAACTGGACCCTTACCTCACACCCTGTACAAAAATCAACTCAAAATTAAAGATCTAAATGTAAAAAGGTAAAACTTAAATTCTTTGAAGAAAACATACGAACAGGGAGGCCGAGGCGGGCGGATCACGAGGTCAAGAGATCGAGACCATCCTGGTCAACATGGTGAAATCCTGTTTCTACTAAAACTACAAAAATTAGCTCGATGCAGTGGCACGTGCCTGTAATCCCAGCTACTCGGGAGGCTGAGGTAGGAGAATCACTTGAACCCAGGAGGCGGAGGTTGCAGTGAGCTGAGATCATGCCCCTGCACTCCAGCCTGGCAACAGAGCGAGAATCCATCTCAAAAAGAAAAAAAAAAGAAAACATAGGAAAAAATCTTCACAGCATTAGATTTGGCAATGTTTTCTCAAATAATACAGCAAAGACACAAGCAACAAAATAAAAAATAGATAAATTAGACTCCATTAAAATTTAAAACTTTTATACACCAAAGTTTACTACTGAGAAAGTGAAAAGACCACCCACAGAATGGGAGAATATTTGCAAATCATATATCTGATAGAGGTCTAATATTCAGAATATATAAGTAACTTACATACTCAACAACAAAAAGACAAGCAAGCAATTAAAATATGGGCAAACAGCTTAAGTAGACTTTGTCCAGTGAAAACATACAAATGGCCAACAAGTACATAAAAGATGTTCAATATTATTAGTCATTAGGGAAATGCAAATCAAAACCACAATGAGATACAACTTCATTCTTACTATGACGGCTGTAATTTTTTAAAGTGAAAAACAACAAGATGCAGAGAAACTGGAGCCTGCATACACTATTAGTGGAAATGTAAAATGGTGCATCTCCTTAGCAAAACAGTTTTACAGTTCTTTGATAAGTTAAACATGGAATTACCACATGAGTCAGCAAGCCCACTCATAGGTATATACCCCCAAAATTAAAAACAGGTGTTCCTATACATGAACATTCATAACAGCTCTATTCACAATAGCCAAAAAATGGAAACAACCCAAATGGCCATCAATGAATGCATATTATTCACCTATTAAAAATATGAAATACCGATACATGCCACAACATGGATGAATGGAGAATGTCTGCTTAATGGGTGTAAAGTGTACATTTTGAGTGATGAAAAACTTCAGGTACTAGATACTGATGATGACTGCATAACACTGTGAATGTACTTAATGTGACTGAATTGTACACTTTAAGATGGTTACAACAGTAATTTTAGGGGAGGGGAATAATAATAGTATTATTGCATAAAATACTTATGAAGAGTAAGGTAAATTAAAGGACATAACCTTTGTAGAGTGCTTAGAACAGTGCCTGGTACACAGTTGGTATTACAGAGTTCTAGAGAGAGGAAGAAAAAGAGAAAGAGGTAGCAGCATCACCCTTGAACGTGGGGGAAGAAACTCTGAAAGGAAGCGGAAGGGCTTCCCAGCCTTTTATACAGAGGGAGGTCAACAGGAGTCTGAGAACTCTACCCATTAGTTCTATTTTCTATGAGGCACAAGAATTCTCAATGGCACCTAGAACCTGGCACCTGCCTTGCGAAGCCAGCTCAGGGACTCCCTCTAGGAGACAGCAGGGTGCAGAGATCAGACTGCATGGACATAGGGCCACCATCCAGACACTCAGTCCTTTGACAACAGCAAAACAAGGAAGTTATTGTTCTGCACAATGTCCAAAACACACTGACCCACATGCAGACAGAAAGACCCCCTTCACCTGACTCCAGATCCCCAAATATGGTCCACACCTTCACTCCTCAGGATAGAAGCCTTCCAGTTGTTGACCTGTGGAACCTTCCCTGTGCATCTCCAGCCTTATCCCACCTCCACACTTCCCTCCTGCCGCACTACACCCACCTGCACTAGGCCCTCATGCTGTGCTCCTCCTCCACTTGGCCTGTGCCTCTGCTGTTCCCTCCAACTGGAACTGTCCCTTTTTCACCTGGCTAAATCCAATGCACTCAGATCTCAGCCCACAGAACAAATTCTCATTCGGCCATGTGCCTGTCCCTAGTACGATCTGTCATTTGTCTGTGTGACATTAATGTCTGCACTCTGATGGTCTCTACACTGATGGCCAGGCCCCCAGGAACAAGGATCAGGGAACTCCAGGGTTCCTCCCTCCCCATGCCCACCTCCTCACCATCATTGATCCTCCCAGCCAAGGACTCTGCACTGAAGCCAGCAAAGATGACTGTGTGGACAGCTCCGATCCTGGCACAGGCCAGCATTGCTGCCACAGCCAATGGGGACACGGGCATGTAGATGGCAACACGGTCCCCACGGTGGACTCCATGCCTCTTCAGCGTGTTGGCCAGGCGGCACGTGGTCTCCAGTAGTTCCCTGCAGCACAGGGAAGAGAAAGCCATCAGAGATGGAGGAGGGCCAAAATGCAGAGCAGTTTGGGGGTGGAGCAATACTGCAAATTTTATGTCATATACATCCAGCCCAGTGCCAGGAAAACAGGCACTTGAATACTTAATGCATGGAAAGTACTTTTCCAGAAAAAGAAAAGTTTTTAACATTTGTAGATTGCTATTGGCAGAGATTCACTGCCACATTGCTAGGGTGACAAGGCTATCCTTAAGTCCGCTTACGGCAGGGTTTTTTTAGGGGAACAGGAGCGTAGGGGAGCCATGGTGACACCATTTTAGAATCAATTCCATCTTAAAACTAGCAAGGCACATTCCTTGCCAGTCATGACCCACAGTCATAAGATGTTTACAGCTGACGAAGTAGCTTAATACCTGCAAAGACAAACTCTTGCAACAACAGAATGTCCAGATGCCCCAATATTGCATAATATATGCTTTTAAGATGATTATAGGCATGCTTTGATGTACTTATGCACTAAAATGCCAAGGATAGCTTTCTTTCAATCAACAAAGTAATAAATGTCACTTCGTCAGCCTACCCGCAGGGAGACATAGCTTAGCTTTTACATAGATAAGACCCCTATATAAGAAAGAAACAAAACAGAGGCATTCCTCCTCTTGCTGAGGATGCCCTACTATGTAACTGAGAAGCTTTCAATAAACTATCTCTTTTCACTGCGCTCTGCCACTCGCCTTGGATTCCTTCCCGGCATGATCCAAGAACCCTCTCCTGGGATCCGGATGGGGACCCCTTTTTCCAGCAGCAGCTTCTCAGGGACCACAAGTGTCTGAGGCATAGATCATCATGGTTCCAAAACTTCCGAAAATGTTTGCCTCCAAAAGAAAGACTGATCTCATAAGACATTTAGTCGAGAAACAACAGGTCCCAGATTTCTGAATCAACACAGTCGAGGGGCACCAAATAATGCTCTCAGGGAGCAGACCCCCAAGCCCAGATAGGGCGGACTCCAGCTCTGCAAAGCCACAGTGAGTTGGGAGTGAAGACCGCAAGCAGGGCAGCCACAACTCCCTGCAGCCCCGAGACAGCACTGGCGGGTAGAGCAAGCACCCTGCTTTCTCCCCAAGCTAGGGGACCATGGACAAGGGGAAGGGAAAGCACTGGGCACAAGGTGGGTGAGCAGCACCCCCGCCCAGCCCCCATGTCGTCCACCACGTTGCCTATGTCTATGGTGTGCGCATGCCCTTCCTCTCTGGCCACTCTGGGGCCTATCACCAGGTTCACCCACCACTCAGGGCGCATCATCTCTCTGGGCAAGCTGATTGGCTCAGGGCCGACACGTGACCCAACCTGGTCCAGTCAGAGTCAACCATACTCAACTCCGGGAAAACTGGGAGCAGGCGAGAGCCGCCAACTTGCCGGCCATGCGGTGCGAAGTGGAGGAAGTGGAAGCGATCCCAAGGTTGTCTTTCCTTTCGGCGCCTCATCCCTCTGAATCTGGACCTGGCAATTGCATTAACCACTTTCCCACTCTTGCTGTACTGACTTTAATTAATTATTTGCAATAAAAAGAGCTAACACAGAACGAAGAATGAGGGGAAGCCAAGGCCCTTTCTCTCTGGGCGGGGCAGACCACCAGCCCGCGACCCCTGCCCTCTGCAGGGGCCCAGAAAGCAGACCCTCCTCGGGCTCTCAAGGCCGCTCGCAGCGTGTTTGCATAGCTCTCCTCTGTTCAAAGGGTAGTCAAGGAAAGGGCTCCCGAGAACAGTGAAGCTCAACGAGGCCACCCGGGAAACCACAGCAGAATGAAAATGAGCTGTCCGCATCACAGGCAGGGGCCTCAAGGAGGCCTTTGTTTCTTCCCAAGGCCATCTGCAGAGGGGACCACATGAGAACCAGATCGCAAGGCCAGCCCGCAGTTCTCCCCGCAGCCAGCACGCCTGCCCAGCCTGGCTCCAGCGGCCTCTTCTGTGGGATTTCATCGTTTTCCCTTCAGGCTTTCAGAAGGAGGACAAAGGCGCCTTTCAGTGGCGCCCCACCCACGCACCCCTTGCCAAGGTTTATGATAAAAGACGGAACACTCCCCCGGAAAACCCCCAGCACCAAGCTCTACAGAATCTAGGGCTCAGAAACACTCCTGCTACTCCGGGGAGGAGGCTGGGGTGGCCTGTGACCGGCTGAAGAGGGAGCCGTGGTCCAGAGTCACTCAACATCTTCAGCCAGATTCCGTTTTCATAGCTCTGAGAGCTTAAGCCTCGCTGCTACCAGAGATGAAGGCTTGAATTATGCTCACCAGTTAAATGGCGATGAAATTTAGTCCCTGTTCTGCAGACGGAGGGCAGCAATCTGAAGCCAAGAAAGGACACTGGACTGTCCCTACAGAAAGGCCTGGGGTAGCTTTCTGTAGTAGCTGCCTAGACATGGGAGCTTATCTTTCTGAGCTGCCATGTGACCATCTGAGAAACAGCAAGCACCCTCCACCTTGTACAGCTGTCACAAGTATTAATAAAAAGCAAGACTGACTTGGAACTCTGCCAAACATTCAGTAGCTATCGTCTTTCCCATCAGATGGAAATTCTCAGAAATCTTTGTTTGAAATCGTTTTCTAAAATGACAAAAACCAGCTAACTCACTTCAGTGAATTCCTGAGATGTTAAAAATCCCATTCTAGGCACCTTGGGAGTGAGTGGGGTGTTTGCATTTGAGAAAGGAATTGACAGGGAGAGTGTCCTCCAGGAGCACAGCTCCGATGAGGAAATGACGGCACATGTGAAGGTGTGCAGGGCACTGAGCAGCTCAACTTGGTGGTACAGCCACTGGGGGTGGCAGGGAAGGGCAGCAGGGAGAGCTTTCTGGATAGATTGGCTGTTGGGAGGAGGACTGGGGCAGAAAGAAGAGTGGATTTTCCCTATAGGGGCAGAAGTCACCCAGTCATTGAAGCTGGACAGCTAAACGACAGCCTCCAGGGAGGGTCTAGAGACCAGGTTTCCCTGGAAGACTGAGGGGCCTCAACATGGGCCCAAGAGCTGAAGCAGGGTCTGGTGAGTCTCACACTCTTGCTGCTGAGTCCAGAGGAGGGGCTCCTGATGAAGGATTTGATCCGGTAAATCTCAGAGCTCTCTCCCTTCCTATTTTCTCTGCCAAGGTCATAAACCTTGAAGTGGAAAGGATCCTTGGACGTCAGGCGGTGCAGCCTCCTTGAGGTTCTGAAATCTGGCAGCCACATTCTGGCCTACAGCAGTCCAGCCTCTACTTAATCATCACACTGCCAGAGCTCACCTCATGGGGCCACATCTCTGTCACTTTAATAGGGAAACAGTCTACCAAAAATTGGACCAAGATTTGCAGCTCTTCAAACTCCACCCCTTAGTCCTACCTCAGACCTTTAAAGCTTCCCAGAATAAATCTAATTTCTCAATGACAGCCCTTCAAATTCCTGAATACTCCTTGCCCCTCATCCTCTTGGAAGCTTTTCCTCCCCAGGTTCTCTGGTCGAGCCCTCCATGACGGCACTCGATCTCAGTAGACACCCCCAGACTTCCAAATGGACCCCCACATTCTCATGGTGCCTGCCCAGAGCTGAATGTGGGTACCCAGACCCTTGACCTCAATTCTATATTTAACCTTTTTTTTTTTGAGGTGGAGTTTCGCTCTTGTTGCCCAGGCTGGAGTGCAATGGCACGATCTCAGCTCACTGCAACCTCCACCTCCCAGGTTCAAACAATTCTCCCACCTCAGCCTCCCGAGTAGTTGGGATTACAGGCATGCACCACCATGCCCAGCTAATTTTGTATTTTTAGTAGAGACGGGGTTTCTCCATGTTGGTCAGGCTGGTCTTGAACTCCCGACCTCAGGAGATCCACCCACCTCGGCCTCCCAAAGTGCTGGGATTACAGGCATGAGCTATCACCACGCCAGGCCGACCATATGGATTTTTTGTTTTTTGTTTTTTGTTTTTTTTGAGATGGAGTCTCGCTCTGTTGCCGAGGCTGGAGTGCAGTGGCGCGATCTCCACCCACTGCAAGCTCCGCCCCCTGGGTTCATGCCATTCTCCTGCCTCAGCCCAGCCGGAGTAGCTGGGACTACAGGTGCCCGCCACCACGCCTGGCTAATTTTTTTGTATTTTTAGTAGAGACGGGGTTTCACAGTGTTCACCAGGATGATCTCAATCTCCTGACCTCATGATCCACCTGCCTTGGCCTCCCGAAGTGCTGGGATTACAGGTGTGAGCCACCGCACCCGGCCGACCATATGCATTTTTAAAATACCTGACAGGTGGCTCAAATTCAACATGAGGTCACTAACCTGCACCCTCCCAACTCCTAATACATGTAACAGATGCCCTTTAACTAGGGCTTGCTCCTATTATGGCCATGGAAATGTTTTGTGTTTTTTTAAAGCAGGCTTTCCATTTATCCCAATCTAATTCTATCTCAATTTCTCCCCATCTTTCCAGGTGACTTTTTTTTTTTTTGAGATAGAGTCTCACTCTGTCACCCAGACTGGAGTGCAGGGGTGCCATCTCCGCTCACTGCAACCTCCACCTCCCAGGTTCAAGGGATTCTCCTGCCTCAGCCTCCTGAGTAGCTGGGACTACAGGCGTGCACCACCACACCCAGCTAATTTTTGTATTTTAGTAGAGACAGGTTTCACCATGTTGGCCAGGCTGGTCCTGAACTCCTGACCTCAAGTGATCCACTGGCCTTGGCCTCCCAAAGTGCTGGAATTACAGGCATGAACCACCACACCCAGCCAATTTTTGAAGCCTGGATTTTTAAGTTTAAACTCTCATTTTTCATTAGTAATATCCTCCAGACATATATTATTGGAAAATATGGTCAGCAAACCTAGGTCTTCAAATCATTGAAAAATAAATGTTGTTCAAGTAAGTGATCCTGCCATTCCAAGTACTCAGGAACCATTTGAAAGCATGTTTTTGGATATTCATAATTTCTCAGACTTCCACAAACCGAAATGTTACTGTTTCTGTATCAGAAAGATAATGCAGCCACTCAGTGACTGGTGCCTTGGGCTACAGTTGCAGGAAACAGTGGCTTCCTCACTACCTGCAGGATCCTCTTATGTAGCACCCTAGTGGGTTTCCAAAGCACGGGGACATGCAGCTTTCTGAGTCACTAAAATGAGTTAGAGTTTTACTTTTAAGTCCAAGAAGAAATATAACACTTGTTGTTCAGGTACTGAGCAGGATATTTAGGTTTGTCTGCAGTGTACTCTGCCGGGTCAAGCTTTTGGTGCAGACGTATGCAAATGATGTGCACAAAAATACAAATGTGGCCTTGTGTTCCTGGTGCTTAACACTAGGAAAACGCTGACTGGCCTTGGGGAAGGAAGAAGACTTATTACCAACTCTTAACATCAATTGGGAATAACTTTTATCCAATGCTAAAGATACAATCTGACTGCAAGTAATTGTGACCAACACGATAACTGCCTGAACTCAGACGGTACAACTGCACCCCTGCCCCCCACCCCCCGCCTCAGAATTTAAAATTAGTCCAAAACAGGAAACAGCTGGAAACAGAGTTCAGAGAAAAGAGAGGAAGAAATACACTGGTATTTATTTTTTCATCTGTCTTTCAATCAGAGCTAGTTTTGTCACGGTTAATATTGAAAGTGTCTTTTCCTCCTAGACATTTCCTGATGAAGGCCCAGGATAAGTAAGTCCTGTGTGTGCTCTCGTGTTTAAGAAATAAACAAATTAAGGCTGGGCATAGTGGCTCACAGCTGTAATCCCAGCATTTTGGGAGGCTGAGGCAGGCAGATCACTTGAGGTCAGGAGTTTAAGACCAGCCTGGCCAACCATAGCAAAACCCTGTGTCTACTAAAAATACAGAAATTAGCCAGGCGTGGTGCTGCATGTCTGAATCCCAGCTACTTGGGAGGCTAAGGCAGGAGAATCGCTTGAACCCAGGAGGTGGAGATTGCAGTGAACTGAGATCCCATCACTGCACTGCAGCCTGGGTGACAGAGCTAGACTCTGTCAAAAAAAAAAAAAGAAGAAGAAGAAAGAAAGAAAAAGAAAGAAAGAAGAAAGAAAGGAAGGAAGGAAGGAAGGAAGGAAAGAAAGAAAGAGGGAAAGAAAGAAATTGAGAATGCATGATTGTTTATTGCTTACAATTATTCTGGCAGTCAGTATTCATGAAATAAACATTAGCTAACAGACTTCTTTGTTGTCCATCAAGTACAAGGTCTGCTTGGGTAGAGATCTGGGTTTTGCTTATTGCCTTCCTCCTGGCATCCACCTAGCTCATATAAGGTACTCAATAAATATTTGTTGAGCAAATGGGCGCAGCAGGTGAGCATGAAGTGGGAAGGACCTCCACCAAGAGCGACACCCACCCTGCAGACACCCTGTGTCCTCCTTCCCCTGAGGGGCTAGGCTGCTGTCACCTTGCATCACGCTGGCATGAAGATGTGCTGCTGCTCTGAGAAGCAAATGGGAAGGACCCCCTCTGAGAAACCAGCCTACAGAAACGTTTCATTTTCTTCTGCCAATAAGGGAAGTAAACCCAGGTAATTGTCTTGATATGTGAAGGCCTCTGACAGACACAAAGCATTTCCTCAGGCTCAGTCACTTCTCTCCAAGCACCGGTGCTGATGGGGGCTGGGGAAGGCCAACTCCATGGTCTAGATCCAAAACTTGAAAGGACATTCCTATGCTGTCTCTAGAATTTGATATTTTCTTCAGCATGCTGTGTCAGGAACATATTCGTAGTAAGAGAAGAAAGGATCAGCCTTAGGGAAGGGAAGCCTGGCGAGGCTGACCCCTTCTCACGCAGGAGGAGCGTGGAAGGCCACGCAAAGCATGGATGGCCAGCTCGCATCTCATGGACCCAGGCCTGGGGAACAGACTCCTTCCCTCCTGGCAGCCTCCTCTGGCCCTGACATTACTGTAGCCACTGACTGTCATTCAATGGTGGTAAGATTTGCTCACTCTGCTGAGAGAACAGAAGACCAGGAAGTCAGCTAGCAGGGCTCATAAACCAAGTATGAAATTTCTCACGTCATTATTTGATGTCATGACCATGACATTTAGCAAAGAGAAGCTGCCGTGAAAACATAAAGTGGCAGCCGCACTTGAACATGAATGGTCCCCTGGGCCAAGGCGGGCCCAGGCACAGCGAGGGCCCCCAGGAGACATGAGCTGAGTTGCTAGTAGTGATGCCAGCTCAGCCAGTAACAAGATCACTAAAGCTATGTGTGTTCTAAATTCCTTATGGAAAGTGAAAGTCTCTTCCCTGAGGTTTTGCTAGACTCTGTGGAAAGCGCTGAACCTGCAAGTTTATCACTCAGGAGTCTCACGGGAGGCCAAACAATGACTGATCAGAGAGCAGGGTTCCCAACACAGCCCCCCACACCACTGGGGCCTGAACTGTCTCATCTGTGAAATGGCCTAATAATAGGACCCACTACCAAGGTGGTCGTGGAGACCAAATATGAAGTTGCAGGCACCTTTGAAGGTGACCTGTAAACAGTGGCCATAATGACTGCAGAAAATACAAGACATGGGAAAAAGAGAATTATTGAACACTGATGGACCTTTAAGAAAGGTGGGCACCTCAGGCACCTCCTTCTCAGGAGGGCAGGTGCAAAATGCTGGTTTGCCTTATGGAAGCTGCAGTCTCCGTGTCGCCGGCTCAGGGCACATGCACCTCAGCTGTGTGAATGCCTTGCAGGAAGCCCTCACCTGCACAGCCTGCCTGCTCCATGCCCCCAAGGCAGGTGCTGAGGGCGGGAGTAGATCTGAGAAGGATGCAGAGCCTCCTACAGTTGGGGTTGCTGCCAGTCTGGGGGTTCCAGGCACTCAGCCCGAGGCCTGTGCTTCCAAAAGGCCAGAGGGAAGGCAGTTCCACCCCACATGCTCTGCACAGCCTACCACCATCTGCCATGTCGTCCTGTCACTGCCCCCCTGCTGGCTACCCAAGCTTCTCCAGCCATGATTGCCTGCCACTGCCAGCACAGGAAACCTCCTCTCCAGGCCCATGGCCTCCTACCTCCTCTGCATCCAGGGGGTATTCCCTCCCCTGCCCCTCCTCCCACTTGTCCTCACCCCACCCTCAGTTCACAGCCCCATCCCATGGAACAAGGACAGAACAGCTATCAAGCAAGTATCCTGTACCCAGGGCTGCTCCCACAGAGCAGGTTCCCATGGAGAACCCACTTAACCCTCACAACAGCCCATAGGTTCTGAGCTCCCCTTCCCTTCTTCACTTTCCTGATGAGGAAATTGAGGCATAGAGAAGTTGGGCCACTTTCTCAAGGCTATTCAGCTGAAGGAGTCAGGGCAGGATTCAAACCCAGGCCCAGCTCCAGGGGCCTTGCTGTCAGCCAGCTCCTCAGTATCAGAACCACTCCTATTGCAAAGGCTCCCAAACTTCAAAAGATTTGCCATCTGCCAATGCTATAATTATTCATGTAACATTTTTCTTGAGTTAGTTCACTTTTTTAATATAAATTTATTCTAAGAATGAACCTGAGGCTGATTCTCATTCAAAAGGGAAAGTTAGCAAGAGAAGTGCCCAAAGTCCCCACACGCATGGGGGTTCAATTGAGCCTTTCTTCTTGTCCCCAGAATGGAGGACAGGGCCGAGGGTGGGTGTGGAATGGCGTTTTCCTTCATCATTCAGTGTTTGGCTCCTCATTCAGGGCCACCTGCCCAGGGCATGCCTCCCCAGGCACAGGCAGGTCAAATCCCACATCCTTAGTTTTTCTTTTCTCCTCTAACCAGAGCCCAGGATGCAGTCAGCTTCTAAGAAAGCCTTGTAGGACTAAAGTACCAGGCCAGACTCCAGAGAAGCTCTGTCCTCATTCCTGTTAACGCCTGGTTTTCCCTTCGACCTCAGCACTTGGCCTTTGGCCCAAGTCTTGTCTCTGGAAAGGAAGTTCTTTCCCTTCCAGACACAAAGCCCAGCTCACATGACTGCGGGAACCAGGTGTCAATGCCTGAAGAACTCTGGAAGCTCCTGCAGGCTGGCAGCCCAGGACAAGAGCACACTGGGGGACTGGAGTCCTGGAAGCCAGCCCCGAGAACAGCTGGTGCCCTGGCAGAACATTCGCCCCTGGCTGGACAGACTTGTTTACCTCCTGGGAGAAAGCCACAGAAGTGAGTCCTTTCCCTTGTGGAATTTGGAAAGGGGTGTAGGTTTTAACATTCTGTAAACATTCACTTTCCCCTGTGGTTAAAAAAAAAACCACAGGAGATTTTTCAGGTCCCACTCCAAGTTTGCACACCCCACATGCCCTCTGTTCCGTCTCTCTGAATGGCTCTACCAGAGCCCATTCGGCTGCCACAGACACAGCACAACACAGGGCAGCCAACTTCACACAGAACGCTCCAGAGCCTGGACGCAGGTTGGGGGTCCTTCTATTTATCAGGCTTTCCTGGGAGTCCACACAACATTCCAGATTAACACCTGGAGGAGAGTAAGCCCTGGAGGGGAAGTTCACAGACACAGCCACACAGGTGGAAATCCAGAGAGCACAGCCACTTGGCATACCTGCCTCGGGCCCAGCGACTTTCCTTGCCTCTTGGCAGCAGCCTAGAGAAGCATCAAACTCCTCCAAAGAACAGGAGGCTCCTGCTCCCCAGTGCTGTGCTGGATAACAGCCAGTTTCTCTGCAAAAGAAGCCTTGACTTATAACATTTGCCAGTGATCATGGTGCAAATATTTCCACCGCTGATTCTCGGCTCCTGATAGGACTGACTGCACAAGGAAGATATGCACACACAACTGCTCCACGGAGCCCGTTTGACACTAGCCCCAGCCTGGGAGCCTGCAGCCCCAATACCCAAACCACCCAGCCCCAGGGGCAGCCTCCTCCTCTATCTTTGCAGCCACACCCCAGAAGCTGCCCAGATGCCCCACCCCAGGCCACCCTTAAAGTTCACTTGAACTAATTTTCCCCTTTATAAAACAATAATTGTTAATAATTTATGATTTCATTCCTTTTATTGAATAATTATTCATTTAAGGATAAGTAATTGCTAATAAAAACCTGTTAATTTGTCCGGGCGCAGTGGCTCATGCCTGTAATCCCAGCACTTTGGGAGGCCAAGGCGGGTGGATCACGAAGTCAGGAGATTGAGACCATCCTGGCTAACACGGTGAAACCCCGTCTCTATTAAAAATACAAAAAATTAGCCGGGCGTGGTGGCAGGTGCCTGTAGTCCCAGCTACTCAGGAGGCTGAGGCAGGAGAATGGCGTGAACCCAGGAGGCGGAGCTTTCAGTGAGCCGAGATTGCGCCACTGTACTCCAGCCTGGGTGACAGAGCGAGACTCCGTCTCAAAAAAAAAAAAAAAAAACCTGTTAATTTGGAAGGAAGGTGAGAAGCAAAAGCATGCAGCTTTTTCAGTCCACCCCGTGTGACCTCCAGGCCACACTCCCTCTGACCCTGGGTTTAAGATGGCATGGAGGGTCTGCATAAGCTCACGGCTGGGCTTCCACAGATGGCACCGTACTCCCGGGCATAAGGCCACGGGCTGAGAGCACGCCCACAGACTCTCCATGGCAGCCCTTGTCCCCAGGCCACCGCACGTGGCCTTGCAGCTCATCCCTGTTCAAAGGCACTACCCCAGGGATGCTGGAATCTGCACCAGGCAGAATACCCCTTTGGGAGGGGAGCCCTTCCACAAAAGTGGCCCCATTCACACTGGGAAAACATGCCAGAAACCATACAAAATGTTAGCCTGGAAAACTGTCCCACAATTTAGTTGTGAAGTCCAAAAATCTAATGGGTTTCTAATGTGAAGATAGAAGACTGTTCTTGTTGAAAACGGGCTGGCCTACTGGGAATCCACATGAGATGGGCCACCGTGGGTGGAATAAATACATCAGGGTGAAGACCAGAGCCTGTTAGTTACAGCAGATTTTGAACAGCTGTGGTGGCCAAAGGCCTTTGCACACTGGAGTGACTTTGAGGGTTTGGTCACCTGCATGAGGAGGAAGGACGCCAGACTCCATTCGAGTGGCCTGGGATCCAAGAAGGTACAGGTGGGATCCTCCTGCCCTAACAGTGGGTTGTGGAGCCCAGGTGTCAGCCCAGTCAGGTTCCACAACCCACCCGCTGGCCTAGAATTGCCTGTGGTCGCCCCAGAGAATTCTCAGAAAGGTCCTGTCCCCAACAAAGAGGTCTCTGTGGACATAAACTCCCTCAGTGTGGGTCACTGTGCTGCAGTCTGAAGATGGGGCCTCTCTAAACTACGACGTGCCAGGACCTCGGCACCCAGGAGAACGCAAGGGAGCACAGGCAGCGTGCGTAGGAAGACCCCAAATATTCCAGTGGCAGCAGCCGCAGCCTGGGGCTGGAGGAAAGGTGGATGCTGCTTCAAAAACAGCCCACCCCGAGTAACATGGGATCCTATCAGATTCTGGCTGTAGCGTGCAGATTCCAGACCAAGGGTCCCAGCCCAAGTCTCAGAGGCTGCCCGGGCACCCTCCTCTCAGGTGGGGCAGCTAGGCCGGGACTCCACGCCTCACCCCACCATGGGAGCCCCACAGACCACACCGAGTTTGCCTTCCACGACAGCCGCTGTGTCACACACGGGTCAACGAGGCTGTTCCCCCACAGCCTCCCGTGAGTTAGGATCCTCCCCCAGCTGCCCTGATGTTTTAATAAGGGAGTGTGCTCACTAGGGTAATTAACTTGGGAGGTGAGCAGAAGAGCAAGGGGCAAGGGTCACCCACTAGGGACATGGGGAGGGGGCACACTTTAGCTGATGTACGTGTCCTCCCAGGCAAAGTCCCGCTGAGTACCGTCACCCCTGAAATCACCACCCACCCACTCTCGGCCCCAGCAGCCATGGGGCCACCCATGTCCTGCCCTTCTTCAAATCTGAAACCCTTTGCTGGCCTTCCTTCACCTGGCCCTGACCTGCAGCTGAAACGGACCCTCATCCTCCAGACACCCCTCTGGTTTTCATCCCACATGCCCCTCTCCACGCCCAGCAGCCCAGTGGAGGAGAAGTGTGACTGCATTTTGCAAATGAGAAAACCAAGGGTGGGAGAGGTGGAGTGACAGGCTCTAGGTCCACAGCCAGGGTCAGGCTGGGCAGAGCACAGCCTCCTGCCTCCACCAGGTCCTGGGCCCTGGCCCCTCCCCCTGCCAGGGACAGGGCAGGCAGGGCACAGCCTCCCGCCTCCACCACTTCCCAGACCCTGGCTCCTCCCCGTGCCATGTCCTCACCAGTCCCCCACTCCTGCCTTCGCCACACTTC
This sequence comes from Homo sapiens, assembly GCF_000001405.40. NCBI lineage: Eukaryota > Metazoa > Chordata > Mammalia > Primates > Hominidae > Homo > Homo sapiens. The sequence continues at coordinate 25,043,187 of NC_000020.11, forward strand.
CCCTTCCTCTGCCTCTCAAAACTCAACCCTCCACAAAGCCTTCTCCACCTAAGTGTCTGTGACAGGACTTCCTGCTTCCTGCTCCCCCCAAGGGACCAGCCACTTCTGTGACCTCCCTAAATGGCTGTGTTCGAAGACATCCAGGGCTGACAACAGAAACAAGCCTCTCAGAGAGGTGGCCCCAGGCTCAGTCCCCACCCCACCACAGCTGGAGTGTGTGGCAGCTCCCTCTGCCTAGGGTGAACGGCCAGGCCCTGTCATGCACAGCCCTGCAGGCCTCCGCATCAGGTGCCAGGCCTCACAGATTCGCAGTAAAGCCCCATGCCCAGCCCAGCACAGCACACCCAGGGAGAAAACCTCCCTCAGCTTCCTGGGACTCTGAGGTAGGTGGGGTTGGGGGAGGCCTGACATCCCCTCTGCTTCTCTGGTCAGGGGTTTCTCACTGTGCACGACCCCACCCAATAAAAAGGCCAGGAAGGAACAGCCACAGAAATCACCCCCACCAGCAGGAGTTTCCACGGGGGAACAGCTCCCAGAGTGGCACACGATGCCTGTGCTTCCTCACAGACTCGGGGCCCAGCTCTGCTCCTCCGTGCTTCATGCACGCCTGCCAGGGCTGGAATACTGGGGCCATTGAATCCCTCCTTTTACAGATGAGGACACCAAAGCCCAGAGGGATGGGTCCAAGGCCATAGGACAAGCCGGAGCTAAAACTTGGTCCTCTGGCTTAAGATGCTCTCATTTAAGTTCAAGTTTAAGTTCACACCCCCCTACAGAGACCCTCAGAGAAGAGGTTCACTGATTTGGAGGCTCTGCAGGCACCCCCAGCCTGGCACCCACAGTCCACTCTCTCCTCTGTGTGGGGGCATACCCTGCTGGCTGAGAAGATCTGGACCTGCACAGGGCCTCAGGCTGCTTCCTGCACCTGGAGTCCAACCCTAGCCTGGGAATTCCTGGCCCAGACCCCAGGCTCCAGGCTCCAGGCAGGGAGAAACACACCAGCTAGGCAGCAGCCATCTCAAAGCCTCATTCATCTACCTGGGCCACCGCTTTTCCGAAAGAGAGGAACTTGCATTTCTCCACATGGCCACCCCCCAGGGTCTCTAGAACCTGCCCATGTGAACTACAGTGTGAAGGACAGTCTTCTAAAACAGGCACCGGCCAGGCGCGGTGGCTCACACCTGCAATCCCAGTACTTGGGAGGCCAAGGTGGGCAGTCACTCCAACCCAGGAGTTCCAGACCAACCTGGGCAGCATAGCGAGACTCCATCTCTACAAAAAATAAAAAGCTTAGGCTTGGTGGCACACACCAAGCTATTGGGAGGCTGAGGCAGGAGAATCACTTGAGCCCGGGAGGTCAAGGCTACAGTGAGTTGTGACAGTACCACTACACTCCAGCCTGGGTGACATTTTTGAGCCCCTGCCTCAAAAATCAATAATTAAAAATAAAATAAAATGGGCACCTGCTGGAGAAGTGCAGGTAAACAGCCAGAAAGAGCCACTGCCGTCCCAGAGTGCTGCCTGGCCCCACAGCCTTGGGGCCACTAGGCCTACAGCCTCTGGCAGGCACTGTCCTGCTCTGGGCTTTCAGCCTGCTGGCTCACCAGGGGAGAAGGGCTGCCTCAGCTGGCTCCGGGCAGAGGAAGGCTGGAAATGGAGCTGGGACCCTGGAGTCGGGTGGCAGACTGCCCTGGGAGATGGGTGCACACGTCCCAGGCTGAGCCCTTCACCTCCCAGTGGGAATTGAGGACTGCATTTGTGAAGGAGGAAGCGGGGCAAAACCGCGGCAGGGGAGGGGGTCCTCCTCTCCAAGCCCTGCAGCCAGCCAGCACGAGGTCCAACCTCGCTGCCCAGTTACAATGCTGAAAACAGCTCTAGAATCCAGTGAGTACTCAATAAATAGCAGCTACATCATTATCACGGCTATTCTTACTTGCTAGTGCGTTCGGGCTGTCATCTCCCTGTGCCTACTTTACAGTCATCTCCATTGTGATAATTACCCTGGGTGTACAGATGGGAAAGTCACACCCGGGGAGATTAGGGAGCTGCACAAGGTCACAGGCCAGCAGCAGGATGGTACTGAACTAGAACTAGAACGGGCCTCTTTCTGCTGACCCTGCACCCCAGAGGACCTGGGGAAGCAGGGATTGCAAATCCTCCACTTGCAGGGTAAAGGCCATGGGCACCCGTCCCAGGGCTGCATCTGCCTGTGCTGACCCAGCGTCACCTGTGCCTAAGGTCACGGTGGGGACCAGAGTCGGGAGGTTTCCCTTGCCAGGTCACCTGGGATTGTAACACACAGACTTCCTCACACCCTGCAAGCTTCCTGCATCGGCACCAGCGTCCCAACCTCTACCAGCCCCACGGGGTTTCTTTAAAGGGCCCAGGCTGCTAGTCTGGACATTGATCTTCCAGCTGAGGAGGCCTGCAACCATCCTAGGCACCTCGAGTGCTGTGGCACGAGGCCCATGGGCAGAAAAGCACTGTGTTCAGTGGCAGTGATGTGTCTGTCAGGAGGACAACCAGTGCCAATGTCTAGGGGCTTTCCTCAGAGAAAGGAAGAAGAAAACCTCACATCAGAAACCTAGCCTGACCAGGACAATGAGGAACTCACATCCCTCAAATACTAGCTGCAATTACAGGTAACACTTTTCACTCAAACAGTAAATAGAAATGGTCACCTGGTACTAAGCCTGGCTAAAGTCTGCAAACCATTTTAGAAGAAGTCAATTTATTTTTATTTTTATTTTTATTTTTGAGATGGAGTCTGACTCTGTCACCCAGGATGGAGTGCAGTGGCACAATCTTGGCTCACTGCAACATCCACCTCCCAGTTTCAAGCAGTTCTCCTGCTTCAGCCTCCCAAGTAGCTGGGACTACAGGCGCACATCACCACACCCAACTAATTTTTGTATTTTTAGTAGAGACGGGGTTTCACCATGTTGGCCAGGTTGGTCTCAAACTCCTGACCTCAAGCGATCCACCCACCGTCCTCAAGTGATCCTCACCATCCCAAAGTGCTGGGATTACCGGCATGAGCCACTGCGACCGGCCCCTGTTTATTTTTAGAGACAGAGTAATAAGTACTTTGCCAGGGCCATTTCAGTGTCATGGACCTGAAGCTGTCCTTAGCTTCCACAGGCTGGCTGTGGTCCTGAGAATTCTCACATGGTTTATGTTTAACCACACGTCTCCACAGGGCTCCAGCCCCGCTCACAGACCGAACCGCTACTTAGCACACACTCAGTGCTCCCACGGGCAGCGTCCAGCCGAGGGGGCGTGGCACACAACCTGCCTGCCCCAGGGTCCAGGCACACCTGAGAGACTGATGGAGAGAAACTGGCCCTTCGGGGAGTGCCATGGCTGGGCCCTCCCTGCCGGACCTCCAGGTGTCCAGTTAGCTCCTTAGCCCCCGACCCCCAACAGAGGGTTTTCATCTTTTACTGAAGAACTACTCCAGGGGCAGCAGCCTCAAGTTCCTTCTCAGAAGGGGCTTTGTTCGCAGGCAGATGGAGCTGGGCCCACCGTGGCGAGGGGCAGCTGCAGCAGCTTGGGTCTTCAGAGCCAAGCACACTCCAGTGTGCAGGGGCCACCTGGGGGGCCGCTCAGTTGTCCAGTGGGGCCCGAGGATCCAGGGCAGAAGAATGCTGCTGGCCTATGGGCCACACGGCATCTGCAACCAGGGACTAGAGATAAGAAATGCGTGCTGTATAGGCTGTGAGTCTGGCTGGTGGGGGAGACGGGTCAGCAAAGGAGCCCTGGCCGAGGCTGGTGGAGCTGTGATGGGCCTGAGGGCTCCTGGGGGCCGAGGGGAGGAACGAGCAGGACAGGGCCCACTGGGAGCCGCAGCAGATCCACTAGCATCACTCGTCTGCCTCCAAAAGTCAGCATGAGCACGGTTTTAGCAGGTTTGGTGAATTTGGTCTGTGATAAAATTGGAGTTCAAGAAACAAACAGGAAACTACAAGTGCCCCTTCGCCCCCAGGTCACCCGAGTGGCAGGGCAGTGACCGCTGCTCTCAGGCTGCCCAGTGTGGACCTGCCTGTCGGAATGCTCCTCCTCCACGTCCCCTCGCTCCTGTGTCCCAGCCACATGCACCTTCCCTCTACCTCTGGGATCCCTGCACCAGGTCTGCCCCTGTCTTCTCAGGGCTGCTCCTCTTGGCCCACAGGACCTCAGCTGGAATGTTGCCTCCTCCAAGAGGCCTTCCTGACTATTAGCTCACAGTGGCCACCCAGCCACACTCTGCCATGTGCTTGGGGATTGTCTGTTACTGCAACATACTGCAGCCCATACTGACACGAAGGCACCCAGTGAAGACTTGCTAAGTAATTGGACAAGAAGACCCTGGAGCTGCCCCCAGGAGAGTAATCACGCTCGATGATTGTGTGTGATGGGGACTTAGGAACTCACAGTTTAGGGGCACAGTGGGCCTGAGGCATCTCTGTAAGGGTAAGGTGAGCTTCAGGCAAACGGGGTTTGCATGGAGAACCAAGGTGCTGCACCAACACAGCAGCCCCTACAGGAAGCAGCTTGGGGAAGGCCAGTGCAGACCGCCCAAAGCACACAGCATCTGAAGCATGCTTGGCACATAGAATCTGCTTAAGGAATCAGAGACTAAAAAGATCAGCTTAAAAACAAAACAACTCTACTAAAGATGATTTTATTTATTGTCCCATCCTCACAAGGCGCTGAGAGTGTGGCCAGGCAGGCTAGACCGGCTTTTACTGTGTTTCATTCTGCTTGCGTTCACATTTACTTTTCCTGGATAAGAGAGCACTTGCAAAGCCAAAATGCACTCCCTGAGACTCAGACGGCCCCTCCCTGACAGCCAGACTCAGCACACAGGACTGGGCTGGGCGCCTCCCTCGCACCTTGAACATTCGAGGGCACAGTACCTGTAGGTGATCCTCACTTCCGTTCCAGGCTCATCGCGCTCCCAGATCAAAGCAACGCTCTCGGGGGACTTCCGAACATGCTGGTCCAAGCAGTTGACTGTACAAAAAGAGGGTTTGCGGATGTTACACTTGGTGCTTTTTGAGTGAGAATTCGGCCAGGTTGAGGGGTTGGAGCGGGTCTAGTTTGCTGTGGCTCTCTCTTCTTCCACTGACAGAGACCCTGTCCTCATCAGTGATGATGTTTCTACCCCCTTGCAAGGAGAAGGGTGAACAAACATGATCTCAGAGGTACAAGGTGATGTCCTGCAAATATTTTGAAGTGGTTGCTTCACACCAGTGGACCCAACCCTGGCTGCATATTGGCATCTCCTGGGCCACCCCTAGAGACCCCATCCAATGGGTCCTGGGCCTTCAAAGCCTCAAAGCCCCCATGGTTGGTTCTGATGTGCAGCCAGGGCTGGGCACTGCAGCCTAAGCTGTTGGAAAGAACACTCAGTGCAAACAGGTTGTTCCTGTTTCAGGGCTTGGCTCCTGCAGTTCCCATGTGCCCAGTGCTGACCTGCCCCCAAGGTTAAAGGTGCAAGAAGGGACGAGGACCCAACTCCCCCACGTGTTCCACGAGCACCCAGTAAACCAGCCTTGTTCCAAGAAGTGGCTCGTGATGGGGAAATGTCCTGGTTTTGCAGAAGGCTCTGCTCCCTCCCTCTCCATTACCCAAGCTCCCACACATGACCCTCCGGCAGAAACAGCTCTGTGGCACACCGTGAGACTGAGGATTAGCAGCACGGGGCCCCTCCGCTGGCAGGCTGGTCACTACTCATTAGATTCCAAAGCTGAGCCCCTTCTGGCAACCCTCAAGCCAGCTCTCCTCACTCACTGGCTTATCGGAGGGTCCCCAGGTATGCAGGGACATGAGCCCCATGAATGGTTTTGGGGGCAGCAGCACCCACCCACCTGGTCTCTCAGGGTCACCCCTGTAGCCTGTTTGTAAATTACACCTCAAAAAATGTAACAAATGTAGACAGATTCCAGGAAAAAATTACTAATACTAGTAAGAGACACAGGAAAGTTCTTTGAACTACTATTAACAGAAAAATAAAAGAGAAGACATGCCCAAAAAATAGAAGAAAATAAAAACAAGAAGACAAACTAAGAAGGGGATCAGTGGCAGACCTGAATTTACACAACATCTCTGTGTGTGTTGGGGAGCTGGGGGTGCTAACCTCTGTTCACTGTGGTCATGCCAAGTGTAGCATTAACCCCACAATGTTTTGCTGGGTGTTGGGGAGTCTCTTAGGAGCAAAAAGAAGGAGCATACAACCCTGAGATGGTTTAACCCAACCAGTCCTGGGTGCCAATCCTGATCAAGGCCCCACACTGAACACTGAGGGAAATGCCAGGGCAGATTCGAAGCCCCTGCCATGGGTGCAGGAGACAGATGCAAACGTAAGAAACATGCAAAAGTGACCAAACACACAAGGCCGGTGGCGGCAGGCTCATGACACTTGTCCAAACAGGGCACTGGAGCTGAATTTACCCTGGGAAGGCAAACCCTGGGAAGTCAAGAGCAGCCTGGGGCTGAAACAATAATTACTGCAAGAGCCTCCACGGAGACAGCGCCCGCACCACCAGCATCTCCCATTATGGATGGGAGAACAGAGGCCCCGAGAAGTTAAGCTGCCTGGCCAAGGTCACACAGAGGCAGAGCTGGATTCAACGCAGGCAGATTGGCTCCACAGTCTGTCCCACCGCCCCACCCTCCAAAGTCCCCCGGTAACAGTCCAGTTCTTCACCAGGCGGTGAAGAACTGCTCTATGCAACAAGTGGGAGGGAAGCGAGCTTTGCCGGTAGTGGGGGAATTGGGGAGGAGGGATGAATCAGGCTTGGTCTTACAGACGGAAGACAGAACAGTTGAGAAGAATAGTGAGGCCAATTCAGGCAGGCGACAGGAACATGTAAACCCTGAAGGAGATGGAAAAACAACACAACTGCCAGGGAGAAAATTAATACACGGGTACAGCAGATATTAGCCAACGTGGTCCCTAGGCTGAGTCCAGCATACAGTTGTGCTAACCACCCTGACCAGGGTGTGCAGGCATGCGTGTGTGAGTCCAGTCCAATATTTAAAAATCGAGAGCTTTCACATGAAAGCCATGGACTTCTGGCTTCTGAACAATCAGCAGGAGACCATCCCTACACAGAGAGTCCTACACCCCGCTGCCTGCCTGTCACCTCCAGTGACTCTATGATGCTATGACAAGCCTGGGAATGTCTAGCTGAGGATCGACACTGTCTGCACCCACCATCCCCCCCGGGAGCTGGTCACAAATGCAAATCTTCAGCCCCACCCAGACCTGCTGAGTCCCAACCAGCCTCATAAGAAGCCCCAGGAGATGTGAACCCACTCTCATATCTGAAAAGCTCTGCCTGACATACTTGCTCCACTCCAAATTTGACCCTGGAGCCCCCCGGAAGAGTGGCCTGCCCAGGTGTAGATGAGCAAACGCCCTCTGCATGGCCTGGTGACCTGCCCAAGGCCCCAGCCAAGATGAAGCAGGAAGGGCTCGAACCACGCTGGACACTTCGCCTTGGCATTCATCTCATCGCCTCACCTGCTCCCACAGCAGCCAGGGCACCAGGACACTCTTCTCAGAAACAGTGACTGCCCAACTTCAAACAGGCCCTCACAGCCTCCCAGCCCAGCAGGACATCCTGCACCATTTTATACCAAGCAGGAAGGCAGAGGTGAGGAAGGTGGAGAGGGGCAGGCCAGCCCCAGGATGGACAGCACCCAGGTGCGGCTGGGTGGCCCGTGAGATAAGCCCTGTGTCCCTGTCTTTCCAGGGCTGACAGGTGGCCTGGGTCCAGCAGATCAGAACAGAGCCCCAAACACAGTGTCCCCCAGGTGCCTCGCCACATGCAGAGGTGCTCAAAAAGTGGCCACCAAGGCCCCAATGACCTGCCTCTCCCTGCTGACCGGGCCACATCTGGTGAGCTCCCCTGCCCTCAGGCCTTTGCTGTGGCTTCTCCCTGCCTGGGGCACTGTGCCCTCCTCACACCCACACTGCAGCTCTCAGCCCAAGGCGCTCACTCTCCCGAGCACCTCACTGTCCCAGACCCTGCGCATCCCCCAACTCTTCCAGATGCTCACTGCCTGCTGCGCTCCCTAGGGCGAGGGCTGAGTGTCCTGCTCAGGTCTGGGTTCAGGTAGCCTGGTCCAGAGCACAGAGCTGAGGAACAGACCACTTGCGTCCTCGAGCCAAAGGGTCATATTGAGGTGTAACTGGCACCAGGTGGTCCCCTCATGCCCAAGGGAGGGAGCAGACCTCTTCTTGTCTTTGTGGCTTCATCCCTTAAGTAGAAGACATTCTCTTTTTTGGCCCAAATCAGTGCTTCTCAACCTTGAGTGGCATCAGAAGTCCCCAGAGGACGTGTTAGCTGCAGCCAGTGTGCCCCGTCCCCGTTCTGGGCATCTGCATTTCTAACAAGATCCTAGTGATGCAGCCGCTGCTGGTCCTGGGACCCGACTCTGACGATGTGTGCACATGGACCTACATGCACATCCCCTTTCTATGCAGATGCAAGATTTCCAATGGTTTTCTTTTTCCTTTGGGACAGGGGTGATTACACATACTTGCCAGCCTCATGAGCCACTGGTTGGCAGCCTGGAGTCACCACTAAAAACTCAGGGTCTAAAGTCCAGCCCCTGTCCAGCCACTCACTAACCACAGACAATGCACATATCATTTAATCCAAGCCCATTTCCTAATCCTTGGAGTGGGTATAATGATCCTTGGTCTGGGTGGGACTGGAAGGACTAGGTGCCATTGGGTTGTTTCTGGCTGTGGGTCAGATGGAGTCAAGGTGTCCCCCAAGAAGGCAAACAGAACAACCCTCCCCCATCTTTGTTCTGGCCACCATGGCTGGTGCTCAGACCACACAGGCACCTGAAGAAAGCTCCATGTGGGGTTTGGGGGACAGTGGCCCTAACACCCATGTGCACATGGCTCTTCGCACATAGTTATGGTTCCTGCTAGTGCTTCAATTTCAGGATGAAAAGGTAGAAAGGAGGGGGAGGAAGGAGGTAAGAAGGTGAGGAAGGATGGAAAGGAGGAAGGAAGTGGGGAAGAGAGGGAGGAGGAAAAGAAAGTTTAAAAAAAAATCTGCCCAAAGAAATGGGCAGTGAGACAAGAAAATTCCATTTCTCAGCATTTCCAAGAAGAGTTGGGCAAGGACCCATGGCAATTTAAAGTGTAGCTGAAACTCCACCTCCTATTTCCGGCCTTTCCCAAGTTTCCCAGCACATGATGGATGACCTGTCCTTCGCCTCTCAGAGGCCCACACCATTTCACACTGCCCCATGCTCCCTGGTGGTCCCCATTACAGGGCACAATGCCATTCCCCAAGGGCAGGGACTGTGTCCCTAAGATTCCTTTATCATGTAGACTGGCGTTGGGAATTACATCACAATTCCCCTCCCACCTCAGTGTGGACTTACTCATTTACTGACTTATGGTTCATCTCCTCATTAGAATGTGGGCTCTGTGGTATTGAGCATTTTCTGGATTATTCATTGCTGTACATGAATTGGAGCCTTTATTTCCAAATCTGTGCAATGGGACCACCAACCACTTCATGTTGGTGCCATGAGGATGCGACAAGCCATGCGGAGCTGAGGGCCGGCCAGCCAGGGCGCTCCATCTCGCTCACAGATGCCCAGGGCCCCACCCAGGGCCTAACACAGCTGGACGCAGTCGGCCAATGCCCGTGGCTGGGGCAGGGGTTTGGTATTTTGTTTTAAAAAGGCATTATAAGAGTATTGGGATTTCCATTACAATCCTGACACACACGTACGAATTTTCAAGTACTCTTGTTGCTTATTTAAATACATCCCTCACACTCACACACCCTAACTGAAAGTGGAACCCAGCATACAGAAATTCAATTTGAATACGGAGTTACTATTCACAATGAGCTTTTTTTTTTTTTTTTTTTTTGAGACAGGGTCTCACTCCATTGCCCAGGCTAGAGTGCGCTGGCGTGATCTCAGCTCACTGCAACCTCCACCTCCTGGGCTCAAGGGATCCTCCCACCTCAGCCTTCCAAGTAACTGGGACTACAGGTATGCACCACCACGCTCGGCTAATTTTTTTTTTTTTTTTTTGAGATGGGGTTCTCACTACGTTGCCAGGCTGGTCTCAAACTCCTGGGCTCAAGCGATCTGCCCACCTCAGCCTCCCAAAGTACTGGGATTCCAGGCATGAGCCACGGCGCCTGGCCCACAATGGACTTTCTTTTAATAGCAATCTTCCCTGGCAGGCTTTGAGATATTACGTCAGTCACAAAAATTGTTTTGGACAATTTTCCCAAAGCATCTGTTATTTAAAGTAAGTCGTGCCCCTGACAGCTGGGGAGGACTTGGATTCCTCGGGAGGATCCTCCTCCTAAGATTAGGGGTTCCTTTTTCATGTAGAGTTCCCTGAAAAACCTTAGAAAAGTTACTTTAATCACTGGAATCACTAGGAGGAAAATGAAGCACAGGCGCACAGCGTCTTGCCGCTGTCAGTGTCCTGCCTTCTGAACGATTAGAGGCATGCCACAGAGAGGAAACTACAGCAAACACAGAGGAACTACAGCAAAAGGGCCTCTGTTCCTGCAATTAATCTCCAAAAAGCATCCAAGAAATTTCCCAGTGCTCAATGCTTGGTTACAAAGAGGATTTTTACACTCTTGCTTAAGAGTACACACACTGAAAAACATCACTTAAAATTGGGGGTTTTAAAAATAGAGCTTAGCTGTGTGTTTTGAAAGCAACACATGTCATTACCCTCTGGTTCTGCATTTACAACTTCCTGACATCTTGAGTTGATATGCCACAGGGCAAAAAGAGCTGCAGAGCCCTACAAAGGACAGAGCCAAATTTCACAGGTGGGAAAGAATCCCTTTTAGAACCTGGCTCTCCAAAGAACCTTCTGCAAGGCAGTTTTACACAATAGAAGCAAGTCACAGAAGGGCACAGACACTCTGTCTACCCTGCCCAGTGAGTCTCAGACACCATAACCTCAACTGGCTATTGGAGTTGTGGGATGGGCAGGATACTGTGGAGCTTTGAAAGCAACCTCAGCCACCTGCATGCTCTCCGAAGCCTATTCCCCACCTATCCCAGGCTGATCAGATGCAAGCCCATGTGGTCCAGTTCAGATGAAGCTCAGCTCTCTCAGCAGCACTGCCGAAGGCCAAGCACAAGGTCACAGCCTCCCCACATGCTTCATTAATAAATAACAAATAGTCAGTGACTGGGGATGTATAATGTGTTAAGAAAGTGCTGAGTGCCTTACAAGCATTTCCTCATTTCATTCTAACAGCCCTGGGATGGGTGTGCTGATAGATACTCCCATGGATAACAAAACAGGTGCAAACACTCAGGTCCCCTTCCCCAGGTCGGAAGATGCCTGATAACATCTGTGCTGGTCTCTTGGACCTCTGGTTGCAGGAAATTGCCTGGGCCCAGCCACCATGCTGTGACAAGCCCCAGGAGGTGCTTTGGGCCACAGTTCTGGCTGAAGCCAGCCTGCAAGTTGTCCCAAACAAGGCTCCAGACTTGGGAGTGAGAAACAGGCAGATGACTCCAACCTCAGACACTGAGGAGCAGGAGCAAGTGTTAAATAAAATGTATAGGAGGCCACTGGTCTGGACTGAGCTGCATGAGGCCCAATAGATCACACAAAAATGGAGTCACTCTTGCTAAAGTGCGGTGTCACCAAATGGAAACTAAGTTGTTTATCCGACCTTCTAAGAAACAAGGAGAGTGAAAGATAGCTAAATCTCCAAACAAGCTGGCATGATAAGGGAGCTCCTTCCACTTTCACCTTTACAACAAAAGTAGCTTTGAAATAACCAGTCCACTTTTTGTTCTCCATGTCTGCATCCTTCAGCCCCTTCTGTCTATAAAACCATCCTCCTCTGTTCAGCTCATCAAACATTCCTTCTGTTTTATGGAATGGGGTGTTTCCCAATTCTATAATCACGAATAAAGTGAAGTAAGGTCTTTAAACTAAATTTGTCCTAATTTTGCCCTTTGACATGAGTCATCCCCATCGGGCCCTGTCCAAAGTCCTGACTCACAGACTCTGCGAGGAATATAAAATTGTTGTTATCTTGTGTCACTAAACTTAGGGGTGGTTTGATGTACATCAATAGTAACTAGGACAGAATTCAGTTACATACGGCCCTTGTTTTACAGATGAGGAAACATGCAAAGTACAGTACAGGGAAAGCAAGAAATCAACCCGAGTCATGATTCTAAAGACACCTGGAGCCACGAAACTGTGTTGCGCCATCCACAGCCCATCATTTGCTTGCTGTTTGTTTAATAGGGCCAAGGCCAGGACACTAATCCCAATTCTGTTTTAGAAGTGCCTTCATCTGCCCTGGTTTGAGGCGTACAGGCCAGTGGTTCTCAAGCCCGAGTGTCCTCTGGAGCATCTGAAGGGCTCGTTATAAACACAGGTGTCAGGTCCCATCCCAGGGTTTCTGATTCCAGATGTCCAGGATGGGCTCCAGAATTTGTATTTCTCAAAAGTTCTCAGGTAATGCTGATGCTGCAGGTCTGAAGACCATGCGTTGAGAACCACTGGTATTCTTGAGGGGGTGAGGTGAAGCTTTCTTCAAGAGTGATATTCCTTTGGAACAAGCCATCTGACTTTATCACACACAGCTGACAGATCAGACCAAAGTGTTCTCATCCATCCCACGACTTTCTAGATGCTCCCAGAAGAGTCATGGCCTGGCCTGGCCCTTTTTCATACTGTCTTCTCTATGGTTTGCAGACACCGGCAAAGGAAAGAGATATTGCTGACCCATGAACAGGAGGGCACGCACATCCCAGGGGAGAAAGCTGCTGAAAAGCTGTTTTTCAAGTTAGTTTTCTGAAGCTCAATTTCTGGCTAACGTAGCCATAAAGGCCATATTATCAGAAGAAATAAGTGAAGGAAAAGGAGACAGAAGAATGCTTGCTGACCACACCCTGATCCTGACCGAGCGAGGTTCAGAAGGTCCTTGCTGTTGGCCCCAGGAGGTCCGCCCCACTGTCTTATCTGAGTGGGGCTGCAAGTGTGCACAGGCCAACTGTGAATGTTCCCCATGACCTTGGCCTCACAAGTCCAGAGCAGGTCACTTTCCACCTCTGTCCTTGGGCAAGCTGCTCTAGTCTCCTTCAAGGGCACATTGCCCCAACTCTGCAAACCAAAGGGTTTGGTTTTTTTCCCACTAGTTCAAGGGCACTTGCTGCTGACTCAATGTTAAAGAAAACACTTATCTAGTAAGTGACTCATTTTAATTAAACCAGCAAAGTAATATACAATTTCGGGGAGTGGGGGAGGTCCAAAGTTCCTTCCAATTTCTTTGAAAAATAACTGCAAGACACTATCTATAATTGTATGACTATTTCTGAAGTTATCTAAAATCGCTACTGCTTATGGGTCACCAGTAAGCGCTGGGTCTGCTGCACACCTTGCAGCACTCAGCCTAACCTCTGAGCATGACTGCCCCCATCCTCACAATGAGGAGACTGAGGGCTGGGGGGGCAGAACAACAAGGACAACTGAGGGAGGAGTTGGAGAAAATGGGGCCCTGGTGACCCTGCCATAAAGACCCGCAGGTCCTTTCTTAAACACTCCCAAATCCAGCAAGCTGGTTATGACCACCCTTCTGGTCTGCATCCCTCTGATCAACACCGTGTCTGCCAGCCCCTCCCCGCAGGCCCCACACCCAGGCCCACCCTGCATCCGGAGCCCACCTCGCACTTGGCACCCACCCTGCGTGGCCAGCCCTGCCTGCAGTTCAGGGCCTCCCCCTCGGTGCCCAGTCAGCGCCTTAGGTGGGGGCGAGGGTGCTGTGTACGACCCCCAGCCCCAAATCTTAGCAGAGCAGCAGGGCCTCTGCTCAGCAAGTTCCAAACAACTGACCACCAGTCAACTGTTTGGGGCCGACGTCAGACCCCGCGGGTCCAAAGCAGGCCCCAGGTCGCTGGGGTGCAGTTCTCTGAGGCCGAGAACGAGAACGGGGAGGCCGCCGTTACTTCCTTCCCGTCCACAGGCCCCAGGCCCCAGGCCCGCAGCGAAGAAATAACTGGTTCCAGCTGCCACGCCGAGTTTCCTCCTCCCCAGGTCGCCCGCCACAGCTCTGTTTGTTTACGTGGGCAGGGCTTGTCCCCAGGCTGATCCCCGGGCACCGCAGCCCGCAGTGACAACCGCCACCGCTTTGTTTTTCCCTCCACCCCGGTATGGGAACGGGAAAGTCCCGACTCCGGGGCGCTCGGGTGTAGCCCGCGGCTCCCCGCCGGCTCTTGCTCAGCGGCGCTATGCACCCGGTAACGCAACTCTGGAGTCCGCCGAGCGAGGAGCCGCGCCGAGCAAGGCCAGCAGCGGGGCGTCCCAAGCGGCCGCCGGGTCCCCGCGGGCGCCGGCCCGAGCTGGGCACGTGGATCTGGGGCCCGATGGGATGAGGGACGGGGTGACGTGGAGCCACTGCTTAGAGCGGGCGGGGCGGACGGAATACCGGAGGAGGGGCCCCTGCAGGGCTGCGATCCGCGCTGCCCGGGGACGGCTGCCGCTGGCGAGAGGCTCCGAGTCCCCTCGGGACCCAAGAGTTGGGGGCGTCCTGGGTCTCCCGAAGCCCACTCACCAGAGACATTTAACTGGCCTCCCAGGAACCAGCCGATCTTGCCAGTGCTGAAGTCGCAGTCCCAGACGGTGTGGTAGGGGGTGTCCCACACGAGAGTGTCCCGCGCCAGAGGCCCCCAGAAGGCGGCCGGCTCCCGGGCTGCCTGTGCACTCAGCGCGGGATACGAGCCTGGCTGTGCTGCTGCTGCTGCAACTGCGGGAGCGCTGCCCGAGGGTCCCGAGGCCGCCCTGCGCGGCGCGCTCACCCCGCACGGCGGCCGCGCGGGCTGCCCCGAGAGCCCTCGCAGGCTGCCCAGCAGCCTCCCGACGCCGCGGCCCAGGGTGCGCGCCGCCATCTAGGCAGGCTACCTGAGCTCTCTGTGCTCCCAGAGTGGGTGCCTCACGCCCGGGGCGCCCCGTGGAGTCTCCGCGGGCCCCGCCCCTGCTCCGCCCTTCCGCCACCATCCATTCCTCCAGGGCCCCCTCCCGGAGCCCGCCCGGGTCCCACCCCTTCTTCTGCTGCCCGGGAGAGGGGGGGCCGCTTAGGAAGAGGGGAGCAGCGTGGGGAAGGGGTGCAGGGGAGCGCGGGGCGGAGCAGGGTCCCAGGCCCTGGCCCAGGCGCTGCGCTCCGGTGAGTCTGCGGTCCCACCCGGATGTTCCTCGAGTCGGCCTGTTTTGGTTTCAGTTTGCACGCTCTCCTGCAAGCCCCGACAGCTTCTTCGAGCTGCCAGAGGCACGTGCGGCCCAGGACCCCAGGACGCAGGCTCAGGGCCTGGGGCGAGGGGACCCTCTGGGATGGGGAGGAGCCGGGAGGGAGCCGGCACCAACGTTAAGGGGGCTGGTGCACCCAAGCGCACTGGTGGGTCCCAAGACAATAGGTCGGTCAGTTCCGCATCTCAGAGGCTGAAGCCAAGGTTTTCATGCCTTTGTGCGCCCCTGAGAGTGAACCCCACCCCTGGAGTCTCAGCAGCACGCGAAAGGGGCTGGCGCCTTTCTAGGCTCCCGCCTAGAAGCCAGGAGGCTGCGCAAGCCTGAGTCCGTGTTCTGGGTCCCATGCTCCAGCCCCCCAGCTGCCGGCCTCCGTCCTGGCGGGGGTCACGTCCTGCTGGGGGTCGGTGGTGGGTGATATGGGGCGATGAGGACTTTCTCCAGTTGCTGCAGCATCTGTAGCCTGAGTTCAAACTCTGTGACCTTGAGCAAGTTCCTTAACTTCTCGGTGCCTCGTTTTCCTTTTGGGGAAGACGGAAGTAATGTCTCCCTGGGGGGCGGGGACGGCGGGGGTGGGCAGCTGCAGTAAGGAATACATTGGACAATGTCTGTCAAGCGTCTACCCTTGCGTGGCCCCATAGTAAGCTCAGTAGTGGGGATGATGTTTTTGCAGCTGTGGAGCCAGGAAGGACAGAAGGAAACGTATAAAACTGGTCTCCACCGAGTTCTTAAATATTCTGACACCCAAGAAGTAAATTCATAACAAACGGGTAAACACAGGGAAGAGAGATTTTGGAAAACTGGTTTATTGAGTTCTCTGTGATGGGAAAGTTTCTTTCCCTTGAGCTGTAGGGCTTGCAGAGGGGAGGAGCCTGCCATTGGAGGAGCCTCTGCGTGGGCTAGCCACCAGCCCCTGCTGGGGAATGCTGCTGTCTGCCAGAGAAGACAGGAGTGTACCTAGAGCTGGAGAATCAGTGACATCTACTAGCATAACACATGCCCTGCACAGTGCTAGCGCTTGACCTGCATTTTCTCCTTTATTTATTTATGATACTTTTTTAGAGATAGGGCCTGTAGCCCAGGCTGGAGTGCAATGGTTCCCATCACAGCTCACTACAGCCTGGAACTCCTGAGCTCAAGCGATCCTCCTGACTCGGCCTCCTGAGTATCTGGAACTACAAGCGTGTGCCACGGCACCCGACTAGTCTACTTAATTTGAAACTTATCTAGTGCTGTCCATTCCCACCAACTGTCAAACTCCAGGTGGAAAAAATGAGGAAACTGAGCCCAAATAAATAAAAGGACTTACTAAAGAGCATGCAGCTGGCTAAGGGAAGAGCAAGACTAACACCCAGTGCCCCCAGTGGGGAGCTCGTTGGCCTAAGTTCATTTGAATAGAATATTAAAGACACCCAGTACAGGGCACTGAGAGGCAGAGGTCAGTGAGTAGTAAAATTGTAAACTGAGAAAGCTCCTAACTGTGGCAGGGGGTCCCAAAGACGGCCACCAACTCTTCCTTCCCACGCCTGCACCGCCTGCACATGATGGTGTGCTGCTCTGTCCAGAGGAGGACCCTGGCTGGCTGGATTGCTTTGGCCAGTACAGCCTGGTGGGAGGGATGCTGTGACAGTTCCATGTGGAGGTCCTGAGAGACCCCGTAGCCCCAGCTTATCCTCCCATGGAACCCAGCTGCGAGCTGTGAGGAAGCGGGGCTGGCCTTCCAGAGGAAGGGACCCAGGGCGAGGATGAAGCTGTCCCATCCACAGCCAGGACCAACTCCCAGACAAGAATGACGCCAATGTGGAGGCTCCTGTCCCAGCCAAGGCAGCCTCATGAGTCACCCCAGATAACACCTGGGATGCAAAGGAACCTCCCAGTCCACTTACAGAATTGTAGAAGGAATAAATTTAAGCCACTAAATTTTGGGATGGTTTGTAACTCAGCAGTGGTAACTGATACAACAACTGAGGCTGAAAAATGCATGGTTCTTTCACTCACTGACTATTGCCTCTCAGTGCCCTGTACTGGGTGCCTTTCTTCTCTCTGCCTTCCAAGTGTTGAAGTGCCCAGGAGCTCAGCCCTCAAATCCCCCTTTCTCCCCTGCCCCCTAGGAAACAGCAGCCAGCTCTCTAGCCTCTCACTTTCATATTGACACCTCCCGCCTGGACCTTTCCTCCACATCTCAGTCCTGTATTCAAATGTCTCATTCACATCTGAAACATACCAAGTCCTGGGATTCTTCCCCACAACACGGATCTTCCATGTCAGTGAATGGAAATGGCATTTTCCTGTTGTTTGGGCTCATACCCTTGTCATCCTAGATTCCTCCCCCTCACACTCCACATGCAGCCTGTCAGCAAATCCTGTGACTCACCTTCAGAACACCTGCAGCACTAACCTCTTCCCCCATCACCATCCCCTCCTGCTACCATCCTAACCATACCTATCTCTTTTAGGATTATTCAGTAGGCTTCAAATTGCTTTCACCCTTGCCCCTGACAGCCTAACCAGCAGCCAGTGCAATTCCTTTAAAACAAGAGTCAGAGGAACTTGCTCTGGAGCTTGGAACAATCCAAAGGCTCCCCAGTCTCCTCAAAACAAAGACCACATCATTCCCTGGCCCACAGGCCATAGCCTCACTACTTAACGTGTGGTCCATGGGCCAGCAGCATCACTTGGATACTTTGTAGAAATGCAGAATGCCAGGCTCCATCTCAGACCTGCTGCCTCAGAATCTGCATCTTAAGCCCCAGGGGAGCTGCATGCACATTCACGTTAGAGAAGCGTTGCCCTCCCTGATCCAGTGTACCCTCTTCCTCTGCTCTCACTCATTGGGGCTCCAGCACATCAGCCTCCTCCTGTCCTTCCCATCACCCAGCAGGCTCCCACCTCAGGACTGCCACACGATGTCCCTTCTGCCTGGAATGCTCCACCCAGTTGTCCACAGAGACTCCCCCTCACCTCCTTCAGGTGTCTTCAAACATCCCTTCATCCAAGAGCCCTTTCTTCCCTGTCACCTACATAAAGTTATACCTCCGCCCTCATTCCCTAGTCTCAACCCCTGACTTGACTTTTCTCCATGGCTGTTACTTATTAGCTCTGTGTTTATCTTCCTAGTCCTCCTACCAGGAGGGAGCCCTGTGAGAGAAGAGACCAGCTATGCTGCTTGTGACTGGGCCTGGCACCAACAGCCACCCCATGGAGAGTGCACGGCAATGGCTCCTTCTTCCTACTACCTTCGTTTCTAAGGTCTTCTACAGTTGCAATGAGAAAAGTAGGTAGAACTAACTCTGTTTTAAAATAAATGCTACCTCGTTCCTTCTGGTTGGATAAGAAGAAGTGATCATTTCAGAACCAAACATGTCAGAACCAACCAGGTGGTGCAGAACTGCACTTCTTGCTGCCCGAGTTACCTAGAGGTGGCCTTGAGACCTTCCTTCTGAGTGTCACAGCCCAGGCCAAGGTCGTCCCCACTGCCTCCCTCCTGGCAGCCAGTCATCAACTCTTGCAGAACAAGCACAAGATTGAACAAGCACAAGGAGCACCCACTCTTGGCCCTGCATCCCGAAGGACCCTCAGAGGTTTGGACAGGGCAGCAGGCTATCTGGGCAGTGCTGGTCACATCTTCTCCCTAAGAAGCCGCTGGCCTCAAC
Organism: Homo sapiens; assembly: GCF_000001405.40. Lineage (NCBI taxonomy): Eukaryota > Metazoa > Chordata > Mammalia > Primates > Hominidae > Homo > Homo sapiens. The sequence goes on from NC_000020.11 coordinate 25,062,108, forward strand.
TTCAGGAGAGCTCACTTGGAACGCTGGATGCTGTCAGGCAGGGGCTGCAGACACACGAAGTGCTTAGAGGGCAGGGTTCTTGGGAATCCGGGATTCGCTTCTGTCTCGGTACTAATGTTTAGGCCAGAAATGCCAACACAGCTGTGACTACTGACCCTACAACCTGCAGCAGTGAATGCTCTTGCCCTTGCTGTACATGTGTGAAAATAAGCAGGAGGACAGAAGCTCACCCGAGGCCACCAGCTAGTAGGTAGCAGAGCCATAGCGTCCAGAGCATCTTAATTTAACAGCTTTAGGGACAGAGCCCACCAACACGGCCTTCGCCATTTGCCTTCATAGCTCCTGCCATGCCCATTACTCCAGAGTCGCAGTGCTCAGATGCTCAAGAAACAGTCCTGGCTGATAACGGATCCCCAACCACTCCCTGTGCACTCAGTGGTCTCCAAAGAGCTGGTAAAACCCTCCCTTCCTCTTCTCTCCTCCATCTCTCCCTCTTCCTGTTCTCTTCATTTGTCTCTGTGACCCCACACACACACACCTCTTTCCAATGACACTCAGAAGAAACCTGTGAGCTTCTCCCATGTGCACCACCAAGAGCTGAGGGCTCTCAGTTGGACAAGGACGGTCCAGTTTTGGTCCCTGCAAGCAAGCAGGTCACAGTTCAAATTGGGGAGAGACAGACACTGTTCAAATAGCTGAAATGCACAGTAAAACCAAAACACAGAATTTAGAAGAGCATGGCAGAGCTCAGATCAAGTACAGGACCCAGATGCTGGGAGTCTGGAATTGGCTTCGTCACCAGTTCACTGAGTTCTTTCTCTACTCTGCATCAGCTACAAAGAAAGATCACCAGATTGGGGAAAAGGAAAAGCAGGTTTTATTCCCGGCCAGGCATGGAGAAGGAGAGAGCACTTGCTCTAAAGACAGCTTCTTCCAGAGCGGTGGGGAGCTGGGGAATGTAACAGGGTTAGATGTGGGGCAGGAGCTATGTAAGCTTATGTGGGGAGGAACTTCAGACACGCAGGTGCAGATCATGAACAGGCTCTTCATACGACACGTGTGCAGAAAGTGGCAACGATTCTCTTCTATGATTCTCTTCTATGAGTGGGGACTTTAGCATTATAATGATATGCTAATGATCTAAAGGTGACAGGGGCCACTGGTTCTGGTTTGCTCGGTTTTGGGCAAGCCTTACTTCCTCTGGTAATTGGCGAAGCGTCCTGAAGTTACCAGGCCACCCAAAGTTCTTTTAAGCAAGCTTACCTATAGATAAAGAGATGAGAAAAAAAATTGAGTAAGAAAAAATGAGGAGCTTTCTCAGCTATATCTCTAGGGCTGCCATGGTGGCAGCTTCACAAGGTGACAGGGCTCCCTTCCCTTCTGGCTCCTATTTCTCGATGTCCCCATGAACTCCGGGTGAGGATGAGGTATGTGGAGTCTGCGCATACATCTGCTTCAGCAGGGGGCTTGAGGATCCCATATGGCTGCAACACACCATAGCCTCATGCACTGTGGCACTGTGCACAAAGCCCTGCAGAAGTGCAGTGCGCCCCTGACCCTGCGGGGTCAACCCAACAACACACAGCGAAGCACAGGACGAGAGAGGGTGGCCACAAGCGCAAGAAGAGCTGGGAAGTGGGAGTGCAATCCAGCAACTGCCTGGCGTCCTTCCTGGGGCTGCGGGATACCCGGCCAGGCAGCTATGCTCTCTGATGCTCTGAGGGCGGTGCAGGAGGCAGAACAGTTGGGCTCTGTGGTGGGGCAGCTCCTGGTCAGCATGAGCGACATGGTAACTCAATTCCAGCAGCACCAAATCCTGGTAACTCTTAATCACTCACCCCAGCCATCCATGAGCATGCACGGCTGGGGACATCATCCATCAACCACCCATAGAACAGACTTCCCCACAAGACCCCTTGCAGCCCTCAGTGTTCAAGGAAGACACCATGAAAATCATTACACCTGGGAGAACAGTCCCTAACTGCCAGGCCTGCAGGGCCAAGGGGGGCACAGCAATTGCCCCCACATGCCAATGCCCTTCCCCATTCCCAAGCTGCCTCTCCTGGGGTTCCCCTACTGTGGTAGCTGCACTGCCTTCTCTCGCTCAAGGCCAGGCGTCACTTTTAGTGCTATTTGAGAGCTGTAAGTCTCTGAGATCACAGGGACATCTTGGGGTCACTCCAAGGGCAAAGCTCTGAGAACTTTGAGCTGTGGCCACTGTCCTGCCTCCTGTGTGGATCAAAAATGGCTTCCTCCTTCATGGAGCTCCTGAGTGTACAGATAGCACTAGACAGGGAGCCAAGGGAGAGGCCTAGAACCCCTCCTGGCTTCTGCCCTCTGTTCTGCCTCCAACCTGCCATGTGGCAAGGCCCCTGACATCTCTAGGCCTCAGTTTTCTCATCTGCAAAATGAACCAATGAGATCCAAATTCTGAATCCTTGAGCTCTAAAATTCCAAGAGGTGTATGAGTCCCATTAAGAACATGCCAGACTTAATAGCCAGAGTTTCTACTCCTTTCCCAAAATCACAGCCTCTGCCAGTGTGGGGCCCTCCACAGATTTCCCTAAGGACCACCGGACTCTGGCTCTGGAGAACTCCTGCCCTCCTTCCTTCCGTTCAATGTCTTCTTTGTCTCACAACTGCCCCATCCCCATCAGCCGTCACTCTGGGCCAGGGACAACCGCTGTTTCTCACACTACTTTAGGGCTGGAGCAGAGACATAGCCACCCAAGCCCATGTCTGAGGGATATAGACAGGAACACCCTTTGTGGTTTTCTTTTCATGTTAGTTCAACTAGAATTAACTTTATCTTGGACTTAAGTGCAAGCAGGCATTGACATTTTGGTAGATTTCCAGTCCAGTAGCTTCTGAGAATGGCAGCCAGCTCTGGCTGGGAAGGTTTAGATTTTGACTTGCATAAAACTAAAAATTGAGAGGTGAAGCTAGGAAATGGATCCTCAGCTAGAACTCGGCGTTTGCTTTAGTTTGAATTTGAGTGACAACTAGAATGTGGACCTTAGAGGAGGAGGCTTATAGTCCAGAGGACAAAAGGGATAGTCCCAAGTTCAACACTGTGCTCAGAGAAACAGACTCCCACACCCAGGCAGAGGCACCGGCAGCAGCAGGGTTTCCACTGTGCCTGAAAGACCAGGGGCCACCTGCCCTCATGGCTTTGTCCTGTAGTTTCATCGTCCAGCAGAAGCCTGAACCAGTCCCCACACACATGGAGGGCCAGGGGTCCTGATGCCTGCTGGTAGCCCACCCTGTCCCCTGAGTGGTCTTGGAGCCAGGTGCACTGCTTGAGTCATCACGCAGATATTGCTCGGTTGCTTGTTTTGCAGCAATCACCTGGTTTCTTGATCCCTCCATGATAAGAGGCTACAAGGGGGAGAGGGAAACCAGGGAACAGCCTTTGGCTAGATCTGAGCTGTCGGCCCCTTTGCTCTGTCCTGAGAAGGCAAAGGTCACTAAAACTGCCATCGCATCTCTGCCTACCGCCTCAGGAACTTCTTGGGCTTCCCAGCCTCTCAGCTCAAACTCAGGTGTGAAGGTTTATGATGCAGTCACAGCTTTGAGCAGAGACCACAGGCAGGGGAGGAATTAGTCTGCAAAGGTGCTGATCGCTAGGGCTGGACATGGCTTTCCCAGAGACCAGTTTCTGTGGGTCCCAAAGAGAGATGAAACATGGCCCCAGCCCTGAAAACACCAGCGAGGACCCAAGAGGATGTGTATCTATTGATGAGGAACTAATAGCATTAGTCAAATTTCTTACCGGGCTGAATGTTGAGAAATTGTAAAGCTGGCCAACACTGCCCCCTGGCTCTGTAACTGATGCTGCTTTCCAGCCTATCTAAGCAATCTGTCAAATCTTCCACAGGACAAGCCAACCAGAAGAACTCACGCATTCCTTAAGATCATATCGCCATCAAAGGAAGCCCAGGAGCATTTCCCTAATAATGAGCCCTCTCAGAATAACCTTTGTCTCCTTAGTAAATTAATCAACACAGATTGACTATGGCCAAGACAGTGTGATAGTCCTGAACTCGGGGAATTCTGGATGAGGATATGAGAAATCTGTTCGCCCTCGCAAAGATACATACTCCATCAAGACGGACTGGGTACAGGAAGTGTATAGATGATAGATAGATAGATGATAGATAGATAGATAGATAGATAGATAGATAGATAGATAGATGATAGATAGACAGATAGATTCCTTTAAAAGTCTGATAAATTGGGAAAACACAAATCCCTTGGTGGAAGAGAAATTCTGAGGAGGAGCCCCTGGCAGGTAGCAGGCAAATGGGTTAGAATTCAAGGCAGAAACTATAACTGAGGGATATAGTCAGGAACACCCCTTGTGGTTTTCTTTTCATATTAGTTTAACTAGAATTAACTTTATCCTGGACTTACGTGCAAGCAGGCATTGACGTTTTGGTAGATTTCCGGTCCAGTGGCGTCTGACAATGGCAGCCAGACCTGGGAAGTGGCTTGAGAGGGCAGCTGGGAGCACTGCGAAGGTGCTCTGGGGAAAGCGTCAGGTTTTTTGGCTGGGGACCAGGGAGAAGTAGAAGTAAAGTAAAGCCATTTTTGTCCAGCCAAAGTTTTTGTCTGGATGGAGGAATGATATAAATGCAGGCTAACTCTACATAGTGATAGAAACATGTTTATTAGGTATGTTTAAATTTTATGTATAATTATTAGAAAACTAAAAAGAGTATGTGATTTCCAAACCATTGGTGAAAGAAATGGAAGAAAAGTTGGTCAATTTTAATAAAACAAAACAGGAAAGGGTGGAGTGGGGAAGGAACAAGCAAGGATGGCAAGTTGGGAAATATAAAATAAGATCAAGAGATATGTCCATACATCATATCAGTAATAACTGAATTAATTAAATTTTCCCATTAAATAGAAATTGTAGCATAGAGTAAAAAAGAAAGAAAATTTAGAAAAGAGGATGCAAGACATGGGGCATGGGATAGACACACATACACTACACACACACACCACACACACACACCACACACACACACCATACACAGCACAAACACACCCTCACACCCCCCCACACCACACACACACACCACACACACGTCATGCACATGCACACACCACACATAGGCACCACACCACACACACACCACACACACGCACACACCACACACACCACACACAACCACACAGCACGCACACACACCACACACCACACACACCCCTACACAACCACACCACACACACTCGCACACACACACCACACACACTACACATAATGCACACACCACACACACGCACACATCACAAACACACGCCACACACATGCACACCCACACCACACACATTCACACATAGACACACAACACACACACACCCCACGCACCACATACACACAGCACACACACACAACACAACACACACACGTGGTCACAAATACCACACACACGCACCTGCACACACCACTAACACACACATGCACAAACACCACACACACATTACACATACCACACACACACTTCACACACACCACACATATGCACTCACACATACCACACATGTGCCCACACACACATACACCACACACACATGCACACACCACACACACTCCCACACAACTACACCATATGCACACAAACCACACACAGGCACACACCCACACACACACGCACACACACACCACCACACATACACACATGCACACACCGCACACATGCACACACATGCACACACACCAAATACCACACATGCGCATGCTCACACACACATGCACGCACATACACCACACAGACGTGCACAACTTGTGAGCAAACACGCACACACACGCACACACACATTACATATGCCCATGCGCACACCACACACACGTGTGCACACACACACCACACCACACACACCAAACACATGCACACACCACACATATACCACAGGTGCACACACACACCACATGCACACACACCACACACACGCACATGCGGGCACACACATTTGGAGTTTTAGAAGGAGAGAAGGGGCGAGGAAATATTCAATGAATTAAAAGCTGCAACACTTCTAGAATTAATGAAAGACAATACTCAGGCTCAGGAAGTACACAAATTCCAATCAAGCTAAATAAAAATGAAAGCGGCACCTCTACACATGATTGTGAAACTGTCACAAACCAAAGATCAGCAGCAGGTCTTTAAAGAGCCAGAGAGTGAAGATAGATTACCTACACAGGAATGGTGTTTAGACTGACAGCTGACAGCTGAGTAAAATCTTTAAAGTATTTCAGGAAAATAATTGTCAACTTTGAATAGTGTAGTTAGTGAAATCATCTTTCAAGAACAAGCACAAAATACATTTTCAGACAAACAAAAACTATAGGCTTTTCACCCTATTACTTCAGGATTACTTCCAGAAGAAGGAAAATTATCCCCCAAATGAGGACAATAAGGGTGGTGTGCCTGCAATGGAAGGACAATGAGCAAGGAAATTGTTACGCTTGTGGGTAAATCTAAAGAAACATTAGTGATATGAAATTATAGCAATAACGCCTGCATCATGGGATTAAGAAAAAAAACAAGGTAAAAGAAAAATCCTGAACAAGAGTGTAGAAAGTAATTAAGAAATCAAAAGTAGCATCCTATAATTTCTCGAATGTTCAGGACAGTTTTACATTTACATCAATATGCATGTCAAATTTTCTAGATTAACCACAAATAGAAGCAGAATATATACCTTCTAATCCAGTAGAGGGGGAAAAGGGGTAAGAAAACTGAGCAGTTTGAAAAATGAAAAAAAGGAGAAATAGATTTAAAAGAAAGGGTAAAAAACATTTGCAAATACACACAAAAAATAAATTTGTTAAAATAAAATTTAAATGTCAACAATTATAATTGATGTAAATGGAGTAAATTCTCTAGTTAAAGACAAAGATTTTTGGAATGGATTTTCAAAATCTCAACTATATACTCCGCAATAGACAAACCTAAACCTAAAACATATTTAGAAATGTTGATAGTAAAAGTATAGAAAACATTTACCAAATAAATATGAATTAAATATCAGACAAAATGCACAGTAAGACAAAATGCAAGAAAGTTAAAAGGGGAAACTTTGTATGATAAATGTTCACCAGGAAGATCTAGAAGTTCTTAACTTGCAGACAACTCCAAAAATATGAGCAAAAATTGATGGAAATACAAGGGGAAACTGAAAAATTGACCCTCATAGTATTTTCAGGCCATGTATAAGAAATCCCAAAATCATTTTTTTGATTGGGGCAGTGACTGTATTTCATCTAGATTCACAAAAGTGGCTATTTCACTGGATGCAAACTTTGTTTACAAAACTGAACTTGGTAAAACCAGTTTGCGTGTGCAGGAGGAATTTTAGGTCGTAATAACTCTTCCAGATTCTGTGATGCATTCAGTCATGGCTGGGGTTGTTGTCCCTAGCATCCTCTCCCGCTCCTGCTCCCAGTCTTGTGGGCTTGTGGGTAGGTGCCTTGACTTGGGAGAGGATGCAGGACTGAGGAGTGGGAGAGGGGATGGACAGAATACCCAGCAAGTGTTCCTTCTCCAGTCTGTCACGCCAAGGGCAACCAGGGCTAGGTGCCACCAGGATCTTCACGTTGCTGCATAGAATGACTTCAGAGGTCTCCATCACAGAGGCAGAAGAGGAGAATTTATCACAATAACTCCCCCGACTGGTCACGGGCTGCCTTGTGTGTGCTATGGACTTCTAGGAAGCCCTTCAGGGTCCACAGTTGGAAGTACCAGGCAGGGGTACCTAAGGCATCCACATCTCAAAGTCAGAGAAGCCCCAGGGCAGTGTTAAAAGAAAAATCTTAGGCAAACTAAATGTAACAGAGTTTAATTGAGTAAAGCATGATTTGTGAATTGGGCAGCCCTGAACCAGAATAGGTTCAGAGACTCACCAGTGCTGCCGCATGGCCAAAGAAGACTCATGAACAGAAAAAGCAAAGTGACACACAGAAAACAGAAGTGAGGTACGGAAACGGTTGGACTGGTTACAGCTTGGTGTTGTCTTATTTGAACACGGTTTGAACAGTTGGCCCCCTGTGATTGGCCAAAACTCAGTGATTGGTATGAGAGTAGGTTATAGCCTATTTACACATCCAGTTAGGTTATAGTTTACTATGTACAAAGAAACCTGTTGGCCAGACTTAAATATGTAAGGAGGCAGCTTTAGACTAAACTGAATTTAAGTGGGAAGCAAGACCAGTTGCTGTGGCAATGGCTGGAGTAAGAGATATTTGAGGAGATGTGATCTGTGGCAGAGAAGTGTCCCACGCAGGAATTTCTTGTAAGACTCATTGCATTACTTGGGAAAAGGAATGCCCCCCCCCAACCCCCTGCACACAGACACTCCTGTGCAATATTGGGCTTCACCTTGGTCATTGTTATGGAATCCCTGGCCCTCCAAGGGCTCCCTACATGGGACAGTAAAGGAGATCCCAGAATCTCCCCCACTTCCCAGTTTAGTTACTGCACAAAATTGACTGTGTTAAAGAGGGAAATAGAAAAGAGGCAGCCTGGTTGGTCGAAGGACAAAAAATTTCAGTTCTGCAGGAGGAATGAGTTTAAGTCCTGTATAACACTGTGACTATAGTTAATAACAATGTACTATATACTCAAAATCACTAAGGGGGTAGATTTTCAGTGTTCACACCACAAAAAAAACTGTATGTGAGGTAATGCTATGTTAATTAGCTGGATTTAGCCATTCCACAATCTATACACATTCCAAAACATTATGTCTTACACCATAAATATATGCAATTTTTGTCAATTAAAATTTAATTAATTCTTATAAAGAAAGAATGAAAAGGAGGAAGTACTTCTTAGTAGGTGATCTTCAACAGAAGAAAGTGAAAAAAAGTCTTAAAATGTCAGTATGAGACAACAGATTCTGCAATGACAGGAAGGATGGGTAATGGACAATTATGTGAACAAACACATTTCAAAGCCCGGGTTGAGATCAGGGGTCAAAGAGGAGACGACCACAGCTGGTGACTTAGAGGGTCAGTAAGAGGAATCAGGGCAGAAAAGCACAGAAACTCCTCCATTTAAAATTTCAGGCTGCAAACTCACATGGGTGCCAAGCTGAGCACCCAGGCAGGCACAGGTCAGCCATGCTAGCCGAAGGGGATGCCCATGTGTCATTCATGATGGAAGGAGAGGAGAAGGGCAGCCAGCCTTGGGGGAACTCTTAAGTTGGAGTAGCTGGGGCAGTGGCTCACGCTGTAATCCTAGCAACATAGGAGACTGAGGTGGGAGGATCACTTCAGCCCAGGAGTTAGAGGTTGCGGTGAGCTATGATTGTGCCACTGCACTCCAGCCTGGAGACAGAGTGAGACCCTGCCCTAACACTCAGGGTCTTTTTTTTTTTTCTTCAAGGCATTTTGGGTTGAGGAAGTCCAGAAAAGTCAGAACAATGCCCTGGTATGGACAGTTCCCTTTCAACAGATAATCTTGAGTAGAAGCAGTTCCGAGTGATAGACAAAGCCTCTTAATAAGGAGGGGAGTTTCTGTAAGAGCAGCTTTCTGCACCTGTCACTAGGACCTAGCTGTCATGACTGCAGGTTTATTCTCATCAGCTGGTAATAGATACGGAAAAGAACACACTGAACTTGGGAGACCAATGCTTTCAACTCCTAGGTTGTTGAATTCCTTGCACATGGGGTGCCCTGCAGGGGGCAAGTCTGGTAGCAGTGATCATCAAGGATGACACAGGAAAATCGGCATGCTTCCTGAGGCAGAACAATGCTACCTGAGCACTTCTCCAGAGGGGCAGACTTTAGCAGCATTACAGGGTTCAGCTGAAGGTCATCAGGCACCACCACGGGGTCTGGGGAGCCTGTGTGTCTCCTGCAAAGTCCAGTGAACGGGAGCCTCCAGGAGCAGAAGTTTGCACTGGAAAACAGGGAGAGTATTTCACAACAACTCTTGCATATATGTAGATAGAAAGAGAGAGGGAAAGGTGGGACTGAGAGAGAGCGAGAGACTGTGGCTTAGTGAACTTAGCTGAAACAGATGCACACAATTGTGACCTTAAAATGGTTGTTTTAAGCCACAGTTTGGGGGTAATTGAAGGATCTTCTAAACCAAAACATCTGAAAGCTTTATAGTTTTGCCTTTCACACATCCCACACATACACCATGTCTTTAATCCACCTGGAAGTGTTTTCCTGTAAGGTGTGAGGTACAGGTCCAATTGTATGTTTTCCCATATGGACAGTTGTCCCAGTAACTTACCAAAAAGCCAGCCCTCCCCCAGTGTCAGCCGCACCCACTTTCTGTCCACACGTGTGTGTGCTGCCTGCTCCTATTCCTGCTGCATGGGTCCATTTGTCCCCCCAGGCCGATACTGTCCTGCTGTGATGATCACAGTCTTATCAAAGCACTGAGCTGGGACAGACTCAGCCATCACCTCGTTCTTTAAGGGTGTTTTCCCGATCCTTGGCTCTGAGTTTCTCATCCATTTGACAATCGGCTTAGCAGGTTCACTTCATTTCTCTGCAGCCCAATGTCTCACCCTCTGAGAATGCAAAGAGATAATGAATTTGAACATGATTCATTGACCACAGAAAACAATTGTGTTTTCATATATTGTTTTTATACGATTAAACCTAAGGAAAAAGCATTATTTGTTATATCTTGTTCTTCTATCATTTCTGAAAATATCACCTTAATTCATGAATGTCCTCAAGTCCTGAGATGCTGCCTCCTGCTGCTACAGGGCCAAGAGTGTTACACTGGTTCCTATTAAGAATGTTTCCAAATTCGCCTTACTAAAACTGTAATTTTTTGAAATCTCCTTTTGGATTTTAACAGCCACATTTCAGCTGGCAAACAATTTTGAACACTGGAAACAATTCAGTCCTGCTGTCAGTCTGTAGCCAGATTCCAATCTGACGTGCTGGGGGATTTGAGTGAGGGTTGAGAGGACCACGTGTAAAATCCTGCTGGCCTCTCCATCCTCAGATTGGCACTGTGAGAACCACGCAGGAGTCACTGGCAAGATGTGAACTCTTTATCCTGAAAAATTTTCATATGATATTTTTAAAAGCGTTTTTGTCTCATGTGAATTTAACCCTATATTGAGAAAGCGGTGTTAATATTTTAATAATATTAATATTAAAAATTATTTTATTTTTACATACTAATTTTACAAAACTTAGAACATATTTAAAAATTCAAAGTATCCATTTGTCCATGATCTGAAAAATGTTATGAATATTTTTTAAAATTTTCGTCTATTTTTTCGTCTTTATGCACGTTTCTTGTTTTCTCTCTTAATATCACACACGCACTACTTTACCTTCTGCATAGGGATGACCTATTGGTTGGCTGGTTACCAGTCATTCCCCTTTCTTTCTTCTTTGTTGAAAGGGGCCAAATTACATTAGTTAATGGGCAAAAAGAGCGGGGGCTGGCCACGACCTAGCCCCAGAGGTGAATTTTGATTGGACTAAACCAAACAAGGAATTCTGCCCACCTGGCTGGTGATGATTGGCTTAGGCCTGAGCGTGACATGCAGTGCTGACCAATGAGGAGTGAGAGACGGTCTGCTAGCAGGTGGGGGTTTACTCCTTGATGAAATGTGGCCATAGGTAATCTCCACTGTGATGTCTGAACTTCAGGAACCTCCAGTGACCTTGCAGGGACAAGCTTGAGTCCTGGATTCCTGATGATGTTCGTGAGCGGCTCAAAGTCCTCGTCTCCAGACTCTAGTCACACAGGACAGCGGTGGTCCTCTGTGGGGCGTGGCCAGTTGAGCTCCTGGTCCTTGCACAGCCAGGGAGAGAGCAGCCCAATGACACACCGAGCCCTGCTCTTAGGGCGACGTTTTGCTGTGTTCGTAGAGTTCTTCTTGAGTTGTTGTTGCAGACCATTCCAACAAGCTATTATTCCATGATTTATTTTGTTTGTCCCATATTGTCAAAAAATGATAATGATAAACTTTCTCGTTTGATTTTTGATATTAATAGAAATGCCAATAATTACAGTAATAATAGTTAATATTTAATTTGCTCCTTCCTCAGAAACTGAGCCAAGTATATTACTCATGTCATCTCATTTAATCTTCAGAAAAATGAGTGTTCTGCTGTCATCCCCATTTTACAGTTGAAAAACCAAGAGATCAGAAAGGTAGTGAAACTCATCCAAGGTCACATGGCTAGAGTTGGCAAAGCCGCCTCAAAGACTCTGCTCTTATATATGTACATATAAACACGTGTATGTATGTATACATTATAAAATATTAACCTGCCATATTGAAGAGAGTTCCTTATGTTAAGAAAGCATCCTTCCATTTTTACTTCAGTGCTTCTAGCCCCTTTCTCTCGTGCCACTTCCTATTTTCTCCTTTTCCTTTGTAATATTACATAGAGATTTGTCCACTACTTGTATATTTTGTATGCAGAACCAGTTGTTAAGGTTATTCATTTCATTTTCATTCTGCTTTACATATTTATTTCTATCTTTTTTCTTTTTTAGGGATTTTTTTTACTCAGCAAAATTTTGTCAGCATCATTCCACATTAATAAATAAGCCTTACTGTTACAATTTTAGTGGCTGCCCGTATTGTCTAAGTGTGATGTATGTAAGTTGCACAGCTTACTGGTTCCCTCTCCCAAACTCAATCCTGGATAAGCTAAGGAAGAGGGATGGAAGCAACAACCGAGGAGTAAACATGAGGAAATGTGTTGAGAACCAACCCTCTGGGAGGCAGAACCTGTGTGGCTACAGAGCCTGGAGCCAGGGCTGCTGTCTCTAAACAGGAAAGACAGAAGAACTTCTAGAGTTCATGCCAACTGCTCATTATGGGTGCAGTCTCAGGCCTCAGTTATGATATCTGTTAGCCAGAATTAATACAAGAACATAGGGCTTATCATTTTCTGTTGCTACAGAAAGGAACTGGTGATGTTTAATTTTCCCAAGAGTATGGAACTAACATAGGATGAGAAAAATAGGCCAAAGGGAGAGAGCTTCTGTTTTCTCACCTGCAGAGATGGGAGCACCAAGCCTAGCCTGACAGATCACTGGGCCAGTTCCCAGAGAAAGCCCTCACAATGAGCAGTTCCACACTTTCCTTGTACTGCCCTTCCTTCTTCAGGAAGCACCATATTTTCCCATCAACTAGAAGGTATCTTTCTGGCCTCTGAACTCCAAAGAGTGTATCAGACACAGCTGCTGCCCCAGAGGAGTTGACAAGGCAACACATGGTAAGAGCTGCAGCCTGAAGAATAAAACATGTCACATGTCCCCAGATTGAGAAGGGGTGAAGGGAGAGCCTGGCTGGGATCAGAGATAGTGGAGATGTACAAGTGTGTAATAGAGGAGTGCCTTGAAAAGTAAACACACCACAAAATGTTTATTTTTAAAGAATAAATAAATGGCAAAGGAAACGCAGGAAAGGAAAGATTTACAAAATCCAAGTCACTAAAGTGCTTTCAATCACAAATTTTGAAAGACCAAAAGCCTGGTCTGACCTAAAAACACTGTTTCCAGCTATCCAACAATTGTTTAAATATGATCCCATGCTATTTTTAAAGGAAATGCAGAAACGACTAGAGTATGGGTTTCTTTGAATTCCAATATGCATAGCCTATCAAGTGACACTCAAGAAAACACAAAATTACTCCCTAACAAGAAAATTGAAATATCCAAGGCCAAGTTCAAGGTAAAGACAATATAATTCATTCATGTGTCTGTATGGAGTCTTCACTATGATGATATCAGATTCTTCTGGATATTAAACAATTTTATATTTCCTAATTGAGAATGAGGACATCAGACCTAACCTATTCATCTATACAGTACATTGAACCACACATCTCAAATGATGCCCAGCAGTGAAATCATTTTTGAACTTCGGATCCTCCCTGCTCAAGCTACAAAAGAGAATCAAAAGTTTTGCACCAAGTTAACTGGTTAAAGTGCCATTAAGGAACCGTTTCCATTCTAGAATGAAATAGAATTTTCCCTAGGTCACTCATCTGTCCTCTTAAAGCAAGTGGCATTGCATTTTATCTTGACATTGTCAGAAGAAAATCAAACTGAGAGTATATGTCTTGGACAATTTTTGTCTTTTGGAAAATGCCAGTGAGGAATATGCACATTTTCAGCCTTTGACAGTGGGACCTGTGGGTCTCATGTGGCTCCCACCTTCCCTGGCTGGGGCCCCTCCAGTGCCGTGGAGTTGGAGCCTCCTTGAGCACCAGCCCCAGGGTGCACTTTCTTGGTCTCCTGCCGGGCAGAGCTGGAGAGGTCAATAGCCACATCTTCCAAGCCATTCTCAGGGCTCACTTTATCTGAGCCTCTCTGTGATCCTGACTCACTCTGGCTAGAACCTTCTTTGAAGTGGTCAGAGCCCCAGAGTCCTGCCAACTTATCTTCACTTCCTGGCTTCCTTATCATCCCCATGGATTTTTTATGCATCCCTTGTAAAAAAAAAAATAAAAAGGAAAAAATAAAAATAAAAATTTAAATTCAGCAATGAAGTAAATTTCCTTCTTATTGTTCTCTAAATCCCACTAGAATTGTCCTTGTCAGTGCCTATCTCTGGGGCCTACAGGAGAGGCAGGTAGGTAACTCCCACCTTAGGGGTTTAAAGCAGGTGTCTGACCCCGGGTCACATCCAGCAAAGGTGTTTAGGATGACACAGTGATTGGCATTGGGCCCACTTTCCCCTAGGCTGCGGTCTCGCAGATGCCAGTAAGTGCCCTCCCCCACCTGTTTGTGCAATTTCAGATGAGCCAGTTTGGGTCACTGCCTACAATGCTCCCTCTAGTGTTTCAGTCCTTGAGAGCAAAGTCAGGACATATCTATGATTGGAACCTCCAGTGCCCAGGATAGGGCTGCTTGGTAGCTGTTCAAAAACTGTTCGCTGAGCAAAAAACTTCCTCCATCTAAACCTAAAATGCCACCATGATCCTCCTAACTAATTACCCCGTGCCCGGAGGTACTCATCTGTGACTCATTCCCACAATCTGTGATCCCTGCCTGTTGGTTTCTGGCGACAGCAAACAGGGCAACAAGGGTGGAGCATCCTGAGAGTGCTGGGTCTCAGCAGCGGAGACTCTTTGAGCACCAAAAATCTAAGGGACAGAAAAGCCACTCGGCAGGTTGTTCATGGCAGAACCAAGCCCGGGGCCAGCCCTCCTGACTCAGATGGAGGGGCTCACTGTCCCCAGGGGTCGCTGCTCAGCACTGCCCTGTTTCCTATTACCAAGTGCCCTAAATTGTATGGTTTCTAAAAATTCTAACAGCATTCAACACTTGGATGCTGTTAATGCAATGATGTCATTTCACCCTTAAATCCCAAATACATATTTAGCATGCATAGCCCGGTGAGACTTCCACACAGCCTAGACAGTCTCTGTGAAAAATGAGGCAACCATCCAGTTGCTGCAAGCTTTGTTATTAATTAAAAATAATAAGAACGGTTCTGGACCTGAATCTCAGTAAACTGACGTTGCTTTGCTTTGGAAATGGCTGCCTCGGTGGGGACACCCTGGGATTCCCCCACCTCCTACAACACCTCGAGCCGTGCGATCCCGGGGGCCCTTCCTTACCCAGGAGCCAGGGCGCGCAGGAGCCCAGCAGGCCGCCCTCGGCGGAGTTGAGCACGGAGTCTGGCAGCGGGATGCAGTGGCGCACCATGGCCCCGTACAGCCCGTACTCGGCCATCACGCTGCTGCCGCCCCAGCGCTTCTCCCGCTTGCGCCATTTGGCCCTGCGGTTTTGAAACCAGACCTGGTTGGAGGCAGGAGAAGCAGAAGGCACACAGAAGAGACAGTGAAGAGGGGCGCCTGGAGGAGCGGAGGCGGCGTCCCAGGGCTCGGATCTTCTCTCCCGAGCATGATCCCATGCTATTTCTGAAGGAAATAGCTCCCGAGGGCCAACCAGCCGCCCTCAGGGAGAGCGCCCAGGAGCCCCCAGCAGCGCCCACGTGCGGTCCGGACTCACGGGCATTCAACGCAGTAGGGACACTTGTGACCACGTCCACTGAAGTTTCCATAGAGTCAGGAATGAAAAAAACTAAAGAATCAAACTCCCTTTTCCCACATTGTGTGAAGAGGTCAACTACAGTGTTTCCTGCTTTTTCTCATTAATTGGAATGAGCTCACTGGGGCACTGGCTCCTTCCGAGCTTAGGCTATTGGGTTGCTGGTGATATTTCTCATTAAAAACATTATGTTAATAAAGGACTATTATGAAATACGGTTTAGCTGTTAAAAAAAGAGTTAGTGACATATCTTCTGATAAAACCAAGAGGAAAATTCTATGTATGCATGTGAGTGTGTGTATATATGCATGTAGATATGTATATGCACATACATATTCAGGGGCAGATAATATACTCCACAAAGTAGAGAAAGGTCTCCTCAGGCATTTGTGTTGATTTCTTTCAGGGTTTGAGATGGAGAGGTAGTCTCTTTTTTTTTTTTTTCATTGACATATCTTTATAGTTTCTAGTTGCAGCACACATTATCATGTGATTTTAAAGAATGATTTGATACTAAATAATAATAAAATGAAAAAAGGCATGAGGGTCATAGGGGCAAGCTCTTGTGGTGCCTTCAGCTAAGGGACCCTCAGTTTCTATGCAAAGGGAGCGTGTTGGCTATAGAGAAGGGACTGCTGATTGGCTCACTGAATGTGGGAATGACACGTTCTCTGTGGTATCTTTGGAGCGGAGAAAAGGGACCCCAGACACCTGTATCCGGTCTTCGGGGAGCTCAGTTTTCACAGCCAGCATTTCTCGGGCATACACATCAGGGTAGTGGGCCTCGCTGAATGCCTTCTCCAACTCTTCCAGCTGGTGAGCAGTGAAAACTGTCCTGCAAGGACCCCAAAACACACAGGTGGGCACATGTCCCCTGGGGACAGCAGCCTCCCTGGCCTTAAGGACCACCGTGCCTGCTTCCTCTGCTGTCCAGACCCTAGAAGCCACTTCATGATAATGGAACACCCCACCTCTGAATGATTAGCTGATGTCCAGAAATTTGATTCAAACGAAAACAGTTCTTTAGCTCTTTCTTAATGAATTCCATCAGCTCATTCTGACAAAATCCATTTGACAGATCCACAAAATTGTCTTTAAAATGCTCCCAAAAAAATGCTAGCAAGATTGTAGCATTTTCCCAGCCTCCTAGGAACTGCAGAATTATCTTCCCAAATGGCTTCTGTGCCCTTCCCATTGCCAACCAGGAAACCACTGGGCCTGCTATCATGCCGGGCCATAAATTCTCAGATGCAGGTGCCATAAACCTTGGGCTGTGTCCCGAGGAAAGGCAGGCAGAGGGGACTGCCTGGCCCTATACCTGTGCCGCCGCTTCTTCCTCTTGCCCAAGGTGGGGGATGCCTTTAGGTCATTCCTGTCTTCAGACTGGCTGTCCTCATCTGATGGCACAGAAAGAAGAAGAGGACTTTAAGGGTGATCATATCCCCTCTATTTCCTGGATTTTAATGTGAGGATTGAAGTTATGAACCTCTTGGGTACTTAAGTAGTTTACAGTATGAGCCAGCATTTTTAGTGCCTACTAGATCCCAGGCTCTGTGCTTAACACTGTCCATACATTATCTCAAGTATTCTTAATATAATAATAAAACACCAAAATGGCTGCTGCTATTATTATCATCCTATTTTTACAGATGAGGAAACTGAGGCACCGAATGGTTAAGTAATTTGCCCAAAATCACACAGGTAGTAAATGGTGAAGTTGAGAATTCAAATCCCAGATTATCTGAAGCCAAAACTACTCAGCCACTGATTGCACTTTCTATCCCCACACTGCTTCCAAACACATCCACCCCTATGCCCCCAGCCTCATCATCTTAACCTCTACACCAACATTTCCCAAAGGAAGTCTGGGGCTTGTGACATCAGAACCCTCGTCAGAACTGCAACCCTTCCCTGATGCACCAAATCAGAATCTCTGGAGGTGGGATCTAGGAGGCTCATTCTTGACAAGTGTGCTCAGATGATGTGTAGTTGCCCTTGAAAATTTGAGAACCACTCCACTGTGCTTTACCTTTTTATATCCAATACATCAAAAAGTCTAGATGGAAAAGAAGGTTAGAAGGCCAAACTATTGTGAGATTCATTGCTAGAAGGCATAATTGCCTCAAAATATCTTTAAAATGAATAAAGGCAAAAATAACTAAATAATACTAGTTTTACTCATCCATCAATTAGTTCACCAGAAACCTGGCTTGGATTAAAACATTCTGTATTGGGCTGTCCAACCTGATGAGACATGAGACACATAAGGTTATTAAGCACATGAAATGTGGCCAGTAAGATCAAGACATGCTGTAAACATAAATCACTTAATGGAGTTAGAAGACTTAGTGCTCCTAAAAAGTAAAATATTTTTGTATTGATTATGTGTAAAATGATAATATTTGCTATCATTGTTGGGTTAAAATATAGTATTTAGATTCATTTCACTTTTAATGTGACTGTGAGAAATTTCCGTCAAACATGAAATCACATTTCATTTTTCTTGGACAGCTCTGCTCCAGACTTTCAGAAATGCTGGCAGAGTTGGATTTAGCTGCCTTTGGTTTTGTAAGAAAGAACCCATCCCATGAAAACAGTTTTGCATTTTTAGTGACACTAATAGGGAGTTTCATTTTATCTTACGTAGAGCTCATGAAATAAAGTCCTTTTAGAGTGGAGCAAAAACCTGCCTGCCTATTGATCTGACATGCTTCCTTTTAGTATCAGAAGACCCAGTCTACTCTTTTTGCCTTGGCTGCCTGGATGCTCAGCTCTAGATTCTACCACATACCATCCTTTCTTGTGTAATTCTTTCTTTTCTCTCCCACACCCAAAACCACTCGTTTCCTTAGCCCTTGTCCTTTATAGAATTTCATTGCTTCCTTCTCTTTCCCCGCGACCCGTCTGGATTTCTTTGGGGAAATGGGTAGGCCAGGAACACATCTCTAGGCGTAACTACAATGAATCCCCAAGGTTGCTTCTTTCTCCTGCACAGGGGACTGGGAGGACGCTGCGCCGGCAGAGGAGCGCGGTACCCGGGACTCCCTTTTCAGCACCCCAAGGGGCGGACAGTTCCAGGGCTCGAGGCCCCGTACTCTTCCAGGACCCGTCAATCATTCGATCATTTCCGCCCGCGTTTCCACCTGGTACCTTGTTCGGTGCTGCTGGTGACCACCACAGGCCCGGGCCTTCCCGACCCACGCAGCTGCCAGAGGCGGAGACTGGCGCCTGGCGCTGGGGGGAAAAATGGCCCTCTGGAGATGGTTGTTGAAGACCCCAGGGTCTCATCAAAAGGTTCCACCCGGAACCAGGTGGTGGCGGTCTCACATCGCTGAGGGAACAGGACCCCGGATGAGAGGCAGGGATTTAGGATGCAGCAAGGGGCAGGCGGCGCAGCTCCGCGAATGCCCCTCCCGCGACGGGGCCTCGCTCTGGGCTCCCCGCCTAGATCTGGGCCGCTGGGGCCAGGGGTGCGGTGGGGCGATGGTCTGTGACCCCTGCGCGGCTCAGAGCCTAGGGGACAGGGGCAGGAGCGGAAAGCGCGGGCCTGATTACCGGACGTGGAGACGCTGTCGCTGCGCTTCTGGCGGCCGAGCGCAGGCGGCGGACGGCTGGGAGCCAGCGGGGCAGCGGGCTCGGGGCCCCTGGGCGGCAGGAACGGCACGTCCGCTAGGAGCAGGCAGGGTGCTCGAGCGGCCGCCGGCGGCTGCGTGCCGAAGCCACAGAGGAGGCCGAGTCCCAGCGGTAGGGCCCCACGCGCCAGGCTGGAGCCGTCAAGCCCCGGGCCCGGGCACGGCGCGACTGCCGGACCCTCGCAGCCAGATCCCTGTCCTGGGCCAGCGGGCGCCGGCAGCTCGGCCTCCAAGCCCAGCAGGTCCGTGATGGCGAAGCCCCGGGGGCGCGAGCCCCTAGGGGAACCGCCAGGCACCAGCGCCCTGCTGCTAGTGCGCCCGTCGGAAAGCGAGTCCCGGCCGGTCATGGTTCCTTAGCAAGCAAGGCGCGAGCCTCTCTGGATCCCGTTTGCGGAGGGCCCAGCTTAGAGGAAGCTTTATAGGATTGGGCTGCCGGTCGGGCGCGGGAGGCCTGAAGGGCTCCAATCAGCTGGGCGCGGGCGCGTCGCCGTTCCGGACCCCGCGAGATGGGGACGCCACCAGTTCCCCTCCCCTCGGTTACCGCCCACCCAGCTGCAGTCCCCTCAGTCACCTCCTTCTCCTCCTCTCTTCTGTCCAGCCCACCCCACCCCACCCCACCCCCATTCTAGGAGGGAGGGGAGGAAAGAAGGTAAGGGACAGTGACTCCGCTGTCTGCCTGTCCCTCGAAAAGTCGCAAGTTCTACATCCTGGCGTGGCCTTCTCCTTCCTTCCAGACTCTCTGGGTGGAGGCCCCACTCCCAGCTGCCCTGAAGCTTCTTTGATGCGACCCAACTGCCTATTAAGACCTAGGACCCCATTCCCAACCACACCCCGATGGCTACCCCATATATGTCCCCAGCCAGCCCTCCACCTCCGCCGCCGGTGCCACGAAGGCCTTCCTGTAAGAAGGCCTTCTCTGAAAATCCCCAAGGGGAAAGGAATGAAAACCGTGTATTTAATCCATGGTCATCCTACCTCCATCCCTTTAATCCATGGTCATTCTACCTCCATCCAAATCCACCCCCAGGTCCATCCCCAACACTCCACGGGCTGAACTGTAGGGGGTGGCAGACTCACAAGAGCTGGGGAAAGGGAGAGAAGCAGAGAGAGGAGTGGACTGCCCGGGGCTGAGACGGGCAGGGTACCAGGTTTAACCAACAAAACACTGTCGGCTCAGTGAAATGTGATTTCAGATAAAAAAGGAGGGCTTTTTTTTTTTGTAGGAGTATGTATCAGTATTTTATCCAGCAACCCTAAATTGGGGAGGAGTGGAGGGAGGTAAATTGAAATAAAATAGAGTCTGTCTACTGGAAAGCACACCTTTTCATCGGGGCTTACAATTTATTGTCCAATTTCACGATTATTCAAAGAAAGCCTGATTCTTTGAATAATCAGTGAAACTCTGATATTCGCTAAAGTTGGCCCCAAGCACGTGGGTAAGTAACTACTGGTTCGCGCTTTGAACCCAACCAGCCCTCATCGCTCGGAGCCCTGCGTCCCCCGCTTCCCAATCCCAGAACCCCGGAAGCAGATCTCCTCAGTCCCACTCCCTGAGGGTCCTACAGTCCGAGGTCCCGCAGCGAGGGAGGAGCAAACGCCTGAGCTCCGCGGGAACCCGGCGCGGCTGCCTGCGCGCACGCAGGGACCGGAGCCCGAGCCTGGGCCCTGCAAAGTGGGTCTCCCACTCGCTGCGCGTTCGAGTGGGGCCTCCGCTAAACATGCAGATTAAACAAGGGGCTTCCGATAAGGATAATTACAGGAGGCTGCGCATTGACTTTCCGTTACTAAAGGAAGACCCAAATCTCCCCCTTGCAAGCTGTTCCCGGGATTACCAAAACAATCACTTTCTTTTGAGATCATTGTCTTTTGAACCACTCCAGCTCGGGGCAGAACGCTTTAGACGCTGGCGTTGTTTTCCGCTCCGCGAGGAATTTTCCCCCAGATTTATCTCTGGGTTTAGGGAAGGCGTTGGGCATTCGGGACTGCGTAGTCGTTTGTAAATCCGAATTTGGGGTAGCAGTTAAGTGAGATACCTACGCTTCCACACAGTTTGTAGCCCGAGACCAGTCAGGCAGGCAGGGTAGTCGATTCTAAGGTGGCCCGACCGGGGTCGCCCGCGAATGGAAAGCCTAAGGGGCGAGGGCGGACGCGGGCGCCGTGCCTGCAGCCCCGGGTGCCGACCAAGTGGCCTCACCTGGGACAGGTCTTGGGGTCTCCCTCCCCTAGGTCTCCCTGGAAGGTAGGCGATCACGGGAGTGACAGACCCCGAGTAGATAGCCAGTGATCCAAAGACACCAAAAGGCCAGGCGGTAGGAGCCCAGCCTCAGACACTCTCTATAGTGACCGCGGCGCCTCGGGAAGGATCGTCTTAAACTCATTTTGCAGGTGAGAGCAACTGGGACTTATTAACCCAGTCACATCGGACACAGAGACGTGGCGAGGGCGACACAGAGCAGGAGACTCAATCAAGGAGCCCGTATTGGAGCTCTAAGGGGACTCAGAGATGCAGAAGGAACGAACTTCTAAGGGGTCTTGCAATTCCTGGACTGGGGCGTTCCTAATGCATCCCGGGACCCCAATGCCAGGGAGGG
This sequence comes from Homo sapiens, assembly GCF_000001405.40. Taxonomy (NCBI): domain Eukaryota; kingdom Metazoa; phylum Chordata; class Mammalia; order Primates; family Hominidae; genus Homo; species Homo sapiens. Next base: position 25,084,341 of record NC_000020.11, read on the forward strand.
GCCTGCAGGACCCCAGCGGTGGGCGAGTTGTGTCCTGGGTCACCTTGTGTTTCGCAGCGTGGCGGTGGCAGGAGCCCAGCGCGGGAGGACATTTTCATAGCCTCCTACAGTGAGAAACGCCCCCCACCCGACGCTGCGCTCATCTGTGTCCCCGCTGTTGCCGGGGCTCTGGTATCCACTTGCGCGCCCTATGTGGTGGGGATCCACCCAGAGCCCAGCGTCAAGTTATACGGGCGCTTCACTCAGCGTCAGCCAAGACCAGGGAAGCGCTTCTTGCCGTTTAGGAGACGTCTGCAAGAGATAAAAAGCTAGCCCACGATCCACCCACAATCCTCGTGTCCCCGGGGTGCCCTCGCAGTTGCCAAACCTACGGGCCGCGTTTAGGGGAAGCCTCCGCGTCCTGGCGGCCAAAAGAATGGGCTCCTTCCAGCTTCCCCCTACCGGATACCACCTGCAAATCTATTGCCAGAGGCGCAGCTCCCGCGAACGTTCCCGCCCCGGGCGGCCCCCAGGAGTCGTTTTGGGTCCCTAAATCCGTTGAGGGTTCCGAATCTGTCTTCATCAGCCAGGATTACCCGGGATTTAACTAATGAATAAAGGTTCCTCAGCTCATTATTTTCTAAGGAAGATTTCCAGCCCCTCTGTCGCCGACCGCGAATGTGCCTTGGCAGCGCCAGGCTGAGGTTGGACCTGCTGTGAGTGGCTCAGCAGGCACCCCTCTTGGGCTTCTCAGAGCCGCGGCTGGCCAGGCTGGCGCGATAAAGTGCTCAGACACAATGGGGTGGGATGCCCCGAGAAGGTGAAACGGATCGCCCTGTGAGTCTGCAGAAATGACCCCCCACGGCTCCGTTCTTCTGATTTTCCTCCCACCTCTGGCTGCTCCATCTCGGATGCTTTTGTGTCTTCAGTTAAAAGTCCGGGCACAGTGGCTCACGCCTGTAATCTCAGCACTTTGGGAGGGCGAGGCGGGCGGATCACAAGGTCAGGAGTTCAAGACCAGCCTGACCAAAATGGAGAAACCCTGTCTCTACTAAAAATACAAAATTAGCCGGGCATGGTGATGCATGCCTGTAACCCCAGCTACTAGGGAGGCTGAGACAGAAGAATCGTTTGAACCTAGAAGGCGGAGGTTGCGGTGAGCTGAGATAGAGCCATTGCACTCCAGCCTGGGCAACAAGAGTGAAACTCCGTCTCCAAAAAAAAAAAAAAAAAAAAAAGTTGTGGCAGAGGCTGTTTGGCCCCACCCACCTCCAGCCTGACCCCTCCAACTGCACGCCTGCCCAGCCTCCAGTGCCCGCCACATCTTTACCTGGGGACTTTTCTCGACCTTCAGAGCTCACTCTGCCCACTAGCTAAAGGTGCCAATAATTAACACGTGGAGAAATGCGACACCAAACACTGACGGGAATTGCAATGTAAGCACCCCCCGCTACACACACACAAACACACCCCTGCACAGAGTGACTCTTAGAGGTGCCTTCTACTCCGCCTCCCAGAGATCCAAGCAGGAGGAGCTTTAGTTACTTGCTGATGATTGCATTCCATATTGCCTCGTATCTAAATGCTGTTGTGCCTACCCAGACCCCCTTTCCAGAACTGTCGCACCTTCTTCCAGCTGTTGTGAGTGTGGGGCCCTCGAATAGGAAGAATTGCCCTTGGCTGACAAAAGCCCCTTAATCCAGAGCCCCCCACCCCCTGACAAACACACACACTGTGTCATCAACTGACAGAGGGATGATAGGAGGCCTCTCCTCTCGTTTCAAAGGACAGCTCTGCAGAGGCGTTTCTGCTACAAGACCCTCTCCCTTCATGGATCAGACCAAGTCAGCTCCTTGCTCAGCTTGTTCCCACCCCATCTTGGCCCCTCATTCCTGAGACCTTGTCTCAATATCTCTCAGGCGCCCAGACCCTGTCCCTGGCTCTGCTTCTAGCCACCTGAGCTCAGACACTTCCTGTCTCCATCTCGCTTTTACCTGGGTGTTCCTGGAATGCTCAGCTCAAAGTCTACAGAGCCCTTCTTTCTTCTCAGGTGGAACCCCACGGGGCAATCACCATCTCCCTGCCCAGATCTCTGGAATCTTCTCCAATCTGGACCCCACTCTTGAAGCCCAGGCTGTTGTCTCAATGTACTCCTGCATGTCTGAACCAGTCTCCCGGGGCACTGAAATGCAACACACCCAGAGCTGAACACAGCAGCCTCCCCTGCAGCCTGCACCTCCCCAGGTCTCCTCTTCCTCCACCCCGGGGCCCACACAGAATCGAGTGTCATCCTCAGGCCCTCACTCTCCCCACAGGCTCTCCTCCCACGACTGAAAGTGATGAAGATGGCCAACCTCTCTTGGCTTCTTACTGGGGGGCAGCTATTATTATAAACACCTTATCACAATGGCCACATTTCATCCTGACCACAGCTCTATGGGTAGATAATATTATTGTCCACATGCTTCAGATGAGGAAGTGAAAATTTCAAGTGATTAAATAATTGCATAAATTGCCCAAGGTCACTCACTATCCAGTGGCAAAGACAGGATTTGAATACAAGCAGTGTCAGCTCACGGCCTAACTCTGACTGTGGGTGTCTTGCTGCCCTGCATCTCTCTTCAAACCCTCTCAAAGTGGCATCTTCTTTCCTTTGCCTGCTCTGATTTGACTGTGTGCCCTGAAGTTCGTGTGTTGTGCCTTAATCGCCAATGCAACAGTGTTGAGAGGTGGAGGCTTTAGGGAGTGATTAGGTCAGGAGGGCTCTGCCCTGAGGAGTGGATCAATACCATTGTTGCAGGAGTGGGTTAGTTATTGTGGGAATGGGTTAGTTATCGTGAGAGTGGGTTAGTGACCATGGGAGTGGGCACATGAGTTTGGCCCCTTCCCGCCCCCTCTTCTGCTCTTCCTCTCTCACCATGTGACACCTTCCACCATGTGATGTGGCAGCAAGAAGGCCCTCACCTGATGTGGTCCCTTGACCTTGAACTTCTTCCCAGTCTCCAAACCATGAGCCAAATAAACCTGTATTGTTTATGAATTACGCAGTCTGTGGTATTCTGTTACCGCAGCACAGAACAGACCATGACACCACCCATTGCCACAACATGGCTCAGACCAATTGCTCACTTGCTGGAGTGGAATTTATTTTTTAGTCTAGGGCTACTCAGTATACAAATGAGTTTCAGAGTACCCTAAAGAGGTGGCTTCTAAAAAAAAAAAGAAAGAAAGAAAGAAAAAAAACAGCAGGTAAAGTCCTCCTTGTCCCACTCCTTGGCAGTTCTGTGACCTTGACCCAGGGACAAAAGGAGAGGGAGGGTTTTCTGCAGCAGCAATGGTGGGTGTCCCGTGGCTACCCTGCATGCTATGGCACACTCACTGCTGTGCCCTGTGGTGACTTGGCCTTGTTCCCAGGTGCCTGGGCTGCACATCCCTGCCCTTCCTCTCCAGCTGTCCATCAGTCTGGGGAGGGGGTGTATGGGGGAGAAACAATGCCATTCAGTAAGGCTATTTTCTGTGTAAATTGGCTGGGTGACATTTCTGTGGTTTGCATCCAATAACCCTGTCTAGGGTGTATGGCCAGGGCTCTGCCCTCTGGAATCTCCTTCTACCTCCTTCATGCCCCTCCCCATACCCCACCACTGCCATCTTTATTCCACAGCCACAGTGATCCTTGCCTGAGCACAGCCTATTGCTCCCTACTGCAGTTTCCTCAATGGCTTCCCCTTGCCACATGGGCAATGCTAACTCCTAACTCCTTCCTGCTAGTGACTGAAGAAGTGATGGTATCACATGCCCAGCTCATCAGTGAACAAGCAGGCTCTTGAGAGTCAGCAATGTGGTATATCCTATAAAACTGACCCAGGGTGCGGAGATCAGGGTTGTCCATCCTCTCATCAGCCCCATGAGAGCACCAGCCCCCGAGTTCCCTTTCTTGGCTGGATGTTCCGGTTACTATTTTAAGGTAACACATTATCCCAAAACTCAGCTACTTACAAACCATTTCATTTTGGTCACAGTTTTGTGGCTCAAAAATCTGGGGAGAGCTCAGCAGGCCATTATCACTTAGAGCCCTCCTGTGGTTGCTGTCTGGGGTGGCAGTCATCTGAGGGCTCAACGGGGCTGTGCTGGGTGCTCAAGGCAGCCCGCTCACATGGCCCAGGCTGATTGGCCTTGTGGGCTCTCGGGGAGTTGGGAGCATCCCACAAGAACCAGGCAGATGCTGCACAGCCTTTGCTGGCCCTTCCACAGAAGTCAGAGCATTACTTCCATCACGTTCAGTCAGCGAGGCCATAGCATGAGTTTTGGGGGAGTGGCACTTCTGCTTTCATGGGCCCCTTCTTCCATAAAAATATTTAAAGTTGTATTTTGTGCCTATGTTGGCATAAAGGTGAATATAATCCAGTCTAGATTCATTATTGTATATTCTTTATTATTGTACTCATTTTTCCTTCTGATTTTAAAATATATTCAATGGCATTAGAAGCATAGGCCCTGGGCATTGTACCCAAGGCATTAGTGTGCACTGGCCCTGCTGACTGGTTTAAGCAGCCACAAGCCACCAGATTCAAGGACAGGACACAGATTCAAGGTGGGACACAGGACCCACCACATCGCACTTGCAGGGCCAGGCGCCAAGCAGTGCTCAGCCACCCATCAACGCCCAGCCCAAATGGTTCCTCACCGCAGAGCCTCCCCAGGTTTTCCTGCCCCAGCTGGAACAAAATCACTGCTGCACTCTTGAAGCACTTGATGCTCCTTTGGTCTTATTTTCTTATTCTTAAGTTCTTTTGTGTCTGTTCTCATCTCCTACCTGGCTCCAGGAGCCCAGAACTGAGTCTTTTCATTAACACATCCCCTGGACAAATGTTCTTTACCTTCCAGGACAGTGACTTCCCTGGTGGCCTCTGGAAGAGGCCTCCTTACTATGTGCCAGTGGTTCTCAAAGTGTGGTTCCCAAAAGTGGTTCTGGCCACCTGGGCATTGGCCAGAAAAACAAACTCTTGGACCCCATCCAGACCTCCAACATCAGAGACCTTGGGGAGACCCATGATCTGTGTGTTCACAAGCCCCCCAGAGGACCCTGAGCCCCACTCAAGTTTGAGAACCACATCTTCTATTAATGCTTCATGAACCATATATCCTGACTGGTTTTACAAATATGTTGTGGGTGCAGAAACACCCAGTTATTCTCAAATGCTCTGAGGAGCTATGAGGAAAGCTTGAGTTCAGCACTAAGATAATAGTCAGCACCAGACATGAGCTTAGGGAATCAGGAAATTGAGGTTCTAAAAGGAGAAGGAAAAAAGAAAAGAGAAAATTTTATTTTAAAATGTTACATATCAAAAAATACATTAGTGGGAAAACTCACAGCCACCATCGGTGGGGCCCTTGGTCTGCGCCAGGCACTGCAGAGCTTCTCACGAACCCATTCACTTACCACTTGTGACAGCTCTGATGAGGGAGGTCCTGTATCGTCCCCATTCTGTGGGTGAGAAAACGGAGGCCCAGAGCTGGGACCAGCCCAACAGCCAGGGGAGCGGTCAGGACCCAAATCCTGACGGTCAGGCTAGAAGCAGCGAAATCTCCACGGGGCCTGGTCTGTGGCTTAACCTTGGTTTTGTTCTTCATGTTGCAGCGCTTGGGATCTGGCGAGGTCTGACTCTTACACTGTTCCAACTGCTGTAGACGGATGGCATTATGGGCTTGAGGCAGATTTCCCAGAGGCTCACATGCCCCATGGCCGGTCTTTTCCCTTTAGGTCCTGAGACAATAGGAAAATCCTGGGTAGGAATCCAGGTAACACTTTGATTCCAAAGAACATACTTCTCTTCCTCCTTTTCCAGCCTCTTCACTGTCTCTCTCCTCTCCTCTCTTCTCTTCCTTAGCTTCTTCTGGTTAAGTTCCATCTGTAAGACAAAGGAACCCAGAGCCAAGTTAAGCTTAGGAGAGGACACACCATCCAGTCCCTGAGCTAAGCCCACCCTCGGACCCCACTGCAGAAAAGGTCATGAGCAGAGGGCACAGAAGGATCTGCCTCTCCTCCTCTCCCCCATGGCAGACAAAAGCAGGTGCACTGTGTGGACATCAAGAAGGTGAGAGGGAGGTGACATAGGCCACCCTAACCAGAAGGTCACACCTGGGCATGTGAGGGGCCGCTGAAGGACAGCCCAAGAGCTGCTGCTGAGCTTCATTTCTGGTATTAAACAAGCACTAGGTCATCTCTTGGCAATTGAGAAACCTGGCCAATGATAATGTGCTTTTAACCAGCTCATATTAGAAGTGAATGTGATCACTATCCCAGCTCACAGGTAGCACCGAGGCTCTAGGCAAAGGTCAGAACAACTCTGCCAGGGTGGCGTGACTGCGGGTTCCTGCCTCTGCTTGCTGGGGACCTACTTACTCCAAGGAGGCAGGCACCGGCCATGACCCTATTTGAAGGAGGTCTTTGCTCCTCCCTCTGTGCTCAACTCCCAGTCAGCTCCCTCCAAGGCATCCGCCACAATTGCAACCGTTCACTCACCTGCTGGTTTACTGCTTTACCCATCTGCCTTGCCGGATGCTGTAGCTGACAGTGCTGGCAGGCTGCCCTCCGGGTCGCCTGCAGCCTCTGTAGACAGTTCACACACACACCACAGCTTCCTGCCTGCAGCACCTGCCACTCGAGCGGAGGATGCCCCAAAGCCAGGAGTGCACCAGCTAGGACTGAAGTCCTGGGGGGCAGAGGGTGATGCCTCCAGCAGCCACTCTTGACAGATGACAGGGGTTGATGGATGATACCTGGCCAAGGGGTGCAATGATCCTGTGGTAGGAAAATCCCGAAGAGAAATCACCTTGCATAGTCACCCGAGGTCCTGGTGTGATTGAGCCTTGGGAAATGCCACTTGCTGTCACAGCTTCTCTGTGTCCCTGCCCCTCCCCTACTAGAACTTCCTGGGTTCCTCCCACATTACTTACTTCACTCAAATCCCTGTCTCAGAGTCTGCTGTGCAGAACCCAAGCCTAGACTGACCATAAGCTCCAGAGCAGGGCTGGGGCTGGCCTGGGGCCCCTGCATGCCAGGGCCCCGCACACTCCTGGTGCAGAGCCAGTGCTTAGTGAAGGTCTGCAGCGGGGGAACAGGCCATAAGATGGAGGAGTCTGAACCATATGCCTGTTGCCTGACGGGGTCTCCTGGGAGAAACTTAGCTCTTCCCCATTCACTCCACATTAGATCTGGAGTCCTCTCCCCAGTCCTGTCCCCATGCTCAAGGCCTGGTCCAAGGAAGGTTGGCTGGGAGCATGTCATCCACTGTAACCTGAGTGCTCAAGAGGAAAGAAAGGCGCCCCAACATCAGACTCTCACAGCCCAGCCCTGGGACTGCCCTCCTGCAGGAAGAAGCTGAATATTTTACAAAATACTAGAAGAAGAGGCTGAGAAATTTACAAACCTGTTTCACTCACCGGTTTCAACAAAAGTGTGGAAATGAATGTCACTGAGCTGCCACCCTGAAACTGCTTTGTTTGTGCTGAGTTTTCACTGATGAAGGCTAGCAGAAGCGGCAGCATGGCTAGGGCACCTTGGGGACTCTGGCAGGGTTGGCTGCAGCAGCCATCTGTGTGGACCCAGTACCTCCAGTCCATCACCCTGAGTGGAGGGT